>NC_000005.10:145078659-145703659 GCF_000001405.40 Homo sapiens | reverse complement strand
CAAGGATTAGACTGTAATGGACCTAAGCCAATTTATATCTTCTTTCCCTAGCTGCAGTTATTAGTTTGGGTTTAGTCAAATGTCCCATTTCAAGACAATGAAAGGGATCCCAAGACCTGGCTATGTGCTGTTGGAACTGACATTTTCTTTTCCCTGGAGCATTTAGGGTTAGCATGTGTGGCTTGAAACTGGGGCAGCTATTTGGTTGTCATAAGAGTAAAGCTGAAGCTACTGTGTGTATTTGGGGCATGTCTACCACATGGAATCTGATGATGGAACAATCCCTATGGAAGGGAGAGCTAAGAGACAGAAGGAAGATGAGACATCAAGGGTATTTGGTAATAATGTCTAAACTGCTGAATCAACGAAGTTCACTTAAAGCCCACTCTGACTCTGGATCAATTGCTTAAGGCATTTCAGCTGAGTTTTAAACACTTTGCATAAAAATTCCTATCTGATACAATTAATATTACTAACTCTCTGCTCTGAATAGATTGTGTTTGCTTGGTAATTTGTCTGGCTTCTTCCAAAGACTTAGTATACTTGACACTTGATGGCCAATGGGTGCTGCACAGACCAGTAAATGGTGAATCTAGCTTCCAACTTGGACCCAGCTTTCTGTTTGCATGTCTAGTGTGCATTTTTGTTAGGGTTGAGAGTTGAGTAATTGCTTTATTTGATAGTATTTGCTGTGTTTTAATAGAAAGGGAAATAATTATATATCAATCTGCTAAATGACTTTCTTTCCTCCTTAAGATCTACCTTTAACATTTTTTTCTAGTGATTGTGGAACTCAAGCCCACATAGAAGTGGTATCTTCTCTGACTTTTGGCTGCTGAAGTTTTATTAGGGGTGCCCTGGTAGGTAGGGAGTCTTGATTAGTCTGTATCACTTAAGATAATTCCTTTCCCTATGTGCTTCTTGGTTTAGAAGCAGCCAAATTTTTGTGACCTCATTTTGGCCAATTGACACAAAACATGAATTGGAAGTCTGCTGGGCATGGGGGTGCTTCAGGCAAGTTTCTTAACTAGTTAGAGAACAGAAGACCCGAATGTCATTGAATTGCTTTACCTCTTGCCTTCTTGTGTGAGATTTTAAGCTAGCTGTCAGAGTTTTTTTCTTTCTTTCTTAATTTATGTCAAAGAAAGCATCCTGATGCATTTTGCAAGGACCACATGAAGTAGGGAATTGTTGATTTCCCCAAGGAGGGATCCAAGAGCCAAAATAAGAAAAAAGAAACAGAGAAAAGAAAAACACATTTAACCCATCTACTATAGTTCCTTTACTTTTATCTTGATGTCCTATTTCTCTGTGCATGATTCTACCTTCAGACACAGATGAGACAAGGAGTGGTCTGTGTGATGACTAGATTTGAAGGGCTGTTTTGTGCAAAGTAGTGGTGCTTGAACACCATACTCAGATGATCATAAATTTGCTAGCTCACTCTCATACATACTTATGAAAATATCCTTTTTATAAGTGTTTATAGGGATGGCATTAAAAATACTTAAGCATTACAGTAATACGCTAATGTATAAATCAATATATTAATAAAAACATTAAATATATATATATGTGTGTGTGTGTATATATATATTTTTTTTTTTCCTGAGACAGAGTTTTGCTCATTGCCCAGACTGGAGTGCAATGGCATGATCTCAGCTCACCACAACCTCCACCTCCCAGGTTTAAGCATTTCTCCTGTCTTGGCCTCCCGAGTACCTGGGATTACAGGCATGTGCCACCACGCCCGGCTAATTTTGTATTTTTAGTAGAGACAGGGTTTCACCACATTGGTCAGGCTGGTCTTGAACTCCTGACCTCAGGTGATCTGCCCACCTTGGCCTCCCAAAGTGCTGGGATTACAGGGGTGAGCCACTGCGCCCGGCCTTCAATGTATATTTTATAATTCTCTAATCTAAATTATTAAACTGCTTACCAAGTGATACAAGCTGAAATGCACATAGTTCATTAAAAAGATAATGATTTACAGGTCATTTATTGATTTTTAGAAATTGTTGCTGTGATTTGTTGATGGCATAGTTGTCAAATGCTAAGTGACACCTTGTGGTTTGACACAGGGAATTACATCAAACTCCTCCACCAACCTCTTTGCTCATTTGTTGGTCGATAGTCATTAGGAGACTTGCATTCTCAAAAAATAGAGAATTTCTTTTTAAAATCAATACTATTGTTCAGGGTCCTGAGGCCTTTTTCAGCTTCTGCTGAACTAAGCAATTACATTAATTTTTTTCTAGATTTTATAATGTTGTCTAAAATTTTTATATGGTCAAATTCTCTCTTATCAACTATGCCATGAAAATCATTTACTGGAATGTCATTTTTAATTAAGTTGAAAGTATACTTTGGGTCAAATGAGAGGCAGTGCAGTCGGTGTGAAGGTTAAGCATGCTTCCTCTGTTGCCAAGGTGCCTGGGTTTGGATTCAGACTCTGTCACCTACATTTTAAATAATCTCTTTGTTCCTCAGTTTCTTAGTCTGTGAAATGGGGAGAATCACAGTAATTATAGGACTCTCAAAAAGTACTCTTCTCTCTTGGAATTGCCATCCATGGAGTTGAAGCCTTCGGCCACTGGCCTGAGCCTGCAGTGGCACCTAATATCTCCTGACTTGACCATCTGCTGTCCTCATCTTTCTCTGGTCCTCTCAGAGCCTGGCTCCCAGTGGCTGTAATTTCCACAAGTGGTCACACAGAGATAATTCTATGGCATGCTGGCCTGAGATGGGCAGCCATAGTCTCTGTGGTCCGTATGGCCATGGAGGGGCTTGCTCACCTGGGTGTTAGATGCACTGCCAAAGGTATTCCCCATACTGCTTTTGCCACATTAGGACACACTGTGGCAGGTGGAACCGATATTGGTATTTGTGAGCTACAGTGAGTTGGATGCTCCCATATAGTCTGGTAGTGTTCACTCAGGGATCCCCAGGGCCGAGACGAATACATAGAGGGAGCGTGGCTGGTCCTTGGGGACCCCTGGGAGAACCTGTGGTGGGCAGCAAGGACAGATACTTTTGGGTACTTTGACTGTCTTGGGCATCTACCAATAAGAAATGATACCAGCTGTGGGTCCTAGAGGTCCCAGATGTGCCAGTTATTAACCCTTTTGTTGCTAGATTATGGAGAGATTCTGGTGATATTGGCAGTGGCTATTTATGAAAACTACAGATAATATTTAATATTTTTATAAATGCTTCTACCTTGCTGGTGAAAACCAGCAGCATATCAATCTTCCATGTTGAGAGTGGTGGGGGGGAAAGGGATTTAGGAAAGTAAGTTGATATTTTTTTGAGTACATGGATTTGGTAAACTGAGATTCACATACATCACTGAAGTTGCCCGAGGTCATGTAGTTCATGTGTTGAGGATTGGGGATTTGAATCTAGGTCTGTGGGTCCTAAAATCATTACAGGTTGATGTCTAGGGGCGATGGAAAGTTGGGGGGGATGCTGTTGATGACCAGAAAAACCACTGGGTTCTGATGACACTTTGAGAATATAGTCTAAATGTCTGTTAGGCTTGCAGAGGTTACATCACTCCACTCCAACCATTTTTCCTCACCTATTAAGAGGGAATTAAGTGACCACAGAGAGATATGTGACTGTGCTTATCCATGTCTGTGGTTGCTCTAAAAGGAAAATTGTTTTTCAGTTGGGAAATTTCAGGAAGTTGCAGAACTTATATTCAGCTTTCTGAACTTGGTGTTACATCCCCAGGAAGTTAGTGACCCCTTTGGGACCAGGAAACCAAAAGAAGCGAGAAACACCAAACACCAGGGTCTGTTTTTGGAATCCCCAAGAATACAAAGGATTGATGGTGATGTTTTCTTTCCAGAAAAGAAATTTGTGCGGCAGCTGTGCTATTAAGGGTAGGGTAAGTGGGTTGCTGGAGAGCTGGAGAGTCTGGGGCCACGCTTAGTTTAAATGACAGCTTTTGACATTTCTTCTCTTTGGATTTGGAAATCTTAAAGCAAAATCATATGGCTCTGAAATCAGTTTCTTTTAAAAATACCCCAGTGTCACACAAACTGAAATGGGAAGAAGGCTGTGGTGCAAGGGTTTTCCTATTTCATCAATGTCAATGAGCAGGGAAGAGATGCAAATCATGGGTCAGTGGAAAGCTCTGGCCCCTGGAGTCAGCCTAGGTATGACCCTCAGATTTGTCATTTACCTGGCAAATGGATGACTCTGCAGTTCTCCTACCCTTAGTTTGCCCATTTGTAAATTGGGATGTGTGTGCGTGTGTGATGTGTGTGTGTACAGAAGTGTAATAATAATACTAATATCCAACTTGCAAATGTTAGGTATTATACACTGGTCCCAGTTTTCCCAAATCCTCAGCGTTCTGACATGTGAACATTGCAGCAAGGCTCCTCTTCCTCAAATAATTCACATAGCTTTGCCCTGCTCCATCTCTGGGTCCCATCTCAGATGTCTCTTACCCCAGGAAGCATTCCCAGTCTTCCAAAAGGAACTAGGTACGCTGTTACTATCTTTCTTAGAACTCTATTCTTCACACATTCTGCTGGTATGGACCGAATGTTTGTGTTTCTCCCAAGATTCTTATGTTGAATTGCTAAACCCCAAGGTGATGACGGTATAAAGAGGTGAGGCTGGCCAGGTGCGGTGGCTCACGCCTGTAATCCCAGCACTTTGGGAGGCTGAGGCGGGTGGATCACCTGAGGTCAGGAGTTCGAGACCAGCCTGGCCAACATGGCGAAACCTCGTCTCTACTAAAACTAAAAAAATTAGCCGGGCATGGTGGCGCATGCCTGTAATCCCAGCTACTTGGAAGGCTGAGGCAGGAGAATTGTTTGAACCCAGGAGGCAGAGGTTACAGTGAGCTGAGATCACACCATTGAACTCCAGCCTGGGTGACAAGAGTGAAACTCCATCTCAACAAACAAACAAACAAACAAACAACAAACAGGTGGGGCCTTTGGGAGGTGATTAGATCATTAGAATGAAACTCCTTTGAATGGGATACATGCCATCATTAAAGAACGCTCAGACAGCTGCATTGCCCCTTCTACCAGGTGAGGACACAGCGAAACGGCACTGTTCTATGAGCCAGGAAGTGGGCCCTTAACAGACATAAATTGGCTGGCACCTTGATCTTGGACTTCCCAGCCTCCAGCACTGTGAGAAATAAGATTCTGTTGCTTGTTAGCCACCCAGTCATCTCTAGTACTTGTTATAGCAGCCCAAACTGACTAAGACAATTTTGTAATGATATATTTAGTTACTTGTGTTTATTTGAGTTCTCTCTTCTCCTGTAGACTATAAGCTCCAAGATAATAGGGACATAGCTGTTCTTAAATCTCATTTAAAAGTTAAAATATCATTGGTGATGAATGTATACTACAGGTAAGGCAATTGGTACCTGACAAATAACCATTCTGTAAACAATAGCATTGCCTGATATATAGTAGGTCCTCAGTCAGAATTTTCCGAATGAATAAATATATGAGGTTTTATGAATTGGAATTGAAATCTAAACTTTCTATAGCTTTATAATAGAAATTCATATTTTGGAGCTTGCAAAGAGGACTGAATGATATTTTTAGTTAATAATAATACCAAAGAGCTTGCATTTATGTTTTGAATTGCCTTGCAAACCGTAACTTCATGTATATATATATATATATTTTTTTTGAGGGACATTAGGACAATCACAGTTCTCATATGTAAGCTTTGAAGTAAGTAGGCTGCAAATTTTTAGTGATTTTATTTTGGAGTGTCAGATAACAGGCAGCTGAAATCGAAACAGCTTCAAATGTCACAAAATGTCTTCTTGTAATTCTCAAGCATTAAATGCTTTAAACCTTAAAGGCACAGTCTCCATTTCCCAACTGACCATAGATTTAAACTGTGTAAGGAGACACAACCACACCCAAGAGACTTTTCTTATCGAAATGGACTGCATTTATGACAATTTCCCCCAAATCTTCAAGTTAGTTTCTCAGATAAGATGATGATAAAGAGTAGAGGGTCAGGAAACTTTTTCTGTAATGAAGCAGAAAGTAAATATTTTAGGCTTTGCAGGCCATAGAGTCTCTGTTGTCACTACTGACCTCTACTCTGCTAGCATAAAAGCAGCATAAACATGGCGTAGAGAAATGCTGTTGGCTTGTGGCAACTGAACTTTATTTATAAAAGCAGGCAGCAGAGAGAATTGGCCCATAGGTGGTTAGTTTGCTGACCCCTGCTGGTACACATAGGCTTTGGAGCCAGACATATATGGGTTCAAATCCAAGCTGTAAGACCTTCAGCAAGTTTCTTAGCCTCGTTGAGTTTGCTCACCTGTGAATGCACTGACTCCCAGGGTTGCTGTGAGATTAAATGAGGAGAAGCATGAATAGCACTCCAGGCAAGACTTGCACACAGGGATGCCTGTATCTATGTCTCTATCTATCTACATATATCACACATATGTATACCATACCAGTCAAATATATGTCTTATATTATTGATCAGGTATTTATTTATATTGTATGTGTGCCTATGTGTGTGTATATATATATGTCAGGTATATATACATATATATATGTGTGTGTGTGTATATATATATATATATATATATATATATATATATATATATATATATAATTTTCCTCTCTTTCCTACATCCACTTTGTTGCTTGATCAGTACCCCCTGCCTCTATCATTTGCTTACTCTGATTTATTCTTCCTGTCTTGGCTTCTTCCAGCCTTTATTACCAAAAGTGGTCTGAATATATACTATTTTTTAGTACATACTGTATGCATTCTATTTTTGAAATTAAAGAATTAATTCTTTTATTGATGAGTCTTGGAGTTCTCAACAAATTGCTGGGAATGTTAAGAACTGTAATGATTTTTTCAAATATTTTAGAGATGGCTGGGTGTGGTGGTTCACACCTGTAATCCCAGCACTTTGGGAGGCCGAGGTGGGCAGATCACTTGAGCTCAAGAGTTCCAAACCAGCCTGGGCGACATGGTGCAACTCCGTCTCTACAAAAAATACAAAAAAATTAGCCAGGTGTGGTGGCATGCACCTGTGGTCCCAGCTACTCAAGAGGCTGAGGTGGAAAGATCACTTGAGACTGGGAGATCGAGGGTTCAGTAAGCAGAGATCACTGCACTACAGCCTCGGTGACAGAGTGAGACCCTATCTCAAAAAGATATTTTAGAGATAAGGAAGTAATTCTGGAATGTTTAGGTAGGTCAAAGACATATTGGTGAATAAATTAATGAATGAACGAACGAATGAAAGGTGTCTCTGAGGTATATGTGCTTGGAAGGGACCATAATTCCTGAATCTTGGAATTATGAAATTTTCACCATTAGATGTGTGATATTTTTGTGTCAAGCAGTGCCTGTCTCAGGAGCCCTCTTAAAGAGGTGAAATACTTTGAGAAGGGAGAGGCACAGAAGTGGCTGCTAAACTGGCAAATGGCTATTTTATGAGCAACACTGGTAAAAAAAAAAAAAAAAAAAAAAAAAGCTATTATTTATTGCTCACTATGTGCCAGAAACTATACTAAGCCATATATACATGATTTTCAAGTTTTAGATATATATAGAGTTATATTTATATATGCATATTTAGAAAGAGTTATATCGAGATACACATATGCACACATACATATAAGCTTGAAGATTAAACTTTCACATATGTTAACATAGTTAATTAGCTAGCCAGGGTTAGCTAAAATGGACCCCAGTGATTCTCCCCCCTCTGATATTTATGCTTTTGTGTGGTCCCCTCCCATATTATATCAGAGTCAGTCTATGTGATCAGTTGACTATGGTAGAAGTGGTGATATGTTACTCCTGAGGCTACGTTATAAAACACATTGCAGCTTCCTCCTTGCTCACTCTGGGTCATTCATTCTGGGGAGAAGCCAGCTGCCATGTTGTGAGGGTCCTGTGGAAGGGCCCACCTAAGCAGGGACAGAGACTTTGTGCCCCCAGCTGTGTAAACGAGCCATTTTGCAAGCAGATGCCCAAGACCCCGTGAAGCCTTCAGATCATTGCAGCCTACCTGCAAGCTTCACTGCAATTCCACAAGAGACTCTGAGCCAGGACCTGAATTCTCCTGGGCAAGGGTGATGTCATGGGACAACTCAAGGAAGAAGAGCAGGTTGGAGGTGGCACTGGAAATTGACCAAGACCACATTTCTCTTCTAAAAAAGTGATATAGTCTGATTTTGTGCATTAGCTGGCTTCTCTCTACCTTATTCTCCCTTCCCTACCAATTGCTTCCTAGTCCACTAGCCTCTAGTCATTCAGGCCTCCTTCAGGGCTTTGAATGCACCAAGCTCTTTTCTGCCTCAGGGCTTTTGCGCACGTTCTTTGCTGTACTTAAGCAGCTCTTCTTCTGCCTCTTGACGTGACTGACTTATTCTCATCTTTCAGGTCTTGGCATTCATGTCACCTCTACAGAGAGAGCATCTCCAACTGCTCTAAAGGGGTAGCTCCCCTCCCTGTACCTGTTTGTTTCCTTCAACATGCTTAGGATAATCTGTAATTATTTATATCTTTTTCTTTACTTGTTAGTGATGTTTGACCATAAGATTTTATACTTTGCAAAGTAAGGCATGACCCATGACTTTTTGGGACACTACTGAATCCGTAGTAACCAGCCGAGGACCTGACATGTTCTAAGTGTCCAATAACTATGTGGGGGGTGATGGAATACTTGTATTTGTGTTTCTCAAAGGGCTTTTCATCAGTTCTGGCGTTAGTGAATACTCACTGAGGCTTAGCATGACTACCCTTTAAACATTGTAGCTGGCTCTTCTCTGTTCCCCTTTGTCCCTCTGCCCAATTCCTGCCACTCTTTCCTTTTTTTTTTTTCCTTTGGATGCAATTATTGTCTTCTAGTATGTTACATAATATGAAAGCGTGATTTTTGTGCATTCTATTCACACAGTAGTCACTAAAAATATTTGTGAAGTGAACAAACGAATGACATTTCTGAATGTCATATAGGAAAGTTGAATCCATGAAATAAATTATTAAAAAACAAAACAAAACAACAGTCAAAAACTACAGTCATACCTTACTTCATACCGTGGACTTCAAATTCTTCAAATACAATAAATTTGTACTTAATTTCCAGCAAAGTCTGAAGCTGTACATTATATTTTATTGTAATACATTATACATCTTTTTAAACATGGTGTTTTATTAATAACATATTTTAAAAGCAAAAGCACATAAGAAAAATAAATTTCATTAACAATTATCAACATTAAAATATTTTAAAAATCATGCATCTTTATTTTAGAAAAGTGAAAAATAAACATAAAGACTGCCCCCTCCCCCAAATTACCCTTAATCCCATTGAGACAATCTTGGCTAATATTTTGAGGCATATACTTCCAAGATATTTTTCTTATGTACAATATGTTCATACACTGTGTTTAAAAACAGAAATATACTGTAAATGTTAACAAGAACCAAAGTTTTGTTGCACTTACTATGTTTCGGGTACTAAGTACTTTATTTGTGTGTATTTATTTATATTGATTTAATTCTCACAACAAATTTATGCTCTAGGTCCTAGTATTTGCCCTCATTTTACAGAGGAGGAAACAGAGGCACTAGAAGATTAACTACCTTGCCTGATGTCATACAGCTAGTGAGTGATAGGACTGGGATTTGAACCAAGGCAGTGTGGCTTGAGAATCCATGCTCATAATCATGATTTTTGCTGCCTCAAAATATTGCTTGTGATTTGCTCCCTCCCTATCACTATATCAAGACCATCTTCCCAACTGTTATATATTCTTCTCCAACATCATTTGTAAAGTCTATAGAGTGTTTCAGTACATAGATACTCTAATTTTTCAATTTTTATAATTTTAATTTAAGTTTTTTGGAGATAGAGTCTCACTCTTTCAACTGGGCTGGAGTGAAGTGGTATGATCAGAGCTCTCTCCAGCCCCAAACTCTTGGGCTCAAGCCATTCTCTCACCTCAGCCTCCTGAGTAGCTAGGACTGCAGGTGCACACCACCATGGCCTGGCTAATTTTTAAAATTTTTTATTTTGGAGACAGGATCTTGCTATGTTGTCCAGGCTGGTTTCAAATTCCTGGCCTCAAGTGGTCCTTTAGCTTTGACCTCCCAAAATGTTGGGATTATAGGTATGAGCCACTGCACCTGGCTAATTTGTCTATTTTTTTTTTAATTTTAAGAATTATTTCTGGTTGGGTGCAGTGGCTCATGCTTGCAATCCCAGCACTTTGGGAGGCCGAGGCAGGTGGATTGCTTGAGCTCAGGAGTTTGAGACCAGCCTGGGCAACATGGTGAAACCCCATCTCTACCAAGCATACAAAAATTAACTGGGTGTCGTGGCATACATCTGTGGTCTCAGCTACTTGGGAGGCTGAGATGGAAGGATCACTTAAGCCCAGGAGGCAGAGGTTGCAGTGAGCTGAGATCACACCACTGGATTCTAGACTGGGCAAAAGAGCCAGACCCTGTCTCAAAAAAAAAAAAAAAGATTTATTTATTTATTTTTCCCTAGGAACAAAGTTCAACAAAAGTAGGTAATTTAAGGAATTTATGAGGAACAATTTTTAAAAGTGCATAATTTTTTAGTTCTGTACAGCTGTAGTTTGAGGCAGTACCTTCATGAATTTCTTTAGGTGACGTACACCTGTATTTTCTCTTCTTATTTTCAAATGGTTGCTTCTGCTAGAAATCCACTTGGTAACCATGTATGAGTGAAAATGTGTTCCTAAACTGAGGCATTTTGACTGTGGGAAGAGCTATAAATAATGATGGAAAATTCAGGATAAAAATTCAGGCAAAAACTGAGCAAGTAAAATAAAGCAAATCTGTATACTTAACATTAAAGAAACTGGAGTGCACTTGAAGCCAAACAAAGATCTTGCTTTATGAAGACACAGAGCTAATTAATCTATGTCAAATTGTTTTTTAAATACTTGTCTTTTGGTATAATTCAAGTTCACTCTTGCAGGAATTAATCACTCCTTTGCCATTTGTAATTGTCGACCTGACAGGCATTTACTTTGATTTTTTTTGTAGTATAAAAAGTGTTTATGGTGCAAAATTAACATTGTTAGACAAAATGTCACCTTTTGGGTGAAAACACTGAGCATTTTTACCTCTTGGTGTCAACTCAGACTCTTCTGATTGATGCATGGAGCTATTCCTGGAGAAAGGCTCCAGCTGGTCAAGTATTCCCTTTGCTAATATTCAGAAACACACAGCAGGGTTACACATGAGGCCTAGGGGGTATGTGTGTGTTTGTGTGTGTGTGTGTACCTCCATGTACACATAAGCTTGTAGAATTGGCTGGACAAAAATACATATAAACCTTTCCTGTCCCATCGACTGCAACTCTCAAAAACATTCAAGTACGATCAGTTTAAAATCTATTTACCAATCAACTCAATAAGCATTAATTGAGCATACTATGTGCTCAGCACTGTTATAAATGCCGGCATAGAAAGATGAATGAGAACCTCAAGGAGTGTGTGGCATTGTGAAAATATGAGCCAGGTAAATGAGTATTTGAAATCATGAGATAGTGTCACAGATAACGATAAGAGCAGGTAACAGCATCAGCTGCAATCAGGGAGGGAGGGGATTCAAGCAAGCATCATAGAGGAGGACTCGCTTGTGATAGGTCTTGAAGGATGCATTCATCAGGTGGCCAGGGTGGTATTCCAGACAAAAGAAGAAGGTGGTCAAAGGCACAGAGGCATGAAACAGCATGGAGTATTCAGGGTATTCAGTAGGGTGTTCTGTGCTGCTGGAGACAGGATCCTGAGGTGCTAGAGAAGTAGCCCTTCTTCTGGTCAATCTTGGGCTCCATGAAGGAACAACTGAGGCCAACCACTGGCTGTCTTTTGATTAAGATTTTTGGACTCTGTGAAAACCCAGGAGTCTTAGGTAATTTTTTTTTTGAGATGGAGTCTCACTCTGTCGCCCAGGCTGGAGTGCAGTGGCGTAATCTCGGCTTACTGCAAGCTTCGCCTCCCAGGTTTAAGCAATTCTCCTGCCTCAGCCTCCCGAGTAGCTGGGACTACAGGCACGTGCCACCACACCTGGAATTTTTGTTTGTTTGTTTGTTTGTATTTTTAGTAGAGACCGGGTTTCACTGTGTTACCCAGGATGGTCTCGATCTCCTGACCTCGTGATCCCCCTGCCTCGGCCTCCCAACTTGCTGGGATTACAGGTGTGAGCCACCACGCCCGGCCGAGTCTTAGATAATTACTGAAGCTGTGTGGGATTCTACGGTTAGGCTTGATTGATTCATTTGTGGCTAGCCTTGGCTCTACTTCTCATTCCTTTAAGTGTATATATTCCCAGCAAGACCACCAGCAACTGTGCTTGGTCCTATGTTAGCTGCTATGCATAGTTTCCACTTTCTAGTTGGTAGTAAATATTTGTTGGCTGAAACGTTGTTGAATGGTTATAAAAATGAGAGCTTCCAGGAACCTCCTGTCTTTTTGGGGAGTTGAGCTAAAAACATGTAAAGAACTCACAGTGCAAGATTTAAGTAACAGTTATAGGCAAAAGAGAGTTGACAAGATTATTATAAACAATTTCCAAAATAGGTGTCACAATTTACACCATCACATGCAGTGCATAAATGTACCTATTTCATCATAACTTTGTTGGAGTTGGCTATTATAATTTTTAAAGTTTTTTTTTTTTAGGGAGACAATCTAATCAGGATGAGATCATTGTAATTTGCATTTCTTTGATTGCTAGTGAGGCTGAACAATTTTCATTTGCTTAATATTGTTATTTCCTATTGCGTGAAGTCATGTTCCTGCTAGCACTGTGATCTAAAAGCAGGGCAAGGAAAGGTTATCTTGCACATAGGGAAAGAGCAGAGAGACAAGTGCAAGAAACAGGGGCTATATCTTTTTGGACTGCATCTTTTCATAGTGAGTGAAAGAAAATCTCACTTCACGTGGCTTAAATAAAAAAGGAAATGCAGTAATCACCCTACTGAAAAGGCCTGACAGTACGTTTGGCTTCAGTTACAGCTTGGACCTCAAATGACGGCACCAGGACCCATTTCTGGATTTTGTGCTCTCCATGTTGATGTAGCATCCCTATATTCAAACAAGCTTGCCTCTTGTGGTTGTCATGTAGCTGCAGGAGTTCCCCTACTCTTTAATGGCAGTTTAAGTTTCAGATGGAGAACAGTCCCTTTCTTAGTCTCATTGGGTTTCACTGGATCACCTAAACACCCTGAACCAATCACCGTGGCCAGAAACACGTGGCGTTCTGATTGGCTCAAGGCTGTCATATATTCCACTGCTAAACTGAATTGGAACTTCACCCTAAGCATGAAGGGTTAGGGAAGAGGATCCCCTCGCCAGATGCGGTGGCTGTGGCCTGTTATCCCAGCATTTTGGGAAGCCAAGGTGGGTGGATCACTTGAGCTCAGGAGTTCAAGACCGGCCGGGGGCACCATGGTGAAATCCCATCTCTACTAAAAATACAAAAAGTAGCCGGGCGTGGTTTGGTGTGCACCTGTAATCTCAGCTACTCAAGAGGCTGAGGCACTAAAATTGCTTGAGCTCGGGAGGTGGAGGTTGCAGTGAGTGGAGATTGCACCATTGCACTCCAGCCTGGGCCATGAAGCTAGACTTTGTCTCAAAAAAAAAAAAAAAAAAAAAGACCCCCACAGAAGGAAACTGGAAGTAAGGTGAACGGCACTTAAAAGTATTCCAGGATTACCAAAGAGCCATTGTTTAGAAAAGCTGGAGTTTGGTAAGGGGCCCCACACTGGGAGTAGTAAATGGAGATGCAAGGCCCTGAGGATAAATTGTCCTTTGCTCTATGTGGCCTCAGACTGCCCCCGATTGGGCTGTGCCCTTCCAGTGGGCAGTAGAAATAGGGCTGCCATGATCTTCTGAATGCTCAGATTCCTCCCTCTTATTCTGACTGTTGGGTGGGCTTCATCTCCTTTTTTTGCTCCCCTCTCCCTGGAGCTTGCTTAAATCCATGGCTCTCAGTTTGGTCCTATCCCCAGAGCTGTCAGGAAGGTATTTATGGAGACAGAAGCCTGCAAACCTCTGATGTGTTGAATACTAAGCTATTGTTTCTCAGCTCAAAGTCATCTTTGTTACTTGGCTTTTTGATACTGGGGCTGGAACTCTGCAAACCACATTTCTCCTTTGCTGGTTGGCTCCCCGGTAGGCTTTGCCAATGAGAGAGAGGAAGCTGGAAGAAGATGTGAAACTAGAGGAGGAACAGGGCCTTGTTCCTTTCTGTTTCTGTAACGTAGCAATGCTTCTTCTCCTTGGCAGTGTCACTTGCTTCTAGTAGCAGCAGTTGGTTCCTATTTGCAGTTTTTCTTTTTTTTAACACTCTAAGGACCTGCCTCACGGAGGTCTCTTGGAGACATCAGCTCTTGCCAACTGGCCTCTCCTGGGAAGCCTAAATCCCAGCTTTGCTGGACCCTCTGAACTCCTGGGAAATAAGCACCAGCCAGGCAGCTTCCTCTCCTCAGAGGTTTGGGCTTGATCTCTCCAGCGGCCCTTTTCCAAATTTATACTTTTTAATAATACCAACCTCTTCTCTTTGTTTTCCCAGCCATTGAAGTAGTAGCTGCTTCCTGTAGTTGCTATGCTTATGATATCTCAGTATCTCCTTTTGGATCTCCCAATTGTCCAATACCTTGCTAACAATTCTTTACATTCAATTATTTTTGTTAAAATAACTGGTGCAGTTTTTATTTCTTGACTAGACTGATTGAAACAGTCTCAGTCTACCTGAATTGTCTTGCCATTATTCCAATGAAGCCTGAAGATCATTCTGATAGAAAATTAATATTGGCTTCCCATTGCCTTTAGAAGAAGGTCCATACCTTTGCCTCCTGCCTGATTTTATAGTTGCATCGTTTGCAAGTTTGCACCTTACGCTCTAGGTACATGGGTCTTCCTTAAGTTCTTCCAATGTGTCATGCTCTGTCATGATCAGGCCATTAAATGTACAGTTTCTTTTGCTAAGAACATTGACATCTTCTACCCTTTTAACTGGGTAACTCTAGGTATTATTTATGCATCAGCAGAGATGTCATGTCCCAAACCTTTTTTGGCTTCTCCCCCTTTCCTGTGGTATGCTGTACTTGCTTTCTGATGGCATATATTGTTTGATTATCTGTTTCTGTCACTGGACTGCAAGCTGCTTGAGAGCAATGCCTAGAACTCAATAGGTAGCTGAATAAATATTTGACGAGGACTTCCTTAGAAAATTTCCATGCTTTCTTTTTACTTTTATGAAGTAAGGACAAAACTCCAGTTACCATTACTGCTGATGCAAGTCACGCCCTAAGTGACTACCGAGGGTTTTATCTTTCATCCAAAGGACAAGTTAATGTTGTGAAAATTGCCAAAGTCAGACTGGAGGGCAACAAACAAGATGCCTTAAAGACCTGAGATGTCTCTGAGGCTGCCATGTGTCACACCGCTGATGAAGGTGGACAGGGATCAGCTACTGATTCACCAGGTTAAAAGCCTTCCCATCACCCACAGCAGCTGAAGGCATCGTGTCAAAGACAAGTGGCAGAAGAAAATGAAACCTTGTCAAGCCCTTGCATATATGATTTCAGGATGCCAATGAGAGGCATTGGATCAGAGGAGAAGATTGTGAATGTGAGTGCTTTTCTGAGGCTGCACCATGCAATGAAGAAACAAAGACTTGGGAGTCTGAACTTGATTTAAATCTTGGCTTTGCCTCTAGTTTCACTGGGAGATAGAAACCTTGATAAGATTCTTAGTTTATTAATCTGTAAAATGGGACTAATAGCACTGACTTTATTTATTTAAATGAGGTAATTGATTTAAAGCATCTAAATATTTAATTGATTTAAAGTTAGGAAATACTGGTAGTTTGTGGACAATGATTGGATTGACAGATCTGATTCTACTCATTTATTCATTTAGTCATTAAAAAAATCATTGAGCATCCCCTAAATGCTAGTGATGCATAAGCAAATACATTAGAAAATGTCCATGCTGTCATGGAGTTTCTACTGGAAAGAGACAATCTGAAAGGTAACACATCGATAAACAAAAGAATGACAATTTTGTTAGTTGATTTAATCATGTCCTTTATAGCACTTTTATTTTCTGATCCAGGATCCAGTCCAGGATCACATGTTGCATTTTAGTGGTCATATTTCTTTATTTGTCTTTATTCAAGAATAAGTTCCTAGGCCTTTCCTTGACTTTCATGACATTGATATTTTTGAAGAGTCCAGGCCAGTTATCTTGTAGATTGAATCTCAACCTGGGTTTGTCTGATTGTCTTTTGACGATGTGCTTTTTAAGGCCATGCAGGAAGCAAATGGCAGAGCTAAGACTGGGACCCGGCTTTCCTGACCACATGTCTTGTGCATTTTTCTCTTAAAAGCTGCCAAGAGACTTGGAGGTCAGAAGACCCCCCATAGTTTCATCCCCAGAAGAAGAGTCCCATTAACACTGCCAGGTTGTTAAATAACAGTAGTATTGACATGGTAATAACCAGAGAGAACACCTTCTTCCAGGTTAACCTGGTGATCTTCTTGGTCATCATTTAGCATCTCCAAGTCTGAGTGACAAATTAAAAAAAACCTGTAATTATTTTCATACTTTTTTGTCATCATCTCTCTAGATGACAATTTGTCTTGCTTTAATAGAAGAGCTGGAAAAATCATTAGGGAAATTAGATCAAATGTGGGTAAAATGCCATAAGATCATTTCAGTTCTATTATGATGCATTTTTCAAAACTATAGGACATTGAACAAAATGCATTAAAATTAAAGAAAAAATTTTTTATTTGGAAAATTCTTTTTAAAAGCTGAACAATTACTGCAGCTAATCTATAATTTACCCAGATGTTGGGTACTTTATTATATTGACATGCTGCAAGTTAGCTCACTAAATTTTCTCCAAGAAATGGCGGAAACAAAAGGGCAAGTAATTGGTGCTCTGAGCCCATGGTCTGCTTCCCGTTTCATGAATGGGACCACAAGTACATTTTAAAATTTGTCCAGATGTTGTTTTAAAAAAACACGCACACAAATAGTCTTCAAACTAACCCTAAATGGACTCTGCCTTTTCACAGCTTTCTTATTTCTGGTTGAATGTTTCTTCTGCTGTTCCAAAAGTGGGATTAGAAGACGTTTTTAGGTGGGGCTGGGGAAAGACCCTTCCCCTGTTTAGATCTTGTTGCTAAGGGCATGGTGGGGCTGGGTGGTGAGGGGAAATTTCATCTATTATGCATCTTATTAATGAGAAGGCATACATATTGTTAGACTGTTTATTTATATTATAAATATTCATTCGAATTTAGTTATTGAAAATCCCCCTTATAAGCCAGGCACTGTGCTAGGCAGTGAATTTAAAATGAATAACTCAGATGTGGTCCCTACCTACAGGGAGTTTATAATCTTGTGTATGTAGGGTTTGGGTGAGGCAATTCTATTGGCTGAGCACAGGATGCTACAGGAAGGCATGTAACAGACTTAGGAGGGAGGTAAAGTGAGTGGGTTTACATGTGTAATTTCCTCTGTAACAGACACTTTTACCTATGATGAATAACAAAGGCAGAAGAGAAAAGCTTGATTTGGTGAAGAATTTATACATCGCCATGCTGTTCATTCCCATGTAACATGGGAAACCCATGACAAAGGGCTTTTCAAAGAATGGCGATATCAGGGACCAGGGTGAACAGAGAAGTCAAGCAGCTTTTTTGGATCCTTCCTCAGAAAATCTTGGAGGAGATTCCTCACAGAACTCAGAGTCAGAAACTGTCCAGGATAGGGAAGCTGAAGAGCTTGAAGTTTGTTTACCTTCTCTTCTAGGTGACCCTCTGCAGAGGAAGGCTACTTTCTCCTGTGGGTCAGCGGCTTTCTACCTCTTTTCTCTATACACTGGGACTCCTGCTTTTTACAGTGGTACTGACTTAATATTTACTACAGGCAATTGTTTTCTGGTCTCTCTGTCTCTCTCTGATTAATATATAGAACTTCCCTCTCTACACTCATAGACAATGTTTTATAGCACTCCTGAAACAGATGTGGGACTGCAATGAAGCATTATACTTGCTTTTGTAATGAGTGTTGAGGGTAGGAAAAAAATGGTCATGGAGGAACTTCAATGTGATGAGGTTTAGGTTTGTCCTCTAAATTCTTATCTATGCCAGAGAAGGCTTCTGCAAAGAAGCAATGTCCAAGCTGAGACTTGAAAACATTAGGGTAGAAACTGGGCTCTAGAGAGCAAGAATAACATTTGCAAAGACCTAGCGACTGGAGAGAACATGGCGTATTACATCAGAGAAACCGAAAGTTGTTCAGTATGCCTTATGGAAGAGTGAAAACAGGGAGGTAAGAGGTGGCTTTGGTAATTGAAAGCTTTGGAAGCCTTTGAGGCCATGGGAAGCTACTGAAGCCACATAAGTGGGGAAGTGGTAGGATTAGATTTATATTTCAGAGTAAGAATTCTGACTGCAGTGGAATAAAAGGTTTAGGGGCAAAGCTGAAAACAGAGAGACTAACTGATTCTCTCAATGTATTGGGATAGTGGCAGTCAGGATGGGGACAGGCAGAAGAATGGCAGAAATATTTTGGAAGTAGAAGCAACAAGACTTGATGATTAATTGGATGTGGACAGTGAGGGAGGAAGATAAATCAGAGACCAACAGCCCAACTTTCTTCATATCTGTCTTATACCCCAACCTTGGTCTGGACTTTGAAGCCTCCTTCCATCTTCAGTTTTTCCTAAAGCTGTGACCTCAAATCCTGGCATTGACCTTAGACTCCATGATGACTGTTATTGCCTTAGTGGTGCCAACAGCACCCATGACTACAATCTGTACTCCAAATGCTGGTGCTGGTCATTACCTGCCCCCAGGATTGGTTCATCCATGTGTTTCCTTCCTGAATATACAGCCACAGGATGATAATGGTGGTTAAGAGCAGGGACTTTAAGTGGGATGGATTTAAGTTCAAGTCCCAGCTCTTCACTTACTCTTAGTTTGACCTTTGGCAAGTCACTAAACATCTCTGAACCTCATATTTTCTCATCTGTGAAATAATAACAGAACAACTATGAGGATTAAATGAAAGCATGAATGTGAAGCACAGTGCCTGCACATGGGCAAGCACAAAATGAAAGCTAACCAAAGAGAGGAACAAGGAAACAATAAGAAGAGAGTGATAGGTTTTAGTGGGGTTTTTTTCCTTTCTCTCCCACGACCTACAGTCTGAAACAACACAGGATAACAAAAGCATCCATTTGGATAGAGAGGAAGAGGAAGAATCTCTTTTAGCAGGATTTCATGAAGGAGGTCCACAAAGAAGAGTTTATTCTGATTGCGTAAAAGTTCAGATTGGTTTGTTGAGCCTGGACTAGAACCAAAGCTAGGGCCCAGCCCATCGAGGCTTCTTTCACCCCTGGACTATTGACTCTTTTCATGTCATTTTTCTCCTCTACATACATGTTCTTCCTCATTGTCTTTGTTCAAATCTCAGTCACCATTAACTCTCTTATCCTTCCCCCTCCTGCTCTTCCCCTTTTGTCTCTTTTCACAAGGTAGCTCTAAAGCATCTCTGTATTTGTCCGGTTCCAGGCATGGCAGGATGTAGAAGTTAACATTTGTTGGAGACTGTTTTGCTTCCTGGAATCTCCCCTCTAGAAAACTTTGTGTCGCTCTGCTTACAAACCTGGTATATCCCTGAGTAGAGGCAGTGCTATTAAAACTCAGTAATAATAATAATACCAATAAGCAATGTGCATCAGTGCACTCTGCTGTTCTATACAATCAGCAGCTCGTTCTACTGGCCAGTGACCAAGCAGCCCCCTTTGTGATTGGTCAGCTCCATGCCATACTGGTCGTTATAGGTTGAACTGTGTTCTCCCTCTCTCCTACAATTCATGTGTTGAAGCCCTAAACTCCAGTATCTGAGAGTATCTGTATTTGGAGATAAGGCCTTTTAAGAGTGATAAAGGCAAAATAAGGGCATTAGGGTGGGCCCTAATCCAATGTGACTAGTGTGCTTTTAACAAGAGGAAATGTAGATATGCAGAGAGATACTAGGGATGCATGCACACAGAGGAGAGGCCATGTGAGGACATAGCGAGAAGGTGGCCATCTGAAAGTCTAGGAGAGAGTCCTCAGAAGAAACCAAACATCCTGACATCTTGGTTTTGGACTTCTAGCCTTCAGAACTATGAGAAGATAAAGTTTTATTATTTAAGCCATCCAGTTTGTAGTATTTGGTGCAGTAGCCCTAGCACACCAGTATACTGGTTATGATATTTTTTGGACTATCATGTTCAATAATAACAGTTTTGTTGATTGCTGAATCTATTCTAGGGGTAGTATAGAACACATCATTACATCTTTAGTCACTATCTAGGTATTATCCTTATTTTGCAAATGGGAGAACTCAGGCTTGAAGAAGAAAATGACTTACCTAAAGTCAAAGTCACAGAGCTAGTAAAGGACAAATTCAGGCTCAAATCTAAATCTTTCTGACACCAGTACCTAGGTTCTTAACTGTTCTGTACTACCTAGAAATACTGGTCTTCTCTGACTGCTTTCACCCAATATAAACAATGCTCTGTATTTTTCTCTGTGGCTCTCTGGTCTTTTTTCCCCTTTGGAGCATGAGCTACAATTTAGAATCATAAATTAATTATGTGATTATTTTCTCAATGCCTTCCTCCCCTGCTAGTCCCATGATGTAACACTGTGCTTATAATCATGAAGATGATGTTAGTTTTGGAACCAGCAGTGTTGAAAAGCTTCTTGATTTTTATGCCAAGTGAAAGCCAGCCAGCCCTTTGCATATGGTGAAATGATCAACCTCGATGGTCATTGGCAAGTAACAGGAACCGCTGCTGGGCTCTTTAATTTATACCTTGATATTGTACACATGTGGCCTCAGGAAGGGAGCGTGTCACCTAACCTTCCCACATGGTGAATACCAGCATTTCCCTCCTCATGGCTGCTGTCATGAAGAGCCCTGCCTGGTCTGGCATTCTCGGACTTGTTTTTCCATTTAGAAATGCACTTCAAGGCAGGAAGCTGTGAGCCACTGGGTGCACCCTTGGTGGCTTTTCTCTGCTTTTCCTGACCTTCTACCCTGTTAATACATCTGGGCGAAGTGGCAGCAGCTTATTTCGGATATAATGGAGCCTACAAAAAATGAAGCCAGGTCTGTTATACCAGATTGTGACTCCTCAAAGAACAAGATCCCAGCAGATACTTATTGTAGACGTCACACTGTGCTAATCACCTAGTTCAGCCAATGTCGTATTATGATGATAGTGGTTATTATTTTCCCAGTGAGGTTCCCCCATCAGAGGTGGAAACTGTACATTTTCCTCCCAACCAAAACTAATAGAAAAATTCTATCTACTTCCCAAGGACTGAATTTTTTAAAGACAGATTATTTTTCTCTTTGTGGCTTTTTATTTTTAGGTTTCCTCCTCCCTCTCCCCACTTTTTTCCATTTAATGCTTTCATACAGAATGAATAGTATTCTACATTTTTATATTCTAAACACCACTCCTGCATAATTTTATTCAATTCTTTGTTGGTCTTTTTTTTTTCTCCAAGTTATGGTTTTAAAAATAATCTAGAACTAATTTGTCTAATGAATATGCAATTATTGCAAGAGTCTTTTGAAGTTTTTGAAAACCTTCAGTCAGCATCTTTCTGGGACATGGTGATGAATGTAGCATCAGGCACTTGAAAGCCATTTCTAATTTGGCATGAGCAGGTATAATTTTTTGCACATTTCAAAGCTGGGTATGATGCAATATTTACTGTGTACTTATGGTTCACTTAGTGTAGTTACTTTCTAGCCTAGCTCCCTCTGCTGGATGAATGGATGCACTATTGCTACTGGGGCACACTGGGGTTGAAACAGAAGCCAGATAGGATAGTCAAGGCAGGAGAGAAGGGGGTGCAGTTTGGTTTTGCCACTGCTCATGCCCAGAGCTTACAAATAATAGCTACCGTTTATGGTGTGCTTATCCCATGCAAGACACTTTACGGATGTCTTAATCTTCACTTACACATAATCCAGAAAGCAAAGGAATATTATCACTATTTTATAAGTAAGGAAAATAAGACTTGAAGAGGTTAAGAAAGTTTCCCAAGATCACACAGGTAGTAAGTGGCAGAGCCTTCATAAACATTTATCCTGGAGCACATTTTCTGTGTGAGGCACTGTGTAAGTCTAGAAATGAAGTTGACCTGGATTTTACTCTCAGAGTGTTTATCTTCCTGTACAAGAGAGAGAAGACAAACAACCATATCATGTAGCCAAGATAATTCAGAAAAAAGAAAAATAGAGGGCCATTCCATGGTAGCAGAAGCAAAGGAAAGGGAGAAAAATTTCCATCTCAGTAGAGAGAAAATTTTATCCTCAGAGGAGCACTGGTTTCCATTTTCGCTCGTGCCTCCCTGTTTCCTGCCTACTGTGGACATTACGATTTTGGAAGTGGCCCCTGGATAGCATTTTTCAAGGATCATTTTTGACCTGGGAAGCAGCTTCCCCCTGAGTACTTTTTTCCAGTACCGGAGTGAAGAGGCCACTGCCGAAGCAGACAGAAGCATCCCAACCCCAGCTGTGGGGTTCATTATCCTCTGCTGTCAAATTGCCATGGTCGTGAGGGTGTGAAAGTCACAGCGCCTTCCCAGCCCTGGCTGGATACAGGCTGTCAGAACTCCTCATAAAAACAGCACAGGGCCTTCTGCTGAGTGTCGGAACATGACATCTCATGAACCATAGCCTTCCTTGGCGATGGAACAAAGTACTTTCTCCCATACCCAGTCTTGTTATACGCTTTTTTTTTTCCCTTCTGGCCTCCTGAAAATGTATTTTGGTTGCAGGTAGCAGAAGCACTAAAACTATCTTAAGCAAATAAAAGGGAATTTATTATAAGAATCTCAGGGGCTACACCCAGGAACCAAAAACATCAGAAGCCAAGGCAATTAATTACCCTCTTGGCAATTCTCTCTCTTAATTACATGGACTTGTGTTTCCGATTGTTTTTGCATCTCTGTCTACTTTTCCCTATTAACAAATTGTCTCTTCTCACAGATTCATGCCAGAATATGGCTTTCCATAGCCCCCAAATACCCATCTTCTCAGTTTGAGCTAACAAAAGAAATTCACACTGGATCCCAATTCTACTGCTGGGAGAGAGAAGCCTGATTTATTCCAGGCTGGGTCCAATCAGCTGTGGTTGTGGCAGGGATCAGGTAGTAGAGAAAGGCCCTTATTATTTCCCCAGCCCCTAGGGGGCACAGTGTTTGAGCTGAAGTTCTACATCATCCACAAAGATATCCCTCTTTAAATTCACTTTCCTTTTCTTTCCTTTCCATAGACTTTTCACATAAATCACTGGCTCCCAAGTTTGGTTAAGAAGCAGAATCATCTAGAGATTCTTTTTTCAAAACACAAATTTCTGAATCTCATCCCAGTTCTACAGAACCAGGACCTCTATGGGTAGTGCCCTCGATTCTATATTTTTTAAATGCTCCAGTGATTCAGGTGGAGTTAGCTCACGACTCACTGTGGCACTAAAATTTAAACCAATATTGCTCAAGCTTTTATAATCCATGTCCCCTTTTGCTAAACATAAATATATCTACCTTTCATATTATTAATACAAACATTGGAACTTTAAGAACTTTTTCTAACTATATAGAAAGCTTCTATTTTATACATATTTATAAGTAATGTGTACTGTATACATTTTACATATTTTATATATTATTTGTATAAAATTAGTTGTATAAATGTATTATGAATTTGTATAAATGAATATATAAATATATATATATATATTTATTCTAACTACCTCACCTCTCCAAACTCTCCACTCAAGCCTTGGGTCAGCCTTCAAATTATTTCTTGATTATTAACTCAAAATAGTTTAAGCAACCTTAAAATAAGTACTATGTCATATTTCTTTCATCAACTTCATCACCATTAGCTTCACAATTTGGCAGGATAATTAATTATTTTATTTAAGAAGTATTTACTGAGCATCTGATATGTGCCAGACATAGTGCTAAGGATACAATGGTGAATAAGATTTCCGCCCCTTGGAAGACTGTATCCTAGCAAGCAAAGACAATTAATGATTATGATAAGTCAAGATAGTGATGAACTCTATGAAAATAATAAAATAGAGTGATGTAATTGGCTGGGATTGAGTGTGGACTCTACTTTACAAGGGATATTCTAGAAAGATCTCTACAAAGAGATAACATTTGAGCTAAGACTCAATGACATCTCAACTTTTGAGTTTCAGAGACTAAAGCAGAAGTTTCCAGATTCCTACATGACAACCCTCCCACCTGGCCTCAGGCTTCTATAGTTAGGGAGTGGGGGCAGAAAAGTTCAAACTAAGGGAGTGGAAGATTCCTCAGCCCAAGGGGAATAGGGAACATAGAAATTATGGTTCTGGGAACCAAAGATAGAGAGTTTCAATCCCAAGGGGCCAAGAAGGGCTTGGAAGAGTTTATTAGTGATAAGCAGAGTAGACTGAAGTCCAGAGAGCCTTTCCCAAATGCAGAGGACTGCATAAAACACATGGAGACTTTCCACATCTTTGGACTGTTTAGAGATCTCTAGAATACAACTGAAATTCAATTTCTGTCCAAGGAAAGTGGAGAGATCAGCGAGGACAACATGAATTTCATGAGCAATAAAGAAATGTGAATTTTCTCGCACTTGAGAGTTATGCCTGAAAATTCATACCCACCACAATGAATAATAACTACAATTAAACAGAAAAGATTACTCTGTACTTGCTCTTTTCTACATATAATTTCTAACTCCTATAATCATCTTACAAAGGAAGTATTATTACTCCTCCTCGACCCCCCAGTTTGCAGATAGGACATTAAGGCTCGGTGTAAGGTTTCCCAAGGTCTTAGCAAATGAATTTTAAAATCATTTACCTAGTGGTACTAAACACTGTGCTGGGTATATTGACAGTACTAGTACATTTATTTTATTTATTAATTGGCCAGTTGAAAAACCTCTGGCTCAAAGAGTTTTGAACTCATAATAAGTTGGTCTGGTTTACTATGGGTCACTGAATGACTTACATATTTAGCATTATGATTTAGGAATTTACTGTGTATAGGGAAAGCACTATAATCAGTCTTAGGAGCAATAAAATAAGACAGATACTGTCCTGTGCAAGCAACAATCTACCGGTAGATAAAAGCATGCAAACAAATATAAGGAAGTTAAATAAACTAGAAGAGAAGTACGAAGCATTTCTTTGGATGTTTGTAGGAGGGAAAGATCACTTCTGCCTTGGGATACCAAAGAGGCATCTGTACAGAAAAGGCATGGGACAGGGAGGTAGTTTTAGGTTCTCAATGCCAGTGAGAACCGCCCAAATCTTACTCATACTTTCACGAGGATGCCTAAGCAATTATCTTGTGTATTTGAACAATATTAGCTGGCCTAATTAGTTCAGAACAACCCAAGCCTCTTTACCCTCAGCATCAAGTTTTTGCCTGGATTATATGGATAGTTTCATTAGTCCTCTTTACACAGCACAAGTGAATTCCATTTGTTTCAAGAAGCAAGAATGAACTTCTACAGACATTGCCCTCATATAGATAGTTAGCATGTTGCACTGACTCTCAAGAAAAGATAAAACCATGTCACAGCATTGATTTACAAATATATGGTTACCTATGTGAATGCCTGTCCCACAACTTCTCCTTTTCTGTAAAATGCACCCCACCCACCGCGGCCTCCCAAAGTGCTGGGATTACAGGCGTGAGCCACTGTGCCTGGCCTCAGTGGTGAATTTTTAATGAAACCACAGACAGTTGCTGACCCCAAAATTCATAATTCACACTTTATCCCCAGTGCTTGAGGTGAATGGTGGTGCTTCAGTTTTTTATTTCCTTTTTCTCTGGTTTTATTTAAACATAATACTTTTATTATGAAAAAGTTCAATTATATACGAAGAAAGCACAATGAACCCCTGTGCCTGTTTAGATGAATATGTCACCCAGCTTCAATAATGGTCAATTCTTGGCCAACTTCATCTGTGCCGCACTTGCTAACCCCTCTACCTCTAGATTATTTTGAAGAAAATCCAAGACTTGATATCATTTCTTCCATTAATATTTCAATCTGAAAAATAACAATTCCTAAAAAACATAATTTCAGCCAGGCATGGTGGCTCAGGCCCATAATCCCAACACTTTGGGAGGCCGAGGTAGGTGGATCACTTGAGGTCCATAGTTGGAGACCAGCCTGGCCAACATGGTGAAACCCTGTCTCTACTAAAAATACAAAAATTAGCTGGGCGTGGTGGCACACGGCAGTAGTCCCAGCGACTCAGGAGGCTGAGGCATGAGAATTGCTTGAACCCAGGAGGCAGAGATTGCAGTGAGCCAAGATTGCACCACTGCACTCCAGCCTGGATGACAGAATGAGAATCTGTCTCAAAAAAAAAAAAAAAAAAAACCAAAACCAAAAAACAAAAACATAAAAAACATAATCTCAATACAATCATTATACTAAAATAATTAATAATTTCTTAATTTTTTTCAAATATTACACCGTGTTAAAATTTTCTCAGCTGCTACAGAAATGCTTTCTCACAATTTGTTTTCAAAATTAGTTTGACTTCTAATGAAAATAAGACTCATATATTTTAATTGTTTAATAGGTCTCTTAAGCCTCCTTCGATCTAAGGTTTTCTTTCTTTGCAACTTATTTGTTGAAAAATCTGGTCACTTTGTCAGTAGAGTTTCTTGTAGTCTAAATTTTGCTAATTTTATTCCTGTGGTGTTATTAAAAGTATTTTTTTCTGTCCTCTGTATATTCTATAAATTGATAACCAGATTTAAGAGCTTACTCAGATTAAGATTGGATTTGTTTTCCACATTATTTCATGGATGGTGGTGTTTATTTATATCAAGGAGCCATATCCCTTATTGTCACTCTTTCTGTCATGATAGTAGCAACTGGTTTCTCAGGAAAAGTGGGTTAAATGCTCAATTCTTTCATTTTATTTGCCTGTTTCTTGGAATTCTCCAAAAGTGAGCAATGAGTTGTGTTGTTGTTGTTGTTGTTTTGAGACAGAGTCTCCCTCTGTTGCCCAGGCTGGAGTGCAGTGGTGTGGCCTTGGCTCACTGCAACCTCCACCTCCTGGGTTCAAGTGATTCTCCTGCCTCAGCCTCCCGAGTGGCTAGGATTATAGGCACCTGCCACCAAGCCTTGATAATTTTTTGTATTTTTAGTAGAGACAGGGTTTCACCATGTTGGCCAGGCTGGTCTCGAACTCCTGACCTCGTGATCTGCCCGCCTTGGCTGCCCAAAGTGCTGGAATTACAGGCGTGAGCCACTGCCACACAAACAATGAGACACATTATTTTTTTTTTTTTTTTTTTTTTGAGATGGAGTTTCGCTCTTGTTGCCCAGGGTGGAGTGCAATGGTGCGATCTGGGCTCACCGCAACCTCTGCCTCCCAAGTTCAAGCGATTCTCCTACCTCAGCCTCTCTAGTAGCTGGGATTACAGGCATGTGCCACCACGCCCGGCTAATTTTGTATTTTTAGTAGAGACAGGGTTTCTCTGTGTTGGTCAGGCTGGTCTCAAATTCCTGACCTCAGGTGATCCAACCGCCTTGGCCTCCCAAAGTGCTGGGATTACAGGCGTGAGCCACTGCGCCCAGCCCCACATTATTGTTTTTAATATTGGTATCAACTCACATATTTGTTGTGTTTCAATCTATTGCAGTTGTTATTTTTAGTTCTTATTTTTCTTTACAATTGTGTAGTTCTTCATTGTGTGGATGTACCTTGCTGGTTCATAGCCGAGTTCAGCAAACATTTTCTGTAAAGAACCAGATAATAACATATTTGTCACATTTTTTTTCTATAATCCTTTAAAAATGTAAAACCACTCTCAACTTCTAGGCTGTATAGAAACAGGCCTGGAGATTTGGCCTGTGCACTGTGGTTTGCAGACCACTAAACCAGTTCTCTATTGGTAGCTATTTGGTGTGTTTGCAGACTTTTACTGTAATAAATTGTGCTGTAAAAGATAATTTTCTGCATACATCTTTTTCTATTTTTGCCATTGGGATGGACTTCTAGAAGTGAGATTACTGAGTCAAAGGGTAAATGCTTATTAGTTTTGCTAGATAGTGTCAATCTCTTCTCAATGGGTTTGTTCTGTTTTGTACCAGCGGTGTATGAGAATGTTTCCTCCAACCTTGCCAAAAGAGTGGATTATTGAACTTTTAGATTTTTTGTCATTCTGAGTGAATAGTGTATATAATCTTAATTTGCATTTATTTTATTATTAGTAAGATTAAGTCTCTTTTCATATGGACTAAGAGCCATTTACATTACTTTTTGGTGAAATATCTCTTTATATCTCTTGCCCAGTTTACTATAATTAATCGATTTATTCTTTCCTCTATTTTTATAATATTAACTCATTATTCCTGCAGAAAGTGGCAAGTGTTTTTTTCTGGGTTTAAAAAATTTTAAATTAAGAATTTTTTGCTGTATAGTTTTTATAATTTTAATTTGTATGTCAAGTTTATCTAACTTTTCTCTTATTGCATGTAGATTTTGAGTCATAGGAAAGTGTTTCCTACTCCCAAGTTCAAACATTTTTTAATAGTACTGATATAGTGGTAGTCTTACATTTATTGTATCTTTTTTTTTTTTGATACTGAATCTCACTCTGTTGTTCAGGCTGGAGTGCAGTGGTGAAATCATGGTTCACTGAAACCCCCACGTCCTGGGTTCAAGTGATCCTCCTGCTTCAGCTGGGACTACAGGTGTGCACCACCACACCTGGCTAATTTGTGTATTTTTAGTAGAGACAGGGTTTCAGCATATTGGCCAGGCTTTTGGTCTCAAATTCCTAGCCTCAAGCGATCTGCCTGCATCTGCCTCCCAAAGTTATGGGATTACAGGCATGAGCCACTGTGCCTGGCCATAGTCTTACATTTAAATCTGACACATTTGGAATTTATATTGGTATATGGAGTGAGGAATAGATCCAGTCTGATCATTTTCCATTTGACTTACCAGGTATCTCAATACCACTTATTAAAACATTCATCTTTTCCCAACTAATTTCAGATGCTGAATCTGAATTAATAAAAAATATTAATTTTACACTTTTCAGTTATTAAATGCTAAATTTTCATATGTGATCAGATCTATTTCTGGATTTTCTATTTGTTCCATTTGTCCTTCTGTCTCTTCAAATACCGATACCACATTTTACACTTGGACACACGGTGGGGAACATCACACACCCGGGCCTGTCATGGGGTAGAGGGAGGGGGGAGGGATAACATTAGGAGATATACCTGATGTAAATGACAAGTTAATGGGTACAGCATGCCAACATGGCACATGTATACATACATAACAAACCTGCACGTTGTGCGCATGTACCCTAGAACTTAAAGTATAATAAAAAAATACCAAAACCACATTTTAAAAGTTTTGTAGGTTTGAAAAACCATCTTAATACCAAGCAGGGCTAGGATCCCCCCTCCTATTTCTTATATTTTTTGGTGTTTTTCCAAATTAATGGTATAATCAACTTTATATTTAGGAAAATAAAAACCTGATGACATTTTATTGGCACTCACTAAGTATGAAAGTTAACTTTGTGTGCACTGCCAACTTTATGATGTTGGTACTTCCTTGCCTAGAATATGGAAAGAAAGCCTTCTTATTTGTTCAAGTCTGCTTCTGTGTTTTTCAGAAATATTTTACACTTTTTCTCATGTGGATTTTACTTGGGTGTTATTATTACTGTAATAATAATAATAGTTATTGTCCTTGTAAACAGGCTTTTCCCCTTCCAATGATGCCTTTAAATTGGATTTTGCTTATTTATAGATCCATTTTTTACTTTTAATCTTTCATAATTTGTTTGTTTTGCATGTGTCTCTCAGATGTGTTGAATTTTGGTTTGCTAGCAAATCAAAAATTTTTTTTATAGATTTATTATGCCCATTTATATTTATTGATATGATTGAGAGCTTTGATCTCAGTTGTGTTATGTTGTTTTATTTTATGTGATGTGGGGTGTGTGTACATCAATAATGTTTCACTATGGGTTTATTTTATTGCTTTCTTTTTTTCTTTTCTTTTCTTTCCTTTTTCTTCTTGGTATATCAGCATTTAGGAAGATCTGGATGCTCTGTCTAATGGTTACCCTTATTATACCTTTATACAAAACATTTATCTGTTTTGAATAGTGCCTGATACTTCCATACACTTATGAAGTTGGCCAGCAATCCCTTCTTTCCCTTCCCTCCTCTCTCTCAGAACATCTAATGTAATTTGATGCTGATGGGATATCATTTTGCTGCAGTTAATACCTAAAAGCCATCTCCTGAGGTGCTGGAGTGTAGCCATAGGGGCTTTTGGTTGGCTGCCTTCAACCCTAGGTTGGAAGAGGCATATTGGGCACTTTGCTGATTTGAATATACGTCTTTTCTAAGTAGGCCTGGTGGACTTCAGAATCTCTGACTCAGGTGGTTCTCTCTCTTCTAAAGACTTGCTTCTGACCTTCTGTGAGCTTTTCTGGCACTCTATTTCCTCCAGACTTTTGTCTTATTCATCCCTCATAGAATCAGAACATAGGTGCTTGGTTGTCCTGAACTACAGAGGGCCCTAGGGAAAGCTGTGCTATCCTGGGTTTCATAGCTGTGTGAGGTATATATTCTAAAAAAGTTTTATAATTCAAATAAAATTGGATGTCAGTAATGAAAATTTATATGACTCAAAGCTAGAAGAAAAATTCTGCATTCAGTGGAAAGATCAAGATTCCTTTAAAGTTAGGGAATTGATGGTGATGGGTCGCATTTTCTGTCAGTCCTTTTTTGTGTTTTTATTGGATCTTTTATTGCTCAGGGCCTTTATGTTTTGAGATGAGGTAGAAGCCAATGAAGTTGTTACTTGTTTCTAATTTTTAGTTCTTTTAATGAATGAAATCAAGGCTGTCTCCTTCTTAGCAGTCTCCTCTCATTTCACATTTTCTGTTACATGATGAAGAGATGAGAGAGACAGAAGGTGGCTATACAGGAGGAAATAGGCTCTCATCATTTGAAGTGGCTGTTTTTTTTTTTTTTTCACAAGCTCCGTGGGGAATTCTGAGCATTAGCTTCAAAAAAGCCATTCCTTATGTCAAAGCTGCACTTAGATTTGGCTTGTTGGGATCCTTTTTGCGAATGCCGGCACTGGTAATGGGGACTGTTGATTCCCAAGATGGAGGAAGGGTGAAGTAATGGCCCCCAAATTACAGCCTAGGTCTATCCAAACATTTCTAATGTGTGAGAATTCTGAATCCTCTCTTTAACCCTGCTGTGAAAGATGATGCTGATATGACCCTTTTCACTATTTCCCCCTTCTATATCATTCCAGACTAGCTTTTTGTGCTTCAGTGATACAAATTTAGAGAAAGTTGGGAGCAGAACAAGGGCAAGAGGGGATGTTATAGGGCTTGGTGACAAATATTTTGAGGATTTTGACAAGTGAGCCATGGAAGAAGTGTGTAAAGGAAGTGGAGAAGAAAGAAAAGTGAACATTTAAAATAGAGTATGTCCGAGCTCATTGGTATTCCATTCAAGGCGTTTGAAAATAAAGTAAAGCACTTGGGCAATTTTACCATTATTATAATTTTTTGTTTCTGAATTGCAGTTCTTTTTTATTTCTACGCTGTAGTTCTTTGATTGCAATAACATTCCAAAGCTAGTCCTCATGAGTGATACCTTTATAAGGTTACACTTGCGTTTCTTGGTATGATAACTAGATTTCTGGTTTCTTGTAGAACATTTTCCTAAGTCCAGCATGGAGAATAGGTTATATCTTACATATCAACTCTAATTAAATGGTGTAGCTTCTGTAGTTTGGCATTAAAAAGGATTAAGAAACTCCATGTGGGTTTTAGTGGGAAAGAACATTCTAATTGATTAATGATGTCTGCTGTGGATGTCGAATGCTGGTGAATTGTTTATATGCCATAGACTCTGCCACAGCTGCTGGAAAACATTCTTCTTGCCTTTTCTTTTAACATACAGCTAAAGTGACAGAGAAGACAACTAGAATATGCAAACATTCAAAACTGCTGTTGACAACTGCTCTTTGTTGTCAAAACTAAGTGGCAGAATAATACCAAGTTTAACAGAGCAGAAGGGGGTGAGTTAATTAATACAGAAAATTTTTTAATTCAGAGAATCTAATCTAGGATTGGACTCTGGGAAACAGAACAATTGACCTGGATTTCAGTACTCTATTGGACCTAAAAGTTTTGTTGGGATTCTGAGCACAGCATGGACTAACTGGGTTCAAAAAGTCAAGCACTTTGCCTTGTGAATAATTTATATGAACTATATCCATTGCCTGAAATCTGTATAGCGATAGTTTTTAACCCCCTTTTCCTTAATTCATTCCATCATTTTATTAAAGAGTTTTGCTCTTTATAAAGACAAATTTTCTGAGAGGAACATTTTTGTCATTATAGGAAATTCGGTTTGTTAACAATAGCTCCCATTTCTGGGCTAAATGTTTGCATACATTAGCTTATTGAATACCTATGAAAATCTTGTGAAATCAATATCATTATCCCCATTTTATGCTGAAATAATTGATGCTCAGAGAGGTTATGTAGCTAACCTGGGTATACATTTAGTATATTAAGATCTCTCACTGTTGTAAGTTGCAAGGCTTGGGCTTTTAATCATACGCTGTACTGCTAATTTATTTACTTGTTTGCTTATTCATTTTAAGAACTTGAGAACATTTTAGTTGTTTTCTAGATCCAGCTACTGAGATCAGGCTACACCATGCATCAGTTATAAAGATCCTGGAGGTGAGTCCAACTCCTTAGAGTTTGCAGAGCCAAAAAAGACAGAGAGAGATTGGGAGTGAGGAGGTTGGGGTCAAGATGTGAATCTGCTTAGGTGGAAGTGGAGAGGGAGAATGAATGGAGATGAATTACAGTAGTGAAGAGGCTAAGGCAATGGAGAGTGGGACTGTTAGGTTCTCTAGTTTGTTTTTAGTTTAACCAGTATATCTTGAGCACTCACTGTGTGCCAGGCAATGTGCTAAAAACCAGGGATACAAATGAGCAAACACAGAATCCATCCCTGCCTTCATGGGTGATATGGTTTGATGTTTGTGCCTTCCAAATCTCATGTGGAAATTTCATCCCCAATGTTAAAGGTGGGGCCAAGTGGGGAGGTGTTTGTGTCGTGGGGATGGATCCCTCATGAATGATTTGGTGCCATTCTCATAAGATTGGGTGAGTTCTCACTCTTTGTCTCTGTGAAATCTGACTGTTAAAAAGAGCCTGGCACTCTCCTCCCCTTGCTGTCTTGTTCCCTTTCTTGCCACGTGACACACCTGCTCTCTCTTTGCCTTCTGCTGTGATTGGAAGTTTCCTAAGGCCCTCACCAGAAGCAGATGCTAATGCCATGTTTCTTGGACAGCTGGCAGAAGTGCAAGCCAAATAAACCTCTTTTGTTTATAAATTACCCACCCTCAGATATTTCTTTATAGTGATGCAAAATGGACTAAGACAGTGGGCTTATAGACTAATGAGCACATATGATTAATCAATTAACCTCTCAAATAAATAGAAAATGAAACTGGTCAGTGAGTATAATAGTTCACGCTGAGTGTAGTAAGTTCGCTGCAGGTGAACGTGGTGCTATGAGAGGCTCTAAGATGGCGATTTGATATTATCAAGGGTCAGGAAAGGCTTCTCTGAGGAAGAGATGGTTTATCCCAGACCAGAAGAATGAGTCGATTTGGTAAAGACAGTAGAAGAAGAATTCCCAAGAAAGTGACTAGCATGTGAAAATCATGAGAGGATGGTGTGAAAGAAGCCAATGTGGCCAGAGCACAGAGAGAGGCTACTGGAGAGATAGGCAGGAGGCAAACATGCATGGTTGTGGGCCACATTCAAGGTGTTGGCCATTATCCCAATAACTATAGATATCTGCTGAGGATTTTAAACATAAAATGGCATGACTTGGTTGAAATTTGAATCAGATCCCTTGAGCCATGATGAGAAACAGACTGGAAGGTGGCAAGAACAGAAGCAAGTAGTTCAGTTTGAAGGCTAACACAGTCGGATCTATGTCTAGAAGCACTGATTGCCTCCCAAGATGACCAGTTAACAGGAGTTTTGCAGTGTCTCTGGGTTGATAATACTGGGATAAAGACCCCTGGTTTATCTGAACAGTGGAACATAAACCAACCATATGGTAGAATTCACTAATTAAGAACACCTACTTTGGACACACCTGTGTTTGCCTTTTATTGATATCTTGGTTGCAATGACCATTACTGTTCATTTATAGCCAACAACCAGAGGAAAACAAAGAGCCGATCTGCTATTTGTTTTCCTATCCAATATTGTTTCCTATCCAATAATCTGAAACCAATATTTTTTCAGCATCATCCTGCCTCCATGCGGCCCAATTAGTTTAACGATAATTCTCTATCTTTTCCTAAGTAATTGGTTTAGGAATGGCTATGTGACATATTCTGAGTCCAGAAGACATGAAGGGAAGCTGGGGAGCACGGGGATGTGTGTCTGAGGAAAGTTTCTGTCTCATAAAAGAAATCCACAGGAAGTGACTCTAGATATGATACCTGAAACCGCTGCAGCCTGTGAAAGGGGGAGCTGAGAAATAGAAAAGAACTTTGGACCTGACCTTAACAGGACGATTAAGCTATTAGTCAAGCAAATCAATCATCTCCAGGGCTCACTCTGCCTCTAATAACCTTCCTGTTACATGGGATAATAAAGTCTTTAGTTTGAACTTAGGTTTTTCTGATTTGTAGATGAAAGTATTGAAACCAATAAACCAGCTGTGTGGACCTGAGAAAGTTGATTACAGTCTTTGAGCCACTTTCCTTATCTGTAATGTAGGTAATAGTTATACTTGTTCCATTGAAATAGGGTTGTGAGGATTATATTATATAATATACCTTATGTGCTTAGCCCAGTGCCCAACAAAGAGTTGTTCAATAAATTGTTGCTATGGAGATGAATAATAATTCTTTCTCATATTTTATATCAGCGAGGATGGACTGTGATTACATATGGCTATGTGTCTACAGGTCATATACTAGCCGACTGTTTGGAAGCAAATAAACAGCTATACTGCCTTTTTTTTTAAAATCTAGATTTATATTGGGTATCTATAGGGACATGCAAATGTACCCCTAGACTGCCTGGATATCTTTTTTTTTTTTTTAACCACCTTCATAATCCATTTCTATATAATCAATTAGATTGGTTATGCAGATGATTCAATTTGGTCATTAGGTTGTCAGAAAACACCAGCTGGGTGGTTACTGGAGACAGAATCTTCTCTTTGGCTGTGGCCTCCCTGTCTTTTGTTGAAGGATTTCACACACATGACACCACTGTGTAGGGATTGTTTTGGTAGTACACATTCACTTATTCTGTCACAGGGGAACACTAAATCTTTGATATTTCTTGAATGTGCAGATCAATAGCCTAGTTCTTCTTTCCTGAAATTCTAATGTGACTTTTGGACCACTGACAACTTTTCACAAGTTAGGTTGACACTCCCAAAATGAATTGGATGATTCAAAGCCAAAACTTGCTTTTGCGCATCAAGCCTGAAATACTTGTTTTTTTCTTTTTGTCTCTACCCGAACTCACTGGGTGACTTCTAGAATTGTGCTTTCTTTTGAATATTCTGCTATAGCCACATACACACAGTGGCTGAGGTTAGACGCTAAGCAAGTCTACAATTGGCATGTGTGTCTGGAGGAAGAAAGCTAACATTTGAGTGCAAGGTATGGTGCTAGTGGGTTTATATTGATATTATTATCTTCATTTAACAGATGTAGACCTAGGATTAGAGAGTTGAAATAACTTGCCTAAGTGACTGGTTAGCAGGTAGTAGAGATGGAGTTTGATCCTAGACCTGTCTTACTCCCAAGCCATACTGGAGAAGGCATTCAACATAGTAAATAGCAGCATACTGCATGGTCAAAAGCATGAACTACAGTATCAACTGCCTGTGTCAAATTGATGACTCTGTCACTCACTGAGCATGCAATCCTAGGCAAGTTATTTAACTACCTTGTGCCTCAGTGTCTTCACCTGTATAATGGGAAGTATCTGCATCAAAAACTTGTTGTAAAGATTAAATGAGTAAATATATATAAAGCACATAGAACAATGCATTTGAATTTGTCTTGATTTCCTTTCCTTTGTTATCAAAATATACAACTGTGTATTTTGACAATAGAGCCAGAATATTGCAGGCAGAAACTTGAATGCAGGTCTTTAAAACTATAAAGCCAGTGTGTTTCCTACTATATCAAGCACAGAATGGGAGACTTTGGGGAGTTCCAGAAGAAAAAAATATCCACTAAAGGTATTATAACCCACTCAAAGGCTAATATTCATACAATCTTCTTAGACTTTTCCAGATTAGCCATGAGTGACTAGGATTTTTCTCTGCGTATTGAGACTTAAAAATCAAATATGATTTCAAATAAATGTTCAGATAAAATGCAAATGTATCTGTATTCACTAGAGACCTCTCATTCCCTGTTTTGTCTTTTGCCAGTAACAAAAACTTCTCTTTCCTTATTCATTTTAACTCCCTTATCTTTTGTCACTACAATAAGAGGTTTTAAATATCTTAAATTGGTCACGTATAAGCCATTCTCTAATGATTGCATCAGTTCTGAATTGGTGTGCTATAAATAAACACAAAAACTGGGATAAATTTCATTAGCAAGTAAACATAATACATATCACAGTACAACACATAAATTTCCTTCTGTGCTTGTCAAACAAGGACTCGAGAAATGCTTGTCTCTGCAAGCTGCACCAAGACTCATAAATTGCTTCACAGAATGAGGAAATATTCAGTAAACACAGACAATTAATAACCATGTTCTTAAGTGACTAAATGGAGTTACTACACATTCCCAAAAAGCTAAGGAAAAGTGCTTGTCCTTCTATTGTCCTTGAGCGCTGTGCCACAGGGTACTATGAGTGAGTGAGATGGGCTCAGTTTGGTGGGGAAAAGATGCAAATAAACTCAAAACTCACCATTTTGTGTGTATGTACAGTTGTTATTGTTATATTTTACCTGTCTGGAATAGATGCCTCACTTTTCTGAAAAACAACACTCCCAGTCTTCCTTTGGTGAAGCTAGTCTTTCCCATTGTAGCTCTGTATGGCTTGGGTGGAGTTGTTGATTTACCCTTCCTGCTTCAGCGATGGAGGCTGACCCATATCTTGAGAATCAGAAAATTCACTTTTCTTGGTCACAGTGATTGTTTCAAGGGTGGGCAAATAATCCAAGACAGACAAATAAGACTCACATCTGGACCTTCTATTGAAACAATTAGGAAAGAAATCTCTTTTTGCCAACCTGCAGCTGGAGTGTTCTCTAAGTAGAAACCAACCATTTAGAATTAAGTCAACATAAAGGAGAGAAATACCTGGAGAGGAAGGAGCCAGCTGTGAAGACATAATTTGAGCATCTTGATCCAGTTATGTCTGAAGACTCTATCTCCAAATTTTTGTTAACATAAGAGAATAAATAGTACTTTCTTTCTTTCTTTCTTTTTTTTTTTTTTTTAAAAAAAAGACAAGTTTGCTATTTTTTTCTTAAGGCAGTTTGAATTGGTTTCTATTACTTACAAAAAAAGTTTCTCATTAATATGACTATGATATAAAAAGTGCCATAATAGTCATATGAACAAAAAGTCCTGGCATCCAGGATGGAGAGACTAAGGAGTGCCATTTGAATTGAGCTTTGAAAGATGTATAGAATTTCACAAGTGGAGTAAGTAGGGAAAGCCACTTCAGAGAAGAACAGCATGTGCAAAAAGAATAAACATTTCAGGGAATATGAGAAATTTGGGGTGACCAGGACATAGTGTTATGGTGGGGAGTGATAAGAGGAATGGCTGGAGAGATGGGCTAGAGCCCAATTATACATTGTACATCATGCTAGGCATTATATACCATGCTAGGGAACATAAGCATAAGAGTAATGTGAGCCATAGGAGAAATGATGTGATTAGATATGAGTGTTAAATTACTGACTATGGTGGCAGAATGGGGAATGGGTTGAAGTATGGAGACGTGTAAGCAGAAAAGTTGACTTAGAGGCTATGGCATTGAGTAAAGTCAGTAAATATATGGCATAATTGCTGTCTTTTCCCAATCCTGGATCTAAAGCAGACTGCTAATTGACCACCCCCCTTTCCAATTTAGCATTCTCAGCACAGTGTTCCAGACAGCGATTGCCAATGATTTGTCAATTCTGCTGCTCACATTGAAATCTACCTGCTCTTCCAGACAATTCAGTAAGTAGTTGATATGGATGCCATAATGGGACTGAAACTCTCTTGTGTTGACTCTTGCTTTAGATTCTTAGGTTGTATTGTAGAGTTAAAACTCTTCTTTTTTTAACTTGTAGAAGTAAATAGGTGAGTGTTTGCTGAGCAGAAAAAAAATATTTTGGGTGAAATCTCAGTCTCTAAGAGAGACTGCAACTTTCCTTCTTCTCTCAATGCAAGCAAGAGCCCTAATCCAGCAACCAAAACAAAGTTGATGGACTCCATGGGGGCCAGTGTCTAGCTCAAGCTACTTTTAATGGGATAGGAAGCATGTGCATTTCCTTGAGGTCGCAGCTTTAAATCTGACCTGTGGCCATAAGAACCAGTTTCTGACAGCTCCTTGGCAGCTGCTGTGAAATGAGATATGGATCTCAGGACCATTCCTTGTAGCAGGAGTCCACTTCAGCAAAGCCGTGCTGGAGTTACTGCTGGAGAGGCAGTGCTACACTGAAAGGAAAAGGTATAAATGGAGACAGAGCTACTCTATGCACCTGTCAAAGTGGTTTTGCCAGAGCCACCTTGAAGCCCATTGGGTTAAAGGCTACAGTGAGAGCTTTCACTGGAGAAAGGACAATGTTGGACAGTGGGGGACGGGGTGCATTCCTTTGCTGGCTCAAAGAGTTAGATTAAAAAAGCGGGAGCTTTAGAGTTAAGAGAAGTGGCCCACCCCACAGATAGCAGAGAAGAGCTGTGTTCCTCAGATCTGTCAGATAAAGGATCTTTAGAGTCATATACAATTTGCATTTCAATTCAAGAAGAGAAATTCCTCATTTGGAGGGCAACAGGAGCCAGGAAGAAAGAAACCTAGTTCTTGGGTGCTAAGGTTCTGATGGCCTTCTTCATTCTGCTTCTTAGTATAGTCTTGTTCTTGCTTGCTCAAATGGAAAGGAGAAAGCACAATTATTTTTTAGAATCCAAGGTTTTACAACAAATAAAAGTAGATCTAAAGCAGAGAAACAATTGAGGATTTCAAATTTCAAAAGCCTGTCAATATCTGTTTTAAAAAATTCAGAGAAGAAAACCTGGACACAATAATGTATATAAAAAGAATTACCATGTACCAAGGAACAACAATTTACCAGCACTTCCTCTATATGACTTATTTACATTCTTCAATATTTCCTTCATTTTACAAATGAAGTAGTAGAGTTTACAGAAGTAACTTACTCAGCTTACACATCTAGCAAATGATGAGGCCTGGATTTAATGACACATCTATCTAATTTCTAGACCATTGTTGTTTCATTCTACCTTGATGTATTCTGGTATGGAAAATGCCTTGAGGAACAGATGTCCCTAGCCAGGATGAAATAGAATGACCTAAAAATCTCTAAAAATAATGATAATGGGCGCACTGCTGAGCACATTATAGGAATCTCTTCAATTAGTCCTCGGAATAACACTATGCATTGGGTTCTGTTACTTGCCAGTTTTACAAATGAGGAAATTTAGAGATGCTGGTTAACTGGCCCAAGGTCTCCCAGACATTCAGTGATGAAGTCGGGGTTAGGATTCAGATCTACCTTGCTTTCAAGACCCATCCTCCTAATCACTAATGCTGGTGTGGCACGTATTAATAAAGACTTATTAATGGAGACAAGTTAGATTATTTTAGGGAGTGTATAAATAAATACTTTTTAAAAGTAGTTGTTTCACTACCAAATTCACTATTTCTCTTTTAAATTCTGCATGAATGTTCACAGCCAGTATAAGTCCCTTCCTCCGTGAAGCTTCCCTCTGAATTCCTGCTGCCTTACAGCTTGTACCACAAAACTGGGCTTTTTCCATGAATATCTGGTAGTAATATGAAGTTACTGTTTCTCTTCAATTGTGACCAGAGATGGCAAATATATCTCAAATCATGTTCTAACTTTGAAAGATGGATAGCAACTATTGAAGTGCTATGCTGGAAAGGAATTTGAGGTTGCACGTGAGCTTGGTAGGAAAGGACACCATGATCAATAGTAATGTCTGTCATGGGGCAGGTGAGGTGAGAAGAGGCCTGTGTGCTGCACATTTGTCATTCTTGCATCTTGGTTCTCTAGCTAGAAGGTAACTCTTTGAGAAAATGATCCATGGCTTCTTCATACATTGCACTTCCCTCAGCATGTCCCATATCTATAGATTTACTGATTCTCTCATTTCTTTTGAAGACCATTTCTGAAATTCCATGAGAATCAGAAGCCATTCAATGAGGCTTCTGTGAATAATAATAATTTAGAAAACCTAAAAAAGAATGAGAAGCCATTATATTTTCACTGTCGATTACAGGTGTAGAATCTGTACTTCTGGTTTGAAGACTGTCTTGGTCTGTCTTCTGTTGCTTATCACAGAATACCTGAAACTGGGTAATTTATAAAGAAAAGGAAATTTATTTCTTAAGTTATGGAGGCTGAGAAGTCAAAGGGTGAGGGGCCGCATCTCGTAAGAGCCTTTTTGCTGGTGGTGACTCTCTGTAGAGTCCCAAGGTGGCTCAGAGAATTACAGACAATGGGGCTGAGCCTGTTCACATGCTAGCTCAGATTTCTCTTCTTTTTCTCATAAAGCCACCAATTCCCCTCCTATGACAACCCATTAATCCATTAACCCATTAATCCATAAGTGAATTAATCCATTAATGAGGACAAAGCCCTCATGATCCAATTGCCTCTTCACAGCCCTACCTCTCAATACTGCCACATTGAGGTTGAAGTTTCAACATGAGTTTTGAAGGGGGCATTCAAACTATAGCAAAGACAAAATAGCTGCTTACCAAAGAGCATTGCCCTTTTCTTTCTCCCTACACTGTAATCCAGCAAGTACTGAACAGGAGACTTAAGGATGTGGGAGAGAAGCCAAGAAATGGAATGGATCAGTAAAGCAATGCATTTGGCCAAAATGAGCTTCCACAATAACATTTGGGAGACAGTTTTTCTCTTATGCGAATCCAGTCTTAGTCAATCATTTTGCTCCTTTGATCTCATGTCTCTCTGGTTTTCTCTATGATTTCTTTACTTGTTGCCAAAGAACGGATGGCTGATAGCTAGGAATGGTTGGCCCATGTCTCTGCTTGAGATTTCACCAGCATCATGTTAGGGTGAAAAGCAGCAGCTGTCAAGATCTGTTCACAGTGGGCTATTGATCTAGACAAGTGCCTGCATTGGACCCCGAGATATTAAATTGTAGCTGGGGAAAAATGATTTGGAAACAGAATCCTGTATATTCATCTAGCTTAGGCATTTCTTGACAAAACTATGTAGTAAGCAGAGTGCCAATTCAGGCTCTGCTCATCTCTCCTTTGGCCATGCTCTGTTTATTCTTTACACTGTTCTGAGATGTTTATTATCTCCAGGGCAGGGCCCTCTTTTCTTGAGAAAATATAATCTATTTTTTTATATTATTTCCTCAATTCTAACTCACCCAGCAGTATCCTGGGTCACATTCTTGCAGAACCTTTTCTCTTAACTTGTTGACTACATGCTGTTTAGAATAACTTATTCTCAGGCGGCTAATGTATTTTCCCTTCTAAATGGCACTTGCAAGCATAACATGTTTTTTTTTTTTTTTTTTTTTTTAATGGCTTGTTTGTTTTTAACGTCCTGGAATCATGTCCACGGTGTGAATCCCAGGCATTGTGACAGGCCAGTGGAGGAAGTACCTTTGGTTTAGAGGTTTCCACTGAATCATACAGTGACAGGGTCCATTCTTCTATTTGAATACTTCCAGGCAGTGGATCTCAGCCAGCATCCCTAGCAGAAGTGAGCTGTCAAATGATTAATAATAATGTGTGAACTGATTTTTGCTGTAACTGAGGCTTCATGTGGGTAAAGTCACATCTGTTCTAATTTATAGTTAAGTGGGTCATGCAATGCCGCACAGAGTTGTGTAAGACTTGGCGCAAATAAAAGATACATAGCATACCATTAAGCTGGTGCCAAAAGAGACCGTATGCTTACTGAAACGTAAGGAAAAGCAGGCCTTGTATACATATATGAAAGTCAAAGTTAAGGCAGACAATGCTTTTCCTCAAACATTTGTTGGAAATCACTATTCTAGAGTGTTTTGTACCTTTTTCTATTTCCAGAAACTAGCTTGATGCCTGACATAAGGAAGGCATTCAAGAACAGTTTTGTAACCTAAGCAGTAAGATTGAGGCTAGCACCTGCTATTTTACCTCATATGCCCCAATGTAAGGCAATCTTGAATTAGGTGATGCTGCACTTTCTCCAAAAAGAATAAGATTTTTAAAACAAAGTTTTGGTTCAATTGAACATATATACTTCTAAGTCTGTAGGCGAAATACTATAGTTGCCGATCTACAAATAGTGTTTATTCAGTTCATTACACATACATACTTCAAGCGGTAATATATTAATTTAGAAATACCGCTTTTTCCCAGTTTTATATTTTTTGAGACAATTTTATTCAAACTCTTCAGATGCATTTTTGATATCTTCTTTCGTATAGTGCTTTTGACACTGTTCTCCCTTCTCCTGTTCCTATTTCTTCTGAAGATTCATGTTGTTCAAAGGAAATGTAGGCTGTTGCCCAAAGATATTTCATAGTTGACAGTATAACACTAAATTATGCATGCACAACCCCATTGGCACCAATAGGCCTGATGCTTGTTCTGGCGTCCATTAATTCTTTATTTCAAGAGTCCTTTTGGTGGCTTAGAAAGCACTGCTGTTACTGCTGGAGCCATTGAGTGAGTGCATTTTTTCTCAGTCTTCCCTGTCAGTAATAGAATATAGGAATAAGCTGTCTCCTTGAATTTACTTTTGGGCTTTATTCTGCCTAGAGGGTTAGGAGGAGGAGCCAGGAGCTGATGTAGGAGGATCAGAACAGGAAAGAAAGACACAGTAGTGTGGTCCTGCCTTGGGCTGGATTGCGACAATTTGGAGCATCGAGCTAGAAAGGGCTGTGGAGATGATGGAATTCAACACCTTCATAATTTAGAAAAGAAACACAAAAAGATTAGGGAAGGCATGTTTCCCAGGATGTCTCTTCTGTTGACTCCAAAGGCCATACTCTTAACCACTGTGCTGTCCTCCAGAGAAACCTGTGATTCCTGACCTTGCTCATCCTTCACTATGAATCCTTAGGCAAAAGACAGCCTCCATGAACCTGAGTTTCCCATTACCTTCAAAATGGAGTAATCATCCTCATGGCAATTTTATAAGCAGAGGTGAAAATGATAAAGTGCTCAATCCCTTTGACACTGTAGCTCAATATACGGTAGCCACTGTTACTATTATTAATATTAGAGCTGTGATGATTATTATTTTGCATTGTAGGTCTTTTTCTAGGCATTAAGTACTCTCCTGCTACCCTTTTCTATCCCTTCCCACATAGACTCACCATATTTCAATGCTAAATATACAATTTAAAAAAATTGTAAGTATTCAATTACAGTGTTAAATGAAGTTGTATTACACTATTCATAACAGTAAAAATGTATTTTTCCTTTTCTTTGAATTGCTCTCTCTGGAAAAATCAATAGTGCATTTACACGAGGCTGGGTGGCCAGAGGCCACATTCTGAGGTCCATATCTCCCTCCACAAAGCTTAAGGGTAAGTACAAGTGACGGAAGCAATTCAAAGAAGGAAACAGGGAAGGCATGCCAGTGAGTCCCTTTCCCACCATGCCTTCCCCACATCCCATTCTAAGCTAGGAGAGTCCTTTACTTCTTGACTCCTACCAGCCTACAGTTTTGAATATTCCAACTTTCCAGCTGCTAGGTCCATGTCTGCTTTTGATAATCAACTTAGCTAACATTTGTTGAACACCTACTGTGTGTAAAGCACTGTGATAGTTTTTGTTGAGTCTGCCTTAAAATGGAATTATAGTCTGATACGGTGAAATAAATGTACACATAGGGTATAAAAGGGGAAAATGGGGACAAGGAAGTTTCTAATTGTGAACTGAAGTGAAAAGGAACCAACTGCCAAGTTCCAGATGGAATCAATGAGATAATGGTGCTGGACTTGATTCTGCCCCAGTGCCTGGGCTATTGGTGAGTAGTCTCTGTGATCTAGAGAATAACAGTATGTTATTACCAGCTGGAGAGTGAGATGGGCACCAGCTTGCTGACCTTGAAGTCTGTGCCATAGCCCTACCACTTTGCGTGTGATCCGACCCTTCCCTAACTCCAGCCTCCTCTTAGGTCAGACTCTCCTTTGCTCCCTCTGCTGTAGGTTCATTTTCCCAGTGTGCTGAACTCTTTCTGCCTTGAGTTCTCATGCATCTGCCTCGAACTTCCCATCTTCCCAATTTCAGCTTAAATGCCACATCTTCATGGAGGCTTTTCTGAAACACAGTACCTAAAGTTCCCCCTTTCCAGTTACTCTGTGTCCCACTACTCTGTTTTATTTTTCCTTATCCCTTACTCTGTAACTATCTAGCTTATTTATTGATTTATATGTTGTGTTAGTTTGCATTGTGATGAAGGAATGCCTGAGACTGGGTAATTTATAAGGAAAATAGGTTTATTTTGGCTCATGGTTCTGCAGACTGTACAGGAATCATGGCAGCAGCATTGGCTCTGCTTCTGGTGAGGTCTTAGGAAGCTTTCAGTCATGACGGAAGGCAAAGGAGGAGCTGACATATCCCGTGGCGAGAGAGGGAGCTAGAGAGAGAGAGTGAGAGAGAGGTCCCAGATTCTTTTAAACAACCAGATCTCATGTGAACTAACTGAGCAAGTACTCACTCATCACCAAGGGGATGGCACTAAGTCATTCATGAGAGATCTGCCCCAGTCATCTAATACTTTCCACTAGGCCCCACCTCCAAAACTGGGAATCACATTTCAGCATGAGATTTGGAGGGACACACATCCAGATCCCATCACATGTTGCATCTCAATGGAAATGCATGCTCCATTAAGTGCAGAACTGAATATGAATTTCAGGAGGGGTCTAGGGCTGGGTCTGTGCAGGGAATGGACTTGGTGGGGTACAAGGCTACTCTTTGACCACATTTTCGATCTGCCTTATGGTTTTGCTTTCACTCTTCTTCCTTTAACATTTTTTTGTTCATAGTCCTAACACTTGTCACGTTAACATCTTATAATAAAAGGAGATGATTTTAGAGCATGGCCATTGGCTTATCTTTTTTGCAGACACATGTCTTGTTCACTATTGTAGCCTCAGTGCCTAACACATTGCCAGGCACACAAGAGGTACTCAATATATTAACTGAATTGTCTGTAGCACACTGACTGTGTGATTTGGTAAGTTATATGACATCTATGAGCATGTTATTTATATGACTCGTAGAATATGGGATGAGATGGGGGAATAATGATACCTCTACTATTGAGATTTTGAGAGGATGCAGAAAGATAGTGACTGTGGAATGCTTAACCCATCATAGATACTAGCATAGAGAATTCATGAGCAAAAATTAGTCTTTTTGAGTCTTTGTCTCCCTTTTGGAGAAGTAACCTTGGATGCCTGTCCCTGAGGCAGAGTCAACATTTGAGGAGTCCAGAGTTTGTGCCTGATGTATTCGTTAGCACTTAAGGGCTCATTTCACTTTCTTTCTTTCTTTTTTTTGAGACGGAGTCTTGCTCTGTTGCCCAGGCTGGAGTGCAGTTGTGCGATCTTGGCTCAGTGCAACCTCTGTCTCCCGGGTTCAAGCAATTTTCTTGCCTCAACCTTCCGAGTAGCTAGGACCACAGGTGCGTGCCACCACGCCCGGCTAATTTTTTGCATTTTAAGTGAAGACAGGCTTTTTCCATGTTAGCCAGGTTGGTCTCGAACTCCTGACCTCATGATCTGCCCGCCTCAGCCTCCCAAAGTGCTGGGATTACAGGCATGAGCCACGATCCTCATTTCACTTTCAGCTAATGTATCCTTGATGAGGCCAGCAGGTAGAGTCATCCAGTAATTTTCACATCTGAGCATGCCTATTTATTTATTTTTTTGAAAACTTTTCTTCTCACGTTGATTTTCTATTTTAAAAAAATTCACAATTGGATCCATTTTAAGGGAAAGAATAGTGTAATTATGTACCAGAATCCTTAAACTAACACTAAATCCTTGCATGCATGCTGAGAATTCTATTGAATCAGCTATTATTATTATTATCTGTTTGACCCATTTCCTTCCAGCAAGTCCAGTAATAAAATTTTGAATAGCAAAATAAAAAATGAATACTTTCTTATTTCTACAAATTATAATTAAACTAATATTTATGAAGTAATGAGCATGTTCCAGGCACTGTACTAGATGCTTTTGTCTGTGTGTTCTAATTAATCTTCCAAATAAACATGTGAGATAGGCTAAGGAGACTAAGAACAGAGAGTCTGTGTCATTCTATTTATTTATTTATTTTTTATCATACTTTAAGTTCTAGGGTACATGTGCACAATGTGCAGGTTTGTTACTTATGTATACATGTACCATGTTGGTGTGCTGCACCCATTAACTTGCCATTTACATTAGGTATATCTCCTAATGCTATCCCTCCCCCCTCCCCCCACCCCATGACAGGCCCTGGTGTGTGATGTTCCCCTTCCTGTGTCCAAGTGTTCTCATTGTTCAATTTCCACCTATGAATGAGAACATGCGGTGTTTGGTTTTTTGTCCTTGCGATAGTTTGCTGAGAATGATGGTTTCCAGCTTCATCCATGTCTCTACAAAGGACATGAACTCATGATTTTTTATGGCTGCATAGTATTCCATGGTGTATATGTGCCACATTTTCTGAATCCAGTCTATTATTAGTGGACATTTGGGTTGGTTCCAAGTCTTTGCTACTGTGAATAGTGCCGCAATGAACATACATGTGCATGGGTCTTTATAGTAACATGATTTATAATCCTTTGGGAATATACCCAGTAATAGGATGGCTGGGTCAAATGACATTTCTAGTTCTAGATCATTGAGGAATTGCCACACTGTCTTCCACAGTGATTGAGCTAGTTTACAGTCCGACCAACAGTGTAAAAGCATTCCTATTTCTCCACATCCTCTCCAGCACCTGTTGTTTCCTGACTTTTTAATGATCGCCATTCTAACTGGTGTGAGATGTTATCTCACTGTGGTTTTGATGTGCATTTCTCTGACGGCCAGTGATGACGAGCATTTTTTCATGTGTCTGTTGGTTGCATAAAGGTCTTCTTTTGATAAGTGTCTGTTCATCTCCTTTGCCCACTTTGTGATGGGGTTGTTTGTTTTTTTCTCATAAATTTGTTTGAGTTCTTTGTAGATTCTGGATATTAGCCTTTTGTCAGATGAGTAGATTGCAAAATTTTTCTCCCATTCTGTAGGTTGCCTGTTCACTCTGATGGTAGTTTTCTTTTGCTGTGCAGAAGCTCTTTAATTTAATTAGATCCCATTTATCAATTTTGGCTTTTGTTGCCATTGCTTTTGGTGTTTTAGACATGAAGTCCTTGGCCATGCCTATGTTCTGAATGGTATTGCTTAGGTTTTCTTCTAGGGTTTTTATGGTTTTAGGTCTAACATTTAAGTCTTTAATGCATCTTGAATTAATTTTTGTATAAGGTGTGAGGAAGGGATCTAGCATCAGCTTTCTACATATGGCTTGCCAGTTTTCCCAGCACCATTTATTAAATAGGGAATACTTTCCCCATTTCTTGTTTGTGTCAGGTTTGTCAAAGATCAGATGGTTGTAGATGTGTGGTATTATTTCTGAGGGCTATATTCTGTTCCATTGGTCTATATCTCTGTTTTGTTACCAGTACCGTGCTGTTTTGGTTACTGTAGCCTTGTAGTATAGTTTGAAGTCAGGTAGCATGATGCCTCCAGCTTTGTTCTTTTGGCTTAGAATTGTTTTGGCAATGCGGGCTCTTTTTTGGTTCCACATGAACTTTAAAGTAGTTTTTTCCAATTCTGTGAAGAAAGTCATTGGTAGCTTGATGGGGATGGCATTGAATCTATAAATTACCTTGGGCAGTACGGCCATTTTCATGATATTGATTCTTCCTATCCATGAGCATGGAATGTTCTTCCATTTGTTTGTGTCCTCTTTTATTTCATTGAGCAGTGGTTTGTAGTTCTCCTTGAAGAGGTCCTTCACATCCCTTGTAAGTTGGATTCCTAGGTATTTTATTCTCTTTGAAGCAATTGTGAATGGGAGTTCACTCATGATTTGGCTCTCTGTTTGTCTGTTATTGGTGTTTAAGAATGCTTGTGATTTTTGCACATTGATTTTGTATCCTGAGACTTTGCTGAAGTTGCCTATAAGCTTAAGGAGATTTTGGGTTGAGACGATGGGGTTTTCTACATATACAGTCATGTCATCTGCAAACAGGGACAATTTGACTTCCTCTTTTCCTAATTGAATACCCTTTATTTCCTTCTCCTGCCTGATTGCCCTGGCCAGAATTTCCAACACTATGTTGAATAGGAGTGGCGAGAGAGGGCATCCCTGTCTTGTGCCAGTTTTCAAAGGGAATGCTTCCAGTTTTTGCCCATTCAGTATGATATTGGCTGTGGGTTTGTCATAAATAGCTCTTATTATTTTGAGATACATCCCATCAATACCTAATTTATTGAGAGTTTTTAGCATGAAGGGTTGTTGAATTTTGTCAAAGGCCTTTTCTGCATCTATTGAGATAATCATGTGGTTTTTGTCTTTGTTTCTGCTTATATGCTGGATTACATTTATTGATTTGCGTATGTTGAACCAGTCTTGCATCCCAGGGCTGAAGCCCAGTTGATCATGGTGGATAAGCTTTTTGATGTGCTGCTGGATTTGGTTTGCTAGTATTTTATTGAGGATTTTTGCATCAATGTTCATCAGGGATATTGGTCTAAAATTCTCTTTTTTTGTTGTGTCTCTGTCAGGTTTTGTTATCAGGATGATGCTGGCCCCATAAAATGAGTTAGGGAGGATTCCCTGTTTTTCTATTGATTGGAATATTTTCAGAAGTAATGGTACCAGCTACTCCTTGTACATCTGGTAGAATTCGGCTGTGAATCCATCTATCCTGGACTTTTTTTGGCTGGTAAGCTATCAATTATTGCCTCAATTTCAGAGCCTGTTATTGGTCTATTCAGGGATTCGAGTTCTTCCTGGTTTAGTCTTGGGAGGGTGTATGTGTCCAGGAATTTATCCATTTCTTCTAGATTTTCTAGTTTATTTGCGTAGAGGTGTTTATAGTATTCTCTGATGGTAGTTTGTATTTCTGTGGGATCGGTGGTGATATCCCCTTTATCATTTTTTATTGCATCTGTTTGATTCTTCTCTCTTTTCTTCTTTATTAGTCTTGCTAGCGATCTATCAATTTTATTGATCTTTTAAAAAAACCAGCTCCTGGATTCAGTGATTTTTTGAAGGGTTTTTTATGTCTCTATCTACTTCACTTCTGCTCTGATCTTAGTTATTTCTTGCCTTCTGCTAGCTTTTGAATGTGTTTGCTCTTGCTTCTCTAATTCTTTTAATTGTGATGTTAAGATGTCAATTTTAGATCTTTCCTGCTTTCTCTTGTGGGCATTTAATGCTATAAATTTCCCTCTACACACTGCTTTGATGTGTCCCAGAGATTCTGGTATGTTGTGTCTTTGTTCTTGTTGGTTTCAAAGAACATCTTTATTTCTGCCTTCATTTCGTTATGTACCCAGTGGTCATTCAGGAGCAGATTGTTCAGTTTTCACGTAGTTGAGTGGTTTTGAGTGAGTTTCTTAATCCTGAGTTCTAGTTTGATTGCACTGTGGTCTGAGAGAAAGTTTGTTATAATTTCTCTTCTTTTACATTTGCTGAGGAGTGCTTTACTTCCAACTATGTGGTCAATTTTGGAATAATTGCGACGTGGTGCTTAGAAGAATGTATATTCTGTTGATTTGGGGTGGAGAGTTCTGTAGATGTCTATTAGGTCCACTGGTGCAGAGCTGAGTTCAATTCCTGGATATCCTTGTTAATTTTCTGTCTTGTTGATCTGTCTAATATTGACAGTGGGGTGTTAAAGTCTCCCATTATTATTGTGTGGGAGTCTAAGTCTCTTTGTAGGTCTCTAAGGACTTGCTTTATAAATCTGGGTGCTCCTGTATTGGGTGCATATATATTTAGGATAGTTAGCTCTTCTTGTTGAATTGATCCCTTTACCATTATGTAATGGCCTTCTTTGTCCTTTTGATCTTTGTTGGTTTAAAGTCTGTTTTATCAGAGACTAGGATTGCAACCCCTGCCTTTTTTTGTTTTCCATTTGCTTGGTAGATCTTCTTCCATCCCTTTATTTTGAGCCTATGTGTGTCTCTGCATGTGAGATGGGTCTCCTGAATACAGCACACTGATGGGTCTTGACTCTTTATCCAATTTGCCAGTCTGTGTCTTTTAATTGGAGTATTCAGCCCATTTACGTTTAATGTTAATATCGTTATGTGTGAATTTGATCCTGTCATTATGATGATAGCTGGTTATTTTGCCTGTCAATTGATGCAGTTTCTTTCTAGCATCGATGGTCTTTACACTTTGGCATGTTTTTGCAGTGGCTGGTACTGGTTGTTCCTTTCCATGTTTAGTGCTTCCTCCAGGAGCTCTTGTAGGGCAGGCCTGGTGGTCACAAAATCTCTCAGCATTTGCTTGTCTGTAAAGGATTTTATTTCTCCTTCACTTATGAAGCTTAGTTTGGCTGGATATGAAATTCTGGGTTGAAAATTCTTTTCTTTTAGAATGTCGAATATTGGCCCCCACTCTCTTCTGTCTTGTAGAGTTTCTGCCGAGAGATCAGCTGTTAGTCTCATGGGCTTCCCCTTGTGGGTAACCCGACCTTTCTCTCTGGCTGCCCTTAACATTTTTTCCTTCATTGCAACTTTGGTGAATCTGACAGTTATGTGTCTTGGAGTTGCTCTTCTCAAGGAGTATCTTTGTGGTGTTCTCTGTATTTCCTGAATTTGAATGTTGGCCTGCCTTGCTAGGTTGTGGAAGTTCTGGATAACATCCTGCAGAGTGTTTTCCAACTTGGTTCCATTTTCCCTGTCACTTTCAGGTATGCCAATCAGACATAGATTTGGTCTTTTCACATAGTCCCATATTTCTTGGAGGCTTTGTTTGTTTCTTTTTATTCTTTTTTTCTAAACTTCTCTTCTTGCTTAATTTCATTCATTTGATCTTCAATCCCTGATACCCTTTCTTCCAGTTGATTGATTCTGCTACTGAAGCTTGTGCATTCATCATGTAGTTCTCGTGCCATGGTTTTCAGCTCCATCAGGTCTTTTAAGGACTTCTCTACACTGGTTATTTTGGTTAGCCATCTGTCTAAACTTTTTTCATGGTTTTTAGCTTCTTTGCGATGGGTTCAAACTTCCTCCTTTAGCTCATAGAAGTTTGATCTTCTGAAGCCTTTATCTCTCAACTTGTCAAAGTCATTCTCCATCCAGCTTTGTTCCATTGCTGGCGAGGAGCTGCGTTCCTTTGGATGGGGAGAGGCAGTCTGATTTTTAGAATTTTCAGCTTTTCTGCTCTGTTTTTTCCCCATCTTTGTGGTTTTATCTACCTTGGTCTTTGATGATGGTGACGTGCAGATGGGGTTTTGGTGTGGATGTCCTTTCTGTTTGTTAGTTTTCCTTTTAACAGTCAGGACCCTCAGCTGCAGGTCTGTTGGAGTTTGTGAAGGTCCACTCCAGACCCTGTTTGCCTGGGTATCAGCAGCAGAGGCTGCAGAACAGCGAATATTGCTGAACAACAAATGTTGCTGCCTGATCATTCCTCTGGAAGCTTCATCTCAGAGGGGTACCTGGCCGTGAGAGCTGTCAGTCTGCCCCTACTGGGGGTGCCTCCCAGTTATGCTACTCAGGGATCAGGGACCCACTTGAGGAGGCAGTCTGACTGTTCTCAGATCTCAGACTCCGTGCTGGGAGAACCACTACTCTATTCAATGCTGTCAGACGAGGACATTGAAGTCTGCAGAGGTTTCTGCTGCCTTTTGTTTGGCTATGCCCTGCCTCCAGAGGTGGAGTCTACAGAGGCAGGCAGGCCTCCTTGACCTGCAGTGGGCTCCACCCAGTTCGAGCTTCCAGGCTGCTTTGTTTACCTACTCAAGCCTCAGCAATGGCAGGCACCTCTCCCCTAGCCTCACTGCCGTCTTGCAGTTCGATCTCAGACTGCTGTGCTAGTAATGAATGAGGCTCCGTGGGCGTGGGACCCTCTGAGCCAGGCGTGGGATATCATCTCCTGGTGTGCCGTTTGCTAATACCATTGGAAAAGCACAGTATTAGGGTGAGAGTGACCCGATTTTCCAGGTGCCATCTGTCACAGCTTCCCTTGGCTAGGAAAGCGAATTCCCTGACCCTTTGTGCTTCCCAGGTGAGGCGATGCCTCGCCCTGCTTTGGCTCACGCTCGGTGGGCCGCACCCACTGTCCTGCACCCACTGTCTGACAAGCCCCAGTGAGATGAACCCAGTACCTCAGTTGGAAATGCAGAAATTATCCGTCTTCTGCATCGCTCACACTGGGAGCTGTAGACTGAAGCTGTTCCTATTCAGCCATCTTGGAACCAAGTCTGTGTCATTTTCATGAGGTATCACAGAAAATAAGTTAAAACTAAGACATGATAGATTTCAGGTTCTAGGTTTTTTTCCTCTGAAGAGCCTCTATAAGAATATAAGTAAAATTACTTTTTTTTTCTGTTTGCTTGTTGTTATATTGTGTGAAAATGACTGAATAGATTTTAACCAAATTAAAAAAAATATTTTAGTCTATATATATATATATATATATATATATATATATATATATATATATGTATATATGTGCGATTCGATATGCTCAAAATTCACCTTAGCAGTATTCTGCTTCTGGTGATGCCAAACCAGATTGTCTCTGACCAAAACTCTGGATGAGAACAACTAAACAGGCGGAATGATACATTTAAAAATTCTGGATGAAGGAAACAGAAAGCCATGAAGAAAGAGAGGATCAGGTAAAGATCTGAGGGAGCAGAGAATCCCATAGAGGTGATCCTGGCATTCAGTGCTACTCGTCTCCTTGAGATGATTGTTGATTTCAGAAGTAGTAGCTCAGGGACTGAGAAGCTGAATTTAGCATTAAGAATCCTCATCAGGCAGAATGGTGAAAATAGAATTCAGGGCAACGCTAGGGAAGAGGGTCCTTAGTAAAACTTTAAAGTTTCATTTCAGATCTTAGGAGTGACGGTGAATTAAAAATAGATTAGTTCTTGGAGAAATTCAAGTCCAACTTTGAATGATCTCACTGTGTGATTGGATCAATATAATTTGAAACATTGCAGGAAGATAACATCCTTCAGAGTCTCAGATATTTTCTACATTTCTCATGTGTAATATATAATACTCAATAAAATATTTCCTCCGTAGAAGATTTGACCCAAACAACAAGAAACAAACAAGAGATAAAAACAGACAATAAAACAAGCAAGAGATAAAAACAGACAGTGAAAACCACCCCACAGCAGATCCAGATATTAGTGTTAAAACAATTGCAATTAATACGTTCAAGGAATTAAGAGACAGGATGTAGAAGTTTGATGGAAAATTGGAAACTATGAAAAAATCTAAATACAAAATTTGGAGCCTTGAAATGCAATCACTGAAATAAAGAATTAAATGGACAGTTTAAACAGCTTAGATGCAACTGATAAGTGAATTAGTGAACTGAAGGACAGAAGAGAACAACCAGACTCAAGTGTGGAGAAAGAAAAGGATGGAAAATAGAGAAGAGAGTACGGATGCTCCTTGACTTATGACGAGGTTATGTCCTGATAACCTCATCATAAGTTAAAAATATCATAAATTAAAAATGGGTTTAATACATCTCACCTGTTAAACATCATAACTTAGACTGGTCTACCTTAAATGTGTTTAGAACACTTAACATTAGCTTACAGCTGGGCAAAATTATCTAACACAGAGCCTATTTTATAATAAAGTATTAAATATGTAATGTAATTTATTGAATACTGTCATCTCTGTATATCTGTAGGGGATTGGTTCCGGATCCCGCCCCTCCACTGCAAGGCTACCAAGATTTGTGGATGCTCAAGTCCCTTATATAAAATGGCATAGTATTTGCGTATAACCTACACACATTTTCCCTCATGCTAGTCATCTCTAGCTTACTTATAATAGCTAATACTACAGGAATAGTTGTTATACTGTATTGTTTTTATTTGTATTATTTTTTATTTTTGCCTTCTCTTTTATTGCTTCTTTCTGAAATATTTTTGATCTGTGATTGATTGAATGCAAAAATATGGAAACCTATGGATTTGGAGGCCTGATTGTACTGCATGAAAAGTGAAAAACAAAATGCTTTGATAGGTACTCAAAGTATGGTTTCTACTGCATGGTTATCACTCTCACAGCATCATAAAGTGGAAAAATCAGAAATTGAACCATTGTTAAGTTGGGGACTATCTGTATAAAAGACAAAACACGATGAAAGGTTTAAAATGTATATGTATATTATGTATTTATATGTATATTATGTTATATATATTTATATATGTATATGATTATTTATACCTATAAGGGGTGGCTCAGAGAAAGAGTAAAGGATATTGCAGAAGTATTTTAAAATGTAATAATCAAGTATTTTTCTAAATTGTCAAAAAATCTTAATCTATTAATTTACAGAGAGCCTCAAACCCCAGGGAGGATAATACAAAAAAACCGCCTAAACTCATCTAAATAAAACTGAGGTAAACCAGGAGCTAAGAAGAAATCTTAATAGCAGAGAGAAAAAAATTACTTTCATGAACCAACAATAAAACTGACAACTGACTTTTTAACAAAAAATGAAAACTCAATCCTTATAATCTCCTTCCCTCACCAAAGATAACTATTAACTTGAAAATAAAGTTTTGTTATTTTATTATTTATTATTTTTATTATTTATTATTTAAAAACATCTTTTTGTCTTATAGGCATGGACCTGCTAACAAAATGCAGTACTGTTTGCATCCTTTCAAACATTATTTAGTGTTTAACTCTATAAATGACACTGTAGTCCACTTTAAAAACTTCCAGCATTTTATTTAGGGATGTATTCATGTTGATATGCACAGTGTTAGTTCATTCTTGGATATGTCTCCTTAGCGTATATGTGTGAGTTTCAGAAGGTACTCTTTTGTTTAGGGACTTACTGAACTAAAAGGTATACACATCTTCTTTACTACAATAAATTCTTAAAAAATATATACATCTTCAACTTTACTAATTATACTCATTCCTTACCAAAATGGGCAGTGAAGCAATGTCTGTCTTCCCTAGTCGTGTATAAAAATCTCCATTTCTCAGATTGCTGGCAAGATGGCCAAATAGGAACAGCTCTGGTCTACAGCTCCCGGTGAGACTGCTGCACAAGCAGGGTGATTTCTGCATTTCCAACTGAGGTACCCAGTTCATCTCATTGGGACTTGTTGGACAGTTGGTGCAGCCCACAGAGGGCAAGCCAAAGTAGGGTGGGGAATCGCATAACCCGGGAAGCGCAAGGGTTGGGGGAATTCTCACCCCTACCCAGGGGAAGCCATGAGGGACTGAGCCTGAGAAACTGTGCACTCTGGCCCAGATACTGCACTTTTCCCACAGTCTTTGCAACCCACAGAGCAGGAGATTCCCTCCGGTGCCTTTGCCACCAGGGCCTTGGGTTTCAAGCACAAAACTGGGCAGCCATTTGGGCAGACACTGAACTAGCTGCAGGAGTTGTTATTTATTTATTTATTTTTTCCATATGCCAGTGGCACCTGGAATGCCAGTGAGACAGAACCGTTCACTCCCCTGGAAAGGGGGCTGAAGCCAGGGACCCAAGTGGTCTGGCTCGGTGGGTCCCACCCCCACAGAGCCCAGCAAACTAAGATCCACTGGCTTGAAATTCTCACTACCAGCACAGCAGCAGTCTGAGATCAAACTGGGATGGTTGAGGTTGGTGGGGGGAGGTGCGTCGACCATTGCTGAGGCTTGAGTAGGCGGTTTTACTCTCATAATGTAAATAAACAAAGCTGCCAGAAAGTTCAAACTGGGCAGAGCCCACCGCAGCTCAGCAAGGCTGCTGTGGCCAGACTGCCTCCCTAGATTTCTCTCTGGGCAGGGCATCTCTGAAAAAAAGGCAGCAGCCCCAGTCGGCACTTACAGATAAAACCCCCATCTCCCTGGGACAGAGCACCTGGAGAAAGGGGTGGCTGTGGATGCAGCTTCAGCAGACCCAAACGTCCCAGCCTGATGGCTCTGAAGAGAGCAGTGGACCTCCAAGCACAGCGTTCGAGCTCTGCTAAGGGTCAGAATGCCTCCTCAAGTAGGTCCCTGACTCCTGTGTAACCTGACTGGGAGACACCTCCCAGTGGGGGCTGACAGACACCTCATACAGGAGAGCTCTGGCCGGCATCTGGCAGGTGCCATTCCGGACAAAGCTTCCAGAGGAAGGAACAGGCAGCAATCTATGCTGTACTGCAGCCTCCGCTGGTGATACGCAGGCAAACAGGGTCTGGAGTGGACCTCCAGCAAACTCCAGCAGACCTGCGGCAGAGGGGCCTGAGTGTTAGAAGGAAAACTAACAAACAGAAAGGAATAGAACATCCACTCAGAGACCCCATCTGAAGGTCAGCAACATCAAAGACCAAAGGTAGATAAATCCACAAAGATGGGGAGAAACTAGTGCAAAAAGGCTGAAAATTCCAAAAACCAGAACGGCTTTTTTCCTCCAAAGGATCAAAACTCCTCAACAGCAAGGGAGCAAAACTGGATGGAGAATGAATTTGACAAATTGACAGAAGTAGGCTTCAGAAGGTGGATAATAAGAAACTCCTCCAAGCTAAAGGAGTATGTTCTAACCAAATGCAAGGAAGCTAAGAACCTTGAAAAAAGGTTAGACGAATTGCTAACCAGAATAACCAGTTTAGGGAAGAACATAAATGACCTGATGGAGTTGAAAAACACAGCACGAGAACTTCGTGAAGCATACACAAGTATCAATAGCCGTACAGATCAAGAGGAAGAAAGGATATCAGAGATTGAAGATCAACTTAATGATATAAAGTGAGAAGAAAAGATTAGAGAAAAAACAATGAAAAGGAACAAACAAAGCCTCCAAGAAATATGAGACTATGTGAAAAGACCAAATCTACGTTTGAATGGTGTACCTAAAAGTGACTGGGAGTATGGAACCAAGTTGGAAAATGCTCTTCAGGATATTATCCAGGAGAACTTCCCCAACCTAGCAAGACAGGCCAACATTCAAATTCAGGAAATACAGAGAAGACCACAAAGATACACTTCAAGAAGAGCAACCCCAAGAAACATAATTGTCAGATTCACCAAGGTTGAAGTGAAGGAGAAAATGTTAAGGGCAGCCAGAGAAAAAGGTCGGGTTACCCACAAAGGGAAGCCCGTCAGATTAACAGCGGATCTTTTCTGCAGAAACCCTACAAGCTGGAAGAGAGTGGGGCCAATATTCAACATTCTTAAAGAAAAGAATTTTCAACCCAGAATTTCATATCCAGCCAAACTAAGCTTCATAAATGAAGGAGAAATAAAATCCTTTACAGACAAACAAATGCTGAGAGATTGTGTCATCACCAGGCCTGACACAAGAGCTCCTGAAGGAAGCACTAAACATGGAAAGGAACAACTGGTATCAGCCACTGCAAAAGCATATCAAATTGTAAAGAATGTCGACACTATGAAGAAACTGCATCAACTAACGGGCAAAATAACCATCTAGCATCATAAGGACAGGATCAGATTCACACATAACAATGTTAACCTTAAATGTAAATGGGCTAAATGCTCCAATTAAAAGACACAGACTGGCAAATTGGATAGAGTCAAGACCCTTTGGTGTCCTGTATTCAGGAGACCATCTCATGTACAAAGACACAAGTAGGCTCAAAATAAAGGGATGGAGGGATATTTACCAAGCAAATGGAAAGCAAAAAGCCAAAAAAAAAAAAAAAAAAAAAAAAAAGCAGGAGTTGCAATCCTAATCTCTGATAAAACAGACTTTAAACCAACAAAGATCAAGAGACAAAGAAGGCATCACATAATGGTAAAGGGATCAATGCAACAAGAAGAGCTAATTATTCTAAATATATGCACCCAATAGAGGTGCACCCAGATTCATAAAGCAAGTTCTTAGAGACTTACAAAGAGTCTTAGACTCCCACACAATAATAGTGGGAGGCTTTAACACCCCACTGTCAATATTAGACAGATCAACGAGACAGAAAATTAACAAGGATATTCAGGACTTGAACTCAACTCTGGACCAAGTGGACTTAATAGACATCTACAGAACTCTTCACCCCAAATCAACAGAATATACATTCTTTTTAGCACCTCATCACACTTATTCTAAAATTGACCACATAGTTGGAAGTAAGGCACTCCTCAGCAAATGCAAAAGAACAGAAATCATAACAAACAGTCTCTCAGACCACAGCGCAATCAAATTAGAACTCAGGATTAAGAAACTCACTCAAAACCACACAACTATATGGAAACTGAACAACCTGCTCCTGAATGACTACTGGGTAAGTAATGAAATGAAGGCAGAAATAAAGATGTTCTTTGAAACCAATAAGAACAAAGACACAACATACCAGAATCTCTGGGACACATTTAAAGCAACGCATAAAGGGAAATTTATAGCATGAAATGCCCACAAGAGACAGCAGGAAAGAACTAAAATTGACGCCCTAACATCGAAATTAAAGAACCAGAGAAGCAAGAGCAAACAAATTCAAAAGCTAGCAGAAGACAAGAAATAACTAAAATCAGAGCAGAACTGAAGGAGATAGAGACATGAAAAACCCTTCCAAAAAATCAGTGAATCCAGGAGCTGTTTTTTTTTGAAAAGTTCAACAAAATAGATAAACTGCTAGCCAGACTAATAAAGAAGAAAAGAGAGAAGAATCAAATAGATGCAATAAAAAATGATAAAGGGAGTATCACCACTGATCCCACAGAAATGCAAACTACCATCGGAGAATACTATAAATACCTCTACGCCAATAAACTGGAAAATCTAGAAGAAATGGATAAATTCCTGGACACATACACCCTCCCAAGACTAAATCAGGAAGGAGTCGAATCCTTAATAGACCAATACCAAGTTCTGAAATTGAGGCAGTAATTAATAGCCTACCAACCAAAAAAAGTTCAGGACCAGATGGATTCACAGCCGAATTCTACCAGAGGCACAAAGAGGAGCTGGTATCATTCCTTCTGAAACTATTCCAAACAAAAGAAAAAGAGAGACTCCTCCCTAACTCACTTTATGAGGCCAGCATCATCCTGATACCAAAACCTGGCAGAGACACAACAAACAAAGAAAATTTCAGGCCAATATCACTGATGAATATAGATGCAAAAATCCTCAATAAAATACTGGCAAACAAAATCCAGCAGTACATCAAAAAGCTTATCCACCATGATCAAATCGGCTTCATCCCTGAGATGCAAGGCTGGTCCAACATACACAAGTCAATAAACTTAATCCATCACATAAAGAGAACCAATGACAAAAACCACATGATTATCTCAATAGATACAGAAAATGTCTTCGACAAAATTCAACACCCCTTCATGCTAAAAACTCTCAAAAAACTAGGTATTGATGGAACATATCTCAAAACAATAAGATCTATTTATGACAAACCCACAGTCAATATCATACTGGATGGGAAAAAACTGGAAGCATTCCCTTTGAAATCCTGCACAAGGCAAGAATGCCCTCTCTCACCACTCCTATTGAACATATTATTGGAAGTTCTGGCCAGGGCAATCAGGCAAGAGAAAGAAATAAAAGGTATTCCAATAGGAAAAGAGGAAGTCAAATTATCTATGTTTGCAGATGACATGATTCTATATTTAGAAAACCCGATCTTCTCAGCCCAAAATCTCCTTAAGCTGATAAGCAAATTCAGCAAAGTCTCAGGATACAAAATCAATGTGCAAAAATCACAAGCATTCCTACACACCAATAACAGACAAAGAGCCAAATCATGAGTGAACTCCCATTTACAATTGCTACTAAGAGAATAAAGTACCTAGGAATCCAATTTACAAGGGATATGAAGGACCTCTTCAGGGAGAACTACAAACTACTGCTCAAGGAAATAAGAGAGGACACAAACAAATGGAAAAACATTCCATGCTCATGTATAGGAAGAATCAACATTATGAAAATGGCCATACTGCCCAAAGTAATTTATAGGTTCAATGCTATCCCCGTCAAGCTACCATTGACTTTCTTCATAGAATTGGAAAAAACTACTTTAAAGTTCATGTGGAACCAAAAAAGAGCTTGCATAGCCAAGACAATCCTAAGCCAAAAGAACAAAGCTGGAGGCATCATGCTACCTTGCTTCAAACTATACTACAAGTCTATAGTAACCAAAACAGCATGGTACTGGTACCAAAACAGATATATTGACCGATGGAGCAGAACAGAGGTGTCAGAAATAACACCACACATCTACAAACATCTGATCTTTGACAAACCTGACACAAACAAGCAATGGGGAAAGGATGCTCTGTTTAATAAAAGGTGTTGAAAAAGCTGGCTAGCCATATGCAGAAAACTGAAACTGGACCCCTTCCTTACACCTTATACAAAAATCAACTCAAGATGGATTAAAGACTTAAATGTAAGACCTAAAACCATAAAAATCCTAGAAGAAAACCTAGGCAATACCATTCAGGACATAGGCATGGGCAAAGACTTCATGGCTAAATCACCAAAAGCAATGGCAACAAAAGCCAAAATTGACAAATGAGATCTAATTAAATTAAAGAGCTTCTGCACAGCAAAAGAAACTATCACCAGAGTGAACAGGCAACCTACAGAATGGGAGAAAAATTTTGCAATCTATCCATCTGACAAAGGGCTAATATCCAGAATCTACAAAGAACTTAAATAACTTTACAAGTAAAAAACAAACAACCCCTTCAAAAAGTGGGCAAAGGATATGAACAGACACTTCTCTAAAGAAGATATTTATTCAGTCAATAAGCAAATGAAAAAAACCTCATCATCACTGGTCATTAGAGAAACGCAAATCAAAACCACAATGAGATACCATCTCACGCCAGTTAGAATGCCAATCATTAAAAAATCAGGAAACAACAGGTGCTAGAGAGGATGTGGAGAAATAGGAACACTTTTACACTGTTGGTGGGGGTGTAAATTAGTTCAACCATTGTGGAAGACAGTGTGGTGATTCCTCAAGGATCTAGAACTAGAAATATCATTTGACCCAGCCATCCCATTTCTGAATATATACCCAAAGGATTTTAAATCATTCTACTATAAAGATACATGCACACGTATGTATATTGCGGCACTATTCACAGTAGCAAAGACTTGGAACCAACCCAAATGTCCATCAAGGATAGATTGGATAAAGAAAATGTGGCACATACTCACCATGGAATACTATGCAGCCATAAAAAGGATGAGTTCATGTCCTTTGCAGGGACATAGATGAAGCTGGAAACCGTCATTCTCAGCAAACTAACACAGAAACAGAAAACCAAACACCACATGTTCTCACTCATAAGTGGGAGTTGAACAATGAGAACACAGGAACACAGGGAGGGGAACATCACACACCAGGGCCTGTCAGGGCCCCCCTGGGGGGCTTGGGGAGGGATAGCATTAGAAGAAATACCTAATGTAGGAGATTGGTTGATGGGTGCAGCAAACCACCATGGCAAGTGTATACCTATGTAACAAAACTGCATGTTCTGCACACATACCCCAGAACTTAAAGTAAAATAATAATAATAAAAGAAAATCTCCATTTCTCTGTATCCTAACACTGGTATTGTCAATTTTACATTTTTTTGTCATTAGTGTTTGCGAAATGGCATCTTGTTGTTTTAACTTTCGTGTTTCTGATATCTTAACAAAGTTTACCATCTCTTTATGGTATTAATGGCCATTTAGATTTTCTCTCTTTAAGACCTGTCTGCTAATATCTTTTACCTATTTCTCTCTTTTTTTTTCTGATTGATTTATAGTAGTTTTGGATACTAATCCTTTGCCAGTTAGGTATATTACAAATATCTTCTTCCATATTGTAATTTATGTTTTAACTTATTGATGGTGTCTTTTTGTTGAGAGGAACTGTTAGGTTTTAAATAGTCAAATTTACCTCACTTTTTCCTGTGGCTTGCACTTTATATACATTATTTAAACAAATCCTTTTCTACCCCAATATTGTAAGTGTATTGCTCTATGTTCTCTCAAGTTTTTAAATTTTGTTTTTTCTTTAAATTTGGGGTATTAACCCACTAGGGCCTGGTATAAAATATGGTTATATGTTAATTTATTTTACAACATTGAGATCAATTAAATAATTGTTCTACCACTATTTATTGAGCAGGCCTTCTTCCTCCCTTGATTTGTAATGCCACACTCATCATATATCATGTTGTCATATATATGAGTTTGCATCTGTTCTGTTCTGTTGATTGTTTATTGTTCACATGCCAATATCATGCTGTCTTCATTACTATAGTTTTGTAATATGTTTTGTTATTGGGGGGTTGGTGAATCCTCCAACTTGTACTTCAAAGCTGTCTTGAAGACACTTGGCCTTGCCTTTTCCAAGTGAATTTTCTTTTCTTTTTTTTCTTCTATTTTTTTTTTTTTTTTGAGACAGAGTCTCGCTCTGTAGCCCAGGCTGGGGTGCAGTGGCGCGATCTCGGATCACTGCAAGCTCCGCCTCCCGGGTTCACACCATTCTCCTGCCTCAGCCTCTGGAGCAGCCGGAAGCACAGGCGCCCGCCACCATGGCCGGCCAATTTTTTTTTTTTTTTTTTTGAGACGGAGTCTCGCTCTGTCGCCCAGGCTGGAGTGCAGTGGCGCGATCTCGGCTCACTGCAAGCTCCGCCTCCCGGGTTCACGCCATTCTCCTGCCTCAGCCTCCCGAGTAGCTGGGACTACAGGCGCCCGCCACCACGCCCGGCTAATTTTTTGTATTTTTTTAGTAGAGACGGGGTTTCACCGTGGTCTCGATCTCCTGACCTCGTGATCCGCCCGCCTCGGCCTCCCAAATTGCTGGGATTACAGGCGTGAGCCACCGCGCCCGGCCGCCGGCCAATTTTTTTGTATTTTTTCAGTACAGACGGGGTTTCACCTTTCCAAGTGAATTTCCTTGAACCATCACAGCTCTCTTCATCTTTTGATTTCACATGTTTGATAGAGACACTGATTCCAAGAAACATTTGTATACTGAATATTAAAAAAAACCCCACCAATGTGAATATAATGACAAATGCCAATATACAGACCTTAAAGCTAAGAGACAATAGAGGGTGGTGGGGCCTGTTCAAAACTGAAAAACACATGCCCTTTTCCAAGGGGGCACTTCTCATCAGCTTCAACTGCTTTTGGCCATCTGGGAGTATAGGCTAAGTTAAAGAGAAAAAACAAAATTCAGGAGAATCTGGGAAGTTGTATTTTGTTTTTCGATATGAATTTTTCTATTTATTAAATCTTTTTTTCTTTCTGTACCTCTCAGCTCGCACCTACTTTTGTTAAATCTTATTTCAATTCTTTATAAAATGTGTGGACTAAAGAAAATATCCCTTAGGCCCAACCCAACGCACTTTCCCAACATTGGATTTGAATAGTTTCCAGATCGCATTGAATAGGAAAAAGGCAGATAGAAGCGTAAGTTTGAAGCAAAGAATCTTGGGGCTGTAATATGACATTGAGGTACTATGTTTGTAAGCTCATCAGTGGATCCAGAGTATAATCCTATGAGCCCCAAGACTCCAAAGTAATTATTTCAATGCTAGATGTTTTAGCTCTAAATGTTTGAGACAGTTTTCAGGGAATTATAGCATGGGGCATTTTAATAAGAAGATTCCAGATGGCAAAAACAATGCATTCTACTATGCTTAGACCTCTGTGATCCCACCCACCCTCTTGCCCTTCTCCCTCTGGTTTTCAAGCTGTGTTCTTTCTTCTTAGAAGTGAGTTTTATTATAATTATGTTACTTTCCTCCACATCTTTATTATGATCTGTATATGATATTTATGCTTCTGAGATTGCTCTTAACAAAATAATAGGGCCCAAAGTTGTCTTCTTAGAATTATATATGCAATAGGTTTTCCTTCTAACTATTAGCTACAGTTTGAAACCTGCTCTGTAGGGACCTTTGTAAGTGGTCTTCTAAAGCTAGAGTTATATGTTTTGGGAAAGGCCAATCTACTTCTTTCATATTTTGCTGTTTATTTGACTACTGATTATCTTGAAGAATATACTCTTAGGTCCAAAATACCTAATCCAGGTCTAAAACACCATTTAAGATCTAAAACACTATTTTACTCTAGCTGGCCCACAAAATCATGTGGGCAACCAAAGCTGGCGTAAGCTCCTATACCAAGAAGTAGCAAGTATTGAACAATGTCTACACCAATTTTCATTACAGAACAAGATAGGACAACACGCCATTTTTCTTCTCTGCTTCTTGGGTGCTGAAGGAGATGCATGCTACTTAAAAGCTTTATTTTTTACAAATGATGATGCCAGAGATCATATCATGATAAGACATAAAATATAGAAATGTTCTATGTTTCTTCCATCTTTCTGTTTTTTTGGTCATAGACTCTATCTTGCTCCAGACAGATCTGCTTAAAAGGAAACATTCATGTACTTGAACTGACCCATGCCAATGGCACTGTCCTTCACTCACTCAACAAACACTGTTAAGGCTCTACGTATATAGTGACACCCAAGAGAGACATGGCTTATGCTCTTCTAGTACTTGCATTGAATAGCAAGGGTAAGATATAGACAGTTAACATCTAAATTAATAAAAAATAATTTTAGATAATAATAAGTACTTGGAAAAAATTAAACAAAGGAATGGAGTTGAGGGTGACTGTGTGTGTGGGGGAAGGGGGTGAGGAGGCCATGTTGTCAGGATAAAAGCAGCTTTGAGTATGCTGTAGTAGTGTATATCATTATCACATAAATAAAGCACAAGTGCCAGAATATATTGTAATGCCCGTTTAGTGGGGAACACAGCATGGAACAGCTTAAGTTAGGCATCTCCTAGGTTTTCTTGTAAAATCACAGTGGTTGTATTAATAGTACTGGTAGTAGTAGTAGTACCAATATCAATAATAGTACTAGCAATGAGGAAACTGACAGTTGTGAAGTATATTAAGAATGGTTGGCTGGGAGCGGTGGCTCAGGCCTGTTATCCCAGCACTTTGGGAGGCCAAGGCAGGGGCATCACCTGAGGTCAGGAGTTTGAGCCCAGCCTGGCCAACATGGTGAAACCCCATCTCTACTGAAAATACAAAAATTAGCTGGATGTGGTGGTGCGCGCCTGTAATCCCAGCTATTTGGGAGGCAGAGGCAGGAGAATCGCTTGAACCCAGGAGCCAGAGGTTGCAGTGAGCCGAGATCGTGCCATTGCACTCTAGCCTGGGAGAGAGAGCAAGACTCCATCTCAAAAAAAAAAAAAAAAAAGAATGGTTTTGTGTTTGTATCACTGTGACATTAACATTAAGACTTTGAAAAAGTGGTTTTCCCACTTCCCATGTGTGTGTTCAAAGAGGCAGTTAGGAATGATGACCTCTGTGTTTCCTCCCACACTCTTACTAAATGAAAAAAGTGTTTAAATTCTCTTGGTCCTCATGTGCCTTCTTCTTATACTGGTTTTTTCTTCCCACTGGTTATTCATTATTCATTTCACCTTCATCTTCAAGTTTTCTTCTGACAGTTAACCATATGATTCAGTTCTGAGAAATGCTTTTCTTTTTTTTTTTTGGCAGAGAAGTCCCAATTCTGGGCAAGACCTTAGGACTATTCCAAGGAGAAAACAGAGTTTGAAAATGTATGGACATAGCACAGTGTAGAAATGAGGGGACTAGGTTCTAGAGTCAGAGGTACCTGTGTTCATTTCCTGATTCCAACATTCCCAGGCATGGGGCACTGGACGAATGGCTTCACCTTTCTCATGTTTTCTTTGCTGGCATATGAAATGGAGGCAATGACAGTATCTCCTTCATTGGATTTTTATGAGGTTATAATGAAATAATGCATGTAAAATGTCTGTTATGCAGTGCCCAATAAACGTTGGTTGTTAATATTATCACTATTTCAGTATACCTGAAGACCTTTAGAACTGTTTTTTTTTCATGGTCAGTTTCTGATATGAATTGAATGTGAGATAATTCCAGTTGGAAGAGTCTTTGGGTCTAAACCTCCCATCTGAGGCATATGACCTTTATTTAGACCCCATAAATGATGGATGTCTATTCTCTGCTTGACTGTGTTCTGCCTTGAGCAGTTCACTTCATCTTTCCGTTGGTAGAATAGCTTTGATAAAAAGATAAGTTTTGAAAATAGTGGAAATAGCCTGGAAAGGGAGAAAGGATGATTATCTCACCTCCAGAGGAATTATTTGCTTTAAAAAATGTAATAATTCAGTAATGCTTCTCTAAGGCTACGGTTTGATCACTGGGTTAATCCTTTAAGAGTGCACGTCTTCAAAGTTTGGAACCTATGCCCCCAAAAGAAATCCCAGGCAATTTTCTGTTGTTTAAGTGGTGAAACTCTGAAAGAATATTTTCATTCCCTTTAGATATGTATCTACTTCTTCTGGTGGATAGAAACAGCTGTTTAATGGCTGCCTAGCAACATTGCCTAGTGGCTGAGAACTGGCTGTGCCAGTTTCACACAGTGGAATACCCAAGAGCAATTAGGAAGACAATATAATTACACAAGTTAGAAATAGGTCAGGATTTGGGACAAATACCCAGATGCTTGAGAAAGTAGCTTTGGGATTTGAAGGCCCCTGGAGTGAGAAGTTATTTGGGTTGATGTGCCTGGGGCTCTCTTTGTTTTGTTCTAAGCACTTATGCAGAAAGAGAGCAATTCTGAGCACACTCTTTAGATACAAGCTTGGATAATGCTTGTCAGTATATTATACAGACCGAGATGGATAGATGTCAGAAGCAGCATATCAGAATGGCATTGAGCATGTGCTATGGAGTTAGACAGATTTGTGTTTGATTACTGCTCTTCTACTTCTTAGCTGAGTGACCTAAGCGATATAATTTAACTACTTTGTCAGTTTTGTCATCTCTACATTGGGTATAACAATAGCACCCATCATAGGGAGTTGTATGGATGAAACATAGTAATGAATGTAAAGTGCTTAGAATAGTGCTAGGCAACTGGAAAATAATTCAGCAGGATGTGGTAATGTGTTGTGCCTCACTTCTCAGCTGCTACCATGTTGCCTTCAATGGTCTTCCCTCCCACTCCTTGACTTTCCCTGCAAAGAGTCCACACTCATGGTTCAGCTGCCACAAGTGCAGAAGTATTTATTTTATCACAGGTATATGAATTTGTAAATGTGTAAGCCAGATCCAGGATTGAAGAGCAGGTAGAGACGAGTGTTGTCCAGCTTATGGGTATCACCTATGGATATGCCCTAGGGAGTAAAGCTCTTGGTAAAAGATCATTAACAGCCTGTGGCCAGCCAGACAGAGTAGGCGAAAGGTTTGTGAAACTTTGTAGGTCTGATTTATTTCAAACATCGAAGGACCTTGTGGAAAGCCAGGCTTCACTTTAGAGGCTTATGCTGTTGAAATGATGCAAACATTTAGAGTCATGCTGCACACTCAAAGTGGCCAAAGACAGAATGTTAGAGGCGAGAGCTCAGGCACTGCTGCCAGACAGGCTTGAGTGCCATTTATTCACTGTGTGATCTCTGTCAGCTTACATAAATTAAATTTCAGTTTCTTCTTCAAGTGGGGATGCTAATATCCACCATGTAATATTGAATAGATCACAAGTAATGAATATGAAGTATTCAACCAGAGTTCGGTGTATGAAGTTAATACCTGGTATATATTATATTAAATATTATTATTGCTATTATTTAATCCTAAAACCACATTAAGGCACAGAATCATCTTGTATAAAGTGAACTCTATATTATATAATACTATAAATATTTATTAAGAACCATTTTAGATTCTGTGATGACTAAACCCATTTTAGATTCTGTGATGAAGGCATATAAAAACTGTTGTCCTTAAGGAATTTATGTTTCAGTTGAAGAGACAGACACAAACAATCCTAGACAAAAACCCCAAAGTGCTAAACAGAAGGTAGAAGCACCATACTTTAAGGACGAGAGGGATGCAGAGATCAAATCTGCATCAGGGAAACCAACTAAGTCTTTAAAGAGGAAGTGTTTTGATAGTAGCATTCTGGTGTGTGCACATTCTTGTTGAGTGAGCAGTGTGAACAAAGACTCAGAGGTAGGACTGTGTGGAGCATGGGTTGGAAATAGGGGATGGTTAACTGTGACTGGCTGCTACAGAGTGTTGATAGATGTTGTATAAGACGTTGGAAGACTGGGCTAAGCTTTGATCCTAGAGGGCCTTGAATACGCAAATAAAATTTTAGCAAAAATATATTTTAAAAGAATGACTTCATTCGCTGATTCCTTTCTTCCTTTATTCAACATTTATTTAGTGCCTGAATTCTGCCAGGTACTGTTATGGAGATAAAGCAGTGAGCTAGATAAAGCTGATGAGTTTCTAGTGAGGAAGAAAGACTATTACATAAGTGATTCTATTAGAGTATGTTGAATGCCTCAACAGCCAGGGAGGGAGGGAAGCATCTTGTTAGATGTCCTAGCCCATCACTGGGGTAGGGGCATCAGAGAGGGCTTTTAGGGGAAATGACTCTAAGCTGAAATCTAAGGAACTGACTTGGAGTTAATCAGGTGAAAAGAATAGAGGGAGAATATTCTGAGTGAGTGGAAGAAATAGCACCTTATAACTTAGAGGTGAGAATGATTTTGGTGGGTCTCAAGAATTGCAAGTTAGTTCAATACTTGTTGAGCATTGAATGCGAGGTGTTTGGAGGGACAAGGGGATCATAGAACATGGTGTCTCATGCTGAAGAGTCTGGATTTTTATCCTGAAGGCCTGAGAGAATTTGCAGCAGTGTTTGCTTTGGGAGTGGAGAGGCAGAGTGTTTGCATGACCCAGTGATGTTTGTATTTTAGAAAGATAACTCTCAGCAGATTGAAATACAGGGATTGCAAGAAGCAAGACCAGAAGGAAGAAGACTAACTTTGAGACTATTGCAGTTGTTTCAGCAAATGTGTCTTTGTTTACATTGCCACAAAATGTACCACCCTGGAAGAAAGAAAGAGCAACTATTTTCTGGGATTATCTCCTCACCCTGCTGATGTGCAGAATGTACTTGGTTGCCTGTGGGAGCTGGGGCACATGGGGCTTATATCATGTTAAGCAATGTTTCTAGCAATTATCTAACATGAGGCATCTGTGCTCTCCCAGTGGGAGGAGGAAAGGATCCTGTCTCCTGCTATGGGAATGCAGGGAACATGGCTTTTGCATCCTTGTGGCAGAGTTTGCTGGACATCAGGAAGTATTTCGCAAAATTACCTGGAAATGGTTGCATTGCTTTCTAAGAGATCCACATTTGCCTATAGAGGTGAGAATCAGGGAAAACCATGCCCATTTACTCTAATGAGACGTAAAGCCAGCAGCAGCAGCTCCAGAGAAACACAAGTAGGGCGGCTGATTTGACAGCAATTGAGTGCACTTGTGAAATTTTTCTGTCTCCCCTAGGAAATCAAAATAGCAAACAGCATGATATTGGAGTATGCTGATGCAAAGCTTCCCAACTCAGAGCTTGTCTGATTCCCTTATCAAATGGAGCAGTCCTGTAGGATCATTGGAGATAATTGGAGCTGCTTTTCTTGGTCCTGAAGACATGTAGCTTATTCTCTCTGTTGCTGGCCATTTGCCTTTGCTGTGGTTGACGAGAGAGGGCCAGGAAAATGTGAACTAGAGTTTACTATTCATGCAAAGGCCGAGTCAGACCTTAGACCTGGGGAACTGGAGGTACATGAAACACATTGGACTTGAAAATCAGTCTCTAGCTGGTGAGTAACTTGATTCTAGAACATGTCTCTTTACTATATTAGGTTTTTAAAAAATTTGCTGCATAACAAATTATTATGGATTTAGTGGCTTACAACAACAAGAATTTATTGTCTCCAAGTGTCTGTGGGTCAGGAGACCAGGCATGGATTCACTGGTCCTTTGTTCAGCATTTTACAGGGCTCAAATCAAGGTCTTAGTCAGCTGTGTCCTCATTTGGAGGCTTGACTAGGGAAAAATCCACTTCCACACTCCCTTGAGTTGTTGCCAGAATTTATTTTCTTTCAGCTGTAGGACTGAGGTCTCTGCTTTCTTGATGGCTTTCAAATGGGGCTAATCTTTGCTTCTAGATACTGCTTGTCACACGGTGCCACATGGCCCTCTCCATACCATGGGAACTTTCTCCTTCATGACTGGGAGCAGATTTCTGTCTCACTTTAATTCTGACTGGATTTGAGAGCTTGCCTAATTAGGTCAGGCCCACTTAGGATAGGCTTCTTTTTTATTAACTCAAAGTTAACTGATTAGGGACCTTAATTTTATCTGAAAAATCCCTTCTGCCATATAATGTAACATAATCATGGAGGGTTATCTTACATACATAAGTCCAACTCACTCTCAAGGGAGATGATTATAGAGGATGCGTACACCAGGCTGTGGGATTCTTGAGGGCTGCCTTAGAATTTTTCCAGTCACAACTGCTTACCAGATTCTTTCTACAGGCAGACTTTCTAAACTTATGGAGAATATTTCAAAATTTGCAAAATGGGTACATTCTCAGTCCTACCTTTCCCTGAGCAGGTAGAGTCACAAGTGATATGATATTTGTGGTTTATGAATTATTAAATTCTCTATATACAAGAAGAACTGTGTCCACTGAAACCACCAAGCAGCTTTCTGAATGTGATTTTTTCTAATATTCACCATTTAAAAATAGTTTTAAAAATTATCAACTTCTTATTGTTAGATCGTTAAGTGATTTATAATTTTTGTTATTACAATTAACCAGGTGAAAGGGTATGAGCAATGTTAAAGTTCGGTGATTGTTTTGATAAATATTGTTAAATTCTGCTTTAGGAAGGGTGTCAATGGTAGCCATTTTGAAGTATTTACAATTACCGTAAGAAAGAGAGAAACATAGACCTCCGAGGCTTGTTTACCTAAGGATGGGAGATAGGTTTCACAGAATGGTTTGAGGCAGAACAATGGATTTGGGAGCTACAATTATAACCAGTCTCCAAAGACCTAGAGTCTCAGTTCCTGCTTAGGTAGGCCTTAAGGGGTTATTATTTATTTTACCTTGGCATTCCCCTTAATAGTGGATCAGATGTTATTTTAAATAGTGCAATTAGTTAATTATTTCAGAAAATATTTAGAGCCAGATTTTCAAAGACTGATTTCCCTGTTTGCAGGTGCAATGGTCACTGTGGAGCCTGAGGTACAGTTTTTTATGTTCTGTTTCTCTTATGTATTTTAGAGGAAAATCTCTTCTCTAGTATGTAATGTACATTGTAGAGTTAAACTACAAATAAATGAATATGTACACAAAATGGGTGCTTTAAGTTTTGGACTTTAAATTTTAAATGAACATTTGGAAGAATAATATTGGTGACAATATAGAGTTACTGCCTTTATTAGTTATTCGTTCATTGACAAATGTTTATTGAATGCCCATTATGTGCCAGGTATTATTCTGGATGCTGAGGATCCAGATGCTGAGGATGTGTCAGTGAATAAAACAGTCCAAACCCCTTGAACTCATGGTGTTTACATTTCAATAGGGGCAGACAATGTATATGATGAGAATAACTTTTTGTGATGACCTATTGTCTTATTGATTCATACCCTACAAGCCTGTAGGATAAGGAAGAAAGATATTGCGATTCCCACTTTGTAAATGTAAATTTGAGGATCAGGTAGGTTGGAGGACTCTTCCAGGGTCACATGGCTTATAACTGGGAGTGAGACAAGACCTTTAGTTATGGTATTTCTGAGAATAAGGCAGGCACACAGCCACACTGTTTCTTGGCTGACTGATATTCTGAAGCAGTGACTTGCCAACTGGTGCACCTAATAAGGTCTTCCAGGTGCTTAGTTTCCTAGAAGAGACTTTGTTGTGTGATAACATTCCACAGAAAGCTGGTGTGGTTGGGGGATCAGTGGACTCAACATTTTCTCGAGAAGTTCTATAAATGGGGGCTGGGTGCATACTGGGAAAGGAATAGTTGTGCTCTTATATTTGTGTGTGGAGCTTCATTTACAAAGTACATTCACAATCACTTCTTTTGATTATCTCCATGATCCTTTGAAACCAGAATTAGTGGTTTATCCCCATTTCACATATGAGGAAAGTTGAGTCCTAGAGAAATTAATTGATTTGGCCCAAACTGCATGGTACTCAGTGGCAGAACATCTAATGAAGATAGGTAAGCACCAAGATTTCATATTTTCTGTTTATATATTCTCTTCAAAAATGTGTTAGACTGCAGAATTCTAGTAGTCACAGGAATAATGAGAATGCCAGGAGTTTTATGTATATGTTGACCTAAAAGGTGAGCAGTAGTTTCTTTTTCAGTCTTAGGTGCACATACTTTCTAAATCAGGCAGCCAATGGTATGCCACCAAGGCCTTCCCCATGGTCTCATGGTAGTTCTTTGGGTGAATAGTACCTCTTTTCACTCATCCAAATCTTTTAGAAGGTCTTGCATCCTAAAAGTTATTTGGACTCTGGCTTTTCTTATCTTGGCTAACAACCAGATACAAGGAAGAACACGTTTTAAGGAAAGAAAAGACAGCTTTTACAGTTAATGGGATGTTGCTGATACAGTTTACTCAGACTCACTCAAGGCAGGCTTGTGCAATGGAGAATGTTTGTCTTACAGTTCTTCCTTGTCCTTTTATGTACCAAATTAAAGCAAATTAATTTTTGGAATAGGTAAGGCATACCCAAGGGCACAAAAAGGTATACATTAAAAAAGGAAGCTTTTTTTCTACCACTTTTTCCAGTCACCCAGTTCCTCTCCCATAGTCACCCAGTGCTGTTTCTTCCCAATTATGGAATCACCTCATTGCTCCATTGTCCTCCACTTACCCACTGACTGCTCATGAAACCCAATGGTCTTTAGAGAGAATAACTCATTCATCCATCCACCTATCCACAGATCCACCTATCCACCCACTCATCCATCCATCCATCCATCCATCCATCCATCCATGCATCCAAACATTTTTTTGAGTACACACTTTTCACTTAGTAGCATAATAGAGTCTGAATATGCTAAAACAAAAGTCTACCCTTTGACCTCAAGGAGCAGACATTTTCCAGAAATGTCTTGAATCTTTCATCCCCATTAAAGCTTAAATGCCTTGTTTTCCTTCACAGTTAGGACCCTGCTCCTTGCAAGCTAATGTGATAAATTAATTTGTGTTAAGATTTTAATGGCTGATTATGTGCTGTGTTTTCCAGACAATACCTATAGTTCATAGGGGTTTTCATTTCAAAGGGTATATTTATTGCAAGAATTTTAAAAAGCATTACGAAGGAGGCATTTTAAAAGGATGGTGCAAGATGGGTTTGTATCCTGCTTAAGGAGACAGTAGAGTGTAGAAGTTTTAAAGCCCTCTATGCCTCAGTTTCCTCATTTATAAAAAGGGGCAGGTAACACAGCAATATTTTTTCCCATAGAGTTTTTATGAGGATCAAGTTTAGATAATTCCTCTAAAGAATTTAGCAAAGTGCCTGGCACATATTAAGCCTCCATACTTGTTATAATTGTTATTATCATCATTGTGGTTTTCACATAGTTGGTTTCTAAATCTACCTGTCATAGACCTGCCTGTTTAATGGGCCACTTTACTTCCAAATTCCCACAGGCAGGCATGCTCCTCTCATCAGTGATACGTACACAAAGGGAGGTCAGGACCCAGCACTCCTTATCTGTCATTAAGTAGAAACCACAAGTACTGACAAAATGTCAAGATGCTCCTTGAAAAGAAAAAGGACTTGAACGAAACTGCCTTTGGGCTGGGAGACAAATGCAGATGTGCACACCAGGCTACTCATACTCTCTCCTCATAGAGTGTGACCTTTCTGCTCTAGAATCTCTTCTTGACACTTGTTTCAAGGACCTGTAGGGCCCAGTCACAACCCTGTTCTCCCAGAGCTCCAGGGCCTAGGAGGCAGGTGTTAGGAGCAGTTCCTAAGCTCCCCTTGTCTATTGAACAGCCACGTGCAGCTAAGGCTATCAAAGCTGGGCTGACTTAGTGGTTCTGGTAGATTAGACTTGAAAACACTAATTTTTACTCTTCTGGGACCAGGAATAAATTCAGCCAGCTCAGGCGAAGCAAATTTTCAAACCACCTTCCTTGCCCATTTTCTGAATTTCTTTTGACTTTCTGTATGTGCTACAAGCTGTGCTGGGCTAAAAGCATTTTTTATCTTGCTTTCTGGAAAGGAAGTCCACTCATTCTGCAACCGTTTTCCACGTGGGCTGTGGTGGAAAATTATACTGCTTTTTAATATCATTTTAATTGAGAGGCCAGATCAGGATTTATATCATGGTTCTCTTGTCTTTGATTTCCATTTTCTGCCCATAAAATGCTCAGTTAATAACCACAGATCATAGTTCTTCCTGAAAGAAGAGGAGGAGCTGGCTGTGATAAAGGGGTTATTTCTTCCACTTCAAGTTATTATTCAAAATCTCATTAAGAATACATTTCTCAGCTGGGTGCGGTGGCTCATGCCTATAATCCCAGCACTTTGAGAGGCTGAGATGGGTGGATCGCCTGAGATCAGGAGTTCAAAACCAGGCTGGCCAACATGGCAAAACCCCATCTCTACTAAAAATACAAAAATTCGCCAGGCATGGTGGCATATACCTGTAGTCCCAGCTACTCAGGAGGCTGAGGCAGGAGAACTGCTTGAACCCGGGAGGTGGAGGTTGCAGTGAACTGAGATGGCGCCACTGCACTCCAGCCTGGATGACAGAGTGAGAATCCGTCTAAAAAATAAAAATAAAAAAGAATGCATTTTTCAAGAATCCTTCAGATTTCTCCAGAAAGCATTCAATAATGAAAACACATTTCTTCTTGTGAGGGGTGGGCAGATGGGTTTGGGAGTTGGGGAGGTGAGGAGAGAGGAAATGATATATATATGTATGCTTAACAGAACCTGTATAGATTGCCTAATTGCCTTATAGAGAGAGTATATTTTGGGCAATTAGACAGTTCTGTGTAAAATACAATGTGTAAATAGTTCCCAAGTCATGTATGTAAAATATTCCCAAAATTCTTCAAAAGGAAGACACCACTTCCTCCATATCAGGCATAATAAGGATGTTTTTTATTGGGTCACAGGTGTGTAGAATTGGATAAATAATAAACATTGAAGCATGGCACACTTTCACCATTTGTACATCCAGGACATATTTATATTTAGCTAGCTATTTAACAGTAATTACCAAGGCCCTGCTTAGCACATATAAGGAAATGGAAAGGGGTCAGCATGATGAGTTGAGTGAATATTATAAGATTAAGTTGGTGAAGTAGCCTGGGGCCATGATCATACAGAACTTGGATTTTATTCTATGTGAGATGAGAAGCCACTGGTAGTGGTTGTGGATGGGTTGATTAGAGTTGTTATGTAGTAGAAATTAAGTTTTCAAACAGTAATTGCTACTTTGAGAAGAGCTTTGTTATGTGAGAGAGGTAGTCCAGGGTTGATGTAGGGAGATCAGGTAATGAGCTTTTCCCATGGTTTTGCTGAGAAATGGCGGTGGTGTGGTATGGACTAGGAAAGTAGGGTTGGCAGTTGTGAGAGATGGTTAGTTCTGGATATTTATTTTATTTTAAATTTTTATGGATTTAAGGGTGTAAGTGCAGTTATGTTATGTGAATATATTCCATAGTGGTGAAGTCTGGACTTTTAATGTACCCATCATCTGAATAGGGTACATTGTACCCACCCCCTTCTACTGTTCTACCTTTTGAAGTTTCCCATGTCCATTATTCCACTCTGTATAGGTATGTATACCCATTGTTTACCACCCATTTGTAAGTGAGAACATGTGGTTTTTGACTTTATGTTTCTGAATCATTTCATTAAAGATAATGGCCTCCAGTTGCATTCATGTTGTTGTAAAATATACGATTTCATTCTTTTTTATGGCTGAGTTGTATTCCACGGTATATATACACAAATTTTTTTTTTTTTTTTTTTTTTTTTTTTTTTTTTTTTTTTTTTTTTTTTGGGAGAGTCTTACTCTGTCACCCAGGCTGGAGTGCTGTGGCAGAATCTCAGCTTATTGCAACCTCTGCCTCCCGGGTTTGAGCAATTCTCCTGCCTCAGCCTCTAGAATAGCTGGGACTACAGGCATCTGCCACCATGCCTAGCTGATTTTTGTATTTTTAGTAGAGACAGGGTTTCACCATGTTAGCCAGGCTGATCTCGAACTCCTGACCTCAGGTGATCCACCCGCCTTGGCCTCCCAAAGTGTTGGGATTTACAGGCGTGAGCCACCGCATCTGGCCTATACATGACATTTTAAATCCATTCATCTGTTGATGGATACTTAGGTTGATTCCATGACTTTGCTATTGTGAATAGTGCTGCAATAAACATACAAGTGCAGGTATCTTTTTTTGATAAAATGATTTATTTTCCTTTGGGTAGATACCCAGTAGTGGGATTGCTGGATTGTAGGGTAATTCCATTTTTAGTTATTTGAGAAATCTCCATACTGTTTTCCATAGAAGTTGTGTTAACTGACATTCCCACCAAGAGTGTATAAGCGTTCCCATTTCTCTGCATCCTTGCCAATATCTACATTTTTTTACTTTTTAATAATAGCCATACTGACTGATGTAAGATGGTATCTCATTGTGGTTTTAATTTACATTTCTCTGGTGATTAGCGACGTTGTGTATTTTTTCATGTTTGTTGGCTGCTGGTATGCTTTCTTTTGAAAAACAGCTCTTCTTTGCCCACTTTTAAATAGGATTATTATGTTTTTCTTATTGAGTTGTTTGAGTTCCTTGTAGATTCTGGATACTAGCCCTTTGTTACAAGCATTATTTGCAAATATTTTCTCCAATTCTGTAGGTTATCTGCTTACTCTGTTGGTTATTTCTTTTGTTATGAAGAAGGTTTTAAGTTTAATTAAGTCCCATTTGTCTATTTTTGGTTTTGTTGTGTTTCTTTTGAAGACCTAGTCATAAATTATTTGCCTAGGCCAAAGTTCACAAGAGTTTTTTTCTAGGTTTTCTTCTAGGATTTTTATACTTTCAGGTCTTATTTTTAAGTCTTTAATCCATCTGAAGTTAATTTTTGTATATGATGGGAGATAGAGGTCCAGTTTCAATCTTCTGCATATGGCCTTCCATTTTCCAAGTACCATTTATTGAATAGGGTATTCTTTCCCCAGTGTATATTTTTGCCAACTTTGTCAAAGATCAGTTAGTTATTTTGAAAGTAGAGCCAACAATAGTTGTTGGTAAGATGGAGGGAAGTCAAGAATTATAGTACATTTATAGTCCTTTTTAACATTGTAATCCACATATGGTTTTAGTGGTCACTCTATTTAAAGTATACATTTTCAGTAACCACAGTTTTCCATTTTCTGACAGTGCCAGAGGCTTACAGTGCTATTTGGTTCTTCCTTCAGTACAGTAATTGGCTCACTCTAAAGATTTGCTTAACCAAGCAAGAGAATTACAGTTACATACATTATGTTTTCTCCACACAGTCAATTCCAATAATTCTGATTAGAGAAACAAAAGATGTTGGATTTTTATTGGAATTTAAAAAAATGACTGTTTGCTTTCTGCATTTGAAGAGAATAAATAAGTTTTATAAAAATGTTAGCATATACTGTCTGTGGTCTACTGTGACCTGTTTTTTAATTCATTATTTTGTTTCTAAGGTTTATTCATGATGATGTGCACAGCTACAGTTCATTCATTTTCATTGCTATATAACAATTCATTATATAAATATGTAGTAAATAATTTATTTATTTTCCTCTCAATAGTCAGTGAGTTGTTTGTAGATTTTTGCTGTAAGAAGCAAGTGTTATGAATGGCTTTGTACATGTGTTCTGGACAAGAGATTCTGTATGTATGATTGGTAGTATAATTGCTAGTTCATAGACTATAAAAATATGAGAAAGTTCATCTTTGAAGGGTAATGACAAATTATTTTCCAGAAATAGTTGTACCAGTTTATACTACTGCAAGCAGAGTTTAAGAGATCCTTACGTATTAGCCAACACTTGGTATCATCAATATCATATTATCAAACTTTGTGTTTCTGATAAGTATAAAATGGTATCTTTGTATGCATTTCCTGACTACTAATGAGGTTGATTGTTGTCTTATGATTATGGGACATTTGCGCCTCTCTTCTATAAAATTACTATTGATATATTTTGACAATTTTTCCATTGTATTGTTTAATTTTTTATCATTGATTTATAGGAGCTCTTTGGATATAAAGGCTATTAATTTTTTGTTGATTACACATGTTGCAAATTTCTTAGTTTGTGGCTTGATGCTTCACATTCTTTCTGGGGTCTTTTGATGAACAGAAGCTGTTAATGTTTAATGTAGCCAAATTTATAAATCTCTTTTATAATTAGTGCTTTTAGTGTGTTGTTTTGAAATAATTTTTTACTGTGATTTTATACATATATTCTCTATTTTCTTATAAAAGCTTTACAGTTTTGTTTCTTACTTCAAGCCTTTAATCCAATTGGATTTTATTTTTGTGTATGGGATAAGAAAAGATACATAGTTTCAGTTTTTCCCTTATGGCATAAGAAATATATATTAGTTCTTGGAACATATTTCCAAATCCTTTTGGAATCTCCAGGACAGTAAGAGTGTCTTTTGTATGCAAACAAGATGACTGGTGACTGGGGGTCCATAGATAGTTTCAGGATAGGGGCTGCTTGCCAGAAAGACCAAGACATGATTAGAAGACTGGAACTTTCAGTCCCATCCCTCTCCCTCACCTTCAGGGAAGTGAGGGGGACTGGAGATTAAGTTAATCAACCATAGCCAATAGCTTAATCAATCATACTTATATAATCAAACTGCCATAAAAACTCCTGAATGATGGGGTTTGGAGACTTTCTGAGTTGGTGAACATATCAAGGTTCTGGGAAGGTGGTATGCTCTGAGAAGCCGTGGAGGATCAGCACACTTCCCCACTATTGCCTTATGTGTGTGCCCTCCATTTGGATGTCCCCAGGTTATATCCTTTATAATAAAGTGGTAATAATAAGTAAAGCACATTCGTGAGTTATTTGGGCTGTTCTAGTGAGTTATTAAATCTGGGTGGAGGCATGAGAATCCCTGAACTTACAGCTGGTCATCTGACGTACTGGCGACAACTTGGTACTTGCAACTGGCATCTGAAATGAAGGCAGTCTTGTGGGGCTGAGGCCTTAACTTGTGGGATCTGATGCTAACTCCTGGCAGACAGTGTCAGAATTGAATTGAATTGTAGACCACCCAGCTGGTGTTGGAGAGTTGGGGAGCGCTGTTGGAAAAGCTGTATGCATTTGGTGTCAGAAGTATGAGCAAAAAGAGTTCAGATCCTTATATGGGGAAATGCTTATTTTAACACTACTTACTGAATAACCTTTGCTTTCCACGATGATCCACAAGGTGTGGATATCTACCTACCTACCTACCTATCTACCTACCTACCTATCTACCTACCTATCTATTTATCTATCTGTCTGTCTATCTCAAGTTTCCACAGATATATGTATCAGTTTTTTGGCTTTATATACTACTTCACTTCAGTTTGTCTAAGTCTGTGTCAATGCCACTACATTGTTTTTATTACTGTGGCTTTAGTTTTTGTTTTATTTATTTATTTATTTATTTTTTTTTGAGAAGGAGTTTTGCTCCATCACCCAGGCTGGAGTGCAGTGGCATGATCTTGGCTCACTGCAACCTCTGCCTCCTGGGTTCAAGTGATTCTCTTGTCTCAGCCTCCCGAGTAGCTGGGATTACAGGTGCGCGCCACCACACCTGGCTAATTTTTGTATTTTTAGTAGAGACGGGGTTTCGCCATGTTGGCCGGCTGGTCTCAATCTCATGACCTCATGATCTGCCCACTGTGGCCTCCCAAAGTGCTGGGATTACAGGCATGAGCCACCACTCCCGGCCTGTGGCTTTAGTTTAAATGAGGTCTTATATCTAGTAGCAGAAGTGATTCTTCTTCCTGACCACCAAACTATCTTATTATTTTCTTCAGGAAAGTCTTTACCATTCTAAAATACCCTTATATTACATTAAAATTCTGCCAAATATACAGATAAATTTGTGGAAAAGGGATATTTTAATAATATATAATTTTTTAAAAAATTGTGATTTAACCTTTTATTACTGCTATGTTAGAATAAAATAAATTTTTATATGTCTTATATCTAGCCACTTTGTTAAACTTTTATAGTAAATAATGTGTTCATAGATTCTTTTGGATTTTAAATACAGATAATTTGTCTAGCTTTTTATATGCTGCTTTTCCTACTGTCTTTTTTTGTTTATCTTAAATTACTTATTCCATTTTTCTCTATTTATACTTTCAGAACTTAGGCCAAATTATTTATAATTTTTAGTAGTTACTTTTGAAACTTTCTATTTAACTAAAGAAAGTTCAAATATCTTAATAACCTTCTTGAACAATACAAGGAAATCATAATACTTTAACTCCAATGATCCCTCCCAAGTTTATGCTATTTTTGCCCAGTAGGTTAATTCTTTTATTAACGAATACACAATAAATATTATTATTATCTCACAGGCATATAATTGTTTTGGTTCATCTATATTTCCAACAGTTTCTTTGCTCACTAATCATTGTATCTCAGATTTGTTCCTGGAGAATATAATTTAGGATTTCCTTTAGCATAAGTAGTTACTGCTAAAGTCTGTTAGTTTTCATCTTAAAATGACTTTATTTCACTACTATTCTTTTTGAACAACAGCTTTATAGGGATATAAGTCACATATCATACAATTTACCTATTTAAAGTATGCAATTAAACAGTCTTTAATATGTTCACATAGTTGTGCAACTATTACCACCTTAAAGTTTAGATCATTTTATTTACCACCTGAAAAAAAATTTTGTTCTTATTAGCAGTTATTCCCCAGATTTCCTCAACTCCCAGCCCTAGACAATGGCAAATCTGTTTTCTGTCTCTAAAGCTTTGTTTATTCTGGACAGTTAACATAAATGGAATCATATAATAGGTGGTTTTATTGGATTGGCTTCTTTCACTTAGTGTAATGTTTTCCAGGTTTATCCATGTTGTAGCATGTATCAGTAGTTTTTTTTCTTTTTGTTTTACTTTTAGTTGACATGTAATAACTGTACATATTTATGAAATACAAAGTGATATTTTAATACATGCATGCAATGTGTGATGACCAAATAGAGTTATGAGTGTATTCATCTCATTCATCATTTCTTTGTGTTATGAACATCCGAAATTCTCTCTTCTAGCTTATTGAAAATATGCAGTAAATTCCTGCTAACCATATTTATCCAACAGTGCCATAGAATACTAGAAGTTATTCCTCCAATCTAGCTATAATTCTCTATCCATTAACTAACCTCTTTATCCTCCATTCCCCCTACCCTTTGATGCCCCTAATAGCTACAATTCTACTGTCTTCTTCCAGGATCTCATTTAATTAATTTATTCATTTTTGCCTCCCATATATCAGTGAGAACATGTGTATCAGCAGTTCATTCCTTTTTATTGTAGAATAATATTTCATTGTATGAGTATGCCACATTTAATTTATCTATTCAGCAGTTGATGGGATTTGGGGTTGTGTCTACTTTTTTGGCTTTTATCACTAATGTTGCTAAAAACAGTGGTGTGTACAAGTTTTTGTGTAGATATAGAATGTCAAATCTCTTTGTATACAGCTAGAATTGCTAGGGCACATGGTAACTCTTTTTTGCCAAGTTGTAGCTGCACATTTTACATTCCTACCAGCAATGTATGAGTGCTCTAATTTCTCAATATCTTTGCTAGGATTTGCTGTTGTTGTTATTATTATTATAATTTTATGATAGCCGTCCTAGTCAGTGTGATGGGTTTGATTCACCTTGCTTAATGACTTAATGATGTTAAACAATTTTTCATGTGCTTCTTAGCCATTTGTATATCTACTTTGGAGAAATGTCTATTCAGATACTTTGCCAAATTTTTAAATTGTCTTAACAGTCTTTTTACTGAGTAGTAAGAGTTATTTACATATTCTGGATACAATTTCCTATCAAATATATTATTTTTATTTTTGGCAGTTAGTTTTTCTGGTATGCAACTCTTCTTTAGGCTGACAATTATTTTCTCACTACTTTGATGATGTTATTCAGATGTCTTCTGGCTTTCATTGTGGCATTTGAGAAGTCAGATGTCAGCCTAATGTTATTCTTTTGTAAGTTATTTATTTTTCCCTGGCTATCTTTAATTTTGTGTGTGTGTGTGTGTGTGTAACAGGGTCTTACTCCGACACCCAAAGCTGTGCCATGGCTCACTGTAGCCTCGACTTCTGGGATCAGGTGATTCTCCCACCTTAGCCACCCACGTAGCTGGGACTACAGGTGTGCACTAACACTGCATTTTGCCATGTTACCGAGGTTGTTCTCAAACTCCTGGGCTCAAGTAATCTGCCTTCATTGGCCTCCCAAATTGTTGGCATTACAGGCATGAGCCACTCACTACACCTGGACTTTTTAAAAAAAATTTATTTTTTAGAGAAGTTTTATATTTAAAGTAAAATTGAGAGGAGGGTACAAAGATTTCCCCTATACCTAGTGCTCCCTCACATGCGTAGCATCCCCCATTTTCAATATCCCCCACAAAAGTGCTACCTTTCTAACAGTTGGTGAATCTACATGGATCATCATTATCAGCCAAAGTCCAAAGTTTACATTAGGGTTAACTCTTAGTGTTGCACATTCTGTAGGCTCGGACAAATGTATACTGATATGTATTTACCATTCTCTGGCTGCTTGTAGATCTCTTTGCTTTTGGTGTTTTACTGGAGTTATGCTTTGGTGTTTCACTATGATATTTTTAAATGTAGATTTTTCTTTAATTTATGTTGTTCAGCATTCAACATGTTTCCTCTCTTTTTGGACTGTGGTAATTTAGGGCGACTACAAATAATGCTGCTATGGATAATATGAATGTGTTCAGGTTTACATATGCACATGGCTAGGAGCAGAATCACTGCCACAAAATATGTGTACTTTCAGTTTTACCAGAGAATGATAAACTATTTTCTGAAGAGCCTAAAATAATTTACAATAGTCTTTGATGATTTCCATTGCTTCTCATTCCATCAATACTTGAAATTTTCAGACTGTTTAAATTTAGCCCATCTGGTGGGTATGTTGTAACCTCATTGTGGTTTCAGCTGGAATTTCTCTATTATTATTTGATTTTCATATATTTACTGATTGTCTTGATTGATAATGGGTTTTCATATGCTTTATGACCATTTTCCTATCCCATTTTCAAGTTGCCTGTACAGGTATTTTACCTATTTTTTAAAATTGAATTGTCGGATGTTGAGGAGGCATCATGGTGGATGCGAGGCAGGGCTAGATTGCAGCTCCAACTCAGATGGACAGAGCAGCAGGGGGAGGCTCACATCATGAATTTTAGCTCCAGAATGACCGCAGGAATAAATCAGGAAACCGAGAGGACCCTCAGACTCTCTGAAGGAAGCAGACTGCTCCTACAGGACCTGGGAGACACCCCAAATACTGTGAGTGCCCAAACTGTGGAAGTGGGAAAGGGAGATCCTCTGCCCCCAGGCACACACTCCTGCTAGGGAAACTGAAGGTCTAGTTTGCAGGAGAAGATTCTGACCTTAGCTGGAGCTGAGTCAATTTAGACAGCCGAGTGAAATACAGGGGTAGAGGAAGCAGTGGAAAAGGCCCTGGGAGCTTCCTGCGTCCCCACACAGGCCATTCCTGCCTAACATCACAGGTCCTTTGGGAGCGTGGCCACAGGCAGGAGGAATATGCCACAGGGAGAAGGAAGCCTCCAGCTGAGTCTTGTAGCTTTTGAACTTTGAACTTTTGAACTTTGAACCAGTGGAGAAACCTCCTGGCCAGAAGTTGGGAGAGGGCACCAATCTGGTGTGCAGACTCCACACGTGGGGGAAGAACTAAGGCCTTTTTCTTTCACAGCTGGGAGGCGGGTAGCCTGGGACAAGTTCTCAGCCCTGCTTGCCCACTGCCTGGAAACAGGCTCAGTGCTGTTAGCGGGGGTATGGTGGGAGTGAGACTGGCTCTACAGATTGCATGGAAGCTGGGTGAGGCCTGTGACTGCCAGCTTTTCCCCACTTACCCTGACAACCTGCATGACTCAGCAGAGGTGGCCGTAATCCTCCTAGGTACATAACTCCATTGACCTGGGAACCTCATGCCTATCCCCCAGAGCAGCCACAGCAAGACCCACCCAAGGAGGGTCTGAGCTGAGACATGCCTAGCCTTGTCCCCACCTGATGGTCCTTCCCTACCCACCCTGATATCTGAACACAAAGGGCATATATACTTGAGAGTTCTAGGGCCCTGCCCACTGTTGGTTCCTCTCCATGCTACCACAGCTGATGCTCCCTGAAAAGCATCACCTCCTGGCAGGAGGCCAACCAGCACAAAAATAGAGCATTAAATCACCAAAGCTAGGTACCCTTACACAGCCCATTTCACCTTCCTGTCACCTCCACTGGAACAGGTGCTGGTATCCATGGCTGAGAAACCCATAGATGGTTCATATCACAGGACTCTGTGCAGATAAGCCCCAGTACCAGCCTAGAGCCTGGTAGACTTGCTGAGTGGCTAGACCCAGAGGAGAGATAACAATCAATACAGCTTGGCTCTCAGGAAGCCACATCCATAGGAAAAGAGGGAGAATACTACATCAAGGGAACAAATTGTGGGACAAAAGAATCTGAACAACAGCCTTCAGCCCTAGACCTTCCCTCTAACAGAGCCTATCCGAATGAGAAGGAACCAGAAAACCAACTCAGGTAACATGACAAAACAAAGCTCTTTAACACTCCCCAAAAATCACACTAGTTCACCAGCAGTGGATCCAAACAAGAAGAAATCCCTGATTTACCTGAAGAAGAATTCAGGAGGTTGGTTATTAGGCTAATCAGGAAGGCACCAGAGAAAGGTGAAGCCTAATGCAAGGATATCCAAAAAACAATACAAGAAGTGAAGGGAGAAATATTCAATGAAATAGATAACATAAAGAAAAAACAATCGGCCGGGCATGGTGGCTCACATCTGTAATCCCAGCACTTTGGGAGGCCGAGGTGGGTGGATCACCTGAGGTCAGGAGTTCAAGACTAGCCTGACCAATATAGTGAAACCCCATCTCTACTAAAAATACAAAATTAGCTGGGCGTGGTGGTGCATGCCTGTAATCCCAGCTTCTTGGGAGGCTGAGGCAGGAGCATCACTTGAACCTGGGAGGTGGAGGTTGCAGTGAGCAAAGATAGCGCCATTTCACTCCAGCCTGGGCAATAAGAGCAAAACTCTGTCTCAATTTAAAAAAAAAAAAAAGAAAGAAAAGAAAAAACAACCAAAACTTCAGGAAACATTGGACACACTTATAGAAATGCAAAATGCTCTGGAAAATCTCATCGATAGAATTAAATAAGTAGAAGAAAGAAATTCAGCGCTTGAAGACAAGGCCTTCGAATTAACTCAATCCAACAAAGACAAAGAAAAAGGAATAAGAAAATATGAACAAAGCCTCCAAGATGTCTGGTATTACGATAAATGACCCAACCTGTTGAGGGAAGTCAGGAACCCCGAACGGAGGGAGCAGCTGAAGCCATGGCAGAAGAATATAAATTGTGAAGATTTCATGGACCTTTATTAGTTCCCCAAATTAATACTTTTATAATTTCTTACGCCTGTCTTTACTGCAATCTCTGAACATAAATTGTGAAGATTTCATGGACACTTACCACTTCCCCAGTCAATACTCTTGTGATTTCCTATGCCTGTCTTTACTTTAATATCTTAATCCTGTCATCTTCATAAGCTGAGGAGGATGTATGTCACCTCAGGACCCTGTGATGATTGTGTTAACTGCACAAATTGTTTGTAGAGCATGTGTGTTTGAACAATATGAAATCTGGGCACTTTGAAAAAAGAACAGGATAACAGCAATGTTCAGGGAACAAGAGAGATAACCTTAAACTCTGACCGCCAGTAGCCGGGTGGAACAGAGCCATATTTCTCTTCTTTCAAAAGCAAATGGGAGAAATACCACTGAATTCTTTTTCTCAGCAAGGAACATCCCTGAGAAAGCGAATGCATCCCTGAGGGTAGGCTTCTAAAATGGCCGCTTCGGGGGGTGGCCGTCTTTTATGGTCAAAGCTGTAGGGATGAAATAAGCCCCAGTCTCCCATAGCGCTCCCAGGCTTACTAGGATGAGGAAATTCCCACCTAATAAATTTTGGTCAGACTGGTTGTCTGCTCTCAAACCCTGTCTCCTGGTAAGATGTTATCAATGACAATGCCTGCCTGAAACTTCATTGTAATTTTAATTTTGCCCTGGTCCTGTGGTCCTGTGATCTCGCCCTGCCTCCATTTGCCTTGTGATATTCTATTACCTTGTGAAGCACATGATCTCTGTGACCCACACCCTATTTGTACACTCCCTCCCCTTTTGAAAATCACTAATAAAAACTTGCTGGTTTTACGGCTTGGGGGGCATCACAGAACCTGCCAACATGTGATGTCTCCCCTGGACACCCAGCTTTAAAATTTCTCTCTTTTGTACCTTGTCCCTTTATTTCTCAGACCGGCCGACACTTAGGGAGTATAGAAAAGAACCTACGTGAAATATCGGGGGTGAATTTCGCCCAATATCTGGCTGAATTTCCCCTGATACCAACCTAAGAATAATTGGCATTCCTGAGGCAGAAGAGCAATCTAAAAGTTCGGAAAACATATTTAGGGGAATAATTGAGGAAAACTTCCCTGGCCTTGCTGGAGACCTAGACATCCAAATACAAGAAGCACAAAGGACACCTGGGGGACCCATCACAAAAAGATCATCACCTAGGCACATTGTCATCAGGTTATGTAAAGTTAAGATGAAGGAAAGAATCTTAAGAGCTGTGAGACAACACCACCAGGTAACCTATGAAGGAAAACCTATCAGATTAACAGCAGACTTCTCAACAGAAACCCTACAAGCTAGAAAGGATTGGGGCCCTATCTTCAGCCTCCTCAAACAAAACAATTATCAGTCAAGAATTTTGTATCCAGTGAAAATAAGCATTATATATGAAGGAAAGATACAGTCTTTTTCAGACAAACAAAATGCTGAGGTAATTTGCCATTACCAAGCCACCACTACAAGAACTGTTAAATGGAGCTCTAAATCTTGAAACATATCCTGGAAGCAGATAAAATCAGAACCTCTTTAAAGCATAAATCTTACAGGACTTGTAAAATGAAAATGAAATTTAAAAAGCAAAAAGATTAAAACAATGTACACAGACAGCAAATAGCCTAATGAATGGAAGGGTATCTCACATCTCAATACTAACATTGAATGTAAATGGCCTAAATGCTCCACTTAAAAGATACAGAACTGCAGAATGGATAAGAATTCACCAACCAACTATCTACCACCTATAAGAGACTCACGGCTGGGCGCGGTGGCTCACGCCTGTAATCCCAGCACTTTGGGAGGCCGAGGCGGGCAGATCACGAGGTCAGGAGATCGAGACCATCCTGGCTAACACGGTGAAACCCCGTCTCTACTAAAAATACAAAAAATTAGCCGGGCGAGGTGGCGGGCACCTGTAGTCCCAGCTACTCGGGAGGCTGAGGCAGGAGAATGGCGTGAACCCCAGGGGGCGGAGCCTGCAGTGAGCCGAGATTGCGCCACTGCACTCCAGCCTGGGCGACAGCGAGACTCCGTCTCAAAAAAAAAAAAAAAAAACAAAAAAAAGAGACTCACATAACACATAAGGACTCACATAAACTTAAAGTAAAGGGGTGGAAGAAGGCATTTTATACAAATGGAGACCAAAAGCGAGCAGGGGTAGTTATTCTTACATCAGACAAAACAAACTTTAAAGCAATAGCAGTTAAAAGAGACAAAGAGGGACATTTTATAATGGTAAAAGGCCTTGTTCAACAGAAAAATATCACAGTCCTAAAGATATATGCATCTAACACTGGAGCTCCCAAATTCATAAAACAATTACTAATAGACCTAAGAAATGAAACAGACAGCAACACAATAATAGTGGGGGACTTCAATACTCCACTGACAGCACTAGACAGGTCATCAAGACAGAAAATCAACAAAGAAACAATGGATTTAAACTATACATTGGGAAGCTTTCCCTCTGAGAACTGGAACAAGACAAGGCTGCCCATTCTCACCACTCCTCTTCAACATAGTATTGGAAGTCCTAGCCAGAGCAACCAGACAAGAGAAAGAAATAAAGGGTATCCAAATTGGTAAGGACAAAGTCAAATTGTCACTGTTTGCTGATGATATGATTGTTTATCTTGAAAACCCTAACAACTCCTCCAGAGAGCTTCTAGAACGTATAAATAATTCAGCAAAGTTTCTGGATACAAGATTAATGTACACAAATCAGTAGCTCTTCTATACACCAACAGCAACCAAGCAGAGAATGAAATCAAGAACTCAACATCTTTTACAATAGCTGCAAAAAAAAGTAATAAAAATAAAATACTTAGGAATACCCCTAACCAAGGAGCTGAAAGACCTCTACAAGGAAAACTATAAAGCTCTGCTGAAAGAAATCATAGACAACACGAGCAAATGGAAATGCATCCCATGCTCATGGATGGGTAGAATCAATACTGTGACAATGACCATACTGCCAAAGGCAATCTGCAAATTCAGTGCAATCCCCATCAAAATACCACCATCACTCTTCATAGAATTAGAAAACACAATTCTAAAATCCATATGGAACCAAAAAGGAGTCCGCATAGCCAAAGCAAGACTAAGCAAAAGGAACAAATTTGGAGGCATCACACTACCTGATTTCAAACTACACAATAAGGCCATAGTCGCCAAAACAGCATGGTACTGGTACAAAAACAGGCACAAAGACCAGTGGAACAGAATAGAGAACCCAGAAATAAACCCAAATACTTACAGCCAACTGATCTTCGACAAAGCAAACAAAAACATAAAGTGGGGAAAGGACATCCTTTTCAACAAATGGTGCTGGGATAATTGGCTAGCCATATGTAGGAGAATGAAACTGGATCCTCATCTCTCACCTTACACAAAAATCAACTCAAGATGGATTAAGGACTTAAATCTAATACCTGAAACTATAAAAATTCTAGAAGATAACATTGGAAAAACCCTTCTAGACATTGGCTTAGGCAAGGATTTCATGACCAAGAACCCAAAAGCAAATGCAATAAAAACAAAGATAAATAGCTAAACCTCATTAAACTGAAGAGCTTTTGCACAGCAAAAGAAACAGCAGAGTAAATGGACAACCCACAGAATGGGAGAAAATCTTTATAATATATACATCTGACAAGACTAATATCCAAAATCTACAATGAACTCAAACAAATCAGTAAGAAAAGTACAAACAATCCTGTCAAGAAGTGGGTTAAGAATAGACAATTCTCAAAAGAAGATATACAAATGTTCTCATTGTTGAATTCCCACCTGTGAGTGAGAACATGCGGTGTTTGTTTTTTTGTCCTTGCAATAGTTTGCTGAGAATGGTGGTTTCCAGCTTCATCAAGGAACAATGAGAACACTTGGACACAGGAAGGGGAACATCACATAGCGGGGCCTGTTGTGGGGTGGGGGGAGGGGGGAGGGATAGCATTAGGAGATATACCTAATGTAAATGATGAGTTAATGGGTGCAGCACACCAACATGGCACATGTATACATATGTAACAAACCTGCATGTTGTGCACATGTACCCTAGAACTTAAAGTATAATAAAAAAATAAATAAATAAAAATAAAAAAAGAAGATATACAAATAGCCAGCAAACATATGAAAAAATACTCAACACAAATAATGATCAGGGAAATGCAAATCAAAACCACAATGCGATACTACCTCACTCCTGCAAGCATGACTATAATAAAAAATCAAAACCAGTAGATGCTGGCATGTATGCAGTGATCAGGGGACACTTGTACCTTTCAGTGATCAGGGAATGCAACTAGTACAGCTGTTAGGGAAAACAGTGTGGAGATTCCTTAAAAGAACTAAAAATAGAACTACCAATTCTATTTTTATACCAATTGCTGGATTGATCCAGCAATCCCACTACTGGGTATCTGCCCAGGGGAAAATAAGTCATTACTCGAAAAAGATACTTGCACATGCATGTTTATAGCAGCACAATTGTAAAATCATGGAACCAACCCAAATGTCCACCAATCAACAAGTGGATAAAGAAACTGTGGTATGTATTTATGATTGAATACTACTCAGCCATAAAAAGAAATGAATCAACCACATTAGCAGTGACCTGGATGAGTTGGAGACTATTATTCTAAGTGAAGTAACTCAGGAATGGAAAACCAAACATCGTATGTTTTCACTGATATGTGGGAGCTAAGCTATGAGGATACAAAGGCATAAGAATGATGCAATGGACTTTGGGGGCTTGGGGGGAAGGGTGGAAGGAGGGCGAGGGATAAAAGGCTACTAATAGAGTTCAGTGTATACTGCTTGGGTGATGGGTGCACCAAAATCTCAAAAATTGCCACTAAAGAACTTGCTCATGTAACCAAACACCACCTGTACCCCAATAACCTATGGAAAAATAAAATTAAAAAAATAAAGTTGAATTGTCTGTCTTTTACTTATTTGTAGGATTTTATAATATGCTATGAATATGATTCCTCTGTAATCATACTTGTTGCCAATGTTTTCTCCTATTCTGTGGTTTGTTGTTTGTGTTTTGGATGGAAAAGTGTTTAATTGAAATGATTTCAAATTTGCCAATCTTTTCCTTTAAGATTATATAAGTCTTTCCCTTACCTAAGTACATGAATATATTTACTTACATTGTGTATTGTTTTGTTTTATCTTTGTTTATTTTTTGGAAGAAATTAATTTTCTTCCTCTTATATTTAGGTTTATAATTCACCTGGAATCGATTTTTATATATTGTATGAAGTAAGGATCAAGTTACAAATTTTTTTACATATGGATGTCCAATTGTCCTAATATCAGTTGGTAAAACACCTGGTTTTCACACTGCTCTGCATTATCATCTTAGATACAAAGTGTTATTTGTTCATGGGTCTGTTTTTCTCTGAGTTGTTCCATTGGTCTATTTGTCAATGTTTGTATCAATATGACATTTTCATAATAACTGTAGCTTTTCAGTAAATCTTGACTTCTCATAGAGCTAGATCTACTATATTTTACCATTCTTCAAGTATGTTTTGGCTATTTTTGGCCTATTGCAATTTCATACACGTGTTAGGATTAGTATTTCATTTACCACAACAAACAATCAAACAAGCAAAAAATATCTGTTGGGATTTTGATAGGGATTGTTTTGAAATTATAGATCAACTTGTGGAAAATTAATTTTAAAAAAGTTGTGTCTTTGTGTATCTGATAATAGTATATTCTTTCATTTAATTAAGTATTGTTTAATCCAATAATACAATGTTTCTGTTTTGAATAGAGTTATACCCATTTTGCTAGGTTTATCCTATGTATTGGTAATTTTGTAGCTATTATGAAAGGTCTTAGAAGAATTTTTAATTTTCTATTAGTTGCTGGGTTATGGTATTGCAAGTAATTTTTAAAATTTGAGGCTGGTTGTGGTGGCTCATTCCTGTAATCCTAGGACTTTGGGAGGCCAAGGCAGTTGGATCACTGGAGGTCAGGAGTTGGAGACCAGCCTGGCCAATATGGTGAAACCCTGTCTTCCCTAAAAATACAAAAATTAGCCAGTCGTGTTGGTGCATGCCTGTAATCTCAACTACTTGGGAGGGTGAGGCAGGAGAATCACTTGAACCTGGGAGGAGGAGGTTGAAGTGAGCCAAGATTGTGCCACTGCACTCCAGCCTGGGCAACAGAACAAGACCCCATATAAAAAAAAAATTGACCTTGCTAAATTCGTTTCTCAGTTCTAATAATTTATCTGTACAGTCTTTGGATCTTCACTGTACAGAAACATTATCTGCCAGAATTTTAATGACGATTTTACTTCTTCATTTACAATTCTTCTCTCTCTCTATATTTCATATTACATATTTTAATATTTATTTATTATATATTAATTTATATATTATAAATATATAAAGAAATATATTTCTTTATTTTGTTTACTGTAGTTTAGGGTCTTTTGTTCACTGCTAAATACATTATATGAGAGTGGTTTCTTATCTCTTCCTGATTTCAAAAAGAAGAATTTTGACCTGTTGTGATTAACTTTGATATTTTCTCTGTATTTTTGTAGTTAACCCTTATCAACTTAAACAAGATCCTTCTATTCTGATTTGGCCACTTTTGAAGAGAAAGTAGGAGAAAATACTTGTCTTAGAGGCTGAATAGATGTTACAGTTGTTTTTCTACACCTGCCACTCAGTCTCAAAGCCAGTATTACATCATGGCAGCACTTTACATCTAGGTACTAATTTCTGTCTCAGCCAGATTTTGGTGCATAACAAGAAGACAAAATATCAATGGCACTCAACAATTAGTCAGGATCTCTCATAAGCTTGTGGATTGGCTAGGTGGCTCTGCTTCAGGTTGGGTCCTGTGTCCTTGTGTTCTACATACTTATTTTGAATTATCATTTTTTTTTTTTAAATTGAGAATGATGATCTTTTCTCTTAACCTGAAGATAGTTCCAGGGGATGGGTCAAGATGGTGGACTAGAAGCAGCTCATGAGCACTGCTCTCACAGAGAGGAAACAAAGGGGCTAGTGAACACTAACCCTGCAGGCGGATTATCCAAGAAACCATGTTGGGATCCATCAAGGAAGCAGGGGGACACAGAGAGCAGGGAGGAGCAAAGCTGGCCACTAGCCTGTCTGGGCTCAGTGTGGAGTCAGTAGAACCTCTTCAATGTGGGAAAGGGTGTGAGTGAGAGCCCCCCAGGGGATTCACACCCTCCACAGAGACCCATGCAAGACTGTGAATGAGAGAATTTCCTTGGGCCCGCTGCACCCTATCACTGCACTTCTATACTGAGGCAGAGAGCTACCTGGGCATTTTATAGGGTCATCTCTCCAGTCCAGCAGGACCTCTATAAGCCTTGGGATCTGGAGCAGACCAGCACCAGCACCATAGCCCTAATAGAGGCTGCAGTCGTGGTTCCTGGGAGCAGTTAGATTGCTCTACCCTCCTTTGCCAGACAAGGCCCAGTACCAGCTTCCAGACCAGTGATCTCACTTTGTCTGAACTCATCAGGTGGCTGCAGCCTCCTGTTGTCCTGGGAAGCACCTGGACTGCAGGGTGGGTGACCCCATTCATCCCTGCCACTGGTAGCCAGGCAGGAAATGCCCGCTAGAGTTCCTAGCCCAGTGGTTCCACTTCTGTGTGAACTCAGCTGGTGGGCACAGCCTCCTGTTCTTCTGGGAAGCACTTGGATGGCAAGGTGGGTGACCCCACTGAGCCCCTCCTCTAGTAGCCAGACATACCACAGCTGCTAGAGCTTTCAACCCAGCAGTCCCACTTATGCCTAAACTCTGCAGGCAGGTGCAACCCCATCTTCTCCCAGGAAGCACTCAGACAGCGGATTAGGGCTGACCCAGCAAGAATATGGCCTCTCTGCCAACTGCTGCCCCTGCTTAAGGGAGACCTGTGGATCAGAACATCTAACAAAGGAAATGAAGGTACAGAGACAGTAATCAGCAGGGGTTCCTCCAAGACCCAGGAGCGACTAGAGGAGAAAGAACCAGCACGGGAACTTAGGCAACTCAAAAAGCCAGAGAATATTTTCTTACCTCCAAACAACCACACTAGTCCCCCAGCAATGGTTCTTAACTAGTCTGAAATGGCTGAATTGTCAGAAATGTAATTCAGAATATGGATAAGAACGAAGATCATCAACATTCGGGAGAAAGTCGAAACCCAAAGCAAGGACTCTAAGGAAGACTACAAAAGGACACGGGAGATAAAAGATGAAATGATCATTTTAGGAAAGAACCAAAATGAACTGATAGAGCTGAAAAACTCATTTCAAGAATTTCATAATATAATTGCAAGTATTAACAGCAGAATTGACCAAGCTGAGGAGAGAATCTCAGAGCTTGAAGATCAGTTCTCCAAAATAACTCCGTCAGACAAAGATAAAGAGAAAAAATTAAAGAAGAATGAACAAATAAAGAAGAATGAACAAAACCTTGGAGAAATATGAGATTATGTAAATAGACCAAATCTGTGACTCATTGATGTCCCTGAAAGGGAAGAAGAGAAATCAAGCAATTTGAAAAACATATTTCAGGATATCATCCTTGAAAACTTCCCTAACCTCACCAGAGAGGCCAACATTCAAATTCAGGAAATGCAGATAACCCCTATGAGATACTATACAAGATGACCATCCCTAAGACACATAGTCATCAGATTCTCCAAGGTTGAAATGAAAGAAAAAATATTAAAGGGAGCTAGGGAGAAGGGGCAGATCATCTACAAAGGGAATCTCATCAGGCTAACAGCAGACATTTCAGCTGAAACCCTAAAATTGGAAGATTGGGGGCCTATATTCAGCATTCTTAAGGAAAAGAAATTCCAACCAAGAATTTCATATCTAGCCAAACTAAACTTCGTAAGTGATGGAGAAATAAGATCCTTTTCAGACAAGCAAATGCTAAGAGAATTCATTACCACCAGACCAGCCTTACAAGAGATCCTTAAGGGAGTGCTAAATATGGAGAAGAAAGACTGTTACCAGCCATCACAAAGACACACTTGAGTATGGAGACCACTGACATTATAAAGCAACCACACAATCAAGTCTGCATAATAACCAGCTAACAACATGATGACAGGATCAAATCTGCACAAATCAATATTAACCTTGAATGTTAATGAGCAATTAAAAGGCACAGAGTGGCAAATTGGATAAAGAAGCAAGACTCACTTGTATGCTGTCTATAAGTGACTCACTTCACATGCAGTGATGAGCATAGGCTCAAAGTAAAGAGATGGAGAAAAATCTACCAAGCAATTGGGAAACAGAACAAAGCAGGGTTTACTATTTTAATTTCAGAAAAAAAAAAAAAACGGGCTTTAAATCAACAACGATGGAAAAAGACAAAGCAGGGCATTACATAATGGTAAAGTGTTCAGTTCAACAAGAAGACCTAACTATTCTGAATACATATGCACCCAATACAGGGAACACCTAGATTCATAAGGCAAGTTCTTAGACACCTATGAAGAGACTTAAATAGGCATACAATAATAATGGGGGACTTCAATACCCCACTGACAGTATTAGACAAATCATCGTAGCAGAAAACTAACAAACACATTCAGGACCTGAACTTGACATTTGACCAAATAGGCCTAACAGACATATACATAATTCTCTACCTTAAATCATCAGAATATACATTCTTCCCATCTGCATGTGGCATACACTCTAAAAATGATCACACAATCAGCCATAAAACAACCCTCAGCAAAATCAAAAAACCCCAAAATGTACCAAACACACTCTTGGACAACAGTGCAATAAAAATAGAAATCGATACTAAAAAATTCCCAAAACCATATAATTACGTGAAATTAAGCAACCTGTTCCTGAATGACTTTTAGATAAACAATAAAATTAAAGCAGAAATCAATAAATTATTTGAAGCTAATGAGAACAACGATACAACATACCAGAATCTCTGGGACACAGCTAAAGCAGTGGTAAGAGCAAATTTATGGCACTAAAAGCCCACATCAAAAAGTTAGAAAGATCTCAAATTAGCAATCTAACATCACACCTAGGGGAACTAGAGAAACAAGTGCAAATCAACCTCAAAGTTAGCAGAAGACAAGAAATAACAAAAATCAGAGCTGGACTGAAGGAAATTGAGACACACACAAAAATCATACAAAAGATCAATCAATCCAGGATTTTGTTCTTTGAAAGAATAAATAAGATTGATAGGCTGCTATCTGGTCTAATAAAGTAAAAAAGAGGGGAGATCCAAATAAACACTATCAGAAATGACACAGGTTACATTATCACTGACCCCACAGAAATATAAAAATCTCTCAGTGACTACTACAAACACCTCTATTGCACACAAACTAGAAAACCTAGAAGAAATGGTACATTCCTGGAATCATATGACCTCCCAAGATTGATCCAGGAAGAAACTGAATCCCTGAAAAGCCACTAATGAGTTCCAAAATTGAATCAGTAATAAAAAGTCTACCAACCAGAAAAAGCGCAGCCAAATTCTACCAGATGTAAAAGGAGTGCTGGTAAAATTCCTACTAAAACTATTCCAAAAGGGTTGAGAAGGAGCAACTTCTCACTAATTCCATAAGGCCAGCATCATCCTGATAGCAAAACCTGGCCGATACACAATAAATAAAGAAAAATTCAGGCCAATATCCTTGATGAACATCGATGCAAAAATTCTTACCAAAATACTAGCAAGTTGAATCCAGCAGCACATCAAAAACTTAATCCACCATGATCAAGTAGGTTTTATCCATGGCATGCAAGGTTAGTTCAAAATATGTATATCAAGAAATATGATTAATCACATAAACAGAACTAAAATCAAAAACCACATTATCTCAATAGAGGCAGAAAAGCCTTTGTTTAAAATTCAACATCCCTTCATGTGAAAAACCTTCAACAGACTAGGCACTGAAGGAATATACCTCAAAATAATAAGAGCCATCCATGACAAACCCACAGCCAATATCATACTGAATGGGTAAAAGCTGGAAGCATTACTCCTGAAAACTGGAACAAGACAAGGATTCACATTCTCACCACTTGTATTCAACATGGGACTGGAAATCCTAGCCAGAGCAATCAGGCAAGAGAAAGAGATAAAAGGCATCCAGATAGGAAGAGAGGATGTCAAACTATCTCTGTTTGTAGATGATGTGATTCTATACCTAGACAACCCCATAGTCTTGGCCCTAAAGCTACTAAATCTGACAAATAACTTCAGCAAAATTTCAGGATGCAAAAACAATGTTCAAAAATCAGTAGCATTTGTGTATATCAACAATGTCCAAGCTGAGGGCCACAGCAAAAATGCAATCCCATTAATAATAACCACAAAAAGAATAAAATACCTAGGAATACAGCTAACCAAGGAGGTGAAATATCCCTGAAATGAGAATTAAAAAAATCTGCTGAAATAAATCAGAGATGACACAAACAAATGGAAATACATTCCATACTCATGGATGGGAAGAATTAATATTTTAAAAATGGCCATCCCGCTCAAAGCAAAATACAGATTCAATGCTATTGCTATTAAACTATCAATGACATTCTTCAATTGTATTCATCATTCTTCATTCTTCAAATTTATATATATAAATTATATGTATAAAAATTTATTTCCATTATTTTTCAAGGTTCTAGTATGGCAACTAATTAGAAAAAAGTATTTTAAAATTCATATGGAACCATAAAAGAGCTTGAATAGCCAAGGCAATCCTAAGCAAAAAGAACAAAGCTAGAGCCATCATGTTACCCAACTTCAAACTAAACTACAAGCCTACAGAAACCGCAGCAGCATGCTACTGCTACAAAAACAGACACATAGACCAATAGAACAGAATACGGAGTCCAGAGATAAAGCTGCATGCCTACAACCATCTGATCTTTGACAAAGTTGACAAAAACAAACAATGAGGAAACAACTCCTTATTTAATAAATGGTGCTGGGATAAGTGCCTAGCCATATGCAGAAGATTTTTGCCTGACCCCTTCCTTACACCGTATACAAAAATTAAATCAAGATGGGTTAAAGATATAGATGTAAAACCTAAAGCTATAAAAACCCTGGAAGATACCCTAGGAAATACCATTCTGACCAAAGGACCTGGAAAATATTTTATGAGGAAGACATCAAAAGCAAGAGCAACAAATACAAAAATTGACAAATGAGACCTAATTAAATGAAAGGGCTTCTGCACAGCAAAAGAAACTCTCAACAGAGTAAACTGACAACCCATAAAATGGGAGAAAATATTTGTAAACTATGCACCTAACAAAGGTCAAATATCCAGAATCCCTTTAAAGCTTAAATAAATTAACAAGCAAAAACCAAACAACCCCATTAAAAAGTGGGCAAAGGACCATGAACAGACACTTTTCAAAAGAATATATATATATTCAAAATAATATATATATATACAGAAGAATATATATATATAATTCAATAGAATATATATATATATATATATATGGCCAACAAGCATATTAAAATATGGTCAACATCGCTAATTATTAGAGAAATGCAAATCAAAACCACAATGAGATACCATCTCACACCAGTTAGAATAGCTTTTACTAAAAAGTAAAAAAAAAAAAAAAAAAAAACCAAAAAAAACAGATGCTGGTGAGGTTGTGGAGATAAGAGAATGCTTATATACTGCTGGTAGGAATGTAAATTAGTTTAGCCATTGTGAAAAGTAGTGTGGTGATTTCTCAAAGAACTTAGAACTACCACTTGACCCAGCAATTTCATTACTGTGAATATACCTAAAGGAATATAAATTATTCTACCATAAAGACGTATACACGTCTATGTTCATTGCAGCACTGTTCACAATGGCAAAGACATGGAATCAACCCAAATGTCTATCAGTGATAGACTGGATAAAGAAAATGTGGTATATATACTCCATGAAATACTACACAGCCATAAGAAAGAACAAGATCATATCCTTTGCAACTGGAGGCCATTATCCTAAGCGAACTAGTGCACAGACAGAAAACCAAGCACTGCATATTCTCACTTATGAATGGAAGCTAAACCTTGAGTACCTATGGACACAAAGAAAGGAACAACAGACACTAGGGCCTACTTGAGGGTGGAGGGTGGAAGGAGGGAGTAGGTAAAAAATCTGTCTATTGGGTATGCTTATTACCTGCGTGATAAAATAATCTGTACATCAGACCCTCGTGACACACAATTTATCTATATTACAAACCTGCATATGTACCCCTGAACCTAAAAGTTAATAATAAAGAGAAAAATATAAATATAATTTAAAAATCTGACCTAATTACTAAAAAAAAGATATTTATATATAGTGTCATTACTGATATCTGAAACCTGTCTTATTAGTATTTTTAATTTCCTTTCACCTGCTGTATATCATCTTTTCTCTAATTTATTTTTCTAGATTGACTATTCTATTTAATCATTCTGTTTATATTTATTGGGTACACTGAAAGTTACTTAGTCTTTGTCTAATTTTTTAAAGTTTATCCTAGAAATTATAACTTGTATTCTTCACTTATGAAAATATTTTAATAATTGACACTTTTATTCTCTTCCTAAAATCAGTCCACCTCAGAATACATATTTACCCCCTCCCAAATTAAATGCTAACGTGTGTGTATAGGTATGTATGTGTAAAACCTAAAGTCAGTATTATTATTATTTTTAAAAGTCAATACTTATTTAAGCATTCCTGTATATTTATCCTTTTTCCCTCTACCTTTTTCTGCATCTCTAATTTTTCATTTGTAATGAGTATTCTTCTGCCCGAGATCACCCTTGGTAATTGTCTTATTTTGTAAGTCTTCTGGCGGTGAACTATCAGTTCTTTGTTTGAAAAATGTCTTTGTTTTGCTTCCATGTTTAAAGCATACATTCACTTGGTAGAACATTTTAGGTTGTCAATCATTTTACTTCACTACATTGAAGAAATCATTCAAGCAGTGTGCTGCTGAGAAGTTAGCCGTTAGCCCCTGGTTTACATTTTACTTCTTTGTCGATAGTAATCATTTTTTTGGTCTCATTCAAAGATTTTTCTTTTTTTTTTTTCTAGCTGCTCTGATTTAATTATGTCCTTTTCTTTTTATTTATTCTATTTAGCTTTTATTTATCTTGAATATGTTATGATGTATTTCATCAGTTCTGTAAAATTCGCAGAACTTACTTCTTTCAATAGTAGTATCTGTTCTTTTCTTTCAGGACTCCAATTACATGTATGTGAGGTCTTCTCATCATGTTCTCCATGTCTCTAACTGAAAAAAAAATATCGAGTTATTTTTCACGTTTCTTGAGATGGAGTTTTGCTCTTGTCACCCAGGCTGGAGTGCAATGGCGCGGTCTTGGCTTACTGCAACCTCCGCCTCCTGGGTTCAAGCAATTCTCATGCCTCAGCCTCCCAAATAGCTGGGATTACAGATGCCTGCTACCACGCCTGGCAAATTTTTGTATTTTTAGTAGAGACGGGGTTTCACCTTGTTGGCCAGGCTCATCTCGAACTCCTGACCTCAGGTGATTCACCCGCATTTTGTTGCTTCCTGCTTGATTCTGATTTTTTTCTTTTATGTATTTTTCAGTTCATTGATTCTGTTTTCACCTGTGTTTAATCTGGTCTTAAACCTATCCATTGAGTTCTCAATTACAGATTTATATTTTTATTCATATAAATTTATATGTATAAAAATTTATTTCCATTTATTTTTCAAGTTTCTAGTATGGCAACTTTTATGGTTTCTGGTTTCCTGTTAAAATAGTAATTCTTGGCTTTTATTTCCTTTACTGTGATAAACATAGCTGGTCTGCATCTGCTACTTCCATTACCTGAAGTCTTGTGTGTCTATTTCTGTTGTCTGTTGTCTTCCCAGTTCTTCCTCATGATGTCTATCTCCTGTTCACACATTGCTTTATTGTTTCCTAAAAGTCATATTTTAAAATTTATGTGTAGAAGTAACTTTAGTTCTAAAATGGAATTCCTTTTGTCCAATGCAGATTTTTATTTTTATTTTCCTCACTGTTACTTTTAGCATTAATTCCTTCCAGATGCTAGCACAAAGTAAAAGATATTTTACTAAGGTCCCTATGTGCTATCTGTCTTGGGCTTGGACTTTTCTCTCTACCTTTGTGAGGTCACCTAAAGCAGGTGCTTGAGTTATTTTACCCATAACTCCTTGGGCTTTACTATTATATTTTATATACCAGCCTTCTGACTACCAGAATCTGCATATCTTTGCCTCAGGGCTTTCTGCAGTACCCAGAGCCCACTCTCTTCAATACATGACAGGTCCGCAGTGCCAGAAAATAAAAACTTTCCTTGGAGTAACACTAAAGCAATGACTGGTGAAAGTTGGTGGATAAATATTCCAACTCCTTTTCTCCTAGGGTGAAATGGATTTTAGTCACGTACTCTGCACTACTTCCCAAAGTTTCATAGTAGGAATGAGCTTTAGTTACTTGCAGTGGGAACTTGCTAATAATATCATTATTTGTTGATACTGTTTTCCAAACTAACTTCCTCACTACCCTAATTGTGTTTTCTAGGATTATCTCTCAATAAGTTACTTATATTCACATCCTTGCCTTAGGAAACTCAAAGTTACTGTGTCAAAGTTACACATCAGTCTCCCAGCTACCTTGCCTGGATCAGCAAACTCTCTCAGTGCCAAAGTGGACCTGCTTATTAGACCCACTTGTCTAGATTCATGTCTTATTTTGGATCACAGTTCAGTAATTTCTCACTCTCTTATTAACTCTTCAATATGATTTAAAAGTTCTTCTAAGAATATATATTTTTAAATGTTTCAGTTGTTTTCAGTGGAAGAGTTAGTCCGAATTATCTAGCTCCCCATTAACAGATGTAGAAACTTCAAATCTTATCGCTTGAAATATTTTTTTCTGTTCGTTCTTTCATTCTCTTCTTTTGGATTCTAATTAGACTTATTTTGATATTTCTAAAACCATCAACGGGGCTGGTGATTTTAGACCTTATTATTCTTCCTTTAACCTCTTCTCTGTAATTTCCATTTTTTTCTCTCTGTATTTCAGGCTAAGCAATTTATTTATTTCAGTTTTTTCATCAACTGTTTCTAATCTGCTGTGAAAATCCTCTAAATTTTTATTTCACAATTATATTTTCATTATTTTTCCAAAATATTTCTGGTGCTTATTTTTATTTATTTATTTACTTACTTTTTTGAGACAGTCTTCCTCTGTCATCACAGCCGGAGTATAGTGACACAATCATAGTTCACTGTAACCTCAAACTCCCAGGCTAAAGTGATCCTCCCACCTCAGTCTCCCCAGTAGTTAGGACTACAGGCATGCTTCACTATGCCAGATTTATTTTTTTAAATTTTATTGTTGTAGAGACAATGTTTTGCTCTTGCCCAAGCTGGTCTTGAACTCCTGGGCTCAAGTGATTCTCCTGCCTTGGCTGCCCAAAGCACTGGGATTAAAGGAATAAGCCATCACACCAGCCTGGGCTTATTTTTTGATATTTTATTTTTGTTTCTTTAAACATTTCATACATACATGTTTATAATATTTCATATGCTGATTTCAGTATCTGAAGTCCTTATTGGTCTATTTTTTATTGTTTCTGATGATTCTCACTGATTTTGGTTTATTTCCTTGTGTAATTCCTGATCTTTGATTGTTAACACAAATTTGATTGCCATTAATCTGTAGGAAACTTGAAGTCTAAATCGAGAGTTTTTCCTCCAATGAGAAATTATTTTTGCTGAAAATTTTCCTAAAAGCCAAAGAGTGCTACTGAGCAGTGATCACTCTATTCCAAATCTTGGGTCCTTGGCTTAATATGTGAGTTTCATATTCAGTTTTTCTACCTTGCTACTGGGTCAAGGCATGGTGTCCCCCATCACACCTGTGAGATACATATATATATATATATATATTTTTTTTTTTTTTTCCCCCCCTGAGAGAAGCTCATGCCTTTTGGATGCACTTACTGTTCATCACTCTGGTGTCAGCAGAGATTTTCCTTCTTATTAAAGATTGCTATCCTAGCAATGCAATAAAAAGATTTTACTCGGGATCTAGCTGTTTTATCATGCAGAAGGCATTTGGAATACCTATTGTGCCATACTCAAAGAAGCAGAAACTTCATTTAAAATGTTTAATTCTACTTCATTGATGGTCCATGATAAAAATAAGAATTATTGAATAAAAATGTTAACTTTGTTAGCTTTTTAGAAAGCTAAACTTCAATTGAGATTCTTTTTCTTCTGGCTATTTAGATCTTGTGTTTTTAACAACTTTTAAAAATGTCACAGATAACATAGAACATATTTCTTTGTAAGCCTTTAAAGCTTTTCATAATAGGCTCACATTCTGTTGGTGCTCTCTTTGGTTTTTGTTATTGAAATTATTGGATTAGAAATACCTTGGAAGATGTTTTAAAATAAAAGTTTCTTAAACCTAACCCAGATTTGCTCAGATTCTTGGGTGTTGAGGGGCTAGGAAAATGGAGCCCAGGGATTTGCATTTTGAGTAAGCTATCAAGTGATTCTGATGTACAACTAGGTTTAAGAATCACAGATCTAGAAAATATCTGATTTGCTTTTGCCTATGAAAGACATTTTCAGGGATCTTATCTGAAATTTATTTTAATACTTCATTCATTGCTCATTCTTCCCCCACCCAGAAATATTTATTAAGTACATGTCAAATGCTACGGAGGTCATTAAGGAGCAATCTAACACACATTCATGGAGTTTATCATCTATATGGTAAGTTTAGTCATGCATTCAAGTATCTCGAGCGTAAGACAGAAACAGTCCAGTGCTGAAAAGGGGGTAACCATGAGAATTCCTCCAGTAGTCATCATGGCTATTGGCCGAGATAGGAAGTTGGGACCTTCATGGATACAAAAAGCCTTAAGAAAGAAGAATGAGAAGAAACAGAAAAAGAGTCTTCTAAGGCTTTCCAAGCCTCCTAAGGGTTTGTGGTCAGTTGAGCCTGGATTTAGTGAACACAACAAGATTATTCTTTCTGCTGATTTAACCAAATGTTTGAATTCTTTGGAAGTGTAAGAGTATAACAAGTTACTCTGTCTTTCTAGACTTTGCTAAATAGCTGCCAAAAATAGACTTTCAGCCTTGAATGGCTGTGTGGTAATAGAACTGTCATGGGCAGAAATATGACTTTCTGTCAATAAATACTTACTACTAAGGTGTAGATTTATGGCAGCAATTACTGTCTCCATGTTGCCTCTCTGCTAGCAAGTTAATGACCACCTTCGCAGCTCTTTCGGTCCCACAACTATTGGGGTCCATGATTAGTTGAAAGGGTAACAACCTATAGGCTGAATCAAGTTTTGACATAGAGGGGGATAAAAAAGGAAGGAAAAACCATGTTGCCTTTGAAATATATGGTTGGTATGTTTGCACCAGTGGAACCAGAACTCTAATAATTCTTTGAGTATTTAGCTTAACAGTCATCTCTTTAGCAAACTCTTTCTTACCATTCTTATGAAGAAGATCCGTTATTTTCTATTATTGCACCTGGTTTGTTTTCTTTATAACACTTATTACAAATTGTGATATATATTCTTCTTTTTTCTTGTTTACTGTTTCTCTCACTGGAATGTGGCTCTTTGAGACCATAGATTGTCTGTGCTTACTTCATCCTCTATCCCCAGAGCCAAGAAATGTCTGGAACAGAGTACTCATTACATTTCTGTTGAATAAATGAAATGCTACTGTGCCACAACAGTGAGGAGTGCTGAATGAGTGTTTGGTGAATTGAATCCAAATTCATACCAAAATTACGTATTCTTTTATTTCACTTCATAATAGTCTTTTATATGTTTAGGGTGCAATTTAGTAAGCACATTTTAGATTTATCTATTTTTTTGTTATGGCAACATCATCTGTTAGCTGGCTTCTGGTTGTCTCTACCTGCAATTCATCCTAAACATAGATGCTAGACCGGTTTTTCGAGAACAATCCATCTTGTCATGCTTCTGCTCAAAGCGTTCAGCAGCACCCTATTACTTAGAGAATACTATTATATTGCTTAGACTGCTTTCTCCACTCTAAATTTTGACTTTGTTCTCCAACTTTATCTCTCATCCTCCCTTGGTAAAACTTCGACTTCACTGGTACTGGTCTATTTAATAGACTTCTCTTTTCTTACCACCCCTTGCTTCATTCACACATATCATGAACATTCCCTCCGGATCACAAAGTTCTTTCTATTTGATATGCCATCTTTTTTTCACTTTGTCTATTGAAAGCCTACCTATCTAAATATTGAACTTTTAATGAAGCCTTCCAGGCCAATCTAACCCATGGGATTGTTCCTTTCTTCTTGTGCTGAAGCCCAAGTATTGCTTTATTTTCTCCAATAGCATCTTACGTTTACTATCTGGTTTTGATGCATAGTTTTTATGTGTATATTCTGCACAGAAAATAGCTTATAAATCTCCATGTATAGACACTTCTGTATTCACCCAGCTCCTTACTCAATGCAATTCATTGAGCAAATATTTAAAAAGTAATTACTGGATGAATAGTGAATAAATTAATAAATAAATCTTGCAGGTGCAGTATGTTAGCAAAGAAATCTAGATCTGGGATTTTCAACAAGATTCACCTGCCCTTCTGATAGTGATTATTATTTGATTGATATTGGATAGCTTGAACATAGAGTTAAGAATTCTTGACTTAACATGTAGAATGCCATATCAGTATGTTTGTCTGGGTGAGAAAGAGAAAGTGGCAGGATGCATGCCATAAGTTCATTTGAAGTATCTGAAATTGCCTTCATAGGTTAAAAATGGTCAAATATTGGCAGTATTGTATTGTTCAACCCAATACTCATTTATCTCGAATTTTAAATTGTTCTGAACTAATTTTTTCTACTCTGTGAAATGCTTTGATACCCCTGTCAGAATTCATGCCAATGGATTAGTTCAGTGTGCATCTATCATCAGATAGTTGGCAAAATTTCCAGATCTGTTATGTCATGTACCTTTGGCTAGATATGGCTTGAAGTCTACAGATAGGTAAGACTGGGTACTACCTTTTCTAGGGATAGTAAAGGAAAATAAAATATTCGGGCACTAAATAGTACAGTTACTACATTTAGTTGCTAATACATAGGATAATTTATTTCCATGCTCTTTGTAGAAGCCTTATAATTAAGGAAATAGTGTCATAAATTTTCTCAGATCTAGAAATCTTTGCTAAAAATTCAGTTATTTAATTTTCATATCAATATTTGAGCTTGTAATAGTAACAGTTTCTAATTACTTATGTTCAGCAAGGTTAACTCTACTGATGTGCTTATGTTTTCTGCTATGTAGTATTTTTTGACCATATGGAGCCCCTAATTTGCATTTCGTGTTTGCCATTCATCTTCTCAATGGACTATGGAACAGTGACAAATGACTAATCACTGAGGGAAGAAATGTTGGGGGTCAAATCAGGACAAGCCATTAGTGAGCAGTTTCTTTAGCATAAAATATTTTAATTCTGCTTCTCAAGTTATATTTAAGATATGCAAACAAATTCATCCATTGTCCAGGGTCTTATACTATATATTTTCTTTGAATCTGTATTTTGAAGACTGACTTCTCTTAAAGTCAAGACACAAAGTGAGTTTATCTCATGTACGAACTCTGATGTTTAGGTTCTGATTGCGCAGGGGTCCCCACTGAGAATAAATCACAGTGTTTGTTGTGGGGAAGTACTGTGCATTTTTTGATCCTTCTAAATAGTCAGTGACTTATTGTAGGCAAGAAGGCTTGGTCTTAGAGTTTGATGAGCAGTCTTAGAGTTTGATGAGCAGGAACAACAACAAGAACCTGGTTTTCAAATGAGAAGAATTTGATATTCTTCTCATTTGAAACAAGAACAAGAATCACCCAATGTTTTGGCTGATTTTTCGTCTAGTAGAACCACTCCCCTAAGCTGTGGTACTGAGACCTCATTTCCAGGATAAATGCCAGGTCTAATTAGTATGTCTTTATGCTTCTTGTCTGTAAAATAGAGATAAAATTGTGTTACCTTTTTCTTTGTACACTAATAACCTCCCTTCTGATAAACTTAATTGGAGAGGAGAGTCAGAGCTAGCTGAATAAATAAAGTCATTAAGTAATTTAAATCTTTTGAGTATATTAACATAAGTTCTCCCTCCTTCCATTTCTTCTTTCTTTCATTTTTTGCTCTTTTTCTTTGTTTTGTTTTGCTCAGAGCCTAAACAGACTTTTTTTTTTTTTTTTTTTTGAGACAGGCTCTCACTCTGTCACCCAGGCTGGAGTGCAATGTGCAGTGGTGCCACCTCGGCTCACTGCAGCCTTTACTTCCTGAGCTCACCTCCTGGGCTCCCATCTCAGCCTTCCAAGTCCCTGGAACTATCGGTGTGTGCCACCACACCTGGCTAAGGCTTTTGAATAGATATGAGTGAAGAAATATTTGGAAAGGGTAACTAACTGTTGGTTTCATTTTATCTGAATTAATTTTTTAGACATACTGAATAACCCAGAGTGATATGATGGAAATGAATTTTAAAAGTAGACATGTAACCATTAAAAAATGAAGGGGAGGTACTTGAACAACTTATTCAAAAGAGGAATACAACTTTTGATGATGCTACTTTTAGGGAGGGCACAGACTTTGAGAGTCTGATTTACAGTCTACTCTGGAGGGGCTAGTTTAACTTGAAAAACCTGAGAGTCCAAGCAGGTTTCAGTAGTCTGAAGTTTTATTTTTCTAATAGACATGGAATTCATTAACGACCAGGGTATGGCATACACTACAATACTGACATCTTAGTCCAGTGCCTGGCACACTGAGGTGTTAAATGAGAATTTGTTGAATTAATCAGTGGATGCATGAATGTATAGAACTGGCAAAGGTGGAGCTTTGCCAGTTTCTGCAATTTTATTTATATTGTCTATGATAATTTTGAGCTCTTTGATTTGGTGCTTCCAAACTACAACCCACCTTTACCTCTTCTTTTTGAACACGAAGGCTTAAAAGACTTTGCTTTCTCTCTTGGTATTACTATAGATTAACCTGTCATAGAAAGGCCGTGCCAAAAAAATAAATAGTGCAGGGTAATCGATAGTAAATAACATGGCTGACATGTGGTGTGCCATTTATTGACTCTGGCTTTGAACTAGTGTGTGTGTGTGTGTGTGTGTGTGTGTGTGTGTGTGTGTCTATTATGACTCTTCTTCTTCTTCTTCTTTTTTTTCTTTTTGAGATGGCTCTGTCGCCCAGGCTGGAGTGCAGTGGTACGATCTTGGCTCACTGCAACCTCTGCCTCCTGGGTTCAAGCAATTCTCCTGCCTCAGCCACCTGAGTAGCTGGGATTATAGGCACCCGCCACCACACCCAGCTAATTTTTGTATTTTTAGTAGAGATGGGGTTTCACCATGTTGGCCAGGCTGATCTTGAACTTCTGACCTCAAGCGATCTGCCCACCTCGGCCTCCCAAAGTGCTGGGATTTATAGGCGTGAGCCACCGTGCCTGGTCTATTATGACTCTTCTTAAACTTTAGTCTTTGTTAAACTAACATGAGTTCATTGCTTAAAAAATAGAAAATACGATAAGCAAAACCTCAAATTACTGACAATCTGACCACCTAGGGACAATCACTCTTAATATTTTATGGACTTATATGTTTTTTATAAGTTTTAACTTGATGAATTATGAATATTCTTGTCAATAAATATACATCTATATAATTACTTTTGTGGCTACATAAGTTGGACATTTAGGTCATTTCCAATTTTTGGTTTTATGTATAATACTGTGATGAGGATCTTCATGCATACATCAATGAACATGTCACAGAATATTTCCTTTTAATACGTTTTTTGAAGTGAGCGTAATTCTTCAAAGCAAATTGAGATGAAAGTCAGGAAGATCAGAAAAACAATAAGATGTAAGCCACATTTCTATAATTAGTAAAAAAAGTTAATGTTATTTATTATTAATGTGTCATGGACTAGATATACACTGACTCAAAACAAAAAAAACACCAAACAAACTGATACTTTTTATCAGTTGGCACAAATGATAAAAGATAAACTCATTGCCAGTATGGGTGTGGGGAAATAGGCATACCTATGTTCTATTACACAAATGTTTTGGAAATTATTTTTAATTTATAAATGCAACTTTTATTATGAAAAAATGCAAACATATACAAGAGAATATCATAGTAAGCCTCTATGGATGCTTATCAAGGGTTAAAAATCAGAATCTCACAGCCCATCTTTCCTATATACCCCATTCACTAAACAATACCCCAATTAATTTGAAACAAATACTATGCATACAATTTCATTCATATTTAAGTATTATATCCAAAAGACAAAAGATATTCTTTAAAAATACTATCACAATACCACTATCAAATCTAAAAATTTTAACAGTAATTTCTTAATATCATTAGTGTTCAAGGTTCCCAGATTGTCTCATTTTGTTTTCTACAGTTTGTGTGAGTCTGGATCCAAATAAGGTCATAGTTCATGATTAAATGATATATCACTTGAGTCTCTCTTAATCAATGAGTTCATCTACCACATCTTTTTTCTTCTGATTTTTTGGTTGAAGAACTCAGGTGTTTTTCCTACAAGGTTTTCATATTTTGAATTCTGCTGATTCCAACCCAAGTTGTTGAACTGTTTGATGACTCTGCAGTACAGTTCATGTGGTAAAGGCAGGATTTATACTTTCTCTTTGCCTTTCCTCTTCCTCTGCCTTTTCTTCCTTTTCTTTTTCATTAGTTTTCTGTCTAATGAGTTGATTCCTTAGGATTCAAAAGTTGCCTATAATGTTTTTGTTAGTCATACTATAAATTCATATTTTAAAACTGCTGGATGTTTTAACTGATTGCAATGGACTCCAGTTGCCGCAATTTTTGCCAATAGCTGGCTGTTCGGATTAACTCTTGGGTCTTCTTGAAATGACCTTAGAAACCTTTCATAGATTCCTTGATCACAAGATGTTCAGGTTCATTTTACAGATTTCCTACCACAGACTTGTATTTGGCCACTTCTCTAAGGAGCCCTGGTTCCTTTAAATGGGAAATGGTATTTAGGGGCCACAATTTTGGTATTAGAAGTGTCCTTTGCTACTGAGTCCTTCCTTGTTTCTATGCCTTTTCAATAGACAAGACTAGGACGTATGATTCTTTTTAAGAAACAAAATATATCATGAATTTTACTGATACTTCCAATCCATATTCAGGACTACAGTCTTTTTATTTTACTTTACTGATCTTACATCCATTTTCTTTCTCCCATCCTGGATACCTCAGCTCTCAAGAACACTAACATAATTACTTTTCTGCTTAGTCACATTCACAGTAGTCTCAGAATAAAAATATCAACATTATTGCCAACAACATGATTACTAAAAATAGTTTTTATTTTCAATTCTTTCTTTTCTTGAGGTATATATTCCAATAGGAAGGTGTAGTCAAACTATTGGTGCCTATTGGTGACTTGAAATAGTTACTTTCTCTGTCATTACATAGTTAGCTTAATATGTTTCATTTTATCTTCAATGTCTGTCGGTTGCATTTTTACATTAAATGTTATTTTATAATTATTAAAACATAATTTTAATGTTAATTACCTGTTATGCAACAAAGTAATTAAGTCTAGCTTGAATTCTTAACTCTCAGCTCTATTTACTTTGTCTTCTTGAAAGAATCAATTCCAAAAATTTTATGATTGGATTTTCACTTTTTAAAAAATATAAGCAATGATGTAAATACATTTGTTTCCTCTTTTTTAGATGTAGAGTAGCAGATTTTGCACACTTGTCTACAACTTGCACTTTCTATTCTGCTGTGGTCATCACTCCATAGCAATGTGTGTGTGTGTGTGTGTGTATGTATGTGTGTGTATATTTATATAGAAATATACATATATACAATTTTTTTTTTGAGACAGAGTCTCGCTCTGTTGCCCAGGCTGGAGTGCAGTGGCGTGATCTTGGCTCACTGCAGCCTCCGCCTTACAGCATCCCTTCCTCAGTGTCATTCTCCTTCCTCAGCATCCCGAGTAGAGAATACAGGCACCACCACCACGCCCAGCTAATTTTTGTATTTTTAGTAGAAACGGGGTTTCGCCATATTGGCCAGGCTGGTCTCAAACTCCTGACCTTGTGATCCACCCTCCTCAGCCTCCCAAAGTGGTGGGATTACAGGCGTGAGCCACCGTGCCTGGCTGATTTAACAAGTTTTCTAATGATGCGCAAGATGGTTGTTTCAGCTCATTTGCTGTTACAACTCATGCTGCATTTAAGTTATGAGCTAGTCTTGAGCCAGCTTAAATGTATATAGAAATTTTCCTCTCTCTCAGCACATTCATGGATAGTGTATGGAATGTAGGATGAGGTAGAGGTGAAGAATGTACATGAAGCAGTGAGACTGACATAGTAGGTTTAGACGATAGCACAGCAGCACTCATCACCAAGTGGCCATTAACATCAAGCTGAGGAAGTTTCATTTTTATTTCAGAATCAAATCAGATCCAGGGAAAGGTTTTAAGTATGCAAGTCAAATGCTGATATGAGCATTAGCAAAGTTAGTCAGTGGCTCCAGCCCAATTCCTGTGGTAAAGAATGGGTTTCCTGGGAGGGTCCCTCACATAGCAGGGATGGTCAGCTTTTCTATCATGGCAGCTTTGATTTAGTGTGGGATATTTGTGCTTTTTTATGAAAAAAATTCTCAAGAGCTTTTGAGTAATCAGTGAAGCCTGAACATTTTTGTCAGCTAAAGTGCCCTGAAATCAATGCCATGGCACTGCCATGAACATACAAACTTCATCCTAACATTCAAAATTACATAGATTGTTACTCTCCATAGTCCACTTCATCCAGAGATTGCTGAATTATCACTTCCTTTTGTACTATGAAATGGTCTATTCTCCAAAGTAGAAAAATATTAAAAATTTTGCTTTATTATTTTCATCCATTATTTTGAAATAGATACTTAAAAAATAAAGCCAGTGCTCAATGTGATGTTATGGCCAAATCAATGTGGGTCTCAATTTTTTTTTTTTTTTTGAGACACAGTCTCGCTCTATCACTCAGGCTGGAGTGCAGTGGCATAAACATGACTCACTGTAGTCCCAACCTCCAGGGCTCAAGCAGTCCTCCTACCTCAGTCTCTTGAGTAGCTGGGACCCCAGGCATGCGCTACCATGCCCAGCTAATATTTTTATGTTTTGTAGAGACAGGGTCTCGCCATGTTGCAAAGGCTGTTCTTGAACTCCTGGGCTCAAGCAATCCTCCTACCTCAGCCTCCTGAAGTGCTGGGATTACAGGCATGAGCCACCATGCCTAGCCAAGGAACTTAAATTCTTATTTGGTAAGGAAGCAAGTTAATCTTTTCAGATTGAAGAATCCATGCGTTTCCTTGAGTTTGGGCATCAGGTGGTCTTATGAAAATACTGAACAATTCAATATTCCCATGAGTCTAGACAGTGTCCATTCTATCTTACTGTATTCATGGGTTTTAATTAATGTCAGTGGGGGGCATAGGCAAACTCTGGGGGCCAGAGTTTTCCTCGGGATGGGACATAAAATGGAGTATATGTGAGACAGATAATCTGACAAACTGATTCTAGATATTATCTGGACTAATAGACAAAGGTAAGTTTGAAAAGAAATAGGATGAGGAGAATTTGCCCCCAAATACTAAGATGCATTTTAGATTTGTAACAATTTAGTAAGACTGGTACTAATACAAGTATAAATTGACATATTGATGAAATTCCTAAAATTCTTTATTATTGTAGTAGATGATTGTTGGTTATCTGCCATGTTTCAGGCATGTTCTAGGCTCAGAGAATATTTATAATGCTGAACAAGACAGTCAAGGTCCCAAGGTTCCTCTTGTTGAGCCTACATATTAGTGGGAGAGATAAACAATAAATAAATAAATAAGCAAACACATACATAAATAATAAGGAAATGTTAGATTGTAATAAATGCTATGAAGATAATAAAATTCATGAAAGAACAGAGAACACTTGAGTATCTAAGGGATATTTCTCATTTGGGTGATCAGAAAAGACCTCTCACAGAAGTGGATTTTAGAACAGACACCAGAATGAGACAAAGGAACCATCCAATAATCTGGGGGAGGACCAGACCAGAAAGAAGGAACAAACTCTGGTGAAAGCACTGGGGCTAGAAATAGCTTAGTTTTTAAGAATAAGAAAAAGCCAGTGAGCTCTAAATGTAGGGAGAAAGGAGGTAAAGTTGGAAAGATAAGCAGAGAATATGTAGGAATTTGGAGGTCTGGTAAGTGCAATTCATACTCCCTTCGTAATCCTAGTACATAATTCATATGTAGTACATATAAGAATATCATGCATATTAAAGAATGCATCATCTCAAGCCAATGAGGAGCTGATGGGCTATTCAAAAAGTGGTGTTGGATGCATTTGTTGTTTGTGCAAAAACATAATATTCTTACATCAAACCATACAACAAAATAAATTACAAGTGGATTTACAAACTTAACATAAAAACCCAAACCATAAAATACTAGAAGGAAACATGGAAAAATATGTATATGAGTTTAGTGTAGGAAAGAATTTTCTAAACATGAAATCAGTATAAGAAATCACAAAAGAAAACAGTTAGAAAAATGTCTTCAATAAATGTGGCAATGCATATAAAGCTAATCAATGAGGCCAGAAAAGCACTGAGGCTACAATTAATGAAATAACAAAAGACATAAATGGGTAATTCACATAAGAATAAATGCAAAAACCTTCTGAACTTATGAAAAAAAATTCAGCCTTACTAGAAATAAAATATAGTTTATTGAAAACAAAGAAAGTGATGTGACTTATGCCTGTTATGATGGCAAAGAAAAAAAATGATGATATTCAATTCTACCGAGAGTGTGGTGGTATGGACATGTTCAGATAGTTTTCATGTAAATTACACTCTTTTAACCATTAACCTTTACTTTTTGGGAATGTATATCAAAAGTATTAAAATTAAAATTCACCTTGTGTAGAGTAATTGAACATGTAAGAGCCTTTCTAACGTGAGTAATCAGAGATGTGAATAAAGATTTGAATGCAAGGACATTTACCAGAGCCTGGTTTATAAAAGTAAAACATGAGTAATAACCTAATGCTCAACAGTAAGGGAAGGATGATGCAAAAATACAGTTATGCACCCATTGAAAATTAAGGTTAGGCACACAGAGAATTTTAAACTGTTTGTGCAGTAGGTATTTTGTGCAAAAAAATTGCTACATTTTATTTATATAGCCAGCCACTAGCTTTCTCTTTCTCCCTCTTTCTGGAAGAAAATACAACAAACAGTTGAGGTGGTAATAAACTAGAGGTAAGATTATAGATACTTATTTTCTTATTTATCTTCTCTAGTTTCTGAATGCTTTACTACTAACATATATCACTCCTATAATCAGGAGAAAATGACGATTTTTTTTTTTTTTACCAATAAAAAGCATACCCTAAAACACAGTGTGTGGATTTTAAACAGTCATTGCAGGGCTTCACTTCCTTTCTGAACCTGGCTGCTGCTGGTGCTGCCTTCCAAGGGAGGATGGGAAGGGATCATCATCACTATTTTTGAGAGAATCCAGGCGTCTCAGATTGGGCAAAGGCATGAGTGTAATTGTGAGCAAGGGTAAATGCTTCAGGAGAGCATGAGGTAGGACTGACCTGCCAAGTCAGTTCATTTTTGACACATGTGCACCCTCTCTCAATTATCTTAATGCCACCTTATTGTACTACTTAAAATTCTAAGAGTTAAAAATTAATTTGGGACAATAGTCTTCTACATATAGATGTGAGTATGAATATAAGAACAATAATCTCTGGGTGGATTACAGGTCTATTCATTCATTCATACTTAAGTACGATTTGGGACAAAAGCAGTCAGATTGATTACACTTGAGGGAATAGGAGTTTTCTTTATGGGAAAGGAAAGGTAGGGCTTTTGGCATATGGCGTTCTTTGCTGAGTAGGAGCCTGCAGGGAGATGTGCTGCTCAGGAGGAATTAGGGCAACGTGAACAGTCTGGATGGTTTCCAGTCTCTAAGCTTTGGTGTCCTTACTTGTATCATAAGAAAAATATCTATGTATAGGATAAATATACTATAGCATAAATAAGATAGTGCCTAGAATATCTGAGCATACCATAAATGGTAGAAATGGAAATGATGATGTTGATGACAGTGATGTTCGTTAGGGGAGTAGTTCTAAACGAATGAAACAGTATTAAACATCAGTGGGGCTGCTGGAAGGGAAATGGAATTTTCCTCTTGCTTCATCTGGCAGCATGAGGCTTCTTGTACCTAAATCCTAGTAAGCAGGCAAAAATGATCAATTAAGAAATTTCTACTCCCTCTTTCTAAGTGGTGGCTGCCAGAATGGCAGAAATGAAATTTTCCTTCTTACTCATTTGCTATCATACTTCAAAGTAAGTTACTCAGAGGTACCCCAGTGGCCTGAAAAAAGTTATCTTCAAAGCTTGTTTTCAGCCTGGGAGTAGCTGAGTCATCCAGGGAAAATCTGAGTCAAATACCAGTGAATCAAGGAAATAGAAATGATATTTTACAGTTTGGTTGCAGCTGAATAAGGAGGACATGATTGGGCTGTTTGTAAAGTTTGCTTGGTGTACCTTATTATAATGTAATGGAAGCCCACAAGGAATAGCTAATAAAATTGAGTATGAAGTATTATGCTTTCTCAAAGTGCGATAGAAAAGCCAAATTTTACTATTTATGCTCCTATGTAAACATCATTAGGACTAGGTTCTCTATTGCCCCCAAAGATATATTTTAGTATCTCCTGCAAAGTTAGAGCTGAATTTTATGACTCTGTTTTCATGGGTATATGCCCTGTCAGCAGATGTTAACTGAAGATGCATGAAGAGGAGAAAGTCAATTCGACATCGGCATCTTTCTAATGCTTGCTGATGTATAAAACATCCCAGCCACCCGGGCCCGAAGGCTAGAAGTAAACTGCTTTGCCACAAAGGATAACGTAAGTCTCTGCATTCTCCAAGCTCGAGGACTGTTTTTACAGAAATATCACACACCAAATAGGATACTTTTTCACACTTTTTTCCCAACTCCATGGCATCTGGGAGTGGCCAAGTTTAGCCAGCCACGAATTGGTGATAATGAATGGTGATAAGGCTTGATCTATATGTTTTCCAGATGTTCCCTGGCTTGATGCTGTATCTTCATTTCATTGGCCACAATTACCCAGTTGTGGGTAATAATTCAGCAGTCATTCACAACATTAGTCTGATAGCAGGCCAGATAGACTCTTGGCATATTTGGCCTTTACAATAACCAATTAGTTTCACTGAATTGTGTGTGTGCGTGTGTGTATATTTTATATTTAGTTCCTCCCCTGTCTCTTTCTTTGTCATATTTCCTTTCCTTGGAATTAGGGATAACAAGAATTGTTGAGAAACACTGGATAATGGGTCTAAAGGTCATAGTTATAATCCTGGCTTTATAACCATCTATATATTTGAACTCAAACAAGTTATGTAAGTTCTCTGGGCCTGAGATTTCTCATCAGTACTATTAGGAGGTTGGATTTAATAATCTCAAACTTTCCTTTTCTAAAATCTAGCGAGTCTGACCTACCTCATGCTCAGAGATGTCGGATATATGGGGACTTCTGTGGGGTGGAAGAGAAGCATGAGTCTATGCCCATAGGAGCTTATGTTCTTATTGAGGGAATAAGGGAATAAATAACAAAATGAGCTGGTATGTGATTAAAACAAGCTGACAGCTAATAAGTTAGCAGCAGTTATAAAACTATGTGTTAGGTACTGAGAAGGGCACTTAAGCAATGTTATTAATTTTTCTTTTTTAGGGTTGGGATCTCACTGTATTGCCCAGGCTGGTTGTGAACTCCTGATCTCAGGCGATCCACCTGCCTCAGCCTCCCAAATTGCTAGGATTACATGTGTGAGCCACTGCACCTGGCCTTTATGTTATTAATGAATATTGAGTTGTTAGGGAAGGACAGGTTATTGTGAACTGCACTGATGGGAGAAGTTTTATGCAGAAATTAGGACTTATATAAGTAGAGATAATGGGTGTGGAAATGCAAAGTACAGCAATAAAGGGCATTTCTGGCAGGGGAATTCGTGGGAGGAAAGGGGAGGACACAGGGTGAGCACTGTCAATTTGGCTTCTGTCTGCCCTTCTGTCCCCTGCATTTTTTCAATATGACTTTTTCTTATAAGAAATCTGCTTTTGTGGATCAACTCTCAGTTTTCTTTCACTTGCTTCACAGTTCTAAGAAAGGGTTATTAAGAGCCTGGAACAATAGACTCGAAATCTCTGGATGATCCAGGGATTTCTCTAGGTTTCAAGAGCACGGATTTATGGCATGATCTACAGCAGTGATTCATGGACTCACAGTCTTTCATCTGTGATGATACCAAAGAGGAGGGGTCCACACATGTGGTGTACTCTGTTCTCATGGGTGTGCCAAGGCTTTTCGGTATCTCTGGCCCCCAGGCTGACACCCCACCCCATTCTGTCCCACTGAAGAAAGTATACTAGAATGCAAATAAGCAGGGGAGACATTGTTATAGTCATTACTTTTGCTCACTCTATTAAAAAAAGGTCCCTTTGCAGACTTGGTTAACCTGTTTTTAGTTAATAGTAGACTTCGTTTATTGTTTAGTATGTGCTTGGCATTAGGCCAAGCACTTTAAGATGACTATCATTTAAGTATCAAAATAACCCTGTGAGGTATGGACGATTATTATACTCAACTTTTCTAGGTGTCTGGCTCTTTATCATTACATAGATTACCTTATGTAATTCTAACCATAGCACTATAAAATTAACTATTAATTATTGTTATCATTTTTAAAATCTTCAACTTTTTAATTTTAAGTTCAGGGGTACATGTGCAGGAGGTGCATATTTGTTACATAGGTAAACATGTGCCATGATGGTTTGCTGTACAGATCATCCCATCACCTAGGTATTAAGCCCAGCATCCATTAGCTATTCTTCCTGAAGCTCTCCCTTCTTCGCCACCCCACCACGACAGGCCCTAGTGTGTGTTGTTCTCCACCATGTGTCCATGTGTTCTCATTGTTCAGCTCCCACTTGTAAGTGAGAACATGTGGTGTTTGGTTTTCTTTTCCTGTGTTAGTTTGCTGAGGATAATGGCTTCCACCTCCATTCATGTCCCTGCAAAGGACTTGATCACATTCCTTTTTATGGCTGCATAGTATCCCATTGTGTATATATACCACATTTTCTTTATCCAGTCTATCACTGACAGATATTTGGGTTGATTCCATGTCTTTTCTATTGTGAATAGTGCTGCAGTGAACATACACATGCATGTATCTTTATAATAGAATGATTTATATTACTTTGGGTATATATCCAGTAATGGGATTGCTTAGTCAAATGATATTTCTGTCTCTAGATCTTTGAAGAGTTTCCACACTGTCTTCTACCACGGTTGAACTAATTCACACTTCCACCAACAGTGTAAAAGTGTTCCCTTTTCTCTGCAAACTTGATAGCATCTGCTGGTGATGATTACTTTTTAATAATCACCATTCTGACTGGTGGGAGATGGTATCTCATTGTAGTTTTGATTTGCATTTCTCTAATGATCAGTGATGTTGAGCTTTTTTCCATGTTTGTTGAATGCGTGAATGTCTTCTTTTGAGAAGCATATGTTCATGTCCTTTGCCCACTTTTTAGTGGGGTTGTTTGTTTTTTTCTTGTAAATTTGTTTAAATTCCATGTAGACTCTGGATATTAGACCTTTGTCAGATGGATGGATTGCAAAAATTTTCTCCTATGCTGTAGGTTGTCTGTTCACTCTGATGCTAGTTTCTTTTGCTGTACAGAAGCTCTTTAATTAGATCCCATTTGACAAGTTTTGCTTTTGTTGCACTTTATTTTTGTGTTTTTGTCATGAAATTTTTACCTGTGCCTAGGTCCTGAATGGTATTAGCTAGATTTTCTTCTAGGGTCTTTCTAGTTTTGAGTTTAATGTGTAAGTCTTTAATCTGTCTTGAGTTAATTTTTGTATAAGGTGTAAGAAAGGGGTCCAGCTTCAATTTTCTGCATATGGTTAGCCAGTTCTCCTAGCATCACTTATTAAATAGGGAATCCTTTCCCTATTGCTTGTTTTTGTCAGGTTTGCCAAAGATCAGATGGTTGTAGGTGTGTGGTCTTATTTCTGAACTCTCTATTCTGTTCCGTTGGTCTATGTGTCTGTTTTTGTACCAGCACCATGCTGTTTTGGTTACTGTAGCCTTGCAGTGTAGTTTGAAGTTGGGTAGTGTGATGCCTCCAGCTTTGTTCTTTTTGCTTAGGATTTTCTTGGCTATTCAGGGTCTTTTTTGGTTCCAGATGAATTTTAAAATAGAATTTTCTAATTCCGTGATGACTGCAATGGTAGTTTAATGGGCATAGCATTGAATCTATAAATTACTTTGAGCAGTATGGCCATTTTCACAATATTGATTCTTTTTACCCATGAGTATGGAATGTTTTTCCATATGTTTGTGTCCTTTCTGATTTCTTGGAGCAATGGTTTGTGTTCTCCTTGAAGAGATCCTTCATTTCTCTTGTTAGCTGTATTCATAGGTATCTTACTCTTTTTGTAGCAATCGTGAATGGGAGTTAATTCATAATTTGGCTCTCTGCTTGCCTGTTGCTAGTGTATAGGAATGCTAGCGATTTTGCACATTCATTTTGTATCCTGAGACTTTACCTAAGCTGCTTATCTGCTTAAGAAGCTTTTGGGCTGAGATGATAGGGTTTTCTAGATATAGAATCATGTCATCTGCAAACAAAGATAATTTGATGTCCTCTCTTTCTATTTGAATATGCTTTATTTCTTTTTCTTGCCTAATTGCCCTGGCCAGAACTTCCAACACTATGTTGAATAGGAATGGTGAGAGAGGGCATCCTTGTCTTGTGCTGGTTTTCAAGGGGAATGCTCCAAGTTTTTGCCCATCGGTAGGATATTGGCTGTGGGTTTGTTATATATGGCTCCTATTATTTTGAGGTGTGTTCCTTTGATACCTAGTTTATTGAGAGCTTTTAACATGAAGGGATGTTAAATTTTATCAAAGGACTTTTCTACATCTATTGAGATAATCATGTGGTTTTTGTCTTTAGTTCTGTTTTTGTGATGAATCACATTTATTGGTTTATATATGTTGAAGCAACCTTGCATCCCAGGGATGAAGCCAACTTGATCATGGTGGATAAGCTTTTTGATGTGCTGCTGGATTTTGTTTACCAGTATTTTATTGAGAATTTTTGCGTCGATGCTCATTAGGGATATTGGTGTGAAGTTTTCTTTTATAAATTGCATCTCTGCTAGGTGCTGGTATCAGGATTAAGCTGGCCTCATAAAATAGGGAGGAGTCCCTCCTTTAAACTTTTTGGTATAGTTTCAGTAGAAATGGTACCAGCTCTTCTTTGTATCTCTGGTAGAATTCAGCTATAAATCTGTCTGGTCCTGGGGTTTTTTTGGTTAGTAAGCTATTTATTACTGCTTTAATTTCAGAACTTGTTATTGGTCTATTCAGGGATTCATTTTCTTCCTGGTTCAGTCTTGGGAGAGTGTGTGTGTCTGGTAATTTATCCATTTCTTCTGTATTTGCTAGTTTCTGTGCATAGAGGTGTTTATAGTATTCTCTGATGGTTGTTTGTATTTCTGTGGGATCAGTGGTGATATCCTCATTATTTCTGATTGTATCACCATTTTATAGGTGAGGAAACAGACTCTGAGACAGTGCTTTGATTTGGCTCTGTGTCCCCACCCAAATCTCATCTTGGCTTGTAATCCCCATGTGTTGGGGGAGGGGTCTGGTAGGAGGTGATTGAATCATGGGGGCCGACTTCCCCCTTGCTGTTCTTGTGATAGTGAGTAAATTCTCATGAGATCTGGTTGTTTGAAGATGTGTGGAACTTCCCTGTTTGCTCTCTGTCTCTCCTGCCGCTGTGTAAGATGTGCCTTGCTTTTCCTTTACCGTCTGCCATGATTATAAATTTACTGGGGCCTTCCCTTAGCCCTGCAGAACTGTGAGTCAATAAACCTCTTTTCTTTATAAATTATCCAGTCTCAGCTGGTTCTTTATAGCAGTGTGAAAACGGACTAATACAGACAAGAAGGGACTTGTATAAGTCCTTCCTTGACAGTAGGTGATAGAGTGGGGATCTGGACCAAGATTTTGTGACCCCAGAGACTGTGTTCTTAACCACAATAATATGAATAGAAAGTTATCTGTAGCACCACTCACAACTCATTATAACACAAAATTAGGACTGTCCCTGTGGTTGAGCAATACTCATGTACAGGATTATTTTCTGTGATTTCTTTTAAGTTGCACTGAATATGGCTAATTTGAATCAGTTGATTTGGAACAAAAAAAGATAACTGGTAACACTAGGACACTCATGCCTTGCTGAGAAACAGCATTTACTGTTTGAAATAATGACTAGAATAAGGATGTTTTCCCTCACTATGTGGTGCATGACTGGTCCTCAATTTATCTTGTGCAGTACACAGGTGATGCACTCAGGTTTCCTGAAAGCTCTTAGGCTAATGTAAAATCGCAAGAGGCTCATTCCCAAGTGACCTCAGGCTTCAACGTCTGGTTAGGTGCCATGTACCATGCAGGCCAAATAATTAATACACCTTTTGACTAAGCACTTTCACCCTAAATGTTCACATGGATGGAATTAAAGATTTTAACTCCTAACAATGCATCAACTCAGAAATAGGAAAGGATATGACCTGGCAGGCACCAAGTATCCAGTTGTGCAAAAAAGGAGTCACAGAATGGATGTGGGGAGATTAAAAACCTGCAAGAGACTTGTCTTACTGCATTAATGCAAATCTCAACTGTCCCAAGAATGAAGACGCAAACCTCCCACATATATCCTTGCATGTCTGCGCAATACCAGACATTGTGCCAGACAGTAGGAAAGCAGAGGAGAAGACATAAAAACCACTTTAGGCTTATGGTGTGGCCTGAACAAATGTGTGATGATATTGACAACACATGGCTTCTATGAAAGGCAGAGGACAGGCTGTTATGACAGCACTTTGTGGGGAGTAGAAGATGGTTTGGGAATGCCAGTCTCAGGAAGGGATATCTAAATACAGACTGAAACCTGAATGGGAGTTGGCCAAGCAAGAGAGAATTGGGGCTTCTGTACTAGGAAGAGGCAAGAGCTATTTTAAGGCCAACAGAGACAAAAGTCTGGTGTTTTCCTCTTGGTGGAGGTAAATGGTAGGAAGGGAATAAAAGGAGAAAGGGAAAGACAAGATACAAAGTAGGTGAGGTAGGTGGGATGCAGATTATAGAAGGCTTTGTAATTCGTACTCAGAATATTGAGATTTTATTCTAAGCTCAATGGAAAGTCATTGAAAGGTTTCAAGCAGGCATCTTGCTAAGCAAATTTCAACTGGTGGTAGGAGAAATACGGTAATGCTAATAGCTAGCTCCAGTAATTCAAGTTCAACATTATTTATCTTCGGGTGGATATCCTGGATTGTTTGCCTGCATTACCTTTCCTCTGCAATTGCAGAACACTCCATGTTTAGGATGGCACCTGGGTTCTCAGGATATTCATGAACACGGGGGCCTGGCTAATTCAGAAGAGCAGGACAAAAATAAGATTGAAGGCTTGGTTCACATAAGGCTTAGCTGTTTTCAACTCTGCCCCTTGGTTACAGAATTAACAGTCTTACAAATGCATTCTCTTGAGGAGAGATGGGAGTGTGTTATGGCTCTACTCAACTCAGCACTAGACAAAGGGTAGTCAGTGGACAGTGTGTGGCCTAAGAAACTTAGCTTAGGCCTCTGAGCCACATGTTAGGGAATGGTATAGAAAAATCATGATCCAGAATTGGGGATATTCATCAAGTCAGAGTGACTGAATATCTCAGAATCTCAAATTGACATCCATGAACACTGAAGTGAGTTTCTCTCCTGCTATTAAATAAACCAGTTGAATATTAACCTCAATATTAGGGGGTGGCTTCTGTTTACCATATAACTCTCCTTCTGACAACATTTTATAACTTGGTTTTCTTGTTCCCTGATTGCTTTTGGTTATCTATAGCCCATTGTGACATTATCCAAGAATGTATGGCCTTGCCACCTATATTAGTTAAGGCAACACAAGTTACTGTAACAGATTCTTGGATTGTTACAGTGTTGGTCTGAAGGCTTGCCAAAATCATAAATTGACTCTCAGCCTAACATAAAATATTTCTGGAATGGTCAATAGATTGAATTCTATAGAGGAATAGAATCTTATTTGGAAAGTTATTTGGTCTTATTTGGAAAGTTATTCATTCATCTTGGCTAAGTATTAATGATTTACCAAATACTCGTTGTATACAGAGCTGTCTTCTAGTTGAAATATAGGATTAAAGATGAACCTGGCAAGGTTGTGCCCTTAAACACTGGGGGAGCCAATGGGAGATAGTATAAGAGAGATGACATGCTACTAAAATGTGAATATGTGTTCATTTCCTTTCTATTGGATAAGACCCAATAACTTAAAAAGTGTCAAGTATCACAAAACTTGCCAACACCCCTCCTCAGACAAAGGGGGGCTCAGCCTCGATCCAAAATGCATACATATGAGAACTTTAAAAGTCTTTTTTGTATTTATTTAGCATCAAAAAATGATATGCAGGTGACTCAATGATTCACTCCAGCCAGTGTCTACAGACAACTCTATTTGCTTTTTCTGATTTTTAATGGATGCAGGCCACATAGTTAAATTATGTATTCAATAAACCTGAAACTTGACTCCTCTTGTCATGGCTTTACAGTATCCTTAAACTTCAATGGGCCAGAAAATACAATTACACAATTATTGCTCTGCCCAAGGGCAATAAAACTGATGAATTAAATGATAAAGATTAGCTAAGATGACATAACCAGAACCATATAGCATCTGCGAATACTAGCTCTTTCTTACCAAAATGTTAACAGCAAACTCTCCCCATCCAGGCTAATAATTTACAAGAATTATATGTATGAATGTTGATGTTTTCCTCTGGGAAGTTTCTAAATTATCAATTAGTGAAGATTTTATGCATAATAATCATGTTATATACATTTCCTTGGGTTTCTATAGTGTTTTCACACTCTTCATAATGTTCCCAAGTGTATTTTATGTCAGCCTGATCTTCAGACCCCTGTAAGACTAAACAGGGTATTCAGAGTATTCTCCTATTTTACAAGTGAACAAGTAGAGGCACAGAGTTATTAAATGCATCACTCATGGCCCATACAACTGATGAGTATCAGGACAGAGCTAGAACCCAGTGATCTGACTGATACATTTTTAGCATGGTGACTAAGAATACAGATCTTATTCATTGATCAAGTCCCAGCTCTACCACTACCAACTATAAACTGTTCAAAGTTCATAATGACCCTTCTAACTCTGTTTACTCATTTATAAAATTGGGTTAATTATAAAATCTACTTAATGGCACCATTGTGAGAATCCAGCAAACTGATGTGTATTCAGTGCATAGTATTGTGCATCATACAGTAAGCACTCACAAATAAATAGGTACCACTAAGACTAATTCCCAGTCTGCATTACACTGTGTTGTACTGTGATCTATTAGTATGAAGCATTAGAACGTCAGCAATAAAAAGTATAGTGAAAGATTACCATCATAAAACTATATCTGTATTTAACAGCAGGACATTCTCAGTCACCCAAAATGCTTTCTCCAGCAGGGACTGCCCAGGACAGACTACTTCTTTTCTGCTGGCAATGGTTTTGCTCTTCACACATTTTTCAGTACAACAGACTGTGATGGTTCTCCAAAAATGGCCATATTTACCTTTGACCCAGGGGAAAAAAAAGGGAGCTAGACATATCTGAGCATGCCTGAAATGCTGGCAGCCTGGGACTCAAATCATACTTTCTTTGCACTCCCACCACTTGCAGCTCTACTAAGTTATTTTAAAAGCTTCACACATTTTCTAAGTGAAAGTTGGTATGTTGGGGAGCACATGTGTTTTGTAGGAGGTAGAATGGGTGGTTGCTTTTGCCTGTTTCCTCACAGGTACTCATGGTCAATAAAGATGGGCTAGAAATGCTTGCTTTCAGCATGTGGCAAGATGGGAGATATCTTCCTCGGGATTTTGTTCTCCTTGGATGAAGTTTCTAGTGGTAGTAAGGTCAAATTGTCCAGATATCAGCTAAGCTGATGTAGCAACTGGCATGTATTATGCCAAAAGTTGAAACTGCAGAATGTTGGGGAAATTAGTAAGAAAAATTTTCTGGATGGATTGAGAGGAGGATCCCTACACTGAGAAGAAATGTCATTCGTCATTGATTAGTTCCATTTGTTTCAATGTCCTATAGTTAACTTATTCATTTATGCATTTGTTTATTTTTTATTCAGCTAATATTTGTTGATGATGGGGATATAATGATAAGCAAAAAGTACATATGATACTTGCCTTTAAGAGGCCTGTTAGTGTGGAAGACAGATGTTAAAGAAATAATCACATCACATATAGTTACCCACTGTTAAATTCAAAGTTCCATTAAAAAGAACCCAAATATTCATCAAATGATGATAATAAATCTTGGTGTAGTTTTATTTGGATAGAATCTATTGGAGACCTTTTATTTTTCTCTTCTCCTTCTTGAACTTCTAAGACTTGAAAAATTCCTTTTTTGATGCTGTCCTATAAATCCTGTAAGATTTTTTCATTCCTTTTCATTCTTTTTCTTTTTCTTCTGACTGTATTTTCAAGTAAACTGTCTAAGTTCACAGATTTTTTTCTTCTGCCAGACCTATTTTACTATTGATTTTCTCTGTTGCATTTTTTATTTTCTTCATTGTATTTTTCAGCTCTGGAATTTCTGTTTGATTTTCTAAACTTTAATCTCTCTGTTAAATTTCTTGTTCTGATCATTTATTGTTTTCTTCATTTCATTGAATTGTTTCTGTGTATTTTATTGCAGTTTGCTGAGCTTACTTAAAACAGTTGTTTTGAATTATTTGCTAGGTAGTTCATGCATCTCCATTTCTTTAGGGCTGATAACTGGTACTTTATTTTGTCTGTTTGATGCTGTCATGTTTCTTTGATTGCTTTTGATACTCTGGCTATGCACTGATGTATGTGCACTTAAAGAAGTAGGTATTTATTCCAGTCTTTGCAAGCTAGTTTTGTCTGAGATGCTCTGTAACAGGAAACCTGTCTAGAGATTCTGTGAAGGCTGGCTGGCAGGGTCCCTAAGCCTGGAACCACTGTGTCTGTTGTGGTGCTGGGAAGTGCCTTAAATTCAGGAACGCTGCAACAAGCATAATGCTGGACAGAATTTTATGGCCTCTGAGACTGGCATGGATATAATTTTACATGTTTTAGGGGTACATGTAATATTTTGATACCCTTTTACAATACATAATGATCAAATCAAGTTAATTGGGATATCTATCAACTCAAACATTACTATTTTATTTGTAGTGAGAACATTACAATTCTTCCAGCTATTTTGAAATATATAATAAATTGCTGTTAACTAGAATTATCCTACTATACTACTACTGTTTGAACTTATTCCTTCTATCTATTTTTGTACAATTTAACAAACTGCATCTTTTTTTTTTTTTTACTATTGTGCTATAACCATGTAGTGTGATCTCTCACCTTATTTTCTTAGCTCCTGTGAAAGATTTTTTGCATGTAGATATTGTTCAAGTTGATGTTTCTGTAGGAGGCAATCCCTGGAGAGTTCTATTCTGCCATATTATTTTCCCTCTCATCCATCAAGTAAGGAGTGGATAAATAAAATATGGTATGTCTGTACAATAACATATTATTCAGCTATAAAGAAGAGCAAAGTACTGATACATGCTGCAACATGGATGAGCCTTGAAAACGTGGTAAGCAAAGGAAGCCAGACACAAAAGACCGCATGTTGTATGAGTCCATTAATATAAACTGTCCAGAACAGGCAAGCCCATAGAGACAGAAGACAGATTAGTGGTTAGCAGGGACTAGAGTGGTTGGTGGGAATGGGGAGTGACTGCTAATATGGGGTTTCTTTTTGGGGTGATGAAACTGTTTTAAAGTTTAACATAGTGATGATTGCAAATTTCTGTGAATGTACCAAAAAATATTGACTTGCACACTTTAAATGGTTGAATTAAATAGTACATGAATTATATACTAATAAAGCTGTTATAGTTACAAAAAGGCCCATGACAGCACATAAATAGGCAACCTGATCTATTCTTCAGAGCTAGAGAAGTAGGCTTCCCTGAAGAAGTGATGTCTAGAAGGAGATTTTCAAGATGGGCAGGAATAATTTAGGTAAAACGTGGTTGGGAGGATGGAGAAGAGTGTTCCCAACATAAGAAGGTCTGTGGAGCATAGAAGGAGTAGAGAGAATGCCAGGACAGCTGGAGCTTTGAGAGCAAGAAAAGGAGTGATGCAAGGTGGGCTGGAGAGGTCAAAAGGGTGACTAATTACTGCCGGCAGTCTCTGTTCCAGACGCAATATATGCAAGGTCTAATGTAATCTTCCTCATGCTCCCTTGAGGTAGCAACAGTTATAGTCAGGGACCAATAATGAAGGGCTACTTTTATAGATTATTTTCAATATATTTTTCTTGGTTGTAAGATTGGAGAATAGTGAAGAGAACATGGGCAAGATGTGATTAGGTATTTATTTTAAAAATCCCTCTGTCTGTTGTGTGAAGCAATGCTAGGACTGTAGAGGTCATAAACTTTAAGTCTTGAAAGAGGAAACTATAGAAAGGTCCCTTTACATTCTAATTTCTGCTATCTATCTTGTGTTTATTTTTGAAGAATCAGTGGATGGACAGCATGGAGAAATGACAGTATTCAGAAAGCTAGGCACGGTGTCCTGCACATAATCTAAGAGCAATTCATCAAATGCATGAATCATAGCTCCTTTATTCAATCAATTTTAGATAAATTAGCTGTCTCCAGCAGGTTAGAGCATTGAGTCCCTCAGGCATCTTCCTGTAGATGTCAGGTTAATGAGAAAAGATTTGTATCATTTGACTTTATTGACCTGAGTATCAGCAGGTAGTAAATAAAGTGTAGGGGTTCAAGACATGGGTTTTTGAGGCAGACAAACCCCGATTCTGGAATTATAGAAGAAGCGTTTGCCCTGAGCCAGGCCTAATGAGTCAGCAGCAGAAAAGAGTTCAAGGGATGATTCAGAGCATCACTACAACAGGGTCCCATAACATTTCCTATCACTCAAAGGTCTCAGTCATTAAGCATGACATGTATCATAATTCATTGTGAGTATAGTCAATCCTTTGTGTCCATGGGTTCCACTTTCATGGATTCAACCAATTGTGGATTGAAAATATTTGAAAAAATACATGGTTACACCTATGCTGAACATGTACACATCTTTTTCCTTGTGATTTTTCCTAAACAATACAGTATGACAGCTACTTACATAGCATTTACATTGTATTATGTGTTATAAGTGATCTAGAGATGATTTATAGTATACAGGAGGATATACACAGGTTATATGCGAATGTGACAGCATTTTATATAAGGGACTTGAGCATCCACAGATTTTGACATCCTCAGGGGTCCTGGAACCTCTCCCCAACAGATACCAAGGGATGAATGTATAGCATGATGGCACTAGGTGAAGAGTGCTGTAATGGATGGACAAGGCTCTCAGTTGAAAACAAAAGTCGGTAAGGACCCCAAAACATAAGCTTATAAAACTGCCTTTTGGTGAGGACAGCCACCTTCTCTTCATGCTGACAAGATGACTAATTTCACTAGCACCAGTGCCATCACCTCAGAGTGGGGCAGCAGGGTAGATAGAGGGTTACGTTTGGAGGGTGTATTAGTTTTCTATTGCTGCTGTAAGAAATTATTACAAACTTTGTGGCTTATAACAAGACAAATTTCGTAAATATTATCTTACGATTATGGAGGTCAGAAGTCTCACATGGATCTCGCTGAACTAAAATCATGTATCAGCAGAGTTGCATTAATTTCTGGAGTCTCTAGGGAAGAGTCTATTTCCTTGCTTTTTCAGACTTCTAGAGACTGCACTGCCTGCATTTCTTGATTCATGGCTCTTTTCCTACATCTTCATAGCTAACGAAGTTGGGTTGAGTTCTTCCCAAGAGCAGCAATCTTTCTATTTCTCTCTTTTCTGCCTCCCTGTTCCACTGTTTAGGATCCTGTGATTGCATTGGGTCCACTCAGATAATCCATGAGAATCTTCGTATTTTAAGGTCAGCTGATTAATAACATTAATTCCATCTGCAACCTTATTTCCCCCTTGCCATGTAACATAACATATCCATTGTTTCCAGGGAGAAAAGACATCTCTGGTGACCCCTTTTTCTGCCCACACAGAATGCAGAGTTTATAAAATGGTAATCATATCTACCCTCTCCTCTTTTCTTGGAGGCAAAAATTTGGTGTGGGTTCCTCCACTCCCCTTCTAAAAGATTGAAGATGCTACGTATGTTTATTGCAGCACTATTCACAGTAGCAAAGTCTTGGAACCAACCAAAATGCCCATCAGTGATAGACTGGATAAAGAAAATGTGGCACATATACATCATGGAATACTATGCAGCCATAAAAGGGAATGAGTTCATGTCCTTTGCAGGGACATGGATGAAGCTGGAAATCATCATCCTCAGCAAGCTAACACAGGAACAGAAAACCAAACATGGCATGTTCTCACTCATAATTGGGAGTTGAACAATGAGAACACATGGACACAAGGGTGGGGAACATCGCACATGGGGGCCTGTTGTGCGGGCAGAGGAAAGGGGAGGGGGAGCATTAGGACAAATACCTGATGCATGTGGGGCTTAAAAGGTAGATGACGGGTTGATAGGTGCAGCAAACCACCATAGCACATGTATACCTATATAAGAAACCTGCACGTTCTGCACATGTATCCCAGAACTTAAAGTAAAAAAAAAAAGAAAAGAAAAAGATTGAGGGTGCTGAAACATTCTCTTCCAATTATTTGGGGACTAGTTATTATATTCTGTCTGAATGTTGCTAGAAGCCTAGACTAGTAGAGTACTGAGGTTGCTAGAATGTAGAAGACGGTGGTGGAGAGATTGCATAAAGATACAAAAAGTTATGTGTATATGAGGGGGAAAAGGGTCAGGAGAAGGCAGCCCCTATTCTCATTATTTGGTATGAAAGAATATGTGAACTTTCCTTGGGTTAAGTAGAGACCTCAGAAGGTAGCCTGCTACTCCCTCTATATCCTATTGCCTAAGGGAGGGTAGCTTGTTGGGCTATGTATACTTGAGCAATAAAAGGTTATGGGTTGGACTATCCAGGAGAGGGCTGGTGGTGGGGTGAGAATTTGAGCCAGATGGGTCTCTCATGCCAGAAGAGTAATCACAAAGTATACCCCACAAGAGTTTGAAACTCTGCTAAGAGAGGAACTAACTTCCAGACAGCCTCAGTGAAGACGAAGAACCAGACCGAATGGGAATACCTCACTCAGAGCAATTACACTGGAGATAAGTTCTACTTTCCGCCCAGCACTAATGTGTATACACCTTATAAAGGAGGCAGGTACAGGGATGGACTGCATCCTTCCCTACATATGAAACTGGGAGAGACATAATTTATTTAGCTGTGGAAATGTTAATCAGGGTGCCAAAGGCTTTGATGGAGTACAGTCAGTAGCAGTTATTGGGAAAAATAAAATTATTTGATGTTTGTATCAATTAAAAATGTCATCTTCTCATAACTAAAATAATTATGATAATGATAGTTAACATTTATATAGCACACAGATGCTGTACATTAAGTGCTTTATATGTATTAATTTAGGTAATCCTTAAAAAATCCTATGAGTTAGGATTATATGAGATATCAACAAAAAGAATAGAACTCTGTGAAATATTTTAAGGGATTTATTCTGAGGAAGTTATGAATGACCAATTGCCAGTGACACAGCCCCAGGAGATCCTGGGAACATACACCCAAGGTCATCAGAGTACAGGTTAGATTTATACATTTTATGGAGACATAAGACATCAATCAATATATGTAAGATGTTCAGTCTGGAAAGACAGGACAACTAGTAGTGGGGGTGTCCAGGTCACTGGAGAAGCCAAAATTTTCTGATTGGCAATTGGTTTTTTCAACCAATTTATCTAAAGATCTGGAATCCATAGAAGAGAGTGTGTGGGTTAAGACAAGGCATTGTGGAGACCAAGGTTCTTATTATACAGATAAAGTCTCCAGGTAGCATGCTTAAAAAAATAGATTGTAAATGCTTCTTTTTTTTCTTTTTTCTTTCTTTTTTTTTTTTGAGACGGAGTCTCACTCTGTTGCCCAGGCTGGAGTGCAGTGGTGTAATCTCGGCTCACAGCAAGCTCCGCCTCCTGGGTTCACGCCATTCTCCTGCCTCAGACTCCCAGAGTAGCTGGGACTACAGACATCTGCCACCAAGCGTGGCTAATTTGTTGTATTTTTAGTTGAGACAGGGTTTCACCGTGTTAGCCAGGGTGGTCTCGATCTCCTGATCTTGTGATCCACCTGCCTCAGCCTCCCAAAGTGTTGGGATTAGAGGCGTGAACCACCGCACCTGGCCAAAAAAATAGATTGTAAATATTTCTTATCAGACTTAAAAAGGTGCCAGACTCTTAGTTAATTCTCTCCTGGATCAAGGAAAAGTCTGGAAAGGGAGGGGGATTCTCTACAGAAGGTAGATTTTCCCAGGAAGAGATAGCTTTTCAGGACCATTTGAAAATATGTCAAAGAAATATATATTAGGGTAAAATACTTTAATTTCTTTCATTGCCTGCTATCTGTCATGTGATGCTGGATAAGAATCAGTCTGGAATGTGGTATCTTAGTGCTGCAAAAAGTCTTAAGGTCTCTGTTTTAATGTTAATGCTGGTCAGTTGTGCCTGAATTCCAAAGGGAGGCAGATATAATGAGGCATGTTTGGCCCCCCACTTCCTGTCCTAGCCTGAACTCATTTTTCAGGTTAACTTTGGAATGCCCTTGGCCAAGAGGAAGTGCCCATTCTGACAGTTGCAGGGCTTAGAATTTTATTTTGGTTTACCTGAGGCACAAAGAGAGTAGATAACGTGTCCAGCACCATACAGATATAGGTGGTAGAACTGAAATTTGAACCTGGGGAATTAAGCTGAAATCTTAATGTTTTCAAAGAATTAAGTTTTTAAAAAACATCAGAGTACATTTATGTGTAATTAGTATAAAAATGCTTTTTCAAGTCACTAGAATTATGTTCTGCCATTTGGATTCATTCATTCAGCAGACATTTATTAAGAGCCCAGCATGTTTAAAGAATGGCTGGATTACGGTAAGCAAGAGAGAGAACTGTAGAAGCTAAAGGAAGAGTGGTAATGGACCAGCTTATGTAATGTCTTGGTTTCTGTATGGACTTTAATTTCATTCTCAATAAGATGGGGAGCTTTGGGAAGGTATTTAGTAGAGGAGTGTTATGACTTGACTTATTCTGTAAAAGAATTGTGTGTTACATTTAAAATAAGTTAGGGGACAATGGGAGGACAATGACAAAAGCATGGCCAGTTAGGAAGCTGTTGTAAGAGTGCATGAAACAGATAGTGATAGCTGGACAAGTGGGTAGCAGAGGAGGGGATGAGACATGGATAGATTCTGGATATATTTTGAAGGTGGAGCTAATATGATTAATGCATGGATTGGTTCTGAGATCTGATACAGAGGAAAGAAGTTACTGCTAATTCTGAGAGTTACTTATAAACTGAAGCTCATAGCATCAGCACCACAGCCTTTACTGGTTGAGGCTGTCCTCATTATTATAATGCTTGTAAAATGTAGTTTTACTGTGTTTAAAAAACTACTCCTGCAAATTTTTTTTTCATAAATGAGAGGACAAAGATAGAGTTCAAGTGAGTGGAAATGAGCTTTGTGAAAATATCCCATAGGAGTATGTTCATGTGAATGTTGTATTCACGTCATAGTGGAAAACCTCTGATGTGAGTACCTCTGTTCTGGAGGCTTGTTATGGGTTGGATTGTGTCCCCTAATAAAAGATATATTGATGTCCTAACCCCCAGTGCCATAGACTGAAAGAGGTAATCTAGTTAAGATGAGGTCATTAGGGTGGGTACTAATCAATATGACTGGTATACTTATAAAAAGAGAAAATTTGGACACAGACATGCACACAGGGAGAACACCATATGAACATGAAGGCAGAGATCTGGATGATGATGCCAATGCGAACAACCAGAAGCTGGGAGAGAGGCATGTGATAGCCCTCGCAGCCCTCTGAAGGAATCCACCTGGCCAACACCTTGATCTCAGACTCCTCCCCTTCAGAATTGTGAGGGAATACATTTCTTTTGTTTAAGCCACCCAGTTTGCTATACTCTGTTATAGCAGCCCTAGCAAACTAACACAAGCTTTCTGAGCAAAGACTTACAAAATTCACAATCGACTGTGATGGACAACTAGCAAAAACATTGGGAGGTACCATCACTACATCACCTAGTACAGTGTCGGGCACACAGTAAATCCTCAATGAACATTTGTTGCCTGACAAAATGTCTAATTTATGTAAATACCTAATACGTAATAAATATTCAACAAATACTTTCTTTCTCCCTTAACCTGAGCAATGAAAACAATTGCAAACTGTCATAGGTTTTTTGAGATCTTGCAGAGGAAATCACATATTCCAATGTCAGCCCAGTCAGGTCTTGCTGCCCAGAAGCATTCTTGTTTTCTCTTAAACCATATCACTGCATCAAGATTCCATAATGCAGGGTAATATTAGTAGCTTTTAGGAAGTCAAAAGCCAAGCCTCTATCTTCATGGACCATGATAATGAGAAGAAAAGAGAAGGCAGAAATGAAAAATAAAAATCCTAGCAACATAATTATGTTATATTCCTTTAAAAATTACAATTAAGGGCTGGATCCACCCAGACATGTTACATTAAAAATAGTTTAAGTTTAGAATATATTCTGTAGAAAAACCAGGTTTTCTTTTGACTGCCAATCAAGTAATAAGTTCCTTCTTTATTAATTCATCTGTAAGAATGAGATGAACATTTGAGACACTTTGATTGTTTTGCCCTCTATTTTGAATTTTATTTAACAAGATTTCATTGCTTAGACACAAACTATTCCTGACAGTTTTTCAGTCTGTACTTTTCATCACTCAATGGGTCTTAACTGGTGAGGATGCTATCTGATGTTCTAGGTGATGATGTAATTGATAACCTTTGTAAAATCTTTACAGTGTTTCTTTGAAACAGCATGAAGGAAGCATGAAAATAGGAAAGTTTCAAACAGCAATAGACCAGAAGGAGCAGACTGCCATGTTTCTTTATGATGGCAGCAATAAAATATATGCCAATTCCAGTGGGCTGAATAAATCTTTGCTCTGAGATGGTGGTGGGGTGGCAGGTACAGTGTGTAACATCCTGTCCCAGGTTTTCCCAGTAACCTGATGCCTTCTCTTTGAGAGTAGTATTGTGCTAGCATGCAGGAAATGATTGGCTGCCCAAGTTATTCATAAATAAAAGCAGCTGGCTGCAACAGAAATCTAAGTAGCTAAGATTTCATCATTATTTATGAGGCAGGCCAGGGAGAAGAAGACCTAAAAGTGCAATAGCAAACACTATCTTTCTCCTGAGAAGATGGCTGACTGGGAGAGAAATTCTAAAAGAGAAAGAAGTCAGTGTCACATTTATTTTCATGTCATCATCTTCTTAATCTTATAGATAGTAAATAATATAAAACCATTATCATAATATAGTCCTTGCAAGTTCCTCCTGAAGCAAGTTTTTCCATTATGATCGCTGATCTAATTAGTTGGTTGATTTAGAAAAAAGGATTCTTATTGACTTCCAGTGATTGAGAATAGTCGTGGATAACCAAATATTGAATAACATTTTTTATTTATCTTAATTCCAGTGATAGGGATAAGAGTTAATATATGGTGGCTGGCTTACAATAGACGCTAACATCTGCCGGGGGAGATTGGGGGAGAATTCTGTCCCCTGGCAGTGGATTCCATGTGGAGGGGTCTCTATTAGAGTGCACTTGGCCTCTTCCTCACTCCCTCTTTCATGCTTTCCCAGGAAATTGAGTAGTTTGATTGGCGAGTTTAGGAGAAGTATCTAAGCATGCATGGCTAAACACTTTTCTTTCTTTTTGGTCTTTGGGAGGAACTCTGCCAGCAGGAGCATTCCTTCTGTGCTTCTCCTTTCTGCCATATAATAGGAGCAGGCCTCCAAAGGAGAAGGCCCAGTATCGTCCAGAATTACCAGTAGCTATGATTGGGCAAGTCTGTCTAAATGAGAGGCTGAAATATCAGTGAGCCTAATTGTCTTGAAAATAGCATTTTATTTATCCAACATCAGATTTATCGGTGTATTAGTCTGTTTTCACACTGCTCTGAAGAAATACCTGAGATTACACAATTTAGAAAGGAAAGAAGTTTAATCGACTCGCAGTTCCACATGGCTGGGGAGGCCTCAGGAAACTTACAATCATGGTGGAAGGCAAAGGGGTAGTAAGAACCTTCTTCACATGGCAGCAGGAAAGAGAAGTGCCAGCAGGAGAAGTGCCAGACACATAAAACCATCAGATCAGCTGGGCTTGGTGGCTCACACCTGTAATCCCAGCACTTTGGGAGGCTGAGGTGGGTAGATCACTTGAGGTCAGGAGTTTGAGACTAGCCTGGCCAAAATGGTGAAACCCCATCTCTACTAAAAGTACAAAAACTAGCCAGATGTGGTGGTGCATGCCTGTAATTTCAGCTACTTGGGAGGCTGAGGCAGGAGAATCACTTGAACCTAGGAGGCAGAGCTTGTAGTGAGCTGAGATCACACCACTGCACCCCAGCCTTGGTGACAGAGTGAGACCCTGTTTCAAAACCAAACCAAACCAAACCAAACCAAACCAAACCAAACCAAACCAAACCATCAGATCTCATGATAACTCACTGTCATGGGAAAAGCAAAGGGGAAACCACCCTCATGATTCAATCACTTTCTTCTCTTGACACATGGGGATTACAATTTGAGATTTGGGTGGGGACACAAACCCTAACCATATCAATAGGTAATAAAGCTAATATTTTAATCTTTCTTGGCTTCACTCCTGCATTTATCTCTGAAATGGATGTGAATTTTGGTGGGGAAAATAAAGAGATATTTTATTTATTGTTATTTATTATCCTCCTTGTTAAAACTCCAACATCATATATGAAAATGATATATATACTCTGGCCATAGAAGGATATAATTGGAAGAAATTCTTTTATTTATTAGAAACACATTTAGTGTAAATAATACATGTTTATTATAGAAAAATTAGATAAGCAAAATAAATAGAAAAAGAAAACTGTTCACACTTTCACCCCTCAGAGATATTTTTCACCTTTTCTTTCTCTTTCTCTTGCTCTCTCTTTTTTTTTTTTTTTTTTTGAGATGGAGTCTCACTCTCTCACCCAGGCTGGAGTGCAGTGGTGTGATCTTGGTTCACTGCAACCTCCGCCTCCCAGGTTCAGGAGATTCTCCTGCATCACCCTCCCGAGCAGCTGGGATTACAGGTGCACACCAACACACCTGGCTAATTTTTGTATTTTTAGTAGAGACAGAATTTCACCATGTTGACCAGGCTGGTCTCGAACTCATGACATCAAGTGATCTGCCTGCCTTGGCCTCCCAAAGTGCTGGGATTACAGGCATGAACCACCATGTGGGGCCTTTTTCACTTTTTCTTTACCTTTACAGATTATTCTCCTTGTATCTTTTCTTCCTCCTTCCCTTTTTATACTGTCACCTTTCTTTTCCTCTTCTCTTTTCATTTTTGTGTCTCTTTATTGCTTCTCAGAGGTGTATATAAATGGAATGGCAAAATGCTGGTGTTGGAGACATTCCCTTTGTGTTTCAGTCCAAACCCTGGGTTGGTTGTTACTCTTGATGGCGTTGGAAGAGTGGATGTGTGGTGTACTTGGCAAAAAATAAGAGAAGTAGGTAGATGGGTTTTGGTTTGTAAAGAATTTAGAATATGTCAGTTATACAGTCCTCTGTATCCCATTGTCTCTTGCCCCTATTTCTCTTTGGTTGACCCAGGCATCATAGAGATACAGGGGCTATTTGGCAGTTGTCACCATTGCAAGAACACTTCTGAGGCTTAGTAACCTGCGTGGTATAGCAGAAGTCCATTATTATTATTGCCAAGCTTTCATTCACTTTTCTACTTGTAACAGCACTCTGATCTACCCCAGAGGAGTAATCCACTTCTTAGTCCTTAACCATGAGCTTCACGTAGAGTTGACTCCACTCCAAAGCTCTAGATGTGTCCATGTGGTCATTCTATCTACGTTAAGAGATTATATTGCCTTAGACATTTTTCAGAATAATCTGATTATTTTAGAAATGAACATATGGCCTCACATGAGCCAATGAAACTTAAAGAAATGTTTGCTTAGACTTACACCTACTGGCATGGAGGCTTGGAGAATGGCTGTCCATCTCGCCACCATGAGGAGCCTGCAAAGGAAGTGTGTGAATGAGCAGAGTTGAGAATGACATGATTTGAAATCCTGAATCCAGGCACAGATTTACTACTGGAGTTTTCAGTTAAGTGACCCAGTAAATTTCTATTTTTGCTTAAAACGTTTATTTTTGTCTGCAAACCAAAAGGATCATAACAAGGTGAGCATGAGCTGTAGAGTTGACATGTCTGCCAGCTGACTACAAGTGACCAAGCTTCTTGGCTTACAGTGGCCTGCATTACTGCATTACAATTGTCTGCAATCCATGTGAGGTTAAATACACCTTTTCTCAAGGCTTAGTTTATGAGATTTACAGTTGAATTGGATGAAAATACAATATTTACCTATTCAAGTTGGCAGCAAAGACACTTGGTTTGATGCAGCAAGCAGTGCCAATGTCAGAATTAATATAATGGTTCCATGTCAAAACAATAACAGGGCAAATCACCTGGAAGGGCAATTCAGTCACTTAGGCCTGATCGCCACTGGCAAATGGAGCAGTAGCCACCTGCCTTCCTTTGCTGGACACAGGCTTGGATGAAGCTAAGCTGCCCAGCAATTTAGGTTTAGAAAATGGCTTTGGGAAATCACTGCTGTTTAAATGGCAAAAATGCTCTTATAAGGGTTTTCTAAGAAGAATACTTCTGGGTGGCTGGCAAGATGACCGAATAGGAACAGCTCTGGTCTGCAGCTCCCAGCAAGATCAACACAGAAGGCGGGTGATTTCTGCATTTCCAACTGAGGTACCTGGCTCATCTCATTAGGACTGGTTAGACAGTGGGTGCAGCCCACGGAGGGTGAGCCGAAGCAGGGTGGGGTGTCACTTCATCCGGGAAGCGCAGGAAGCCTGAAGGGTTGGGGAACTCCCTCCTCTAGCCAAGGGACGCCATAATGGAAGTCTCCTGAAGCTTTCTCATTTTGGGAATAAAGAAGATGAAGCCTTATTTGGAAAAAGTTGGAAAGGCTGTGAGCTCAAGTTAGGAAAGGGGGGTTATCTTTTATTTATTTCTTCCATCAATTGGAATATTTATTCAATGCATTCTAAATGCTGGGCACTGGGGTTTCACAGTGGTCTGTAGAGCTGTGCTTCTGCTCACATGAAGTCCAGGAGAGAGGAAGAAAACAAACATGTAAATAATGGATAAAATGGCAATATAAATAGATAAAATTTAAAACAGTGTTCTGAGTTCAAGAGTTATAAGGAGAGGGTTCTGCTTTGATGAAAGACTTCCATGATGGGGGTGACACTGAAACTGAAACCTGGAGATGAGAGGGAGCCAGCTGTACCAAGAGTTCAGGACAAGCATCCTAGCCAGAGGGATGAGCACATGCAAAAGTGAGTGGGACAAGAGTGAGGGACATTCAAGGCTGTGAAAGAAAACCAGAGTGGCTGGAGCATAGTGGCAGAAGGAAAGCACTGCATGAGATGAGGTGGCAAGAAAGTCAGGGGCCCAATCAGTCAAGTGTGTGAGGACTTCAGAAAGGAGTTTGAATTTCATTCTAATAACAGTGTGAAGCCATTGGATGTTTGCTGATCCTTGATGCTTTTTGGTGCTTTGAGAGAAAACATGTAATTTTCAGAGGCAGGTACACCAAAGTTTCTCTTTAAAAGCTTTGGCTTATGGGTGACATTTTAACTTTGGTTGTCTAATTGTTTCCAGAATGAGTCTTTTTCAAAAAGTAAAATCAATGCTTTTGAGCTTTCTTTTTAACTAAAAATTGCTTATATTTTACTTGCACAACATGATGTTTTGACGTACATATGCATAGTGAAAAGACTTTGACAGTCGGTGAATTAATATATCCATCTCTTCTTATAGTTACTTTTTTTGGTGAGAGCACTTGAAATCTACTTTCATGGGGGAATTTCTGGCATTCTCACAGTATTATTAACTGTAGCACTCATGCTGTACATTAAATGTCTAGACTTACTCATTGTATGTAACTATAACTTTATACTCTTTGACCAACACCTCCTCATTTGTTCTACCTCCCTAACCCTGGTAACCACCATTCTCTCAGCTTGGGTCTATTTAACTTTTGTAGGTTTTACACATAAATGAGATCATGCAGTATTTTTCTTTTTGCGTCTGGCTTACTTCACTTACCAAAATGAATCTTCAGTGACAGTGTCAAGAAAAGGCAGTGGACTAAAATCGAAGCTGTCTGCATTTTTGCCTAGGTTCTGCTGTTGGTTACTGTGCAACCATAAGCAACTTCATACTCCTCTCTGGACCTCAGTTCCTCATCTGGAAAGTTTAAGGTTGAGCAGGATGTTGCATTTATCATGACTTTTTATTGAAATTGACAGAAACATGGTTCAAAATGGCTTAAACAGAAAGAAATATATTCATTCATCTATCCGAACAATCCAAGGGCAGTGGCTCCAGTTATGTGTGGATCCAGGAGCTCACATTTAGTCACCAGGAATCTGATTCTCCATTTCTTGGCTCTTTATTGACTTCACTCTCCAGGAGGTCCCGTCTGTGGGTGGTTCCCCACAGTTCCTGGCTAGCATCATTCAAAGAATTAGAAATCCTTGTACAAAAGGATATTTCTCTCCTAAACGGTGATATCAAAAGTTCCAGAATTGCATGCTGACTTGAGGCACATGACCATGGCTGTGGCCAGGGTATGAGGATAAGATCATTGGCCAAGCGTGGATCATGTGCCCACCCCTGGAGTCAGCATGAGCCACATTAACAAAGAATGGTGATGGTGTGATTTCCCACATGAAAAGGGAAGAACAGGAAATGGATTCTGAATAGGCAAACGGGAAATATCCATGAATGCTCTTTTGGGCTTTAATAGTCCCATAAATCCTGAGATAAAGAGTCAGTTCTTTGAAACCTCTTCCTTGTTGAAATTCGTCATTGGCTCTAGAAAAAAACTCTACTTTGGCCTAAAGTGCCAGAATTATGTATTTATTTTGTTTAAATTTATGGTATAATCACCCATCTTCTCCTTCCATTTTTTTTTTCTGTGTCTGTAAACTCTGTTAACGCACATCTAGATTTTCTCCTATGGTTCTTTTTCATGATTTATAAAACTTGTGTGTACTTTTGAAGCATTTTGCCTCAGTGCAAATGCTTACTCACCTACTCTGGTACCTTTTCCCACAAAGAACATGAAGACAATCTTTTAACAGAATCTATCTTTATTTCCTTGCCTACATTCCTGCCCTTATTCATGTTATTGCCACCAAATTTTGACTCCACATGCTTGCAGAGCCAGGCAGGCAATGGGTGCACCAAAGCAAACCACTTCAAATGTACAAACACATTTTATGAATCATGAAAATGAACCATAATAGATCATCTAGATGTACATTAACTGAATTTAGATACACAGAGCAAAAATTGAAGGAGAGATTGATGTTTACGCCATAAATTTATGCAAAATAAATATATAATCCTGGTATTTTAGGCGAAACTGGAGGTTTTTTCTGGAGTCAAGGACTAATTTCAACAAGGAAGAAGTTGTAAAAGACTGCCATCATTACAGGATTTATGGGATTATGAAAGCCCAATGTATATTTCCTTAAGTTCTTGCTTTTACGTGAAGTATTTGGCACTTGCTAGTCAGCCTTTCTGATTTTCACTTAATGCCACAAGCCATCTTTTGCCACTAGATTCTGATTCATTACTAATTACCTGAAATGCATGACTTTAAAAAAATGAGATCTAATCCACAAACTATAAAATTTGCCATTGTACATACAATTCAGTGGGAGTGTATGTGCAAGGTTAAACAACCATCACCACTATCTTAATTCCAGAACATTTTCATCATCCTAAAAAGAAAACCTATACCCATTAGTGGTCACCTCCTATTTGCCCCTCCAAAATGCATGACTTTCGTCTCTGAAGTTAGGTCCTTAAGGGCAGTGGCTGAGACTTATACTTTTTTTTGACTTATACCTTTTTATATGCCTCTCACAGAAGTCTAGCCTAATTCTGGGGCCATAAGAGGCATTCATGCAAATGTATTGAATTTAAATCTTATTATATTGATGGTGGTCTCAGTTCAAGGTGAGAGGCTATGTGACAGTGAAAAGAATACTGAGCAGTGAGTTAGTTTTAGTTTTTCTTTTTGCCTGACACCAGCTGAGACTTTAGGTAATGCTCTCTCTTTCTTTTCATCTAAAAAATTGTCCTAATTGTCCTCTGTCAAGGACATGCATGGACTCAATGACTTATATAGTGCCTTCCTGTTCAAACTGGCACCTAGTACTGTTAATTTTGAAGTCAAAACTCACTTAAGGCATAAGACAATTTATTGAATGAAAACAGCAGGATTTCCTTCCATTTTCACTGGTGTATCTAGAATACATGAAATAATAAAGCCCCTGTCTGGGAGCCGTGCTTAGGGGATGTAATGTGATCTTGCTCATTCTTGTCGGCACTCACTTGAACCAAGATGGCATGCACCAATACAGAAAAGAAAAAAAAGGAAGAAAAAAGTGCTGCTCTTGGTCAAGGGCCCAACTTTCGCCTTAGTTATTTTATTGGAAGTTAATATGTATTTGCATTCAAAGAATTTTCTCTGGAAATTATGAGTCAAAATACTAAGTAGAAGTCATGGTACAGAAAGACAAAAATATACAGATTGTGTGTTGTACTTTATTCATAACTTGGAGGCTAAATATCTTTCCCTTTCCACCTAACAAATCTTTGTGGCATGCAGTTTCAGTCATTTTGTAGCTTACCCAGGGCCTAGTGTCTTCAAGAACATTTTAGGAAAAAAAAAAAAAAGTGAAACAGTCCTATTTTTCATGATTCCCAAATGAGTGGTTCAACGTCATGGAAATGAGGTCGGGATGGTAAACAGACAGCTGTTCTGTATTTCTCCTTCCAGGGAGATGAAGGTCAAAGATGCCTTCCTTCTGCTTATAGGTCCCTCCCAGATGGATTGTAAACAAGTGTGCATTACAGCCCTAACTGCACTGGGAAAGAAGAGAGGCATTTTGGTACAGCCTTTAGAAGTGTTGAACATACATGTCTTTGATTCTGTTTTCTCATCTCTTTGCAGTGTCTTTCTTTCACAACATGAAGCCATTGATTGAATGAAGTTAGAATAACTTTTGACATATCTAACCAAAATAGATAGCAAAGGGACTGGTTGCTAAGCACAGCTTCACTGGGTTCCCTGGCTGACAGGCTGTATTAGCATGCCAGACTTTGCAGAAGCAAGTTCTTAGTTATTGGCAGTTGGTTGTTTAAAGCTGTTAAAAGCCTCTCAGGTAATAGTGGGTCAGCAGCACGTGTGATATTAAGGATAAATTACTTAATTTACCAATTACAAGCCTTCCTAACAGGATGTAAGCTGCTTAAGGGCATTACTTGTTCAAACATATACTCAACAAACATTATTGAGCACCTACTATGTGCTGGGTAAGTGATAGGTTCTGAGGATATAATAATGAAACTACAGTTTCTGTTTTTGTGGCACTTGAGCTTACTGGTTGAGAAAGAGGGGAGAATAAGTATGATGGAACAGCACTTATTAGTACAGACAGTCCTCAACTTACAATGGTTCCATTTGTGATCTCTGATTTTACAATGGTGCAAAAGTGACACGTTCAGTAGAAGCTGTACTTCGAGTACCCATATAATCATTCTGTTTTTCACTTTCAGGACAGTATTCAATAAATTACATGAGGTATTCAACACTTTGCTATAAAATAGGCTTTGTCTTAGATGATTTGCCTAACTGTAGACTAATGTAAATGTTCTGAGCATGTTTAAGGTAGGCTAGGCTAAGCTATGTTTGGTAGGTTAAATGTATTAAATGCATCTTATAATGGGTTTATTGGAACATGACCCCACCATAAGTCGAGGAGCATCTGTATGTTAGTGTCTTTCTTCTCCTATACAATAAAGAGGGTATTCTTTTTCTTCTTCTTCTTCTTCTTTTTTTTTTTTTTTACCTCTTTTTACCAAGGAAAATATATTCAGTATCTTCTCTTTCCATTCCCCTTGAGAAATGTTCCACATTGACTGCTTGGTTTTTGGGGTTGGTGATGCAGAATTGGGAAAAAGAGAAGAGGTAGACAAAACAGGAGAAGCAAGAAGATAGGCTAAGAAAGACAAAAGGCTCTCATGCTGGGCACTCGTGCTAGAGCCAGACTTTTCTTAGAAATAAGGAGGAGGGGGCAATAGAGGAGTCATGGGATGAGAAAGAAGTGGATGAAAGTGGAAAGAAGATTTTAAGATGCATTGCTATAGATTTTGTTTATACATGTGTTTTGTTTATGCATGTGTATGTGCACATATATGACACATATTTTAAACAAAAAAGACTACATTATGTATTTTTGATGTTCTGCAGCCTTTTAAGCTTAGTGTAACAGAATATTTTCAGGTCAGTAGACATATATCTGTCTTTTTCTTTTTTTTATTAGCCCCATAGCATTTTACTTAATGTAGATACCCTAATTTATAAAATCATTTCTCTTTTGATGGACATTTATTACAGTATTTCCCAAAACGCTTTTTTTTTTTTTCTTTTGAGATGAAGTCTCGCTCAGTCGCCCAGGCTGGAGTGCAGTGCGGAATCTCGGCTCACTGCCAGCTCCGCCTCCCGGGTTCATGCCATTCTCCTGCCTCAGCCTCCTGAGTAGCTGGCACTACAGGCGCCTGCCACTACGCCCGGCTAATTTTTTTGTATTTTTAGTAGAGACGGGGTTTCACCATGTTAGCCAGGATGGTCTCGATCTCCTGACCTCGTGATCCGCCTGTCTCAGCCTCCCAAAATGCTGGGATTACAGGCGTGAGCCACTGTGCCCGGCCCCAAAACACTTTTTTACTTATATTTATTTTCATGGTTGTGCAAACATTTTTATAGAATAGATTCTTAGGAGTTGGTTTGCTGGATTATAGAAAATGTGCATCACATTTTTTTCATAGATTTTGCCAAATTGCCCTCCAAAAATGTGCCAAGTCTATTAAAAGGTTTGAGGATGAATGCTTTTCATATTTTCATTAGCTCCATCTTCAAAGTCAAGAGCTGCAATGTCACTGGTGAGTCTGCCTCAAAATCCTCAGACTCTTCAGTTTTTTAAAGATAAGCATGATAGTCTTGCAAAGCCAGATTCACTGCTTTATGGAAGAGTAGCTCTTATGGGTATGCTCTAAGGCATGGCTTGAAAATGGAAGCCTTAAAGCTTTTGACTCTCAGACATAGTTCTAAAGCCAATTCTAAAGCTGCTTGGAGAATTCTGAGTGTCACGTAAGGTGAGTTCACTTTAGCTGTCAGCATTTCTTAGGGCAAATTGTAACTACAGAGTTATCAGCTCCATTCAACAGCCTTCACTGTGGAATTTTTAGTCTTCCCACAGGAGACATTTAGCTAATAAGAAGGTTATCCATGCACATATGTGTATCTGTCAAATCACTGGTAATGAACCATTTGGTTCATGGGTATAACAACAATGAAGTTTCATATTCCCCCTTCAACAACCTCTACAAATATCTCAGTTCTGTAAAATATCTTTTCTGATTAATTATCGAGTACATCCTTTAGTTCTGTACTAATGACTTTCAAATACGTTATCTCATTTCTTTTAAACAACTTTATGAGCCAGGTTTTAATAGTCCCATTAAGAACAGAAACCAAATGTCGGAGAGTTTAAGTAACAGCCACACATCTAGGTCAGTATTTGAAACCAGATTTATCTGATTCTATACTGTTAAAAACTATGACTTAGTGCTCATTAAATGACATGACATTAAATAATTTCATTTCTTGATCTATTTAGGGACCTCTGATTCTATTTTATAAGAAGCTTCTCCCATCTTACTTTTGTTCTCACAGACTGTTTTTCTGATCTCGTTTTGTAGCCAAGGCAAGAACCAACTTCATCAATAAGCCATTTTGGTCCCAAATTTTAAAAAGAAAAGAGCATACTATAGTAGATAAAAGTATAGAGTCAGCCTCTCTGGGTTCAAACTTTGGTGCTGCCATTTACTAAGTGTTGACCTTGGGCAGGCCTCAGTTTTCTCGTTTGTAAAACTGGTACACTTAGCTTGCTTACCTCATTGGATTAGTGTGAGAATTAAAATGAAATAGTGCCTTCAAGCATTTAGACAGTTACCTGGCACATACTAAGTATAGATTAAGATCTGACTCCCCCTGCAACTATTCCTTTCTACTGTTTCTCATCTTGCTCCACCAGCGGCATCTCCTCTGGTGTTCTGTCTGGCTCCTTGACAACCCAGGTCATTCACTTCATTCTCACTCAATTGTCTGTATCCTCACCCAGACATTTTCTCTTAGTCAGAAGTCTTGTTGTAGTCCTGCTCTGGCTCATGATCCAGATTGCCTGTCATGTGGATTGTCATCTGTTTGTCATTAGATTGCTATTTTACCTCAAGTTTCTAAATGATTTTGGTCCATAACCTAACAAAGTCCCAACTAACTCAAGCTCCCTGTTGTCTCTACCTCATTCATATCAGTACCTTTCATAAGCATGCCTGACTTTTCCATCTTCTACTTTCCTCATCTGGTCGCCAGCTTGGGCAAACTTATGCTTTGGTTAATAAAAATTTGGTTGTCAAGCACTGTTTCTGATTGTTTTCTTACCAATTCTAGTCATTCAAAATTTATTTAACAAGTATTTCAGAGAACTCACTATGTATCAGGTAGTGTGCTGGGTGTTGGGGACATACTGGTGAACAAAACAGACACTGGGTAGCCTAATGGGTAATTATTAGATGATTAGATTATCACACAACTTTAAAGTTGCAATCGTGGTAAGTGCTAAAAAGTTAAGTCACACGGTGTCATGACAATTTACACTAGAGATATTGGGCCTTGTCAGAGAGATGAGAAAAGGCTTCCCTGAAAAAAGAAAAAATGCTGGAGATGAGGTCCAGAGGATGAGTAGGAGGAGTTACCTAGGCATATAGGGAGACAGGAGTGTTAGAGACTGAGGAAGTGCATTCATAGTGGTGCTGTGGTGAAAAGAAGCATGGGAAGTATTATCTCCTGGGAGAAGGCCAGTGAGGGTTGAACAGAGAATACAAGGTTCAAGATAAGAGTAGGGTCAGGTGAGACCACATTGGGCCTTGTCGGCTCTTTTGAGGATGTTGATCTTTATACCAAATGCAATGGGGAACCATTGGATGATGGTTGGTGTGGCAATAGGGTACTGGGGATATGATCAGATTTTCAGATGTATTTTGGAGATATCTACCTGGGCAGGACAAAGAGTGGGTTATGGGTAGACCAGAATGTGCCTGAGGCAGGGACTTAGGTAGCCTAATCTAGGATAACAGATAATAGTTATGGAAAGAAATAAATAGCACTGAGAAATACCAGAGCTGAAATCAGTAATTTTTGGTGATATTGGATGTGAGAGATGAGGGAGTGAAATGATATCAAGATTTCTGGCTCACACAACTAGCCAGAAAGTGATTCCCTTTTACTGCGATAGGGAAGAAGAATGGAATTGCACGTGCTTAATTTATTCAATTACACATTAGGTGCTCCACATAAGGCTCTTATAATCTCTGACAGCAGAAAACCAATCAACCTAGTTTGAGTAAAAGTTTTCTTTTCTTTTCTTTTTTTTTTTTTTTTTTTTGAGATAGAGTCTCGCTCTGTTGCTCAGGCTGGAGTGCAGTGGCGTGATCTTGGCTCACTGCAACTTCCGCCTCCCGAGTTCAAGCAATTCTCCTGCCTCAGCCTCCAGAGTAGCTAGGACTACAGGCACACGCCACCACACCTGGCTAATTTTTTGTATTTTAGTAGAGACGGGGTTTCACTGTGTTGCCCAGGCTAGTCTCGAACTCCTGAGCTCAGGCAATCGGCTTCCCAAAGTTCTATGATTACAATCATGAGCCACCATGTCTGGCCTGAGCACAAGTTTTAATGTAAGGATATAGGGAATCTCATGGAAGCAGTGGCAGTAGGGCCTTGGGGAAACTAGAAAGTTATCAGGAACTAAGACCTTTTTCCCTGGCTCTCAAGGACTGCTTCTCTCTGTGAGTTTCCTCCATCCTTCTCTTTTTCTTGATTTGATACTCCTGCTGGCTCCCTTTGCATATGGCTCACCACAGCCACTAACCAAAAATCTATTCCTAATTGATCAGCTTCAGCATTCATCACCAACCACCTACAGTTTCTGTGTCCTATTTCAAATTATTGATACACAGAGAGAATTGTTGGTCAGCTGTCCAGTTGTATTCCTGGTCCAATCAGCTGGGCTGTGTGATAATGCTACCCCAAATCTAGGGGTTATGAACAGGGAAGACAATAATACTCAACTGTAGTAAAACTACTTTAGGCTAGGAAAAGTGTTATACGTATTGACATTGTTTGAAGTGACTAGCAAATAACTGGCATTTAGTAGATGCTCAATAAGTACTCTGTCCTTGTTGAGTCACTGGAGATCTTTAAATACTTTTGAACTGCTGAGATACATCAGAATCTCCTGTGACATTTTTTAAAAATTCAGAGTTCAAGGTATGCCTTCAGAGAAGGAGATCAGTGATCTAAAAGGGACCTCAGGAATATGCATTTCTAAAAAAAGGGACCTAACCTAAATTTGATACAAGTGGTTCATGGATCACACTTTGATGGACACTGCTCTAATGCTTCAATAATCATGCCCAGAAATCTCTGTTGTAAACTCTGGACACTGAGCTCCTTCTGGATCTTCTGAAATTCTACTTATCTATTTATATATTGGGGCAAATATTTATCTCTTTCTTATATCCAAAGATGGATTTGAAGGTTAACAAGGTAACTTTGGAAATAAGCTTTGACCTCTCTTTTCCAGAGCCATAATAAATATGAAAGAAGGTATTAATATATATACGGACAACTTCTATATTGCTTGAATTGCCTAAAACTCTTCTTAGCATTCACTATTTCCTGATGATGACCCATGAATGAATAAGACCTCATCAGTGTTTTATTGTCTGCCTTCAGAAACTGGAAATGTAACTGTTAAATCACTGCTACTTGTCCTGAGTAAAATTCTTACAAGGGGAATAGAGGAAAAGTTCTTGAAAAGTCAAACAAAATGCTGTCTGTAACTGCCTGGCTTTTCAAAAACAAGGCTTTCTGATTATAAAAGATCCATTTTGAGGAGTGCCAGCCAACAACACAGCCCTATTACACACATTGTGTGGTTATAATATGGTCTGACACTAAGGTCAGTGGAATTTCAAAGTGAGGGAAGCCTGGGAGAGTTGCCAACCAGCTCTTTGAAAGAGTGGATCCTTCAACCTGGTCCAGGTCCTCACTTTTCTCTTTGCCATTAGCCACTGCAGTCTGAGTGCAGCTTCTATCACATCTCTGAAACTTCTCTCTGGGTTTAAAAATGATTCCTGTTAGCAGTGGTGTCCTTCTGTCATTATGCATCTTAAGTGCCATCTCTGTAAACCCTTAATTTCTAAAGGTTGCTCCTTGAAGCTTTTTCCTCCCTTGCTTTTGAGATCACGACTCTCTTCCACTTCACATTCTCCCACACTGGTGGTTACTTTTAAGTCTTTGCTGACTCTTCTTTCTATTTGCGTTAGTGTTTTTTGGGGTTCTAGCCTCGTTGTTGGGCAGGCACATCATCTCCCTTTCTTTAGCTGTAATGTATTTGTAGTTGATTCTCATCTATCAGTCTACAGCCTGGGACTCCCTCTTGAACTCATTTTTCCAACAGCTTCTAGAATTTTTCATTTGTTTGGCATATAGACAACTAACATCTAGCAGGTCCAAAACTTGGGCTTATTGTTTCCTCCTCCAGCCCTCTTCCTTCTTTTCTGATCTTTATTTATTAAAGGTATTATCATCCACCAGAAACTTTGCCACCATGCTCGATCCTTCACTTTTGAATTTCTGTCACTTCTTCTCCACCTCTCCTATCACTGTCCTGATTCAGGCTGCATCCTTTATCATCTAAGGGCTGTTGTAATATTCCAGTTTCCCTGCTTTCAATTTCTCCGCATCCAATTTCAAGAGTCACCCTGTCACAATTCTTTTTCTAAAATACAAACCTGTTCATGTCTATTTAAAACCTTTGATGTCTGGTGCATACATTATCTGATCTAAAACCCACTATATTATATAAAACTACATTATATAAAATCTATTATTTAGCAGACTTCATAAGAATTTTCACAGTCTGGCACCAGTCTTCCTTTCCAGCCTAATCAATGATCTCCCTCCGAGTAATAGCATTTTTTGAGTGATGGGTACTTTAATTGTAATAGAACTTACTTAAATGAACTGTGGGACAAGTATGAACAAGAAACTACTATTAGTCTTGTTTTGCACATGAGGAAGGTGATACAAAGAAAAAGTTAAATGACTTGCCTGAGATCACGTAGCTAGCTAAGGATGGAGTGCCAGGGTGGAACTAAGCACTCCTTAGTCACTTTGCTACTCTGCCTTTACAGAAGTCACACTGAACCGCCTCAGGTGACTGTGCCTTTGTTCATGCTACCTGTGTGGCTTGCATTGTCACTTCCTTGTCAAAGATCCTGTGTGTACTTGAAGGTTCTGCTTACAAGGCACCATGTCTATAAAGCCTTACCAGACTTCTTGCAATTAACAGCTCCCTTTTTTTTTGGGGGGGGGGGTCCTCTAGCAACTGGTATATATTTCAATTATAATATTATATCACTTTTTGTAAAGTGAGCTTCATGATGTGTCTCTGCTTAATTCAAGTGAACTCTCTGATGACTTTATATCTTAATCATTTTTAAGTCCCCATTGTCCAGTACATAGCAACACCTTGGGAAATATCTGCAAAAGGTAGAAGGAGTAATATTTTCATTATCTCATTAGATTATTATTGGCTAATCCAAACATTTCTTCTAAGTAAACTAATTTCAGGTATTAACATATAAACATTGAGGATTCTCAGTAAGCTGCTAAAAGTTTATTAATGACATGCTATGAGCAGGTGTTTTCAATAACTTTAATTGTGAATACCTAGAAAGTAGTTACTTCTTTGGGAAGCACCAAGAGGCCTTGACAGAGGTATGATACAGTCAATTGTGTTGATAAGACGTTTCTCAGTGATGAACAACAGAAAAGCAGACCCAAACAATAAAGAGCACTTTTTGCCTCATTTTTAAAAAAAGAACGGTGGCAGGAATAACTTGATTTTGTAAGGATAAGATGTTTTTCTTTTTTCCTTTTTGGTTCTAATTTCTTGGTGTTGCTTCTATTTTCAGCAAGCATCTCCTCTTGTATCCCCGAGGCTTGCTCATTCAAACTGAGGCAGGGGGTTGGGGTGGAAGGTGAGGCGGGGGAGACAGTGTGTGTCTCTTTACCCAGTAGTCAATAGGATTCAGTCTGTTTGGATCAGTTAGACCAGACGTATCCCTAAAAGTCAACTGTAGTTGAAGGATGTGATTATAATAATCAAAGTCCTATGCCATACCCCACCCAAAGTCTTGTGTGGCAGCAGCTGTTCCCAAACAAATAGGCTGCAGGGGGAGAAGGTGGACATTTTAACAAAGGCCTGGTGGCTGATACCAAGCAAAGAGCACATGGATGATGAATGACCAAAATCAGTAAAATGACTCATGAATGATCACTATGAAAATGGATCAAAAAGACAGGGAAAATGTGTGATCCGGAGGCTGTTGTCTTGCCTCCCAAGAAAGACAACCTGGTCCTATTTCTGTGGAAAAGTAGGGCACACTATGTAATGTAAGAAAAGTTCTTATCATTCTGATCTTTGGGAAGGGAGCTCAATTGGATATTCTCTGCTCTTTGTCATGGAAGGCTGAGCTGCATGGTGTGTTTCAGTGAGCTCTCCAGTTTCAGGAGAGGTTCAGTCCATGGGGAGACAGAAGGCGGGAGGAGAATGAGGTTGGGGTATGTATTGCCCTGGTACCTCCCTGCTGGGCTGTGGGTTGGCTGTGTCCCTGCTCCTGCCAGACACACCTACTTTCTCTGGATTCTAAACCACTTCCTCCCTTTGCCTTCTCAGATCTTGAAGATGTTGCTCTTCCTGGGGTTCTGTATTGCTGATTTTGCTAAACTCTGCCCACACTTTTGTAAAGAGTCTCTTTATTAAACTGATCCCAAATCACTCAGTTGGAGTATGCCATCTGTTTTCTGCCAAGACCCTTACTGATACAGTGGGTAATCATTTCTCTCGTAACATGTTTTCAATCACTGCAGTGACACTTTTCCAAAATAGAATGATCATGACAATCAGTCAAAGGTAAATTTTTTTAATTGAAAGAAGGCAACATTTCTCCAGTCAATTTTGGTCATCACTTGTGATTGGGTTGCCAAGTCAAAGGATTTTCAACCTGAGCACAAAAGAGTTGTTAGAGAGTTTTTCTAATAGTTGTTAAGCAGGTTTATTTATTTATTTATTTATTTATTTATTTATTTATTTAGAGACTGAGTCTTGCTTTGTCACCCAGGCTGGAGTGCAGTGGCACAATCTCGGCTCACTGCAACCTCTGCCTCCTGGGTTCAAGCGATTCTCCTGCCTCAGCCTCCCGAGTAGCTGGAATTACAGACACGCGCCACCACACCCAGCTAATTTTTGTATTTTTAGTAGAGACAAGGTTTCACCATGTTGGCCAGGCTGGTCTTGAACTCCTGACCTTGTGATCTGCCCCCCTCGGCCTCCCAATAAGCAGGTTCTCTTAGTTTGCATGTTCCTATGCAAATTGGTTAAGATTTCTCTTGGCTCCTCTAACTACAAATAATAAATAAATGCAAATGTTAGTTTAAAAACTTTAGTTTTTATAAGATTTTATCAGGAACATTTATTCTCGATAATATTAGTATAGTTTTTAACTGCTAAAGGAAGAATGTAGAGTTATGTAGTCACGACAATGGTATTTACCATTCAAATTACTGATATAAACTTTTCTATCTATACAACTTAGTATAAATAGCAACCCCAAGAGCAGATTATCTAGAATTATGTTAATATTCTTTTAAGAAAAAAATAGTAAACTTTTTATTTCTTTTGTGCTGGGATTTAAATCCTTGAAAATGGCTCTACAACGGAAAACACCAATGATCAAGAATCGCTAGCTTGTGCCATTCCATTTAATGCTGACTGAATTCAATTTATTCCCCTTGGTTTCCTAGTTTCTTATTTACATTATTTCTGATGTCATTAAAGTTAGAAATATTAATTGTGTTAATATTTTAAGGTCCTTCTTTAGTATAGGAAACTGTACATTTAAAAATTATTATTACTATATTAGAGATGAGGTCTCACTCTGTTGCCCAGGTTAGAGGGCAGTGGCACAATCATAGCTCACTGCAGCCTTATCTCCTGGTCTCAAGTGATCCTCCTGCCTCAGCCTCCATAGCAACTGAGTTCTAGGCACGTGCCACCACACCTGGCTAATCTTACATTTTTAAGTGCTTAAAAATAACTTGTGAAATAAATTCTTGGTTTCATTTACTGAGAGTCTGGTTTAATAGGTCCTGGTAAACTCCAGACTTCATTTTCTTTCTACTCTCCGCCTTGCTCATTATGTTCTGGCCACAAAGGCTCTCCTGTTGTTTCTCAAACCTGCAAAGTTGTTCCTGTCCCAGAGTTTTATATTGAAAACCATGAGTTTACAGTGATATCTCTAGGTCTAGTTCATACCACAGGGTTCATTCTCATCCCCTCCTTCTTTCTTCCCTTCTTCAGCAGTAATTTGGCTCCCATTATCTTTAATATGTTTACTTATTTGCCTAAACCCTGCTCATAGTCAAACACCTAACCCCATTGGTCTGCTGGCCCATTTGAAATCCCTCCTTGTCAGGTCCCAGTCCCTGCCTTCCCACCCTCCTCAATGCCTCCCTTGTGGCAGGACTTTCCAACTGAATTGAAAGGAAAGAAAGAAGGAAGGAAACAATTTCATCTTTTAAAATGAGGTTATAAAGTTGCTAATGTTTAGGATAGGATTTTGGATTAAGGAGTGACGTGTTTTATAAGCTCTAAAGTTATATTCAGTGGTTACTTGTACTCTTTTTTTTTTTTCTTTTTTTGAGACTGAATCTCGCTCTGTCACCCAGGCTGGAGTGCAGTGGCACCATCTTGGCTCACTGGAAGCTCTGCCTCCTGGGTTCATGCCATTCTCCTGCCTCAGCCTCCCGAGTAGCTGGGGCTACAGGCAGCCGCCACCATGCCCGGCTAATTTTTTTGTATTTTTAGTAGAGATGGGGTTTCACTTTGTTAGCCAGGATGATCTCAATCTCCTGACCTCGTGCTCCGTCCGCCTCGGCCTGTAATCCCAAAGTGCTGGGATTACAGCACTTTGTGAGGCGTGTGCCACTGCACCTGGCATGTACTCTTACACTTAATATAGCATTCACTGAATAAATTAATAGCGTGAAATTAGTAAGTAAACACCTCCGAACTGTAGTAGAGCATAAATACTAGTTTGGTATCTAATTCTAAATATACTACCTGGATCACTAAGAATTTGAAAAATTATTTAAGTTCATTCATTCATTTATTCAAGAAACACAATTTAAATACCCTCTTTGTCCCAGAAACTATCCTAAGAGGTAGGGATATTAAAATTAATAAAATAGACTTGATCTCTCCTGTCATAATGATGTGGGCTAGCTGAGAAGCAGACACCTAATGAGCAACAGCAGTAACATAGGGCAAGTGCTTTGTGACAGCTCTAGAGAGAGCTCTGAGAGCACACTAGAGGGGTGCACAATCACATCTGTAGGGGAGCTCAGGACTTTCTGGAGAAGATGAGCATTAGGCTGCAACCTCATGTAAGTAAGAGTTAGTGAGGTGACAGGAGAAGAGTATTGGGGGCAGAAGGAGCAGAATGTGGGAATGGGAGAGAGAGCATGTTGTTTTTGAGGAATTAAATGGAACTTGAGGTGGTGGGTACAAATGAGTGGCAGATGTGGAATAAATTTGATTGGGATTATCAGGGGTCTTGTGAGTCTGTTAGGAGCCTTGGGCCTTATTCAGAGAGTCATGAAAAGTCAGTAAAGAATACGGAAGAGATGCAGTTAGCTCTTTGTAAGCATTTCTCTGACTTCCCCACTGAGGAGAGAGTATGGATTAGGGCAAGATGGCAAGACTGAAGGTGCAGCAAGAGCTCAGATGCAATCACAGCCATCTAGGGGAGAGATAGTGAAGGCATGGCCTGGGTAGACACCACAAGGATGGACAGAAGTGGCTATCAACCACAGAGATTTAGAAGTGGGCTCAACAGAAATGATGCCCAGATCTCTGGCACTGGCAAATTCTCTTTAATATAGTAGAGGACATGAGTAGGTTGAGGTAGGTTGAAACTGGGGGCAATGAGAAAGGGGAGATGAGAAAATCATTCCCAAACATTTGTAAAATTAGAGGTTTAAACTTATAGCAATAAAATTATATGATTTTATTTTGTTTTCATGTGGCCAAAGACAGAGCAATTTTAAAGCTGTTGGGGAATTCTCTTAAATATTTCCCCTTTCCTCTTGTGATTCAGGCAGCTAACCAATCTAGACTTTAGTTACTAATTAAGCCCAGGGAACAGGAAATATTTGTATTCCTCAATATTTAAATTGAAACAAAAGAAGGGGAGGTGGGGTGCTGGCAGAGGCTAGTAAATATGTTAGCTTTCATAAGCATGAAATAACACAAGATTTATCATTCCACATTTTATAACTTGGGTGATTTTAGATCTTCTGTGGCCAGGATGATTTTATTGTCCTATAATTCTCAGTTCTGTGATTTGTGCTTTCTCTTAGCTTGAGAAACTCTCTCAGTTGGTTATGACTTTACAGTTGCTGCAAGGGAGTCATTATACACAGATGGCTTTTAGGAGGGGAGTCAATTTGATAGGCATTTTCCTTGATTACGATGCCTCCTCTCTGCACTGATCATTATAAGAGTGAAGATTCTTGCATGTCAAATGGTGAAAATGTTTCCAGGGTCTTGAAAAAGAAAAGAACATTGCATTTGGCAGATGATCTCTGTATGACTATACTCTGATGAAAAAGCTGGCTGGTTCCTTTAATTTATTCAGATAAATTTTTATAAGCAATGATAAAGCCAAACCAACATTGAGACACCAAAGGGAAAAGACTGAGCAGGATTTGTAGCAGTAAGTAGATATTGACTTGAGCATATAATTATATCCACCTTGTTATATGGTTTCATTTTCTTCTGTTGCAACCTTGCAAATAAGTACAAAAATCTTATCAGACATCACTTGTACCCACTTTTTTTTTTAGTTAGTTCAACTGCGCTTGCAAGAGAACACAGGCTGAAAAAGAAATAAATACTTTTTTATTTGAAGCCAATTTTATTTCTTTTCTTATATTAACTTTTAAATCAACCTTTTATTGCACAGTTGGTGTAAGTTTATTTTAGAAATATCAGGAAATGCAAGCCAGTGTTTTTCACCTAAATTTGTCTGAGTCTGAGGAAAGGCCGGGTCCATGTGGATAATCTTTGAGTACAGAGCTACAGAAGATAAAATGGACACCACCGACCAGCCTGGTTATTTTACATTCAGATCTTACATTTTGTGATCTATAATAACAGAAAAGCTGTGCCACTGTCCCTGGGTGGACTTTTTCGTGAAGATTAAGGGAAAAAATTTGGTTATAATGAATAGTTCCTCCAGTTTGACTCCAATCAAGCAATGTTTTCTAATTAGCTGTCAAAAGCAGACTTTGCTGCCAAATTTTGAGAACCTAGAGCAAAGAAAAGTATATTCTTGTTTGAAGAAGTCTCCTTCTTGAGGTATACATATAATACCAAGTATTGAGCATTTACTACATATCAGACATTGTGCTAAGCATTTCACGTGTATTTTATTTAATCCTCATGTAAAGCCTCTGAGGTAGGTATTACTCCCGCTTTAACAGAAGGGAAATTTAACTACCAAAAGATGAACTTGCTCCAGATCACAAAACTTGTCCTCTTAACCATGAAGCTAAGCTGTTTTCCCTCTTCTCTTTCCTCTGTGTTACTTTCCTCTCCAGTATGAGAATGGGTCCATCTTGTCTAAATTAGAATAGGCATTTTTTGTTTTCAAATTTCAGTGAAAAATAGCTGAGATAAAGATATTCACTTCCTGAACACCTGAACATAACCAGTTAAAGATCCTGTAGTTAAGGGAATCATGGCAGGAGAGAAAGAGATAAAGCATTCCATCTCTGCTCTACCTGAGGTGGAGCCAATTTAGGGTTCCTATCTGGAAGAGATAATTGATTTTGTCCCTCTGGCCAGACAGTCTCTGGTATGTTCATACAATGAATGTTCTACTTGCCTGTCTTTTCATTTACTCCCCACTGTGATTTTACTTCAGGTTCATGAATTTCCACATAGCCTTGTTTCCCTTTTTACAAGTGTACATCTTGGAAGGGGGCATATGTATCCTTTCATCTCCACATTGATATATGCAGTGTCCTTCCTCCAAATCTTGTTCAAATCTTGAAGATGATATTTAATTACTTATAGTTTAATTTTGAGTTTTCTCTGATGACTGCATTTTATTTTTGCATGTATTAGAGATATTGAGTATTAAAATGATTATTTTCAGATTATTTTCTGTTTCCCTGTTAATTTTTCAGAGAAATCATTTTTTTCTCTTGCTCCTATGTTATTCGCTTGACCTCATGCTACAATAACAATTATAGAGTGCCTTCAAAAATGATAAATATAATGATAATAATGTCATACACTTCACAAGTTTTTATGTTTTATAGTATGTGAGGCCTGGAAATCTGCATATTTAGCAAGCATTGCAGATAATTCTGATCCAGGATATCTGTGGACCATATTTTGAGAAACACTGTTCTAATGGACCTTATTTCCATTTCCTATCCTGCCATTTAGACCTCAGATTATCTATAGATTTGGATCCTTGCTATGCCACTTTCCACTTCTATGTCACTTTTCACTTCTATGTACGTGAATAGCCTTGAACAACTTTAAGGAAAAGGAAAACCACCAAATGTATGTTAAAAAAAGTTATTTACCATGATATTGAAGCTTATGTTCCTCCCATGCAAATAATCAATCATCTGGAGAAAGTATCTCATTTGACGTGAGAACCAGAGTAGCTTCTGAACCTAAATTCAGAAGAGCCTGCTGGACTGCAATAAAGCACATTGGACAGATGGGTTCCATTCTTGATTCATTTACAAATGCTGGTTGCATGACCGAGGCCAAGGCCCTTTCCTTCCCTGAGCCTGTTTAAAAATGGTGCTAGATCGAGGTTTGTTAAATTCTTCCACAAAAAAAGAGTGGAGGAATGTGTTCAAGTCCTCAAAGAATTTGACCACAGGTGGAAGGAGCCTATGACTAGATAAAATTTCTTTGAAGTATCATGTTTTACTTTGAAAATTAGGGTTTTTTTTTTTGCCTTCTACTCCATCATATATACATGGTTGCTTCAGTGTAAAAGTAATGTTTAAAATTAAATAGCATTGAGTAAAACTGAAACTCCCATGGCTTCATCTCCCACTGCCTCACATCCCAGGAGTCTCTATAGTTGAGTTCGAAAATAGACTAGATGATCCTAAAAATTCTTTCCAGGTCTCTGATTTTATGATTTAAGAAAACCCTTTAAGTAAATTTGTCATTTGATGCACTGACCTCTACCTCCAAATCAGACGTTCTCTGATGTCTAGGGATTGAGAAGGTGTTCTAAAGGAAAAAAATACTCACCTATAAGGTAACTGTCATTTTGAGGTAAAGGACCCAGTGCTAAATTTATTGACCTGATTTACAAAAGATTTTGTGATTCTCTAAACTCTCTTTGAGCTCTATATGAATTCATTGGCCTCAAATTGAACTTGTACTTGCAAATAGTTATCAGAGTGTGGGTTTGAAGAAAAAAATTCGACTTGACATGAACACCCGTGCTGGAATTGAATGCAACTAAAGTTTGTTGAGGATACTTTGTCACATTCATTAAATGTATTGATCTTTCTGTGTCTCAAATCACCTCTCTGTGAACTCCTTGGCCACTAATGATCCCTCCAAATTGGACATTTCTTGACCTCTTTGCTCTTAGAGAGAAAGAAGATTTGATAAAAATTCTAAACAATTTGAATTCTGTTATCTTCCATAATAAGAGCTCATTATAGTTCTAGTGTACAACAGTGAACTTAAAATGAACTGTATTTAATTTTATGGGGAGCCAAAGAGACACACACCACCACAGAGGGACATGTATTATCTTTAAGAAGCCAGCTGGTCCCTCAGACACTTCTCAAAAGGGTGGCAGTAAATAGCTGTGATCCTAAGCTAGATCCTGGTGAGATGCCAAGTCTCCAGAATGGACTCCACTGAACTAAATTCACAAGCAACTGATCTATAATAGAATGTCAATTTATTAATTTATGTTAAGAAATATAATTGATATGGTGGCTAGGTATGTATGTCTTTTGACCAGCACATTTGTACCTCGCCATACAAATGTATGCAAAAGCCAATTTATTATCAGCAGTTTGTTTGTTTGATGAGTATGAAATTAAAGCATAAGTTTAGTTGAAAGATCTTGGTGGTTTCTAGGCATTACATTATGATAGAATTATGATAGTGTGGTGCATTCAACTCTCCCATAGGCAGAGAGTGAGCTTGATTCATGTACTTAATGGGTCCTTATCATAGTGGACATGGGCGTGAACTCTGTACACAAGCTTTCTGGGATCAAAGTCTGCCTCTACAGCCTACAACTGTGTGACTTTTGATGCTTTCTGACTCACCGACCCTCACCTTCCTCTTCTGTAAAATTCTGCTTCACTCTGTCCTATTATTTTTTATAGGTTTTAACTTGTGGTAGAAAATCCAATTTTCCTTACTTCCTGATTTTTGGAGTCGATCTCACTGTCACCTCCCTGCAGCCACTCAAACCTCAGGTTGAAATTTCACTGCCCTACCTGTTCTCAGAAAGAAAAGTTGACTGAAAGAAAATTCTTTATCTCATAAAAAAACCCAATGACAAGCTTTATGAACTGTTTGACTTCTGGGAGAAAAGTGAAGCCTTAGAGCCCAGTTTCTTTCTAGATGGCCTCCAAATGCGACAATTACTGATAGTCAAGGTTTCCTAGAGAAAGGTTGTTGGAGGGGGAAAAAAATGCCAATTTCTACTCAGTGGCTGATCTTAAGCCCTCATTAATCTCTCCATATTTCCCACAAATGCCACATGAAGCCATTGGCACTCTAAATTGGAATTTTACTGGCTACTGTTCTTTCAGAGAAAGAAAGTTTGAGAAGGAAAATATTTCAGTTCTCTCAAGTTATCTTAGTGATCACTTAAATTTGAATAAGACAATGAAAATCATTGACCAGCAACAAATAAGTATCAATAAACATTTAGGAATCAAAAAAAGGGCTTGCCAGTCAGGATTTGCACCATTAGATAAAGAGCCACAACTTAAAAATCCATGTATAATATATTGATTGATTAAATTCTCTTAGGCCCATATAGAACACACTAAAATTTTGGAAGAAAGAAACAAATAAATAAAATAAATGCCTTTGCTGTCTTAATACATTTAACAAATATGTGTGGAATAGCTATTAAGTGCTGGCAATATGGCAGGCACTGGAGATAACAATGATGAACAGAAATTGACTTGTCCTCATGGAGAGTACATCCTAGCAGAAGAATCAGGTATTATTCAAATGATAACTCAAGCAAATGTGAAATTTCAAATGGGATACATGTTGTAAGGAAGGCAGCTAGTAGGAATATTTGACCTAGAGAAGGGCAAGGAAAGCTCTCCCTGAGGAGGTCAACAATGAGCTGAAATCTAACATGAATGGAAGTGAACTAAGCAAAGAGCAGGAAGAAAAAGCTAACAGCTTGTACACAGCTTGCTTGGTAAGAACTGGATGAAGTGAGTTCAGGAGACTAAAAGCAGGTGAGTAGGGCTGCAGGCCAGAGATCTTTGTTCTTAATCTGATAGGATGCATACCACCAATACAGAGATAACAAAAGGGTGCATTAACAAAAGCGTACCATGTATAATAGAAAGAAAGAAAAAGGTAGAAAGTAAAAGAAAAGAGAAAAAGACAGAAAGAAAGAAAGAAAGAAAGAAAGAAAGAAAGAAATTACAATGTATATTTATCATTTATAAAGTTTCAGTTTTTAATGGAGGAGAGCAAAAATAGTTTCCAAACTCTAAGAAGAGGTCAGTTTCAACAAATCAAAATTGTCTAGCATACTGCTTTCCAGTATAGAGGCTTACTTTCATTCCTCATATGATCCTTAGGCAAAGCTGTCAAAATCTTTATTCATTCTTTGGTTTCCAAATTACTTTGAGATTAAAGAACTATTTTTTTCTCCCAATAGTGAAGTACCATGAGCGCAATGTTGGGGTAAATTGCATTCACTGCTAAAGTCCTTATGTCTACTAAGTGCCTGTCACACAGTAGGTGATCCATAATATCTGTTGCATAAAAGATCTGAAAAACATAAACTCCATCTTTCTGTTCTAATCCCCACCACTTTTGCACTCTTAAACTGGAAATACAATTGTAACTAGGAGACTCCCTTCTCTTTCTATTTGCTATTGGAAGCATTTAATACCAGCCCATTATGTCTGCTGGGAGCACACTGCAGTCAGGGTGGCCACACTGGAAAGCTGTTTGGGGAAAGGATTCAGGAAAGCAGAGGAGACCGAAAGGTGGGCTCAGCCTATTTAGGGCATGACTGGAGGTGACAGATTAGGGGAAGTAAAAGAGGGACAACTACTTCCAGGGTTAACCACTGTTACCCACTTGGTATATGTCCTTCCAGACTGTTTACAAAATGCAGATATAAATTTTGTATTTCTATATTAATTTCCCCCAAACCCCAAAATATATTCTTTTTTTACTTATCATGAATTTCTTCTAATGTAGAACATAAAGATCAGTCTCATTCTTCTGTTCTACTTACATATATTTACATATAATTTAAAATTTTTGTTTACTTATAAATATTGCAGTAACATTTCAGGGGCTTTGTTTTTAGTTAGGAAATTATAAACAGGAAAATGGAAATGGCCCATTATCTCAAAACCCAAATTATCCTTTTTGACATAAAAAAGCCATTCATGCTTATGGTGAAAAAAATCAAAGCAATAAAGAAAAGAATTCATAAAAACTGAATGCCTTCCATCCCCAGGTTCTCTCCCCCAATTAAACTACCTTTATAGTTTCTTGTGCATATTTACAGAAATAAAACTATACAATGCATATGTGGGATATACTTAGCAAAAGTAGAGCATACTATATACAACAGTCTACACCCTGATTATTTTCCTTAATAAAACATCATGGAATCATTCTGCATCTGTGAGAAGCAAGGATTGTGTAATGGTTCAGTGTATGAACTGTGGTTCCATGTAGCCTGGGTTTAAATCCCAGCTCTACTACTTACTAGTTTACTATGACCTTAGGTGATTTAACTATGAGCGCCTCCATGTTCCTATTTCTATTAATAAAATGAGGACGTAAAAGTTCCTACATTATAATGTTGCTATAAGGATTAAGTGAGCTAGTCCACAAAATATATTTTCAACTGTGCTTTGCACATACTAAACTATATATATTAGTTGTTAATCTTATAGCAACATACACTATTACATCACCTTATTATATTAGCTATTCCTGTTTTTGCTGTTCTGTCAAAACGTAGAAATCTACATCATTCTTTTGTATTTTGCATAAAAAACTTTCATTATAAAAAATTTTAACAAACAGAAATGGAGAGAATAGTACAAAGAATCCTCATATACCTACCACCCTGCTTCAGAAATTATCTACACTTTTGACAACTTGGTTCATTTGTCTCCTCCACTTTCTTTAATGGAATATATTAAAGCCTGTCCCAAGTATTGTTTTATTTTACTTGTAAATACTTTCCAGTTTAAAAACTGAAAACGTAGCCTCTATGCCATTATCCCATCACATGCCATTATCACATGTAATATAATTCCTTGATATTTTCGAAAACCTGATATATATTCATATTTCTCTGGTTGTCTCAAAAATGCCTTTTTATAGTTGATTTATTCTGGTTTCAAGCATAATCCATACATTGCATTTGATTGTTATTCCCTTTCTTTTTTCCCCAAAACAGTCTCCTGTCTTCCCTTTCCTGATCCCCCACCTTTTTTTTTTTTTTTCTGCCATTGACTTCTTAGAAAAAATGGGTCTTAAATAATCCCTCATATTTGGGGCTTGGCTGGTGATTTCCTTCTGAGTCATTTAACTTGTTTGTCTGTTCCCATATTTCCTGTATCTTGGTAGTTATATCTAGAGTTTTGGTTACTCGTACTTCCTAGGTGCCACATTCTGTTGTCCCATGGTAAGACTCATCTTTCTAACCATTAAATGCTGTTACATTGGATGGACACACCATAATTTATTTAGTTGTTCCTTTATGGATAGTACCACAAGAAACTGCTGTGAGCAGATATCTTTGTATACTAGTGTAAGTATTACTGGGAGTGAAATTCTGTATCAAATGGTTGGCTCTAGATATTGTTTATAAGGCTTATCAGTCTGAAGCCTCTTATCTTCCCCTTATTATGTTTCTAATTCTTTTTTTGTTATTATGGATAGATGGAGGAACATATAAGTAAATTCAGTTGAATAGACTATGGCTAGAACTCAAATTGCAGAATTTTAAAGCAAGGAGTCTAATTCCAACAATTGCAAATAGAATACATACAAACAGGTTAGAAGGGTTAGGGTTGAGATGCAAGTCAGCATGGTCCAAATGCACAGTGCAATCAAAGAGAAGGCACTATAAACTCTTAAAGAGGTATATTTTCACTTACTTTTTTTCCTAATTATATATATTTTTACATATTAGTTGTATAATTGAAAATAAAAAAATAAGAAAAGCGACAATCATAATTTCATTACTTAGAGGCACATTTTGGCTTATTTCTTTCTAGTTGTTTTTCATTTAATACTAACATTTTTCATAGTTCCAATCATACCTTGTAAAAATACTATAAAATGTTCTTTTCACTTAACAGTATAGTTTCTCCCAAATTATTAAGAACTTTCTGGAAACGTAATATTTAATAAATACTTAAAACACCACAGAGTGGGCTTATCATAATTAACTATATTACAATTATGAGATATTTATTTATTATTTACTAGATATTCAGTATTATAAATACTTTTGGAAATACAATTATGATTCAATAAATATTTATTGCTTTAATTTTTATAATGTATTTGTGCCAGACATAAAAGTTTATGTGTGTTTTTGAGTATATTTTTTATAATACAAAAAGAGGAGGAGGAGAAAGAGGTAGAGAAGGAAAAAAACAGGGTGAGATAGTGTAGGAGGAGACAAATTATTCTCCTGGTCCAACAGTTCTCAAATTTCAATGTGCATAAGAATCACCTGCAGTGCTTATAGAATACAGATTCTTGGGCTCCACTCCCAGATTCTGATGTAATAGGTCTGGATGGGGCCAAAAGCTTGATTTTGTTTTTAAATCCCTGGTTGTGTCTGACGTAAATGGCGTGTTGCACACATTTGGGGAAAGTGACCAAAGTCAGTTGTTCAGGTACTGAAGCTGGTGATTCTCTGCTACATATATAACTCAAAATGGAAACCAGTTAATAGCTGGTAATAAATTCTCCATTTTTGGTGTGTTTACTCCTCATACCCCACGTGTTATATAAACACTGCAGATTGTTCACCATGGCAGTTAGCCTGGTTGTATTTTATTCTCTGATGAAGGCTCCTTGTTTCGGCTGTCTTAGGTTTTCTTATCTCATTGCCTTTCTACTCCTTGGAAGACCAGCATTCAGCAATTTGGATTCTTACAAGTCAGGTTGCTATTTGGCTCTCTTACCTGATTGGTCAAGATGATTTGTGGTGATGCTGTCAGGTATTCTGAGTTATGCAGTGAGGCTTTCTGCTGATTGAGTATGTGCTTTTGAGCAGAAAATGGCCTTTATAAATCTTTCCTTTAACAAGGGCTTCAAAAATTTGCTTCATTCACTGAAGTTCATAACTATGTCCTCATATCAATAAACTTTGTGCAGGAAAGATTGGTTGCTTGAAGCACTCCTCTGTCTTTGGATGCCACTGAGCACAGTACAATCTATCCATTCAGGAAAGGGGGCTTTCACATTTCTCCAGGATGAATGAAAGCAGGAAAAATAAAATGCCAACTATTTCCAGAGTTAAAAAGTCTCATGACTGATGGCAGACAGGTAACACACAGCTAGACACCTTCTGATACTATAGATATTTTAGTAGCAGAATGCTTAAAGCTAGTGCTGTCTAATAGAACCTTCTGTGATGATGGAAACCTTCTATAATCTGCCATAGCCACTTGCCACATGTGGCCATTGAGTGCTTGAAATGCAGCTGGTGTGACTTAGGAATTACAATTTTAATTCATACTACTCAACAATCTATGTATTTAATGCAATCCCTATTAAAATTTAGAGAATATTCTTCACAGAGATTTTTTTAAAATCATAAAATTTATGTGGAAACACAAAGGACCCCAAGTATGCAAAGCAATCCTGGGCAAAAAGAACAAATCTGGAGGCATTACACGAATTGACTTTAGAATATACTGCAAAGCTATAGTAACCAGAACAGTATGGTACTGGCATAAAAAAGGACATAAGGACATAGTGGACAATGAAACAGAACAGAGAGCCCAGAAATAAATTCACTCACTTATATGCAACTGATTTTTGATAGAGATGCCAAGAACACACATTGAGGAAAAGACAGTCTTTTTAATAAATGGTGCTGGGAAAATTGGATATCCACATGCAGAAAATTGAGACTAGATGGTTACATCTCACCATATACAAAAATCAAATCAAAATGTATTAAAAACTTACATGTAAAACTGGAAACTATAAAATTCCTGGAAGAAAACATAGGGGAAATGCTCTGTGGTATTGGGCTGGGGAAGGATTTTAAAAATAAGACTTCAAAAACATAGACAACTAAGAAAAAATAGGCAAATGGGATTACATCAAACTAAAAAGGTTTTGCACAGCAAAGAAAACTATTAACAGAATTAAGAGACAACTTGCAGAATGGGAGAAAATATTTGCAAACTATACATCTAACTAGGGGTTGATCTCTAGAATGAATATATAATGAACTTAAACAACTCAACAGTAAAACAAAACAAAACAAAAAACAAATAGCCCAATTAAAAAAACAGGCAAAAGATTTTAATAGAATTTCCTCAAAACAAGACAACACAAATGACAAATAATATGGAAAAAGATGCTCAATATCACTAATCATCAGGGAAATGTAAGTCAGAACCACAAGATACTACCTAGTTCCTGTTGGAATGGCTACTATCAAAAAGACAGAAGAAAACAAGTGTTGCTGAGGATGTGGATAAAAGGGGAAACTTACATACTGTTTAGTGGGATTGTAAACTAGTATAGTTATGGAAGACATCGTGGAGGTTCCCGAAAATATCAAAAATAGAACTACCATATAACCAGCAATCCCATTACTGGGCATATATCTAAAGGAAAGGAAATCAGTATGTTCTTTGTTTTTCCATTTTATCACCTACTAGTCTATACAGCCCATATTTTTTGGTTCCCTTTCTTCATTTCTTCTCCCACAAGGTACTTGGGGTCCTTTGTGTTTCCACATTTATGCCTCTCTATTCCCCTAGGATCAAAATATATTATTGAGTGAAACATGCAGTTTACAAAATCATATGTATGCCCTTTTGGTAAGTAAAAACTATGCATAGAAAACGTTCTTTTACAAGACGGGATTCTAGTTGATTTAAAATTTTTAAACTTCTCTTTGTTTTATCAGTTTTCTAGTATGTAGATAATACTTGCTTATTTAATAATTTTTTAAAAATTAAAAACTTAAAATTTTTAAAATTCTCTCTTCCACAACAAAGTTCTTGTAACTTCTACTTTCTTCTGTTTAATTTAGACTTCCTGTGAATGTGCTCAGGACCCCTCCATGCACCTACACCCTTATGAAATATACACCAAAAGGACCTGAAAAAGACATACAAAGTATAACAAATTTTCTTTTATTCACTCTTTGAGTCACTTTATTAGGCCTTGAAAAAATACTATGTCCTTATTTTCACATGGGCCTTAAAACCAATATTTCATTACAGCCTCTAAGGGGCCAGGACTAAGTTAACTGCCTTGAACTACATGGAAGTATCCTGGCCCCTATGGACTCCGAGGGAGGGACATTGTATCTTTTCCTCTCTTCCCTTGTCTTTTAAAGATGCAAAACACGAACTCCAGCTTTCCCTCCACATAGGAAATAAATAAAAGAGTGCCTTAGAACATTTTGCAAGATCATGGAGAAATACAGACTTTTACCCAGTAGTGCAAGGTTGAGAGTTCTTGGCAGCTGCATTTTGAACTCGTTGTACAAAGTCCGTGAAATGATTTACTTCCCGTTGTATACAAATGAGCAAAATCACATACTTAATTTTAGATTCTTCAGCAGTGATATCATTTCTATTCTAGTTCTACTGCTCGTAATTTAAAATGGAGAAGGCTTATCTGCATTCATTTCTTAGATCATTGCTTTGGCACTTTCAAGATTTTATCCAACCATGACTTTTATAACCTTGTGGAAATTGCAGTGATAAAGCATGCATCAGCAATTTTCAAACCCATTTCTTTTTGTGAAGCCATCCCTCAGCCTCCCTTAACAGAGTAATGGAGAGAACCACAGGTCTTTTTTACTGTCTTCATTTTTAAAGAGCTTTGTTTTGGTCAATGAGATGTACACCGTGGAAACAAGTCCAACACAAACTTTGTAGTATTTTTTTCATTGCACTTCTAACTAACCTTGATTAGATGTAAGGCAAGGGGCTGCTCTGCCATTTTATCCCCTAAAATTGGTTTCAGAGGAATTGGTTGTAATGGAAATGTCAAATCATTTAAATATCAACCTTTAAATACCATACAGACATATGGATGTGAACATTACTTTGCCCATTCTTTGATTCTAGTATGTGACATGTCAGAACTAAAGGAAGAAGTGAAAAAGAGAAATAAACTATTGTTCTAGAATAAATGACTTAAAACACTTGGATATGGACATGATGAATGGATGAGGATGATTGGCTCATCTTTAGAGCAAGATCTTCTTTTCTCTGAAAGTTGGAGCCAAAACGGGATCTGCAGAACATAGGCAGCTATGAAATTATACACGTGCCTCATTGTTCCTTCCATCCCACTTCTTCTCATGCCCTAGAGGACTCATTTTCCTTGAAAGTAAGCAATTGTGAGTATAGGACTTTGCAAATGACTTCAGGAAACTTGCCTTTTGAAATATAATAATAATAAAAAATACTCCTTATCTTGGTGAGAGCAATAAAACCTACTGTTATGTGCCTAATATATAATATAGTAAATAAATATTGAATTGAATTGAATTCTGACTGCTGGGAAATGGACTAGGCCAGGAAGAAGTGGGCTCAAGTCTCACTGTGTTCTTAATTAGCTGTGTGATTCTAAGAAAATCACTTAAACTCGCTGGGCTACAGTATAATAGTGATAAAAATATCTATTTTGTGGGAGTCTAAGGACATAATCTCCAAAAATTCTCTGAAATTATAAGGTGGAAATGAAAAAGATGAAACAGTGCATAGAGAGCCATTTAAATGAGGAGCAAAGTGTAATTTTTAACAAGTTTAAGTATGATTTAATCAATTGCATCTAAAGGAGATACATAGGGGGAAAAGGCACATATGTCTGTATTACAAATATGGCTCCTGGGAGTCCTAAGCCTATGCAAGGTCTATAATTCTGTGGAATGGCAGAGATGAACTTGTTAAATTCTGCCTAGAAAAGAAATCTAATGTCAAGGGCTCTGTCAGACAAATAAGATCTTAGAAGAATATCAAATGTTAGTCTTAGATCAGCGAAATAGCAAAATACTGTTGAAATGACATTTGCTATAGGGAGAAAGTCATTTAAAGCCACCTCATACAATGAGCTGGCTCTAGTTACAGTCTGGAAGTATTTTGTCACCCAGCAGAGACTTTCTCTATATGTGAAATTATAGGTTGTTAGATGTTCAACCATTTCTGTGATACGTATCAGCTTGGTTTTCCCAACACTGTGAGCACAGAAAAAAAAGAAACCAACATTTAATAGGCAACTACCATGATAAGCCAGATAAATTGCATTTATTACGTTGTTTAATTTAGGTAGGTTGACTGAGTTAATTACTTGTCATTTTGTGAATGAGGAAAAAGGGACTCAGGCTTAGTAGTTTACTGGTGAGGAGGGAGCCAGGTTCAGTCTGCCTTACTCCACAGCCCATGCACTTTTTAGTTGCACCAGTTTTTTCTCAAAGTATGCTCTGTTGGAAAGTTCTGTGATCAAATAATTTGTGTAAATGGTGCATGCTGTAGCCCCTTTTTAGACATTTGCAATACCTATTAAAAGGTAAAAGGCTCAGCAAAGTGAAATAGTTAAGACTGTTAAAATATTTTTTACTTAGTTTTTTAAATTATCATAAAATACACATTTCCTGTGTTTCTCAAGAAACACAATAACACTCAAGAAACACTGTTGAAGAAAAGATACTTGTGCACCGTAGAACACAATATAAAAAATGCTTGCCTGTTCCTGTCTTGAGTGTAAGCTTGTTTAGTGAAGTCTTATCACCTGAGAGTAATTGTGGATGGGTCAAAGGACCTAAATAGGGACCACTTGTTTTCTAACTATATAACTTTGTTCATGACCATGAAATTTGCCATTTCCTTTTACTACAATAAAGACTTTTATCTATTAGAAGGGAAATAAAAATTGGAGTCCAAATTCCTATCTAATATAGAATCTCCTCAGTCATATAATCCACCAATTTCAACTTCTATCACTGATACTTCTGTGGCTGATAAGTTTACCAGCTGACAGCCTCTACAAGGCAATCTGAAAGATTTTTGTGCATCTAAGACATGTAAATGAAAAGAGAAACATCCAATCAGTTGGTCACCTGAATTCTTGCTTTGACTAGCAATAGGCTGCTCAGATACTGTCCAATATACAAATATTTGGAATCCTAACTACAGAATTTCAGGAGGCATGACTGACTGAATCTGTCACTATGTTATTGATAATATGTAACTTGAACAAACATATCAAAAAGAGGGAATACAGTATTTAAGAGGGAAATATATATGCTGGCTCTGCTTCCTGCAACTGGGAAAACTTAGATAAGTCACTAATCCCTGTAAGCTCCAGTCACACATGGGACTAACAATTGTGTGTTACTCTTAGAGCTATGGTGAGGAATAAATGAGATAATGCACACAAAACATTGAGCAAAGCATGTAATACCCAGTAAAGTGTCTATTTTTGGTCTGCTCAAAGAGAGTTATTCCACCTTGATTTTTAGTATTCAGAATACTAGAGAAAACAGCAACAATAACTTTGATATTTTCTTTCATGCTATCCCAATTATTATGTGGGGTTCTTTCATTTGAGTTCAAGATATTGAACCTAAATGTACGGTATAAAGTCTCCTTCTGTCTATACTGTTTTGGTGCTAGCATCGGGACTGAGAAATAGAACTCCCCATCAGCCCCAGATCTCCCCAAGTCATTAGGAACAGAGGAAAATAGGAGTGATGCCTTTTACATTGTCCCATTCCCACATTTTATACATGTCACTGGTGTATTGGCACTTAAGTTGGGGTGTTGTTGGAAATAGTGGTGATAAGGATAATAGTAATAACATATATTTAGTGTGAACCATGTGGTCAAGACCCATTCTAAGAGCCATTCTAACAGTACAGCTGTTATGAAAACCAGCATGGAGGTCTCTCAAACAATTAAATATAGAATTACCATATGACCTAGAAATCCCATTTCTGGGTGTTTATTCAGAAGAAATGAAATCAGTATGTTGAAGAGACATCTGCAATTCTATGTTTAATGCACCATTATTCAAAGTAGCCAAGATATGTAATCAACCCAAGTGTGCATCGACAGGTGAATGGATAAAGAAAATGTCATATATACACAATGGAATACTCTTCAGTCTATAAACAGAAGAAAATCCTGTCATTTGCAACAATATGGATTAACCCAGAGGAAATTATGCTTAGTGAAATGAGCCAGGCACAGAAAGACAAATACTACACGATCTCACTTGTATGTGGAATCTAAAAAAATTCAAACTTGTAGAAGCAGAGAGTAGAATAGTGGTTACCAGGGGCTGGGGGCAGGATGGGGAATGGGAAGAGATTGGTTAAATGGTAGAAAGTTTCAGTTAGACAGGAGGAATACATTCTGCAGATCTATTGTACAACAAGGTCACTATAGTTAAGTTTTTGTATACTTGACAGTCACTAAGAGCAGATTGTAAATGTTCTCATCACAGAAAATGATAAGGATGTGAGGTAATTGATTTGTTAATGAGCTTGATATAGTCATTCTACAACGTATATGTTTACTAAAGGATCACATTGTACACTCTAAATATGTACAATTTTTGTGTCAATTGTACCCAATAAAACTGGGGAGAAAAAAAGAAAAAAGAGTCTTACATCGATGATCTTATTTAATACTTTTCCAAGCCCTATGAGTAAGTATTGTTATTCATATCTCTATTTGGTGATGAAGAAGAGTTAATCACACACCTAATGAATGGTCTGGGTGGGATTAGAATACTTGTCCTTCTCACTTCAAAACTCATGCTTTTAACCACCGCATTAGAGACGTAAGGCAAGACAGAGAAGGAAAATGATGATGACGATGATAATGATAATCATGCCAACGGACATTTATTGAGCTGTTACTACAAGCCAGACATTATACTGCTTTGCATATATTTTGTCATCTAATTTCTACAACACTCCTGTGTGATAGTTTCTATTAGTATCACCATTTTACTTAGGAGCAAACCAACTTAAAGACACGAAATAACTTTCTCAAGTCTACATGGCTAGCAAGTGACAGAGCTAGGATTTGAATCAAGGTTCTTTGTGGATTAGCTATTTTTCTTAATAGTATAAATGATTTAATGGTAGAAACAGGACAGTAGATATTGGTTAGCAGGTTGGGGCAGGTATTTACACTTATTCTATGCCTAGATAAAATGTTTGTGGATCTAGGTCCTGATGATCCTTCTCTGCATGAGAGCAAGGAATCTGTACATTCAAACCCAGCAGAGAGGCCTTGCAGAGCCTGGGGAAATGGCCTTGCCGATGCACAGTCTGCAGAGGCTGCACATTTTAACGAGCAATGGGCCTTCCAGATTCCTTGTCTTTCCTGTTCTCCTGGCCTAAGCTGAGCGAGGAGTCCTGTGAGGTGAATCATACTTTCAGTGAAGGGTGAGACGATGGCCACTTGCCAAACAGTTTTCCAGCCTTTTCTTCAATTATCAAGGTTAGAGTTCTTAACTTTCACCCTTTGGAGGAAGTGCCTCAGCCACATGTGTCCAGCAAAACACAGCTTTTGACACTAGCCAGAAGTAAACAACAATTACCTCTCACTTGTCAAAACAGTCTCTTTTAGGGGAGAGAAAGTAATGAAATGGACAAGATTTTTTAGTCTGTGTCAGAACAGTCAAGGCCAGAGACACAGCATAACAACTCAAGGGGGGAATCAAGAGGTGTCCTTCCCCCACTTCCTCAATATACACAAGATCAGACAATGCACACGGGCTGCATGTATTGTATTATTGCCATGGAGGCATGCAACAAATGACTAGCATCCATATAGTGAGATAGATCAAAGAGCCCTCTCAGGGGTTGAATATATATATATATAGACTTTCAAACAACAGCAGAATTAAAGCCCAAGGCTTCACTTTTCTTTCAAAGAATTTACTTCCAATTAAAAAACAAAACCAAAATGAAAGAACTTTTGAACTATACCAGGACCTGGAGAGGACTTTGAAAAAGCTAAGACTTTCTACATATTTGCTCTCTCCTCTTCCCATTTTTTCTCCACTCAAGATGGAGTATTAGCGGCCTACTTACATGGCATGGTTCTAGTTCAGGATGTCTGTGCTTCTCCTTGGGCAATTATGACTATTACAGCTGCTCTCCTGCCCCCACCCACGACTAGCTTCCACTCAATTTTTACCTCCAGAAGGCTTTTTCTAAGTTAGTGATTGTGTTGTTGTTCACTAGCTCTCAATGCTTCAGTGACCTCTACTTCAGACAAGAAAAAGTCCTGATTTCTTAGCCTACTGTTTGGTACCATTGCCAACCGGTTCCTGCGTTCGTTACCAGAGTCTTGGCCTGTCTCTCCCTCCTTATTCTTTCTTCTCCATCTCAGCCACAAGAGTCTGGTTGCTGCTCTCCTTACTCATCATCGTCCTTCCTGTCTCTCTCTACTTGACCAATTTCCTTTGGACTAACTCCTCTTGACTTATTTTCTATTTGGTAAACTCCTACTCATTCTTCAAGGCCCAGGTTAAACAATGCCCCTGTGGAACTCCTCCTCTGATTCTCCAAGGTGTTATACTTTTCTCATGAGTTTGTAATGAATTATTTAAATGTGATCCCAATGTGACTGGGAGCATCATAAGGTCAAAAGTTGTATTTTTCTCACCGTGAGCAATCACTATCAACTGGCAATGAATGAAACAATTTTATGTTAATACTTGTTGAGTAAATTGAATGGCGTTCTCTATCTACTGTAAATGTATTCTGGAGAGGGCATTGGACTAGGAGTCAGTAGTCTTGAATTTTGAGTTACTCACTTGCTGTATGATCTGCGGCAAGCCCCGGCTTTCTCACCTGAAAAACAGGGATAATAGTACCCTCTTCTGAAAATCAGAGGAAAAATAGATGTGAAGTTATCTGAGACATAAAGCAATATTCTAGTGCAAATGATCTGCTTTCAGTAAAGCAGATCATTGTATAAAGCACTTGCTCTGGTCACAATATGAGCAGGAAGAAGATTGAAATAAATGGTCATCTCAGGCATTTTGATTATTACATAAAACGTGCTAATAGTTTAATCAAGACAGCACTAAGTAGGTAGGGATCAGACATTTCTCAGATATACTAACATAGACTTCAGGGCTTATGCTCAAATATCTCGTCAGAGAGTCGTTTAGTGAACACCCAATCTAAAGCAGACACATATTTTGTATCTTAACATTATTTTGCTTTTTTTTGTTGTTTGTGTGTGTTTACTGTTTGTATCTGTCACTACAATGTCAGCCTTATTAGAATAGGAACATTGTCTTGTTCACAGCTGTTTCCTAGTGCTTGGAACAGTGTGAGACATAGTAGGCACTCAGTCAATATTCCTTAAATAAATGAATTGTCATTCTCTGAGGACAAGTGACAGTATTGTTAAATTTCACACACAATCACGATTCTCAAGATAATTCAAATGGGATAATGTACATTAAAGTACTTTATAAACCATGAAGTTGTAATAACAGATTCATAATTGTGGCCCATTGAAAAATCCTGGTCTGATTGTTCTCATGCCGTCTTAACAACCCAAGAAAAATGAGAAAGACTGAGTTAGTTGTCTGTTTAGTGTTTGCTCATGTGTTCTCATTTCTTTGGAATTAGAGAAAGACTTTAGAACTAGTTTAAATGCTTTGACAAATTCAGTATGATTGCCTTTGGTTAGCACAGAGCGGTAATTAAGTCTGCAATTATATGTTCAGATTTTCATATTTTTCTTGTATGTGCATTTTGACAGTAATTGAACAAGGCAGTATTTGCAATATCCATTCTGAAACTGTTTCACAATATTTCATTATATGCCAAATTAATTTGTTAAACTCAAGTAGCAAATGAAAACTTCAGCATTGATCCAATTAATCCAACTGTGGGACCTTACTGCTAATATGCCCTAGCAGGGAAAACGGAGGGAGATGTTGGGTAAAATGTCTAGAAAGATTAGGGATATAGTTGGGGAATGGAGGAGAGCCTGATAGTAAGCTTTATTTTTTATTCTTCTAAGTTACTCTTTTTTCCCATTAAACATCATTTGCTTCCTTGAGAATCAGCACAGTGGGAAGTTGAATAAACATTGATGAGGTATGCATCTGATTTTTGAAAAGACCTGGGGAAATTTAATTTTCCCTTTTGGTCTCTCTTGTGTGTGAGTGAGAGTGACTTACTCTCTCTCTCTCTCTCTCTCTCTCTGTGTGTGTGTGTGTGTGTGTGTGTGTGTGTGTGTGTAGTTTAGAATGAAGTGAAACGGCCCAAAGCAGAATGGCATTTTGATTGTCTATGGCTCTTTTATTTGTCAAGTATACCAGTATGCCTTACAAAAAGTAAGTGAATTAGAATCCCTTTCACTGTGATAAAAACTTGAGATGAGAGGTATGGAAATTCTCAGTGGAATATAAAATCCCTTTGCATGTATGTGCTCTCTCTCTCTCGTGAGCTGATGATAGGAAAAGAAACCTGCTCTCTGTTGGGTGAACAGCTCCTTTATAAAGTTGGGCCTGTCTGCCAGCTTCCGTCATTATAGATTTATTTATTCGTTTAAGCATTTAGTCATTCAACAAATAGTTACTGAGTATCTATAGTGAGCCTAGGACTGTGATAAGTACTGAGGATACTACGAAGAGCAAAATCAAATCCAGTTTTCATCTCAAAGAGGTTAAAATCTAGTGGAGCAGCATATGACAATCACATAGCTCTCCAGATGTATACTGAAACTACAACTCAGGTAAATGCTATGAGGTGTTGAGCTATCTATGAGCTTAAAAATAGAACATTTGACCTTAACAATGAGGTCTAAGAAGTCTTTCCTGAGAAAGTGATGCTTGCATTGAGATTAGGGTGGAGGAGCTGAAGGGTTAGCGTGTTGAATGAGGGTGAGTAGGTGATAGGTGGTCGCTGGGAGATGGGACATAATATGCAAAGGTTCTGAAATGAGAGTAATTATGGTTAAAGCAGATGATGGTAATGGGACAACAGGGCAAGAAGAAGCTGGAGAGATTGGAAGGAAATGATACGTGGCAGCCTTATAGATAATAAAGTTAACACTTTCGGGGTGCTTATTTTGTTCTAGTCACTCTTCTAAGTGTTACCATATTAACTCATTTAATTATTATGAAATCCCATGAGGTATGTAAAATTATAAATTGCATTTTACTCACTAGGAATCAGAGGCATAGCGAAGTTAAACAACTTGCTGAAGGTGAGTGGTAGAGTTTTGGAAGTAGTGGAGTCAGGATTTGCACTGTTTTGCTCTACAGTAAAAGCTCTTAATACAATATTACCCTTGAGGGCAAAGCACAAACTTTCTGGCTGTCTCTCTCTGGATTTGTATAATGACAATGTATAGAAATTCAGAATTTCAGAGGCTTTAAAAACTTCAAGAAATTGCTTGAAAAATTCTGCATGTGCAATAAGTAAGATTATTTTGTTTTTTAAAACCTTTTTATTTTGAGATAACTGTAGATTTATATGCAATTATAAGAAATGATACACAGAGATCCTATGTATGCTTAACCCAGGTTCCCTGACTGGTAACCTCTTGCATAAATTTAGTATAATATCACAATCAGGAAATTGATGTTGGTATAATCCACCAACCTTATCCAAATTTCATAAGTTTTATATGTATTGATGTGTATATTTGCATATTTATGTGTATGTATATATGTGTGAATTTAGTTTTATATGATTTTATCATGTGTGGGTTTATATAACCACCATCATAATGAAGATAATAGAACAGTTTCATCAGAAGGATTGCTGGTGCCACCCTTTTATAGACACAGCCATTTCCTTCCCCCACCAATACCTATCTAGATTATTTTTAAGGCAAACAACTTATATGTTATTCCATCATTGTTTGTCATATAAATCTAATCTAATTCTCTCATTATCGTAGCCCTGGCTGCACCATCTGGTGAGTATTCTTTTTCATCCTTGACATTGTTCAGTATTAAATGGTTAACTTAATGTATAAAGAGTGACTAATGAACAAGATACCTCAGTTGGCTTTTGATGAACTATTACTATATAAAAATTGCACTGCAAATAAATGGGTAAAGACTTCTCCCAAAGAGAAAATCTTATTTTTCAAAAAACAGAAGTCATCTTTCCTGCTCCTGCCTTTACTGCTATGTACTCATTACACTCTACATAGCCTCTCAGGCTCTGATCACGCCTTCTGGAGTCATTGCAATGCTGAATACTACTTGCTGTTTTTATCATTGGTATTGTTATTAGCCTGACATGTCTCCCATGATCTAGTTTTTCCATCCTCTAGAACACTTCCCACGGAGAAGCCAGAGTGATCATTATAAAAATAAAATCTAGACATCTAATTTTCCTGCTTGAAATTCCTCAGTGGCTTCCCATGACTTTCCAGACCAAGTCCCATCTTAGCCTGCCATACTGGGCTCTTCATGGCCTGGCCCAGCTTGCTCTCCAGCCTCTCCATGTACAAATATAGGAAGCAGCTTGCCATCTTTTTCCCCTGGGCCATTGTGTATACATTCCAGACCCCGATGACACCTCCTCTGGAAAGACCTCCCTAATTGCCCTTCACTACAGGTTTTGTGTCCCTTCATTATGCTCTCTTGACAGTGTTACAGAGTAGTTAAGAGGTTGGGTTCTGAAATCAGGTTGCTCTAGACTTAAATCCCATCTCTGCTACTTAGCACACGTGTGACCTTGGATGAGTCCCATCACCTGAGTTTTGGTTTCTACGTTTGTAATAATAAGGACTTTGTCATGTTGTAAAGATTGAAGAAAAGAACACATGTAAAAGCATCATGGCTGGCACAGAGCAGAGCTCAGTTAATGACTGGCTTTTATAGCTATGATGGTGCTCTGGGCTTCCCTGCGGCATAGCACTAGCTGCACCATCTTGTGAGCAACTTACTCGTAAGGCCTGTGCTTTAGTGCTTTGACTCCCAGCCCCTTGCACAGTGTGGGTGCTTAGAAGTACATGAATGAAAGAAGTAGACCCAGAAAGAAAAGAAAATGGATCAGGTTTCCAGTTGCTGCAGAGTCTGCTTTTTTTCGGAGTTTGGCCTTCATTGTTTGGCCTCAAGTCAGTTTTTAGAATGTCAGATATATCCACCTTTAAATGCAAGCCCCAGATTTATTCCAAACCCCAGTATAAATGGTTATTGGTTTCTCGCAGTTGTTGATGTGTGTTTTTTTGAAAAACATTCACATGCTTGTTCTTCGATCATTGAGAGTAAACCGAATCCTCTGAGTCTGAACAAAAACTTAATTTTTGCCTGAGGAGAGAAGCACTGGGTTTAAAAGACAGAGAGAAAGCCAAAAAGAAAAAGAACCCAAAAACTGTCTCATGGTAACTGCTGATCATATTTGGAGACTGTGCAATCAAGTCCAAGAACAAGAAAGTTTGTAGTGGGCTTTCCCTGTTGCATCTGTAGAGGCGAAGTGAAGAGATGAGGTGAATCAACCACCAAAGACTTCAGGTGAGAAAAACCCTCAACTCCATATTATTTAGAAATTTAAAAAGGCGATATCATTAAGGACTTTAAATTTTGTCCCATTCTTGGAGAACAAGGGTGTGTGTGTATACATATATCAGATTCTCCTAGAGATTTCTTTCACCCCAATTTACCTGCAAATTGCAAGGAGAAACTTTGCAAAGGGGATCCATCATGGTGAAGAAAGGAGCTGTGAGATTGGCCTAATTTAGTCTGAGTTCTATTTCTGCCTGTCACTCACTGTCTGATGTTGGGCAAATCACTTAACCTTCTGAGTCTTGGTTTCCTCATTTGTAATGTGAACATATTGAAATAATACAACCTGACTGTGAAGGTTGAATGAGATAACACAGCCCAATGGCATAGAATAAATGTTCAGTGACTAATCTCATTAGTGTTTGTATTAATATTAGTATTGATATTAGCATTAGGATTGGTTCTGGTTACTTTTAAAGTGAAGAGAGGAAAATATAATTAGCTAACTTGCGTCAAACTCTTCCTATGTAACAGAGGCCGTGGTAGGGGTCCGATGTGCACTATGACACTTAGTCTCACAGTAAACCCGTGAGATAGGTATTATTTCTGTTTTGTAGAGGAGGAAACTGAGGCTCACAGCCACCTTGTTCCACAGCCGTCCAGAAGGAGAATTGCTGCTCAAATCCTATGACTGTAACCCAGAATGGTTGGTTGGTTCCGAGTTATTCCAGGTAACTTGGATTGGAGCTTTTTCTGAGGGGACCTAGTTTTGTGGGTTTATGCACTTTCCATTGCATTGAATGAAGTCACTGGGACATCAAACACATCAGCTTATCAAACACATCAGCTTTTGAGCTTCCACGTTAGCAAGGGACAAACTTACAGAATTACCACATGGAGAACAAAACCACGTTTTCCCTCTTTGCTCTGCTTCTGGATCCAAGGCTTCTCTGAGTTACTAATGGTTTCTACTGTTTCTCAAATCTCGAGTTAGTTTCACTCTTTAGCTTAATTAGGGGAGAGTTTACCTTCATCTAGGGCCATCCTCTTGAGGCCTCTCTGTACCCGGGAAATGGCCAAATCCTAGCGCTCTGGCTGGAGTGCCCAGAGGCCACGCACGGATTCTTGTTCTGGGATCTGCACTCCATACTAATGAGAAGGGATGGCTGCTCTGCAGAGATGGGCTGAAAGCAAGTGGCAGAATCTCTTGGGGCCAACCCATGACCCATTCCTGTGAATGCCACTTTGAGACTGCGACTCTGCCCAGTCCCTAATACACAAATGGTGGGTGAGGGAGCCAGCCAGGGAGGATCATCTCGGCTGGCACAGAGTGGTGTGCTTCAAAGGGCTCTGCTATTAGAGAGACTTCTGAGAGGAGCTGACCTGGGATTTCAGCCTATTTTGCAGTGGCTCCTTGACCCCTGAAAAACAAAAAAATCCTTTGAGAAGCAGCACAGATTTCTAAAGACGTTAGCAGAATAAGAAAGAAATGTGAAATTCTCCTTCTAGGCATATACACCAGAAAAACTTTTGTTTTTCAAACAAAAGTGGTCATCTGCATGTGCAAACTAGTACAAGGATGTTTGTTGCTACATTATTTATAATAAAGAAAAGTTTAAAGTAATTTATCATATGCCTAAATATAAGATAACTAAAAATATACAGTGACACCTCCTATGAGTTGAATATTTGTGTTCTCCCAAAATTGGTATGAGGAAGCCCTAACTTCCCAGTGTTGCTAATACTGGGAGTGTTTGGAGAGAGGGCCTTTATGGAAATACTTAAGGTTAAAGGAGACCATAGCAGCGGACCCTGATAGAGCTTGCTTTCCTTCCCCTCCCCAACCCAACCCCTGCACAGAAAGTAGGGGCCACAGAGAGATGGTGGCCACCTACCAGCTAAGAAGAGACCTCAGAATAAAACCTGCCATGCCTACACTTTGATCTTCCCAAACTTCAGAAGGATTGTGAGAAATAAATTTTTGTTGTTTAAGTCTTCCAGTGTGTGGTATTTGTTACAGTGGCCTGAGCTAATACTCTCCCCTTCCTTTTTAAAATGAGAAGATCAAAAAATGGTTTGGGGCCAAATTGAATATATGAACTTTGTTAGGGATGTGAAAAGTCAACTGTTTATTTAAAATGTTAGCGATACCTATTTAAAATTACATGTTGTACAAAATAATAACTTAGAAGTGTTTTTTCCTCCGATTGCATCTGTTAGATGATGATTTGACTTACGTTTCTCCCATGTGCCTTTGACATCATGTTTCTCATCTAAAAAGAACCACTTTCTGAGTCATATAAATCGTATCCCAGGGCACGTGATACTCAGTAGTTTACAAATCAGTCTATAACACTTTGTCTAGAAATTTTACCCCAACTACAAGGATCCATGTCTTAATATTAAGATGGCTGACTTATTCATTTGTCTTGCTATATATTTGCTCTCCACAACCTGACCAATTACTGTATTGTTTTAAGGTGATCTTTAAAGGGTTTATACATAATGGCACACAACACTTGCAATTACTTATAAGTGATTACCTAGTCTATATTAATTTCCTTCCTTCCTTCTTTCTTTTCTCTCCTCTTGTTTTTCTTCTCCTTCTTCTTTTTCTCTTCCTCCTCCTTCTTCTTCTCCTACTCCTCCTCCCCCTCTCATCCTCCTCCTCTTCTTCCTTCTCTTCCTCCTCCTCCTCCTCCTCCTTTTTCTTCCAAAGATAACATTGCTTCAAGTTATTTCTGGTAATGTATCTTCCCCAGCAATGTCGTGTGGTTTGAAATAAAGTAAATGCAAGATTGCACTGTAATATGAAAGTCTTTGTGAAGTCTAGTGTATGGGTACTTCTTTATCTGAGTGATAATTTTGGGGGCAATGTTGCATCATGTTCTGGCATACACGCCATCATTTGGGAAAAGAAAAAGAAAGTATATTCATATAATGAAATACTATACAGAAGTGAAAACATGAACTCTTCTCTGTCTCTCTGTGCCTCTCTCATTTTCTCTCTCTCTGTCTCTCTGTCTCTCTTTCTCTCTCTCTCTCTCGTGTGTGTGTGTGTGTGTGTCTCTGTATCTATAGATAGATACACAGTGATAACCAATAAAACACATTGCAGAAGCTACATGTAGTATGACATTTATGCAAATAAAATACCTAAAATAATATAATACAGCTGCTGTTTGATGTATTTATATGCATGTAAAAATGCAAAAGGGACTGGATAGATATAGTTCAAATAAATGGTCTTGAAGAAAGGAGAGATGAAGAGACTAGGAATTGGGACAAAGAAATTTTATCTTAATTTGTAATGTTTTATTTCATTTATTTAAAGAAAAACTTGAAGCAAATATGACAACATTTTAATAGTTTTATCTTTTGATGGGAGGTACATGTTTTAGTCTATTTTTTGTTATATTTTTAAAATTTCTCAACAAATGAATGAATTAAAGAAATGAAAAGCAGCACGGCAATTTTCTTTCACTGGTAGAGAAACAGGCTGTATTAGAAGGAACATAAATTGAATGATGTTAAAATTTTTTCTAGCAGGGCAACTTTCTATGGTCAAATACAAGTTGGAACTGGTGCTTTCTATCTATATGGTAAATTAAGACTGTGTTTATCACCAACCAGGTTTCAGAGAGAGGAGGATTGATCTGGTGTTGGCATTGGGGAAGTAAAGTAGTATTCTTTGAACTTTGAGCCAAGAGGATACCTGGCTGTGACTAGTTTCTCTGCCCTACACAGTGCGTGGGTCTGCTCCAGGCTGCATTTCTTGCCATAGACAGCTACCTGTTCCCTGAAGAACAAAGATAGGGATTATGAGGCAGATCTGGCAACCTTGGTCCTTGAATGTATCCATTCCAGATATACCTTATATATATGTATAATATATATATGTGTGTGTGTGTAATGTATACAGTATACACAGTGATTTTAAAAACGACTCATTTAAAAATGGGAATATTTTACAACCACACTGGATCCCCATGTTGTACATGGCAGGAATTGATTGCAGCTAATTGGAGTCTGCTCCAGTTTTCCACAGAGCCCCTTCTACAATCAGCTTCATTCAAGCATTAACAGGCCCCTGCAGGAATTTGAGCATGCTGCCCCATGTAGAGTAACCATGTGACAGGCAATAGCTAAGACTCTGGGATAGATGGTGCCAATCTTTCACAGAAATGCTGGCAAAGCTTATACGGGGAAGTTCATTTTAGCTCCCCACTGTGCCTCATTATAAATAAATGGTCGGAACATTTAAATATGCCACAAAAGAATGACTAGGATCTCAGCAACTGGCAATTCTTCTTTCTCTCCAGCCTGAGATTAACTAACTGACATTCCTCATCTTTAATTTCTGTGAATTAAACACTGTCCTTACCCATGAAAGCCGTAGATTTGTTAACTCCCTGTCAACTTAGAATCTATATACACATTAGCTAATTATGTCCCTTGGGATATAGCGGGGTGGGGAGGGGGACTCTTTTGCCTGTCAAATGGGAACACGTTAATGCAAATTGTGCTCAATTATATATACTCAGAAAAGAAACAAATGAGTAAAATAAGAATGTGGTCCAGGTTAATAGAAAGTTTATTTTTATGTATTCATTCAACATATATTGAGTACTATGTTCTCGGCATTGTGCTAGTTTCTAGGGATGAGATGATAATATGAAAACAGGCAATCCTTGTCTGCTTGAGGTTTAAATTCTAGTAGGAGAAGGATACTAAAACATATTTATACAGTTAATAATTAATTAATTACGACACATTTATAGGAATGGGTATTTATAGGAAACCCAGAATGTCAAGGGAGGGTATAACATTGGGAATCAGCCCCGTGCCAGGTGGCTGGCTGGGCAGGTTCCTGAGAAAGACATGGGATGGGTGTATGGGAAGCTGGCTGCCTGGAGAGAGGGGGCAGCACATTCAGGGGATGAGAACTGCAGGTGAACAGATGAGGCACAACACTGTGTGTTGGGAAACTGAAGAAGGCTTGTGTGTGCTGTGGTTCAGCGTGGGAAGGGGAGAGAGGTGCAAGATGAGACCTGACGGATACTTTGAGGGAAGCTTGGCAAGTGCAAGGATTTAAGCTTGTCATTGTTACCTCTTTGTTGCAGATGTTTTTATTTATAGAGAGGATTTCCTGCTTTTCCCTGCCTTTACCACCAGTTCAGAAGACACAGGAATGGCTGCTATTGAAGTCACTTTAGACACTTCAGGGGAAATGCCTCCAAATGTTATGTCCTGTATGCCAGGAACAATAAAGAAGAATGCAGAATTCAACAAAATAACATAGTCTTGGTTTAGCGGGAAAATGTTCCTTTACAGAATTTTTTTGTACCCCAAAGAAAGAAAAAGCTCACCTAAATAGGTGGCTTTGCACTGGTAAGATATTCTAGGTTCTCACTAGGTGCTCAAATTGGTCGGAATCCTGACTACTTGCTCACCATTGAGAGCCAAGTTATTTCTAAATGAGGGTAGCTCATTATTAAATTACAAAGAGCATAAGTATGATTTGGAAACCTAATGTATATCTTAATGAGTTTCACAATAATACCATTTGAGATGTTTCAATTGTAATTTTAGACTAATTCTTTAGGGCAGAGGCTAACCTAGCACCTCCCGTTTTATTTAATTTTTTTGTAATATAAAATAAATCAATCTTGAAATGGTTCAGCACTTTCAATTAATTTTAATGGTCTGCTGGTCTCCACATCATTGGATCAGAGCCTATGAATTCAGACATGTTGAGCTTTTTAATAGGTCCTTAAGAATAGTACATTTCCTGTACTAGATTCTTGCTAAAATAAAAAGAGCTCCTACTCAATTGGTTTATCATGACAGTGAATCTCTAAAATAAATATGGCTAATAAAGCCTCATCGGAAGCAACTGTATGGCTTTTATAGGTAAGGCAAGTTAATGTTTTTCAAGTGGATAATCAGAAAAGTGTAAGAAAGTGACTATCAGAGGAAAACCAAGTAATGGTTTATAGGGTATGTGGCTGTTATTGACATCATCCTCAAAAACTTAGGATGTATCTCAAATATCTTCAGATTTCCATTTTAAGCAATTTTCTCTATACTTTTAGCCTAGGTTACCGCTTGGGATAAAACATTGTGTCTAACACAGCAATTATTTATACACATCCTAAAGGTTACCTTCAGCACATTCAAGATACCTCTTAAATTCAGTGTCTTATGGGTAGTGATTGAATTTATTTATAAGGACAAGTTTTTCTTTAACTCGGTGTTTGGGAGCCTCTTCAATTGTGAATTATAAAAGAAGTCAGGCTCCTAGTGCTAGATAACTTTAAACATAACTTTTGTCAAGTCAACAATAATATCTGTGTCCATGCAGCTCCACCAGAGAAGTCTTGGTGCTGAGGGCAGGTTATGATATGAAAAGCCATTGTAAAATGATGTCATGGCAAGTTAAAGACAGTGGCAACATCAGAATAGTGGGAAGTTATGGGATACAAAAATGGAACATTCAGGAACACTGTGGATCAGGGAAATATTAAGGTCAAAATTGAGTTTACCATAGAGCAAGTTTCTCAACCTCAGAACTATTGACAATTTGGACTGGATAAACCTTCATTGTAAGGGATTGTTCTGTGTACTTTAAAATGTTTAGCAGCATACCTGGCCTCTGTCTGCTAGATGCCAATAGGAACCCCTTCCCTGAGTTGAGACACCAAAAATGTCTTTAGCTATTGCCAGGTATCTCCTCGTGGAAAAAATTGCACCTGCTTGAGAACAACTGGTATAGGAAATTCCACACAGCAGAGATATCACTAAAGGATTGATTGATGCAAATGACTGATAACCATAAATGTTAATCCTCTATATTGTTAGCCTAGACAACTTCTCTTACTTCCAATCTTTGTATTTAACTGGCAACATCTGTATTTAGATGTCTGAAAGACACTTTATTCTGAATAGGTACAAACGTGCACTCATGGCCGGGCGTGGTGGTTCACGCCTGTAATCCCAGCCCTTTGGGAGGCCGAGGTGGGAGGATCACGAGGTCAGGAACTCGAGACCAGCCTGGCCAATATGGTAAAACCCCATCTCTACTAAAAATACAAAAATTAGCTGGGCTTGGTGGTGCACACCTGTAGTCCCAGCTACTTGGGAGGGTGAGGCAGAAGAATCACTTGAACCTGGGAGGCAGAGGTTGCAGTGAGCTGAGATCGTGCCACTGCACTCCAACCTGGGTGACAGAGAGAGACTCTGTCTCAAACACACAAACAAAACCAAGAGTGCACTCATGACATCATTATTATTATTATTATTATTATTATTATTATTATTATTATTATACTTCAAGTTCTGGGACACATTTGCAAAATGTGCAGGTTTGTTACATAGGGATACATGTGCCATGGTGGTTTGCTGCACCCATTAACCCACCATCTACATTAGGTATTTCTCCTAATGCTATCGGTCCCCTAGCCCACCACCCACTGACAGGCCCCAGTGTGTGATGTTCCCAACCCTGTGTCCATGTGTTCTCATAGTTCAACACCCACTTATGAGTGAGAACATGCAATGTTTGGTTTTCTGTTCCTGTGTTAGTTTGCTGAGAATGATGGTTTCCACCTTCATCCATGTCCCTGCAAAGGACATGAATTCATCCTTTTTTATGGCTGCATAGTATTCCATGGTGTATATGTGCCACATTTTCTTTATCCAGTCTATTACTGATGGGCATTTGGGTTGGTTTCAAGCCTTTGCTATTGTGAACAGTGCTACAATAAACATACATGTGCATGTGTCTTTATAGTAGAATAATTTATAATCCTTTGGGTATATACCCAGTAATGGAATGGCTGGGTCAAATGGTACTTCTGGTTCTAGATCCTTGAGGAATTGCCACACGGTCTTCCACAGTGATTGAATTAATTTCCACTCCCACCAACAGTGTAAAATTGTTCCTATATATATCTCCACATCTCCAGAATCTGTTGTTTCCTGACTTTTTAGTAATCACCATTTTAACTGGCATGAGATGGTATCTCATCGTGGTTTTGATTTGCATTTCTGTAATGACCAGTGATAATGAGCTTTTTTTCATGTTTTTCTGGCCACATAAATGTCTTCTTTCGAGAAGTGTCTGTTCATATCTTTCACCCATATTTTGATGGGGTTGTTCATTTTTTTTTTCTCGTAAATTTCTTTAATTTCCTTGTAGATTCTGGATATTAGCCCTTTGTCAGATGGATAGATTGCAAAAATTTTCTCCTATTCTGTAGGTTGCCTGTTCACTCTGATGATAATTTCTTTTGCTGTGCAGAAGCTCTTTAGTTTAATTAGATCCCATTTGTCAATTTTGGCTTTTGTTACCATTGCTTTTGGTGTTTTAGTCATGAAGTCTTTGCTCATGCCTGTGTCCTGAATGGTATTGTCTAGGTTTTCTTCTGGGTTTTTATGGTTTTAGGTCTTACTTTTAAGTCTTTAATCCATCTTGGGTTAATTTTTGTATAAAGTGTAAGGAAAGGGTCCAGTTTCAGTTTTCTGTGTATAGCTAGCCAGTTTTCCCAACACCATTTATTAAATAGGGAATCCTTTCCCAGTTGCTTGTTTTTGTCAGGTTTGTCAAAGATCAGATGGGTGTAGATGTGTGGCATTACTTCTGAGTGCTCTGTTCTGTTCCATTGGTCTATATATCTGTTTTGGTACCAGTACCATGCTGTTTTGGTTACTGGAGCCTTGTAGTATAGTTTAACATCAGGTCGTGTGGTGCCTTCAGCTTTATTCTTATTGCTTAAGATTGTCTTCACTATATGGGGTCTTTTTTGGTTCCATATGAAATTTAAAGTAGTTTTTTTCTACTCTGTAAAGAAAGTCAATGGTAGCTTGATGGGGACAGCATTGAATCTATAAATTACTTTGGGCAATATGGCCATTTTCACGATATTGATTCTTCCTGTCCATGAGCATGGAATGTTTCTCCATTTGTTTTTATCCTCTCTTATTACCTTGAGCAGTGGTTTGTAGTTCTCTCTGAAGAGGTCCTTCACATCCCTTGTAATTTGTATTGCTAGGCATTTTATTCCCTTTGTAGTAATTGTGAATGGGAGTTCACTCATGATTTGGCTCTCTGTCTTTTATTGGTGTATAGAAATGTTTGTGATTTTTGCACATTGATTTTGTATCCTGAGACTTTGCTGAATTTGCTTATCAGCTTGAGGAGATTTTGGGCTCAGACGATGGGGTTTTCTAAATACACAATCATGTCATCTGCAAGCAGAGACAATTTGACTTCCTCTCTTCCCATTTGAATAACCTTTATTTCTTTCTCTTGCCTGATTGCCCTGGACAGAACTTCCAATACTATGTTGAATAGGAGTGGTGAGAGAGGGCATCCTTGTTTTGTGCCAGTTTTCAAAGGGAATGCTTCCAGTTTTTGCCCATTCAGTATGATATTGGCTGTGGCTTTGTCATAAATAGCTCTTATTATTTTGAGATACACTCCATCGATACCTAGTTTATTGAGAGTTTTTAGCATAAAGAATTGTTGAATTTTGTCAAAGGCCTTTTCTGCATCTATTGAGATAATCATGTGGTTTTTGTCATTGGTTCTGTTTATGTGATGGATTACGTTTATTGTTTTAGGTATGCTGAACCAGGCTTGCGTCCCAGGGATGAAGGCGACTTGATCGTGGTGGATAAGCTTCTTGATGTGCTGCTGCATTCGGTTTCCCAGTATTTTATTGAGGATTTTTGCATTGATGTTCATCAGGTATATTGGCCTGAAATTTTTGTTGTTTTCTTGTCTCTGCCAAGTTTGGTATCAGGATGATGCTGGCCTCATAAAATGAGTTAGGAAGAATCACCTCTTTTTCTATTGTTTGGAATAGTTTCAGAAGGAATGGTACCAGCTTCTCTTTGTAACTCGGGTAGAATCCATCTGTGAATGTGTCTGGTCCTGGGCTTTTTTGTTTGGTAGGCTATTAATTATTGCCTCAATTTCAGAACTTGTCATTGTTTTATTCAGGGATTTGACTTTTTCCTGGTTTAGTCTTGGGAGGGTGTATGCATCCAGGAATTTATCTTCTAGATTTTCTAGTTTATTTGCATAGATGTGTTTAAAGTATTCTCTGATGGCAGTTTGTATTTCTGTGGGATCAGTGGTGATATCCCCTATATCATTTTTTATTGTGTCTATTTGATTCTTCTCTCTTTTATTCTTTATTAGTCTAGCTAGTGGTCTATTTTAGTCTTTTCAAAAAACCAGCTCCTGGATTCATTAATTTTTTGAAGGGCTTTTCGTGTCTCTATCTCCTTCAGTTCTGTTCTCATCTTAGTTATTTCTTGTCTCTGCTAGCTTTTGAATTTGTTTGCTCTTGCTTCTCTAGTTGTTTTAATTTTGATGTTAGAGTGTTGACTTTAGGTCTTTCCCGCTTTGTCCTGTGGCCATTTAGTGCTATAAATTTCCCTCTAAACACTGCTTCAGCTATGTCCTAGAGATTCTGGTACGTTGTATCTTTGTTCTCATTGGTTTCAAAGAACTTATTTATTTCTGCCTTAATTTTGTTATTTACCCAGTAGTCATTCAGGAGCAGGTTGTTCAGTTTCCATGTAGTTGTGCGGTTTTGAGTGAGTTTCTTAATCACGAGTTCTAATTTGATTGCACTGTGGTCTAAGACTGTTTGTTATGATTTCCTTTTCTTTCTTTTTTTTTGCATTTGCTAAGGAGTGTTTTACTTCCAATTATATGGTAAATTTTAGAATAAGTGTGATGTGATGCTGAGAAGAATGAATATGCTATTGATTTGGGGTGGAGAGTTCTGTAGATGTCTATTAGGTCCACTTGGTCCAGAGCTGAGTTCAAGTCCTGAATATCCTTGTTAATTTTCTATCTTGTTGATCTGTCTAATATTGACAGTGGAGTGTTAAAGTCTCCCACTATTATTGTGTGAGAGTCGAAATCTGTTTGTAGGTCTTATGAACTTGCTTTATCAATCTGGGTGCACCTTTATTGGGTGCATTTACATGTAGGATAGTTAGCTCTTCTTGTTGCACTGATCCCTTTACCATTATGTAATGCCCTTCTTTGTCTTTTTTGATCTTTGCTGGTTTAAAGTCTGTTTAATCAGAGACTAGGATTGCAACCCATGCTTTTTTTTTTTTTTTGCTTTCCATTTGCTTGGTAAATATTCCTCCATCCCTTTGTTTTGAGCCTATGTGTGTCTGTGCACATGAAATGAGTCTCCCGAATACAGCACACTGATGGGTCTTGACTATCCAATTTGCCAGTCTGTGTCTTTCAATTGCGGCATTTAACCCATTTACATTTAAGGTTAATATTGTTATGTGTGAATTTGATTCTGTCATTATGATGCTAGCTGGTAATTTTGCCCGTTAGTTCATGCAGTTTCTTCATAGTGTCGATGGTCTTTACAATTTGGTATGTTTTTGCAGTGGCTGGTACTGGTTTTTCCTTTCCATATTTAGTGCTTCCTTCAGGAGCTCTTGTAAGACAGGTCTGGTGGTGACAAAATCTCTTAGCATTTGCCTGTCTGTAAGGGATTTTATTTTTCCCTCGCTTATGAAGCTTAATTTGGCTGGATATGAAATTCTGGGTTGAAAATTCTTTTCTCCAAGAATGTTGTATGTTGGCTCCCACTCTCTCCTGGCTTGTAGGGTTTTGGCAGAGAGATCCACCGTTAATCTGATGAGCTTCCCTTTGTGAGTAACCCGACATTCCTCTGGGACTGTCCTTAACATTTTTTCCTTAATTCTAAGCATGGTAAATCTGACAATTATGTGTCTTGGAGTTGCTCTTCTTGAAGAGTATCTTCGTGGTGTTCTCTGTATTTCCTGAATTTGAATGTTGGCCTGTCTTGCTAGGTTGGGGAATTGGGGAAGTTCTGCTGGATGTTATCCTGAAGAGTGTTTTCCCACTGGGTTTCATTCTCCCCATCACTTTCAGTACACCAATCAAACGTAGATTCGGTCTTTTCACATAGTCCCATATTTCTTGGAGGCTTTGTTCGTTCATTTTCATTCTTTTTTCTCTAAGCTTGTCTTCACACTTTATTTCATTAAGTTGTCTTCAATCTCTGATGTCTTTTCTTCTGCTTGATCTGTTCGGCTATTGATACTTGTGTATGCTTCACGAAGTTCTTGTGCTATGTTTTTCAGCTCCTTCAGGTCATTTGTGTTTTTTTCTAAACTGGTTATTCTAGGTAGCAATTCGTCTAACCTTTTTTCAAGGTTCTTAGCTTCCTTCCATTGGGTTAGAACATGCTCCTTTAGCTCAGTGGAGTTTGTTATTATTCACCTTCTGAAGCCTACTTCTATCAACTCGTCAAATTCGTTCTCCGTCCAGTTTTGTTCCCTTGCTGGCGAGGAGTCGTGATCCTTTGGAGGAGAAGAGGCATTCTGGTTTTTGGAACTTTTGGCCTTTCTGAGCTGTTTTTTCCTCATTTTTGTGGATTTATCTATCTTTGGTCTTTGATGCTGGTGACCTTCGGATGGGGTTTTTGTGTGGACGTCCTTTTTGTTGATGTTGATGCTATTCCTTTCTGTTTGTTAGTTTTCCTTCTAACAGTCAGTCCTCTCTGCTGCAGGTCTGCTGGAGTTTGCTGAAGGTCCACTCCACACCCTGTTTGCCTGGGTATCACCAGCAGAGGCTGCAGAACAGCAAAGTTTGCTTCCTGTTCCTTCCTTTGGAAGCTTCGTCCCAGAGGGGCACCCACCAGATGCCAACCAGTGCTCTTCTGTATGAGGTGTCGGTTGACCCCTGCTGGGAAGTGTCTCTCAGACAGGAGGCATGGGGTCAGGGACCCACTTGAGGAGGCAGTCTGTCCCTTAGCAGAGTTAGAGCACTGTGCTGGGACATCCGCTGCTCTCTTCAGAGCTGGCAGGCAAGAACATTTAAGTCTGCTGAAGCTGCACCTCCTCCCCCAGGTGCTTTGTCCCTGGGAGATGGGAGTTTGATCTATAAGCCCCTTACTGGGGCTGCTGCCTTTCTTTCAGAGATGCCCTGCCCAGAGAGGAAGAATCTAGAGAGGAGTCTGGCTACAGCAGCTTTGCCAACCTGTGGAGGGCTCTTTCCAGTTTAAGTTCCAGGTGGATTTGTTTACACTGTGAGGGGAAAACCGCGCACTTCCCAAGTGAGGCGACTCCCCACCCTGCTTTGGCTCTCACTCTGGGGGCTGCACCCACTGTCTAACCAGTCCCAATTAGATTAACTGGGTACCTCAGTTAGAAGTGTAGAAATCACCTGCCTTCTGTGTTGATCTCGCTGGGAGCTGCAGCCTGGAGCTGTTCCTATTCGGCCATCTTGCCAGCCACCACCTTCTTCTCATGAGCTTTCATCTACAAAATTTATTCCTTCTTGATGACTCCTGATCTCAGTGAATGTACCAAGTTAGAGACCTAGGATTCATTGCTGATTCCCTCTTCTTGCTCATTTTCCACATGCAATCAGTCTACAAGATTTGCCTTATGATTTTTTACCACAAAATATCTCTTGAGGCCATCTACTTCTCACTAATTTTACTGCCACTGCCCCAGTAAGTAAGTATGCTAGCCCCAGTCCAAGCTAGCATAATCTCTCTCTCGTCAGCTTCCACTATGGAGGCTAGAGAGGCAAAATACTTTATTTTCCAGTTTCTCTTGCAGATAGAGGATGTTCATGTGATTTATTTCTGACCATTGAGTTGTTACCAGGTGGTCTTCAGAAAGTTCCTGGAAGATATTGTTTTCCTAATAGAATGTACAGAGATGCTGGCATTGTCCCTTGATATGTTTCAGCCATTTTGAATGCAGACTTCATGCCCAGAGTTGAAACAGTCATTCTGTAACCATGAAGGAAAGGCCACTGAAATCCACAGAGATGCTGGCTGGACATTTTTGAACCACGAAATGAATGGCCATAGCTGCCTATCTCTCATCATACTGTCACGTAAGAACAGCACAATCCCCACTTGTGGAATTCACTGTCTGTTGGGTATTCTGTTCCCTTCAGATGCTTTCCTGGTGAATACATTAGCTTTTCAGTCACGAAGAAGGTATTTAAGAGTGCTCTCCATTCCTTGATTTTTCCATTTGTGTAGTGAGGATAACTTTGTAATGACTGGGCTGATATAATAGTGTGAGATTTAGAAGAGATAATGCTAGACACGTAATAAGTATATAACGGTACTATTTTTTAATTAAAACATTTGAACTCTTTGGCCTTTGTAGGTCTCAATTAAAGCTATGCATGTGCATTTCTTGAAGATCATCACATCACAAACAGCAGATGAAAAAATAGCTTCCTGTGTTCCTATGAAGACAGGCACTGTGGTTAGTGATAGCTTTCACTGAACTGGATTTCAGGACAGCAGTTAGAGATTGACATCATTACCCTTCTGAATCAAGAGGCGACATGACTGACATCACCTTTGAGTTTCCAGCCTCCTGGTGATATTGTTTGCTGCATCTTACACCACATACCTCAGTCAGCTTACTTTGCCCTGCTTCCAGGCATCTGTGAACCATCTGGCCTCTTGACGGATCTGGCATATTTCATGTAGAGATGCTGAATTCCAAAACTGGGCACCTAAAGGCTGAGCATGAGGGAACAGGTCTTCTAATCAGGTATGCTGATTTGGAGAGAAGACATTGCAAAAGGCAGCTACAACCTCAGGCTGAAGATTAGATGACAGGACACCCAGAGTTTCCTTAGTTAAATTTGTGAGGCTTTTCCCAGCATGCCCAGTAAGAGGACATAGGTAGTGGGGAGCAAAAAGATAGAAAAGCAAATGCATAAAATTGGCTTGCAGGAGACTGCTGGTTTATCAACAGTTCCAGGAGATAGCTAGCATCACCTCTGCTTTGCCTCCAGCCTTCTGAAATTATTTCTAGCCATGGGTGAGAGGGATTCTTTCTTCCTCCCCTTCACATCAAATGCTGTACTGGAAATCAATCAAGCATGTGGCCAGAGCCAAGAATTGCATCATCAGTGTTTCTGAATAAGATCCAGGCAAGAATGCCTCCCCCTCTGAGGCCTCTTACTGCAGGCCGCTAGGAAGAGCCCTCCATGACTTGAAGGATGAGAAAAAAAGCTGGAGCCTGTTGTAAGGCTGTCTAGTCCCATTAAAAAACAATGTCAATGGAGAGAAAAAAGTCTTGTTTAATATTCTATATATTTCTAAAGAGTCTGGGAAAAAGTGTGGTGAGGGAAGAGCAAAGAAAGCAAAGATGTTGCTTTCAAACATGATAGGTCAAGTTCATGGAGTTCTATAGGTGAACACGTGTCAACAGCATTCTTTTTTATGGAGATGATTATTTATTGAGGTTTGAGTGTGAACCAGTCACTAGCGTAGCTATTTTATGTAGAGCATTTATTTCATTCAGTCCTCAAAATAGCCAAGCAAGTTGAATGATAATACTCCCCTGGGACAAAAAGGTGTTCCGATAAGTTATGTAACTTGCTCAAGGTCATGCATGTTGTATGCAGCTTCACACAATGGTATCACATTAAGTAATATAATTACTTAACAACGAGAGCAGGTGCAGTTTATCAAATGCCTACTTTCTGCTCTGAACTTTGGAAATATGATCTCAGCCACTCTAAGGGTTAGATATTATCTCCAACTTATCAGTGAAAAAACAGATTCTGAGAGGTTAGGTAATTTGTTAACTAACTTTGGGCAAGATGCTTGATGTGTCAGAGCAACCATTTCCTCAATATTAAAAGGAAGAAAACAGCATCTGCTTTACAGTGTTACATTGTTTTAAAGAACAAAATGAAGGAGGATGAAGAAAAGCAAAAGTTTGTTTCTATCCTAAGAGCTTGGGAAAACCAAAGTAGCTTGGGAAATTATCAACACAGTAATGACTGTGCACTTTGTGAATCATTATTACTTATGGTTCTGGCAGAACTCCTCTTTCAGAGATGGCAAAAGGAAAGGCAGGGTGGCCCTTGCCCTGAGTCTTGGCCCAGGCAGCCTGGATAATGGGTGCTCAGACATGTGAAATTTTCTGCTGTTGTGCAGGGCAGCCTGGGTGACCTTGCCTCTCTAAAATGCCACTTAGAATTCCAGGGCAATTCTAAATAAAAGCATCTTGTCATAGAGTAGTTGAGAGCATGGGTTTGGAAAATCAGGCCAATGTAGTTTTATTCCTGGCTCTACCACTTATAAACTGTAGGACTAAGTATTTAATCTGTAAAATAAACCTGATAAATCTGTTGCAGCTTTCGACGAGAAAGTGTATGTAGCATGCTTAGCATAATGGCTGACTCACAGTACATATTCAACACATAGCAGTTGTCATTGCTGTTGTAATTGTTAACCCATATCACGGATGTTCACAGCCAATTTTCCTGTGACATGCACTTCATTTTTTCAGCCCAGGATGCAAATACCTACTCTATCTCTTACCTCTTGCAGGAACCCTCTCAGTTAAAACCACTGAATTCCAGTGTTTGACTTTGACAAGGTGACCCTCATTTCAGTTTTTTACAGACTATGATTATGAATTTGGACTCATTAGACCAGTATTTCAATTCTGCTCTACTACTTTCAACATGGAGAGTCAAGCCTCAGTTCAGAAAAGATCCAAAGGGCATCCCTGATTCCCTGCCACAGGATGATGTTGCTTGCTGGTTATGCCAGGCCGGTTATTTTTGGTCCACCATTCTGTTCCCACCCCTCAAGCCAGCGACTTCCTGCATGTTTGTTTTCTCCTTTGCCTTGCATCATTTGAGGGAGAACTCTTGAGATGTAAACAATTCTCTTATTTTAGTAAGAATGTGTATCCTGTCTCTGATTTAGGAGCAAGTGAGTCAGGACCATGAGCAAGAGGAGAAGATAGGTGCCCTATGATATCTAGATCCCAAAATCCTGTAGGGACAGACACAATGTTTTCTTTCTTTTTAATTTTATTAATTAAATATTTAAAAATAAAAATAAAATATACTAACTTTAATGAATTCAGTCACCATCCCATTAAATGGGGGAAATAAAAGCTTTTTCTTTCTACTTGGTGTTTACTCACTCTCTGTCACTTTGGCTTTTTTACCTCCATTAAACATTCTGAGTAGTTTTTTGTGCAGCCTTCTAAAACTTTTCTAAGCATATACAACTATATGTCTGTTTATTTCAACTTCAACAATGTGGAGAAAAAAGATTGATTAATAGATAATCTTTACATTTTTTAATCTATCTATCTATCTATCTATCTATCTATCTATCTATCTGTCTATGCAAAAGTAACTCCAGCCTAAATCCTTGAAATTGATTTTTTCAGCCAATGTGAATGTGCATTTTAAATATGGAATAGATAGAAATGCCAAATTTCTCTTGGGAAAGATTATAGATTCGCACTATCGCTAAACAAGAGTGACTGTTTTCTTATACTATTGCCACAAAAGCATTATTAAACTACTAAATTTTGGTAATCTTTATGAACATGGGAGGACAATACTAATGCAAAGTTAATGCTAAAATAAGAGAATTAACTACATATTAGCTCAACTAGGAGAACTAACATTAGGGTGAGTTGTTACTCTTTCCCTTAATTTACCCTTCTAACAAAATGCTAATTCTTCAAGTTAGTTTCTTACCTACCTCATGGGAAAATTAATTGATTAATACAGTTTTTCAAGGAAGGAGAATGCTCAGAAATGATGAGCAATAAAAGGACTCCATCTGGCTCCATGTCTCCAAAACAGAATTTTATTAGGGTCTGATAGAAAGGTGTGGCCATATCATTTAGGGTTAATGTGGAGACAGTCTTGTCGGCTTGAAGCAATTCTTGTGGAAACAAAAGCCAGTGAAAAAGGCCACCAAAAGTCCCTCAGCACTTGCAAACACTAGAGGGCCATGGGGGAATGCAGCCATCCACAGCCCCAGCAGAATGACCTGGGTGACAATGGGGACTGGCAATCTGTGGATCCACTTATACTAGAAAAAACACAGGGAAAATCTGTTTGAAAAACTGGAAAACACATATCCCTTCTGAATCATCCATTAAGAGACTCTACATTGGCTCCACTAACTGAGTTGTGTCTACCTTTCCCATCTTACTACATGCTACTCTCTCCAACTTCAGGGAAGTGTTATACAGGCATCACCTAGTTTAATCCCTATGGCCAAATCTGCAGTTTTTCCCCCCCATTTTATAGATAATAATACTAAGGCTTAGGTCATACACTGCTAGAACTTGATTCCAAATCCTTTATTTTTGACTATATGACATAGTACATAGTCTTCCTCCCTGACCCTCCCACCCCGCATTCAGACATTTATTTATATTTGACAAAGAATAACTGAAAATATGCTGAGGGACTAACATTGGAATGAAAAGCAAAAATGCAAGTGTACATAAGAATGCAGGTTTCTAGAATGTATTTATCTTATAAGGATTTATTGAGCCCTTACTGTATGCTAAGTGATGCTCTAGTTGCAGTTTAAATAGTGAATAAGACAGAGAAAATCCTTGTGTATATTTCCAGAGGAGGGAGACAATGAACAAGTGAGCCAACAAACAAATGAGTTAATTGAAATTTATGCATACAATAAACAAAACAAAAATGGATAATGAATTAGAGAGCCATTGAGGGTGACCTGAGCACAGGTGGTCATAGAGGGCCTCTCTGAGGAGGTGGCATTGAAACCAAAGATAGAGCCAGCCACGAATAAATGTGGGAACAGAAAATTCTAGTTGCTGGTAGCAGCAGGGGCCTGGCAGATGGAATTATTGGTCTTAATCCTTCATTGTCCTTAATAGGATTATATATCTACCCCATTTGCCAGATAACTTTGCAGTATCCTCCCATTGTGGGCAGAGTGTCATTTCCTGCCCCATTAATGTTGGGCTTGATTGAATGGCTTGTTTTGGCCAATGGGAAGTTCTTCAAGGTTTTAAATTCAGTGCTTTCACAGTTCAGCTTGGTCTCTTGTACTCCTATTACGCACAATGAAAGGAACATGGCCTGGGTAGCACTGGTTAAGCAGAATTGGGCACACACAAGGCAGATATGAACTGAACTCATAGTTTGAAGCCAAGCTGAGCTGACCTATGGCCTGAAGCAGAGCTGGTCCTTGCAAATCTAGAACTGACCAGCAGACCCATGCACAAATATGCACAAAAGGCTTATTGTAGCAAGCTACTCATTCGGGGAGTGGTTTGTTATGTATCCTAGTGGACTAAGAGAAGGAACAAAATCTCTGAACTGGGAATAAACTTGGAATGTCCCAGAAACAGAAAGAAAGCCATTCTGATGGAAGCAGAGTGAGCAAAAGGGGCAGGATTTGAAGCAATGAAGAGAGGGGCCAAATCATACAGGCTCTTGTGGGTCAATAATTTTCTTTTAAATTTAATTTTTCTAATTGTAGCAAGAACATTTAGCATGAGATCTACTCTCTTAAATTTTAAAAATGCAACATAGCATTGTTATCTATAGGCACAATGTTGTACATCAGACCTCTAGAATCCTCTTGGTAACTCCACATTTTCTCTCCTCCCAGCCCCTGGAAACCACCATTCTATTTTCCATTTCTATGAGTTTGACTTTTTAGATATTTCATGTAAGTGGAATCATACAGTATTTGTCCTTCTGTGACTGGCTTATTTCACATACATAGTGTTCTCAAGTTTCATCCATATTGTCACATATTGCAGGATTTTCTTTTTAAGGCTGAATAATATTCCATTGGATGTATACACCACATTTTCTTTATCCATTCTTCTGTTGATGGGAATTTATGCTTTTCCACATCTTGGCTATTGTGAATAATGCAACAATGAACATGGGAATGCAAATATCTCTTCGAGATCCTGATTTCAATTCTTTTGGATAAACATCTAGGAGTGGTATTGCTGGGTCATGTGGTAGTTCTTGCATTTTATTCCAAGTATGAGGATTTCGAGCTGGAGAGTCATATGATCTGATTTATATTTTGAAAAGATCAAAATGTTGAGAATAAAATATAGTTTGTCAAGAACAAAAAAGAAGGAAGATCAGATGAGAGGTTATTATAGTAATCAAGAAAAAGATGTTCAGGGCTACCATGTATAGTTATTTGGGATTTGTGCTGCTGAGAGTGTCCAGAAAAGTGGGAAAATGAGAGCTACAGTCCAACTCAGATGTTCCCTATTGTAAATTTTGTCACAAGGCCATAGCTACTCAGAGGGAGTGTATTTTTCTAATTTGTAAGAAACCACCATATGGACTAGTGGTGGCATTGATGATGGCTTGCACTTGGATGGTAGTAAATGTGTTTTTTCTCTTTCCTGACTATTTGATGAATAGTATTGATCAGAATAGAAATCTATTGAATCAGAGAAGAAAATGTATGTTTAAATATAAGTGTATACAGTATGTATAGAGCTAGTGTGCTTGCAAATGTATACTTCTATGGTCATGTATGCTTGGAAACATTCTGTATGCTGTGTTATTGAATGACAATATATCAAATTAGTGGATTAAGGAGAATAGGATGTGCTTGCTTAAGTATGTGAAGACAGAGGCCAGTTAGGGCCAAAGAGACTGCAGAGTATTTATAGTCCTGTGTCCAAAATGTGAAGTGAACAAGAATATATTGGTGTTCAACCATTTGGAGAAAGTCTGTGTGGTTCTCAGCTGGGTAGGCACCATCCCAGGAAACTAGGTTACAGGGACCTACTAGGTAACAATATAATTAGATAAGTTATATGCAAATGAAGTAGACAATAATCAAGGGTAGAATGAAGTATGCATGAAGAGAGCTGCCTCTTCTATGAAGGAAAATCTAAATGGAATTTTGAAAAGGTGATTAGAAGACAACAAATGAGATCAGATGAGGAAGGGTTCAGTTACTAAATAAAAGGGAGGTACTTAGCTGATGAGTTCAGGTATGTCTCCCTGTGGCAATTATCCTAACCAGATAGATGAATCAAGTGTTCATGACCCCACGTTGCCTTACCTGTTCTGCCTGTGGTCATCTGTCCACTGAAAGAAATTTCAAGGAAAACAACATGATCTGGAACATGAAAGATAAAATGTTTCTAGAAAATGTTATGTGTATCGCTTCTCAGCCTTTTGGCGAAGATCAAATGAAAATACTATGTGCTTTGTAGTTAAGGAAATTAGTAGCTTCTGTTTATTAAGCATTTACTATGGGCCAGTTACTCTAATAAAAGTCCTTTATATGCCTTATCTACTTCAATCTTCATATCAACCTCTGGAATGTGGGTTCTATTACCTCCATTTTAAGGATGTAAAAACTGGGGTTTGGTGAGGTTAAGTTGATCCAGCCCAAGGTCACAGCCAGGCACTGCCCTGCTAGCTTGTGCTGTTCCATGGTCATGTGCTGCTGCTCAGAGATTCTTGGTTGCTCACCAGTCTGAGTGGCATTATAGTCTAGCACTTTAAAGTGTTGCTTCTGAGGTCAGCCTGGCTGAATTTTAATTCTGACTCCAGCACTTGGGCAAATTGGGCAAGCCTCTTTGAGCCTCAGTTTCTTCATTTTACATATGGGAATAAGAACTTACTACAGAGCCTGGTCCAGTGTAAATGGAAGGTAATTTTTCTTACTTTTCACAATGTGCTGTGAGGTTCCCAGTTCCTTCTTTAGAAGCATCAAATAGCTTTCCAGAGACTTTGAATTCAAGATAAAGGGTAAACCTATGGTATATTTCCCAAAGTAACACAAATGATTCATGATCGAATGAGTTTAGAAAACAACTCTCACAGAATCCCAATGCAAACCAGCATATTAAAAGCTGCAAAGTCCTGTACTAAAGAACTGTTGTTTAGATAATGATTTCCTAATTTGATTTGATCATGGAAACAATTAATATGATGATTCAATGCACAGGACCAGCAAACTCCTGGGGTCACACAGTAGCCCATTGTGCTTTTATCTTCGTCAAGCCTCTTAACCTCTCTATACCTTAGTTTTCTCATCTGTAAAATGAAAATGATAATAGTGATTTTTTTCATAGGGCAGTTTGGAGGAGGAAATGCGTAGAAAATGACTGATATCTAGTAGGAGCTTAATAAATGTGAGCTCGTATTATCATGACTATTGTTTTAAACGTCTGAACACTGATATCACGTTCTGTGGTCCAAATATTTGTTTTTCTCTTAATTTTATCACCATTGTTTTAGTGTGTACTCTTTCACTCTATGTGGCTTTAAACTGTGGAATTAAGTGGATGAGGTGTGGAGACATGGGGTAGGAAAGAGAGTCTTACAGTTGCTCAGAGGATTAGAATAGCTCATGAACTTTGCAAAGTAGACAGAACCACAGCGATGAAATAGTTATGATCACTCCTCATGGAGCTTTCAGACCCTAGGGGATGGGAGAGTTAGGTTCTGTGGTACATCTTCTGACAAGGGCCCTGCTATCACTAATCTCCCAGCTTTGATGACCCCAGGCCTCCACCCCCTGTGAATACTCTCCCAGCCATCCACTCCATTGCTTCTAAAAGCTACTGCCAGAGGCAAGGAAATTAAATCTCATTGTTAAAAAGTGTATGCTGTGTGGTTCATAGCTGCCCTTCTTTCAGTGAAAGATGAAAATGGGTTTTGGGATCCTAGTAGTCAGCCTATCTTTCAGATAGCCCTCATTTATTTGAAGTCCTTATTAGTGATATCTATACAGACACGGCAGAAAAAAAAAAAAACTTCTGGGGATCAAGAGCTAGGAAATCATTAATTTGCTTTCTTGCATAACTATTGGGCAGCATAGCCATGGCTACTGGAGGCCTGTAATTAATTAACTAATTAATGTGCTCATTAATTCATTATATGCATATTGAGTGGTTGCTATGTATCAGGTACTGGGCTAAGCTCCGAGGGCAAAAGAGATGAATGAGACGTGGTCTCTGCCCTCAAAGATCTCAACATTCAGTTGGGAAGAAAATGCATGTATACAAATAATTTTAATTCAAAGTAATTTTCCATATGAGTAATGGAAATGTGGCAGACAAAATTTATTAACCTGGCCATCATTATAACACCTCCTCCCCTTTCATATAGCTTCTGTTATCTCTACCTTAATTTCTGTCCTTTCATCTTAATACAGATTGGATCTGTGTCCCCACTCAAATCTCATATTCAATTGTAATCCCTCGTGTTGGAGGTGGGGCCTGGTAGAAGGTGATTAGATTATGAGGGTGGTTTATCATGAATGGGTTAGCACAATTCTCTCAGTGCTGTTCTCATGATAGGGAGTGAGTTATCATGAGATCTGGTTGTTCAAAAGTAGGTAGCACCTCTCCTCTCTCTCTCTCTTCCTCCTGCTCCAGCCATGTGAAGTGCCATTTCCCCTTTGTCTTTCACTGTGACTGTATGTTCCCTGAGGCCTCCCCAGATGCAGATGCCATTATGCTTCCTGTAGAGCCTGCAGAACTGTGAGCCAATTAAACCTCTTTTCTTTATAAATTACTCAGTCTCAGGTAGTTTTTTATAGCAGTGTGAGAATGAACTAATAAACATCCCCTGGAAAGTCTGCCTCTGCTAGACAGTTTCTAGGGGTGTGTGTGAGAGAGAGAAAGAAAGAGAGAGTGAGAGAGATTAATACAGACGCAGAATCAGCAATACATAGAGGACAAAAGGAATATTTTTCCAAAGTAGCATCACTCTGGAGGTGAACCACTGAGTCATGGCCTTCAGAGGGTTATGGACATAGAATCTCATGGGAGTTCAGAAGAGGCAGAGAGCTGCTCCAACAGGGATGGCCAAGGAAAATGTCACAGAGGTGACACTTATGAATTAGGTCTGTATTAGTCTGTTTTCATGCTGCTGATACATAACCGAGACTGGGTAATTTATAAAGAAAAAGAGGTTTAATGGATTCACTGTTCCACATGGCTGGGGAGGACTCACAGTCATGGTGGAAGGCAAAAGATATTTCATACCTGGAGGCAGCAAGAGAGAATGAGAACCAAGTGAAAGGGGTTTCCCCTTATAAAACCATCAGCTCTCATGAGACTTATTCACACCACAAGAACAGTATGGGGGAAACTGCCCACATGATTCAATTACCTCCCACCGGGTCTCTCCCACAACACATGAGAATTATGGGATCTACAATTCAAGATGAGATTTGGGTGGGGACACAGCCAAACCATATCAAGCCCCTACAGAATAGACAGATTTTGATACACAGTAAAAGTTAGTAGAGGTGTTGTGTTCTGGGCAAGGGACACCTTTTAAATCAAGTAGCAGAGTGGAACTATTGTCTTTAGGACATACTGTTGCAAGTAGTCTGGGTTTTATAGGACAGTAATGAAATAAGACCAGAAAAGCTAGTTGAGGTCAGAATTCCGTGAACCAGATTTTAACACAACATTGATTTTTGTCACAATATTTCCTTCTTCAGTTGAATTGATGGTGGGGTGGCCTGGACTATGAGTTTGGCTTTCTATATTGTGAGAAAGAGACATGCCCAGATTAAGGGGAATTACCTTTCCGTCACCATAATTGGGACTATTGGAAGGGTAATTCCAGGAAAGCACTTTGCACTGCAGCTTCCAGGAGGCCAGGTCCTCCCTCTGCTTGCAGTCATAAAATCATCAGACAGGCACATGATCTATGCTTGGTCACCCGGAGCATTGTAACTTGAGCGAATGACCCAAGGACAAGAGGGAATGTTAGAGATGATTTATTGCAGCAGCAGTGGTGGTGGCATCAGCAGCAGCAGTGAAATTAGTCTCACCTGATAGCTGTCCTAGCTACAAGGTAGTTGCCATCCTTCTTGGACTTCTAAACTTAACACAATCCATGCTTCTTTTGATGCCTCGTGCCCAAGCTACTCTTCCCTCTCTTTCCTACACTGGTAATTTTCCAACGCATCATGCTTATCTTAAATTAACCAAAATCAATTTCTGTTACTTGCAACCAAAAACCTTAACTGACCCTTGGGTCAAAAGCTCTCCATAGTTCTGTGGGCTGATGAATGTCAGCTCAGATTTTTTTTCTGGAGAAAGCCCTTTCTTACAGAGCTCAGAAAGTTGACTAGGCCTGAGACAATGTATTAGTCCATTCTCACACTGCTATAAAGAAATACTTGAAACTGGGTAAGTGATAAAGAGGTTTAATTGGCTCACTTTCTACAGGCTATACAGGCTTCTGCTTCCGGGGAGGCCTCAGGAAACTTACAATCACGGTGGAAGGCAAAGGGGAAGGAGGCACGTCTTACATGGCCAGAGAAGAAGGATGAAAGTGAAGGGGGAGGTGCTACACACTTTTAAACAACCAGGTCTAATGAGAACACACTCACTATCATGAGAATAGCAAGGGGAAATTCATCCCCATGATCCAATCACCTCCCACCAGGCCCCTCCTCCAACACTGGGCATTATAATTCCATATGAGATTTTGGTGGGGACACAGATCCAGACCATATCAGACAGTTCTACATTTTGCAGCTATGTTCCCACCTTGCGACACAACTTCTCCAACAGCAAGGGCAGAATAATTGCTGGACTTTTCCAAACATCACACTGGAAAGCACCAGGAGGTTAAATGACTAGCTCAAAGCACCAAGCCTGACAGCTCTTAATCCAAGATTAAAGCCAAGTGTGGGGTTTACAGGTAGGTGTGCGCAAAGCTCAGCTTCTGGAATTTCACATTTGTTTGTGGAGTAACAGCACAAAGCCTTTGTTTATATGACTTTAAAAGAATTAATCTCATTCATTCTGAAGAACGTGGCAGCAGAGCTGACTGGAATCTTTCTCTGCTGTCCTTTCATTTCGGGGTCAGGGGTTTACATCAGCTCCCTTTAGCAGATTTGTTTCTCCTAGAACACAGAAGGTACTTGATGATCCCTTGCATCTGTCACAAATTCTTCTATCGCTGGGCAGAGTAACCACAGCTTCCCTCAGGCCCTGCAGATGTCAGGACACAGAAAGGAAATGCTAATGAAACCTCTCTCCTTCGGCTTCTCTGGCATAGATGCCTGACCCCTGGCTCCAGGCCCCACCCCACCCCATCCAGATCAAAGTCATGTCAGTTGTCTTTGGAGCACATTGAGAATTTCTTTCTCTTCTCTTAAACTAGTATTTGCCCATTTTTACTGCCTTATGTTGAAAGAATCATATTCATCATCAAAAAATTGAGAACTTCAGAAAAAGATAGAGAGGAAAATCACTAAGAGTTCTACAACTTAGAAATAACTATTTGTGATATCCTTCTAGTCTTTTCTTTCTCCATATGCAGAAATAAACATGCAGATATATAACTATATAATATGCTTTTAACATTTAATTTATTTTACGAGATGGAGTCTCACTCTGTTGTCTAGGCTGGAGTGCAGTAGCATGATCATAGGTCACTGCATCCTCAGCCTCCTGGGCTCAAGAGATCCTTCCACCTTAGCCTCCCAAGTAGCTAGAACTACAAGGTAACACCACCACACCCGGCTAATTTTTTAGCTTTTCCTAGTGATGGAGTCTTGCTATGTTGCCCAGGCTGGTCTCAAACTCCTGGCCTCTATATAATATACTTTAAAAGATATTTTCCTTAGAATTCTATTTATATTTTGTCTTTTTTTTAACTCAGTAGTATATCATGAATATTATTTCATGTTTTCAGTAATGGTGTAGTATTTTTTTCTCATTTTTGTTTTTTTAAGAGACAAGTTCTCAGGCCGGGTGTGGTGGCTCATACCTGTAATCTCAGCACTTTGGGAGGCCGAGGCAGGGAGATCACTTGAGGTCAGGAGCTTGAGACCAGCAGATCACTTGAGGTCAGGAGTTTGGCCAACATGGTGAAACCTTATCTCTACTAAAAATACAAAAAACAAAACAAAACAAAAAACAAAAATACCATAGCTGGGCATGGTGGTGCATGCCTCTAGTCCCAGCTACTCAGGAGGCTGAGGCAGGAGAATCGCTTGAACCGGGAGGCGGAGGTTACAGTGAGCTGAGATTGTGCCACTGAACTCCATCCTAGGCAACAGAGTGAGACTTTGTCTCAAAACAACAACAACAACAACAAAACAAAGCAAACAAACAAACAAAAAACAGAGAGAGACAAGTTCTCACTGCATTGTCCAAACTGGATTCAAACTCCTGGAATCAGGTGATCCTTTTGCCACAGCCTCCAGGGTAGCTGGGACTGCAGATGCACGCCACCATGCTTGACTGTGTAGAATTTTAATCATTTGGCTATATAATAATTCAGTTAACATATATCATATTTTTAAGCATTTATGTTGCCCTTTCTTGCTGTACAAATAATATTGACCTTCCTTGATTCTATTGTCTTTACATAAATTCTTAGAAGTAGAATTGCTGAGTTCTTAAGAAGATTTAGCTTCCTAATTTAGTTTTTTTTTACCTTGTTTTAAATTATTTTATAGTTTAACAAGGGACCCAAGATGAAGCTGGGTGGTATGAGAAAGTTTCTCTCTCTAGAGAATGCATGGCTGGATTATGAAGAGCTGATTAAAACTCAGGGTCTTAGAGAGTTATCAGTGGTGCCCACAGAGGGAGGCTTTTGAATCCTAGTTTAACCTAACAGTGGATTGAGAGTATTAGTGAAGGGCAAGTGTTGACAAACAAGAGCACAGGGTCTAAGGCTAGGGCCAAAACTTTTAGAAACAGGGGACTTCCACAGATGCCTTGTGGGAAAGTTACAACAATCCTCAATTCTTTGACAACAGAATTGATCCATGCCCAGCTGTCCAAAGCTTCCATCCAGATGTGCACTCCAGCATTAGGTTCACTTGCTAACCTTTTTTTCATTAACTGCACAGTCTCTGCAGGTAAATAAACCTCAAAATATTTTAGCCATCTGTTGTTCCAATGGCTCCTGGGATTGGAAACATGGAAATCTCCGAAACTACTTGAGTGAGCACAGGCAACTTTATGGCTATGTGGATCGGTGGCCATTAGAAATTTCCACTTACTTGTCTAATAGCTAGTATGCAGGCGTTTCTACTTACCTGGAACCCTGAAAACAATAACACTCCTAAGTTACTGCTGAAAAACACTGTAAACATTTTGATCATTATTCTTTCTGTAATATCTTAGTAGAAATTTCCCCAGAGACAAAGTTTTAAATGCAAGAAGTTTATTGGAAGGCACAAAGGAAATGGGTAGTTAAGGGGGAAGGATACAGAAAAGGGAAGAGATCATTAATAAAGACATATAGCCATAACGTTACATGTGGTAGTTCTTGCATTTTTTTCCTACTATGAGGATTTCAAGCTGGAAAGTCATATCTGATTTATATTTTGAAAAGATCATGACCCAGCAATACTGTACTACAAAAGCACAGTGGATGACTGGAACGGAATCCCCTGGGAAATCTCTAAAACATAATGCAAAACACAAGCCTTCAAATTATCCTAGACTGAGCTGGGCATGGTGGCTCATGCCTGTAATCCCAGAGCTTTGGGAGGTTGAGGTGGGAGGATCACTTGAGGCCAGGAGTTTTAGACCAGCCTGTGCAATGTAGCGAGACCCTGTATGTATAAAAATTAAAAACAAATAACTGAGCATGGTGGCACACACCTGTAGTCCTAGCTACTCAGGAGGCTGAGGTGGGAGGATCACTTGAGGCCAGGAATTTGAGGCTACAGTGAGCCATGGTCATGCCACTGTACTCCAGCTCAGGCAACAGAGTGAGGCCCTGACTCTAAAAAAAACGAACAAAACCAAATTATTGGGTCTGGTCTGAAAAGCATGAAAAGCAGACACCAAGACAGGCCAACACCTATGAAGGACCAAGGGGGAGTGAACAGGAGTAGGAAGAAAGAACTTTCAGACCACGAGGTAGGTTTGGCACTTGTGAAAGGAGAAAGGAAGGAGAAACCTCAGACCATAGCACAGTTCAGAGAAAATCTCAGCTAGACCAATGGAGAGTCTTCAAGCAAGAGTAGGCTATTCAGGCAGGATGATTGGTGGTCACAAGTGGAGCCTTGACCATGCCCAATCATTGGCTGGGTGTAGTCCAGGCAAAGCTTGTCCTTGACTGGCAACATGTTTTTCCTCCTAACTTGCTGGCCAATCCCTCTTGGTTCCTTTTGCTGGTTTATCTCTTACTTTCAGATCTCCAAGTATTGGATTTCCCAGGTTATCTCTTTTTTTCTGTATATACTTACCTCCTAATTTTCCTACTACTGTGGTAGCTTTCAATGTTATGTATATATTTGTGACCTACAAGTTTATATCTCTTGTCCAGACTTTGCCTCTGAGCTCTTTAGCCACTTCTGCTCATCAGTTCAGATATCTAACTGCCTATTTGGATGTCTAGTGGGCACTTCAAATTTAACAAGTCTAAAATAGAGCCAGAACACGAGTCAAATTTGTATATTGTCCTTATTTGTGTTTTTAATTGTCTTTCTTCTCTATATGCATGTAAGCTCCTATAAAGACATAAAGGTAGATTTTTGTCTGTCTTTTTTCATGCTTCTAATTTCTAAGAATAGCACATAGTATTACTATAGTATATAATAAAGAATATTTCTTAGCCCTTGAGACAGACAAACTTTTGTGAGATTGACTGGTATCTGAGCTAAAGCTGTGAAGGAACTTAGCATTATATAAAGGGCACATGGTAATGGAACACCTGACTCATTCTCCGGTGACTCACACTCTGAGCTAAGCTAATGGACACAGACAATTTTTATTCAATGAGGTAGAGCAAAGAACTGGTGCAAAACCCAGGGGAATTGAAGAGTTTAGAGCTTTAAAGAACACGTACTACCTTAAAAGAGATAACTAACCTACCATCCCAGCAAAGTCTAATGAGTACAATTAAATCTAGCATTATTAATGCATTAAGCTAAATGCTTTATATAAATCACTGTATATAATCTTCACAACAGTTATATGAAAGACATGCTAACATTATCCCTGTTTTCTAGCTGAGGAAACTAGGGCTGTGAGAATTTCTAAAGAATCTTCTAAGATGTAAGTGAAAATCTAGGAGACTAATATGAAACATTTTTAAATTCTGAAAGTCAGGCTGGGTGTATTCATGATGGAATTGTTTCCTTGAGGGAAGCCAAAAAGAAAAGGGGTTTAGCACTTAGGTTATTTAATGCCAAGATGAGACCAAGTTAGAGATGTTAGTCTTGGAACAATTTTGTGTTGGAAGAAAGCTTGGATTGACTAAATGCAAAATTCTGTTGCCTTTTGCCTAAATGATTCCATCCAAAAATAGTTCTAGCAGATTCTGCTGATGCTCAATTCACACTGTGTTATATCCTTGCATCATTCTCTTGCATACCAGCCTGATCTTCAATGTCCAGCCTGCCGGAAGAGGCAGGGGCAGAGTGCCTGATAATGGTGATGCTGAGAGACTGTGCCCATAAGTACAGAGAGGCCAGGTTAGTTGAGAAGTGAGAAATGACTACTGGATTGAGCAACATGGCTTTGGTGGCATGGTGGAGGCGAACATTTGATTGAAATGAGTTAAGGAGATAGTGGGAGGAAGGAAACGAGAGACAGTGAGCATAGACCACTTCTGTGAATGATTTGATAGCTACCTTCATCACTTAAAAAATGCAAACAGCTTACATCACATCTTTTTCTACTGCTGAAGACATATTGTCATTGGCACACTTAACATATAAGAATATCAGAGAGGAACAGCAGCATGACATCTGAATTAGGAATCGTAAAACTTGCATTTTAGGCTGAGCTTAAAATGTGACTAGATTTTTGCCCCTAAACAAGTTATCTCCCATTTTCTCATTCTCTTATCTATTCAATGAGATTTGCAGCTTTAGATTTCATTATTTCCCCAAGGAAATTAATTTGAATTGTCTCAAGTAAGATCTAATATTCTTTTCTTCTCATGGTACATAATACATATCCATTTGTTGTCAATATCTTTAATAAGAATATATACTTAAAATGTTCTATTCTCTCTCTTTTATTTTTTTTAACCTGTTACAAGATCTTTTCTTTAATGACCTCTGGAGACTTGATGAGGGAACTCCCTTATTACTTGGATATGACATGTCAGTTACCATTAACTTAAATGTGTGATCTTGTCAAGATTTGCATCTATAGGATGGCTTTTCATTTAAGCTACCAATTAACTAGCTATGACATAAATGTTGACCTTAAAGTTGAAACGTTTTATTAATCCTATATTGCTTTCAGTTAGAAAATTGTCCAACATACGGAAAATATTTCAAAGAAGTATTTTTTCAAGACTGAATACTGATTTGTGCCTATTTTCACACTTGTTTAGTGCCTATTTGACACTTTGGTCAAAGTTATATTTATATTTAAATGAACTAATTCTTTTTCAGCATAGCACAGAATATAGTTTAGTGGGCATAGTCTTTGGATTAGGAAAATCTGATTTTCAATCTTTGTTCTGCCATCTGCTAATGTTAGGACATTTTGCTAGTTAATAGACATCTCAAAGCCTCATTTTCCTTTTCTGTAAAATAAGAGACCCTGAGCTTTGTGAAGGACAAATGAGATATGCTTGTAAAATGTTATGCACAGTGTGTGAATCTAAGTAAATGTTCAGGAATCTATTATCACTGTGAACAAGCGACTTACGAAGTTTTAAAAGAATTAAAACATGTTATGATATGGTGCCTAGCCTCAAGGAATTTACACTCCAATGAAAGCATCTGACATATAGTTTAAGTGCAAGGAAATTCTTAAGAGTCATTTAAAAATATAAAAGCTAAGAACTGTGGGAATACAAAAGCAGAAATACTTCCAGAAGAAGAAATACTTCCAGCTTGGGATTTTAGGAGAAGCCTCATCATGGATATGATATTCTAGGAAGGAATAACGATTTTGTCTGGTGGGGAAGGAAAAGGAAAAGAGAGGAAGTGGAAGAGGCGGAGAAGGAAAGAAAAAGATAGACTTTTCAGGTAGCGAGAGCAGGTAGAGTAGCTTGAGCAAGGAGGGATGACTCATTCACACAGCTGGAGCAGAGTGATGGGAGCAGAGACTTGGGAGGTGAGAGCTGACAGATGAATTGGGGGTACAGGTAGGAAGACCATGTAAGATTTTAAAAGCCATGCTACAGTGTTTATCATAAGCAATGGTGGAAGCACAATTTTAGGCAAGAGAATGACACAATCAGGACACTGAAGCAATAGATCAGAGGTTGCAGGGAAACCTGAAAATCACGTTTAGTTGGTGGTCTGTGAAAGCCATTTAGATGAGCAAAGTGAAAAAACTGGATGGGGACTTTGGAGATAAAGGAAGGACAGAAATAGGGATTTGTTTTAGATGTGGGCCTGAAATGATCTGATGATCATCTGGACATAGGCAGCGAGGGAGAAGGGAGTATTAAAGCTGACTTCAGGGACAATCTGGGAGCAAGATGGTGGAGTAGAACTCTCCAGGGCTCATCCCACCATAGAAATATCAATTTGAACAACTACCCACATATGAAAATACCTTCACAAGAGCTATGAAAATGTGGCTGTAGCCCAATAAAAGGCACATGGAAGAGGGTCCGAAGAACAATTTTATATTACCCAAGACACCCCTCCCCAAACCTAAGCAGCATAGTGGCTGAGAGAGATACCATCAGCTTGGGGCAAAGAGAGGGAAGTGAATACAGAACATTGACTTTTACCCCAACACTGGGCTTACCACCCAGCACCAGGCAGATCCCCACAGTCCAAACTACAGACCAGTATCCATGGATTGAGCCTCTAGACTGACCCTGGTGCCAGGTGGGACCATATAACCCTAAGGCTTCAGCCTTGTGTGGTGGACTCAATCTCTGGCCTGCACCACTTCTGGGCCGACAACAGCAGCCCTAGATTCTGGACAGCCCTTAGCTATAGGCAGCCCTCCAGCAGCCCAGACTTCTGAACCCTATCTCACACTATATTCAGAAATCAACTCAAAATGGATTAAAGACCTAAATGTAAGACTCAAAACTGTGAAACTTTAGAAGAAAACATAGTGAAAAAGCTCTATGACATTGACCTAGGCAATGAATTTTTGGATATAACCTCAAAAGCACAAGTAATAAAAACAAAAATAGACAAATGGGATTATATCATACTAAAAAGCTGCTATAAAACAAAGGTAACAACCAACAGAATGAAGAGATAACCTACAGAATGGAGAAAATATTTGCAAACTATACATCTGATAAGGGGTCAATATCCAAAATATATAAGGAATTTATTAGCAAGAAAACAAAATGACTCGATTAAAAATTTTGCAAAGGACCTGAATAGACATTTTGCAAAAGAAGACATATAAATGGCCAACAGGTATATATGAAAAAATTCTCAACATGACTAATCATCAGGGGATTGCAAATCAAAACTACAATGAGATACCACCTCACATCTTGTATCAAAGCGACAAAAGATAACAAGTGTTGGAGATAATGTGGAGAAAAGGAAACCCTTGCACACTGTTGGTGGCAATGTAAATTAGTCCAGTCATTATGGAAATAGTATGGCGGTTTCTCAAAAAATTAAAAATAGAACTACTATAAGATCCAGCAATTCCACTACTGGGATCCAAAGGAAGGGAAATCAGTATGTCAAATGATATCTGCACTCCCATGTTCATTACAGCACTATTCACAATAGCCAAACATGGAATCAACCTAAGGGTCCATCAACAGATGAACGGGTAAAGGAATGTGGTATATATACAAACTGGAGTACTATTCAGCCTTAAAAAGAAAGAAAGCCTGTCATTGTGACAACATGGATGAACCTGGAGAACATTACATTAAGTGAAATAAGCCAAACACAGAAAGACAAATACCACATGATCTCATTATATGAGAATCTAAAAATGTTGATCTCATAGAAGTAGAAAATAGAATAGTGGTTACCAGGGTCAGGGGGTACTGGGGGGGTTACAGAGATATTTGTCAAATGATACAAAATTTCAGTTAGATAGGAGAAATATGTTTAAGAGATCTATTGTACAATATGATAACTATAGTTAATAATATATTGTATATATTATATTCTTGAAAAGCACTAAGAGAGTGTATGTTAAGTGTTACCACAAAAATGATAACTATGTAAGGTAATGCATATGTTAATTAGCTAGATTTAGTCATTCCACAATGTTCATATACTTCAAAATATTTGTACACAGTAAATACAATTTCATCTGTCAATTAAAACATATAAATTAAGGGAATAAAGGGGCAGAGCCTTTCAGAAGTGATTAGTCATGAAGGCAGAGCCCTCCTGACTGGGACTAGTGCCCTGATATAAGAGGCCCAAGGGAGCTCCTTGGCCCTTCCACCATGTGAGAGTGGAGACAGAACACACCATCTATGAGAAAGCATAGCCTTACCAGGCACCAAATCTGTTTGCACCTTGATCTTGGACTTTCCAGCCCCCAGAACTATAAGAAGTAAATTCTTGTTTTTAATATGTTAAGAAATATATTAAAAATAAAATACTGAGAATTTATTGTGCATGGTCTTTTTGGTTATAGATTCATTTTAACCTAAGTCTTATCAGTTTAATACATTAAATTGTAATTGTTAAAAAAAAAAGCTGTCATCAAGATTTCAAAATATAGGAGATACAGAAGAAGTTTTGAAGACAGGTGTTGGTAGGAGCAGAAAAATCTCATGCTTATAGGGACCAGGCAAGTAAGGGGAATGAATGAAGTAGGTTAGATTAGGGGTTTGATGGGGGGGTGGGGACTGTGGAAACTGTCCCGTATACCAAAGGAAGCATCTATTCAGCTTTAGTTAGTCGTTGTCATGGAGAATTCGTGTCAAATAATACCAGATCTTTCTGTTTTCAAGAGAAACTGAATTTTCAAATTTTAAAGTAATTTATCCTGTTTTATTTTCTTTAGGTTTAATTAAATTTAAACACTGTATAGGTGAAACAAAACAACAGATGAGAATTGAAAACTTATGATAAATTTATAATTGTTTATAATTGCCTGATATTTTCATCTATACATTTGCTTAAAGTACTGTTTATGTTTCCCTTTAGCATTTACACACATTTTTTCAACTGCCTTAGAATGGATATGATTCATACTTAACTGATTACTGTTACTACATATTCCAAGTAGTGGTTCTTTTCTTCTTTTCCTTTTGTGCTCTTTTCCACAATGGTGTTTCTTCTACAACATATATTAGTTTCAAGAGAGCTTGAGAAGAAGTAATCAATACATCCATAATATAAATTCTAAAATAAGCGGATGAGGTTTTAGACAGGGCAATATGTGTGTACACAGGTGTGTTTGTGTGTTCAGTTTCAGGTACAAGAGAAAGTGTGGACAAAGCATTTTTAAATAGACTGAGCTTCTGGGACTTAAAATGCAAGAGTACAAAAAAGGAAATTTTAAAAAGTCTAGATAAGCGCACAAAGAAAGAAATAAGATCCAGGTAAAAGAGCTTTTAAATGAATATTAACAAGCTGATTTATCAATCAAATCATACAAAATTTCTATGTCTTCTATATGGAGGTGTGATGATAGCTCAGTTGATTTTATTTTAAGCAACATCTTTTAAGAAATACTGAGAAAGAAATTGGGGTAAGATAGCACAGATGTATCATCTGCAAAAATTCAAACTAATCTTTCAATATAAGAATTCACATCAAATTTATGCAAAGTCGTTCTTTATATAGCAAGTTTTGATGCCATTGAAATAATGGATAATTTTTTTGGTGGAAATATAATCTTTTAAGGTTTTGGAAAAAATAAATGTATGTATTTCATGACTGAAAGAAAGCTAACGACAGAGAGCAAAGTCTGAGGCATAATTCTGAAGATAAAAGAGATCAGTTAATTCTCCCTCCAATCATTTTATCTTCCCAATGTGCTATTCATCTTACAGCTTGTTGCCTGGTAACCTGGTGATTATGAGGAATAATCATGGCATACCAACACTGAAGGTACAGGTGATTTTGTATTATGATCCCTGCTCGCTTTTAAGCTAGTAGGCAATAGTGGGTGGCTCAGTTCTAAGAGAAAGGGCTTTGTTGTTACAGGGAAAGAATGCTGGATATAAGATGACAATTTCGTTTCTACCAGGTACTGATTGTGGCTCTTGGAAAGTTCCTTGAATTCAGACAGCCTCAGTTCCCTCATCTGTATAATGGAGACAAACTTAGTACCCAACTATTTAAGTTGTCAGGAATCTTACATAAGATCATGCATGTAAAATACACAAATACAACTATTTTTAATATTAACAGTATTACTATCACTAAAATGGATAAAGTTTGCTGTTATTGGAGGCTAATTGGAAACACTGAAGTTATTTGTTATTGAAAGCTGAATCAAATAGCTAATGATGATGCTTCGTTTATCCGGTGGAATCCTTTAGTTGAAATTAAGATAAACTGACTCTGGCCAATTAAAGCCAAAAGGAATTTATAGAAAGGATATTCATGGTATACATATTCAATGGATGGCTGGCGAGCCAGGCTTGGGAATTGGAAGAAACCAGGATAGTCTGGGGGAATGATGCCATCACTCATAGATAGGGTACTGTAGCTGAATTGCTAGGCTCCATCTTTTTTGAACTCTCTTTTCCTCTTTATTTTTGAGATTCAAATTCCTGGTATGAATGCATGTCAAACTAGTCGCCCCTGGGTCACATGCTACCTCTTTTAACAATGTTGTTACCAAAAGGAAATCAGGACTGTATTAGAAATGGTAAATGGACACTCACAGCCTAAAAATTCTGAAAACAAACAGGTTTCCTAACTCCCCAAAATAAAAACAACAAAAAATGTCCTTTATACCAACTGTCATAAATGTGTGAATAAAAAACTACTAGGTCGTAAGAGGCCATGAACTCGATTGTATAGAGGCTTAAAAACTATTACTACCTAGTATTTATTCAGTGTTTACTATGTGCTAGGACTTGTGCTAAACCCACCAAGCAGATTACACAATGTGCATAAATATATTACTTACGTAATACTGAATGCCAGAGAATGGACAAATTGTAAATTTATTGAATTAGGGTCTTGTTTTTATTTGATTTTTATGAATAATTGTGGCTTCTTTTTTTCTATCTTAATCCTCATAATAGGAAGTTGTTATGATTATCAAATTAATCAGGAGTCTTTGGGTTTATAAGTGACAGAAACCCAACTCTAACTGAACTAAACAAAAACAGTAAATTGACTAGTTTATGCCGGTGGGAAAAACACGGGAGTGGCCCTCAAATTCCACGGAGTTGCTGCAGGAGTGAGGGCCTTGCAGTCAACACTGCCAGGTCAATCTTTCTCTCCATCAGGCTTTCCCTTTGCATGTATCTGATAATCTTAATTCTTTCCTACTGCAGACAGATCTTCTCCATATGGTGGAGAAATAGTCACTAGCTCACTAGCATCTTGAACTTTCCAGTCTTCCCAGCACCCCGTCTCCAAATCAGAACAGAAAGGATGGAAAGGTGGGTTTAGTTTTGTTTTTCCAATTCCTTTTTTTTTTTTTTTTTTGAGACAGAGTCTCGCTCTGTTGCCCAGGCTGGAGTGCAGTGGTGTGATCTCGGCTCACTGCAACCTCTCCCTCCCGGGTTCAAGCGATTCTCCTGCCTCAGCCTCTTAAGTAGCTGGGTCTACAGGTATGCACCATCACGCCCGGCTAATTTTTTGTATTTTTAGTAGAGATGAGTTTTCACCCTGTTAGCCAGGATGGTCTCGATCTCCTGACCTCATGATCCACCCACCTCAGCCTCCCAAAGTCCTGGGATTACAGGCATGAGCCACGCGCCCGGCCTCCAATTCCATTTCTTGATTTTTATGTCTGCTGTTGGAAAAGAAAAAAAAAACAAAAATAGTTTTAAAATCCTATTTCTATTAGCTTACTAAACCTGATACCCTTCCTTCCTCCATCTCTAAAAAATGGGGGAAGACAGAGAAATGGAATGAAAAATCTTCAAAGCTGGAAGGACAAAGGGAGTTTCCTGTTCTAGGATGTGATGTGAAGGGAAATTAGAAGATGGACTGTCCTGAAGCATAGACATGACCCTCTCCAACTCATCATCTGAGATCAGCTGTCCTGGTAGGAACCCCTCCAGCCAACCCTTCCTCAAGTTATATACTTCTATCTACTGGAAAATTGACATTCTATGCTGATTTTATTGGAGGAAGATACTACTCGCATCAGTATTAAAATTGTCCTAATGGATACAGAAATCTATGACATCTACAAAGTGAGTAGTGCCCCTGGGATCAGATAGTTTCCACCTTTACAACTTTACAGAGTTCTATACACTTCATAACTCTCCCGAATACAGTGGAAATCCCGTATGCTCTGTTTGGGGACTGTGGCCTGAAGAAAGACTGTGGCCCCCTGACGACTTAGTCTTTTTTTTTATTATTATACTTTAAGTTTTAGGGTACATGTGCACATTGTGCAGGTTAGTTACATATGTATACATGTGCCATGCTGGTGCGCTGCACCCACTAACTCATCATCTAGCATTAGGTATATCTCCCAGTGCTATCCCTCCCCCCTCCCCCCACCCCACCACAGTCCCCAGAGTGTGATATTACCCTTCCTGTGTCCATGTGATCTCATTGTTCAATTCCCACCTATGAGTGAGAATATGCGGTGTTTGGTTTTTTGTTCTTGCGATAGTTTACTGAGAATGATGATTTCCAATTTCATCCATGTCCCTACAAAGGACATGAACTCATCATTTTTTATGGCTGCATAGTATTCCATGGTGTATATGTGCCACATTTTCTTAATCCAGTCTATCATTGTTGGACATTTGGGTTGGTTCCAAGTCTTTGCTATTGTGAATAATGCCACAATAAACATACATGTGCATGTGTCTTTATAGCAGCATGATATACTTAGTCTTGATCACAACTGGTAGAAACTACCACTATGACTAAGGTAGTAGAAGATGTATTCTACTGATGCTTATGATTTTCTTTGCTTTTCAATCCCTTATTTCCTTAATTTTATGGAATACTTACTGACAGCACATGCCACCTTACATTCTACATGTGCCCAGACTGAATTTTCCCCAAGAGCGGTCTTACAGAAAAATGCACCAAGATACAACTGGTGTTCTTACATGGAGGTTGTGGGGTGTGGTGGCCAGAATTGTGATTGGCAGGAAGAGTTTAAGAGCACTGGACTCATTGCATGAATTTTATTTTACATTGAAAAAGTGTTTCTGAGGAATAGCCTCATTTATTCATTAATTTAACAAATTATGAATATAAATATGCCAGACATTGGCTAGACACTGGGGATAACGTGATGAACAAGTTGGGTAAGATTCTTATCCTTACTGACTCTAATGAGAAAATTATAGACCCCCATGCAAACTATAACAATTAAGTGTGGTAAATGCTGTGATAGAAAAATGACAGACATTTATGGAAATGAGCAGAATGAACATCTAATTTTAGGGTTCTGGGAAGATGTTATAATCTGGCTTTTGACTTGGCTCTATCCCCCTATAGTGAAGTCATTGGCTTTTTGGCACAGTGCTTTAATAGGCTCCTAAACTAATTTCTAGGTGAAAACAATGAGAGAACTCACAGAAAAACATAGGTCCTCCTATTTCCACTTTAAACTTTATATCTGTGTTAATAGGTGTACGTATGAAAGTTGGAAATGTGTCTGACAATGAAAGCATGCATCCCTGTGTTCTTATTATAGGTGAAGATAGATAGACCTATATAAATAATTTTTCATGGATAACATAAAAGTTTCAATTAAGATCTCAGTAGGCATTTAATACATAACTCCTAAATGAAGTTCTTTGCATTTGTCTTGATCAACAAATTACTTCCCTGGGTGATAACCATAAACAGCTTAATTTGGCAGGAGAATGAGCATGTACCTTATGTTTATGGATAAAAGGGTGCTTGCTACCTGACGACTCAGGTGCTGAGGAGTCTCTGGTCAGGGACAGACGTTGGTGGGAGTGGAATGGATGGGTGGGTTGCAGCGGTTAAGACTGCCATTTTAGCACAGGCACGCAGAAGTGCCAAGAACTTGAAAGCATGAGAGATAGCGAGCGAGGAAGCCAAGCCAGTTAAGGATGGCCTCCAATTCATGGTTGACAGCCAAGAGTAACTTGTGGTTAACAGAGCAGGCAAACACGCTCTACATACATGCACTCATTCTGAATGTGCTCTAGGTAAGATTATCTCAAGTTCTGTGGCTAGCTTTGAACTGGAATCACTGACTAGTAGTATGCCAATATCTCTTTGTATGTTCCTTGGAAGTACTTACCTCACTTTAAATTGTCAGATATACATATGTGATAGCCAAATTTATTCCAGACTTAAGGCCTTGGCAGTTGCCACTTGCACTGCCTAGAACCCTGTCCTCAGATTGTCCTGTGGCTGACACTTATTTTGTCAATCTCTTCTCAGTGTCACTATTAGTTCTTCCAGAATTCTTTCTTGAATTCATTTTAAAAAGACAAACCAGAGCTTTCTGTTATATTTTAGTTTTATTATCTTGTAGCATGTATGACTGTTTGAAGTTATCTTAAAGATTTTATAATTGGCTATTTCTTTATTATAGGCATGTTTGGATATTGCTATGTTGCAGGTATTCTTCCTTCTGGTCTGGAAGCTCTATGACAACGACGAATTTCTCTATCTCATTCACCTTTGTACCCTCAGAAGCTAGAAGAGCCCCTGGTAGTAGCTCCTCTCTGTTGCTTGAGGGCAAGAATTGTATCTCAGACAAAGTCCTGAACTTGATGTCTAGCACAGTCAATGAACATAAAGATGCTCATTAATATTTAGATTTCTCTAATGGGAAATACAGTAAAACCTTATAGAAGTAACAGATAATGAACATTAAGTGAACTCCTTGTTGGCTAAAAGAGGTAGTTTTTTCTTAACTTTTAAGTTAATTTAAAATCAGCTTTTTGTGTGTGTATTTGTGTGTTTAGTGTCCAGTTGAGTACCATTATGTGACAGGTGCTTTTAGAAGTGAAGAAAGGTAGAAGTGTCCTTGCCTTTTAAGATCTTATACTCTGTTTTAAAATGAGCCAATGAAATGCTTTCTCCTTTCTAGTATTTGTAAATGGAGGCTACCTGTGTTCTTAGACATAATGATATTTGTTGAAGAATGAATCAATGTATCAATGAATAAGGAATCAATGAACCAATAAGAAATAGAAGAGCTAAGGGAACAAAACACAGCCAATTTGTCTATGAGTCAGTCTATGAGTCAGAGTAGGAGGATCTGCTTACATGAAGTCTTTGACTCATGAAATAGGCTACATTGATTTTTTAACCCAATGGAAGTCACTGTTTCCTTGTGCTCATAGCATTGTTTCTTACCCCATGGGATGCTTACGGTGTCCCTGTGCCTGTAATGCCCCTTCCTCATAGTCTCCATATGTTCAAAGTCCAGGCACTAAGGATAAAATTAAACATCATCACTTCAGTGAAATATTTTATTGCCTCCCTTGTAGTAAGTAATTTCTCCTGCCTCTGAATTCCGAGAATGCTCTACTGATTCCTTGCCTGTGGCACTTAACCTTCCCATGTTAAATTACCGTTATTTATGTCTGCATTTGATTTTCTCTTTTAGACTCTCAGCTCTTCAAGGGCAGGCTTCATTGATGATTTATCTGAGTAGCCAACCTTCAGTAATTTATTCAATAAATCTTTACTGAAGAGTTATTATATGTCAGGTACAGTGCTCATTTTGGAGAAACAGTTGTGAGCAACTGACACAGACAAGGGAAACACTCACTTGCCCTGTATTATAGGGTTTAATAATAGAGAATAGTATTAATGGCTTTTATATGTTAAGCACTTCGGCCGATTTAAGACAATTATCTTAGCATATTGTGATAGGTAAGGACATAGGTTTTCAACTCCGTAGATTGTGATTTAGTTCCTGGCTCTATCACTTGTTGGATGTGTGGTCTTGAAGGACATAGGTTTTCAATTCCATAGATTATGATTTAGTTCCTGGCTCTATCACTTGTTGGATGTGTGGTCTTAAGTTGGTAATACAACCTCTTGGAGTTTATGCCTCAGTTATTACCACAAATAATGCTGTATAACCAAGCCAAAGCAGATAAAAGCAGAATTTATTAGGCTCATGAGTCTGTGGATTGATTGGATGGCTCTTCTGGTCTGGACTAGACTAGGCTGGTCTTAGGACTGTGGCTAGCTCATGTGTCTGTCTGTGATGAGCTAATGAGTCAGCCAGGACAATGATGCAGTCTAGAATAGCCTCACCCTCTGCATAGCAAGCCTGCACTTCCACACATGGTGGCTCTGGGGATCCAAAACAGCTAGTAGAAACATGCTATTTGTAATGTAGGCTCAGAATGGTCAGAGTGTCACTTTTGTCTAATTCTACTGCTTGAGCAAGTCCCAGGGCCAGCCCAGATTCATGAGGTGGGAAACAGACTCTATATTTTGATGGGCATTGCTGCAAAGTCACATCGTACAGGGTGTGAACACAAGGAGACATCAACAATTGTGGGCGATTTTTGGACTTCATCTACTACAACTTCAGTCTATAAAATAGAGATGATAATAATAGTCCCCATTTTATAGGTGAATTGTGAAAACTGTTCGACAGGTGTCCTCAACCCGCAGGCCACACAGCAGGAGGTGAGTGGCAGGTGAGCCAGCGAAACTTCATCTGTATTTACAGTTGCTCCCCATTTCACGCATTACCGCCTGAGCTCTGCCTCCTGTCAGATCAGCAGCACATTACATTCTCATAGGAGCGCGAACCCTATTGTGAACTGTGCCTGTGAGGGATCTAGGTTGCATAAGTCTTATGAGAATCTAATACCTGATGATCTGTCACTGTCTCCCATCACCCCCAGATGGGGCCATCTAGTTGCAGGAAAACAAGCTCAGGGCTCCTACTGATTCTACATTATGGTGAGTTGTATAATTATTTCATAATAGCTTACAGTGTAATAATAATTAGAAATAAACTACACCATGAATGTAATGCACTTGAATCATACCAAAACCATCCCCTTCCCAACAACCCAGTTCGTGGAAAAATTGTGATCCAGAAAACCAGTTCATGGTGCCAAAAAAGTTGGGGACCGCTGCTGTGTGAGATAATGTGGAAAAAGCTGGATTGTTACCTGGCACTTAAGAATAACTGTAAATGTTGGAAGTTTGTTATTATTATATCATGTATCCTCACAGCCAACCATATGGAGATATTATTATATCCTCATCTTACAAAGGAAGATTATGGAGCCAGGATTCAAATGACAGTTTGTTTCACCTTAAAGCTTGTAGCACAGATTTCTTTCCTGTTTTGTTTTGTTTTTCCTTTCTGAATACACAAGCAGACATTTTTCATTCTCCCTTGCTGTTAGGTGTGACTATGTGATAAGATTCCAAATGGGGAACAGATTACTATGAGGTGCTTCCCTGCTGGCTCACAAAATCCTTCTGTGTGGGATCTTACATGTTCTTTCCCCTTTCATGGCTTGAAGCACATAGCACAACAGCTACATGAACCTTAGAAGTTATGTGATAAAGATGACAGGGCCACGGAATGAAAGGAGTCCACGTCCCTGAATCTCCATGTGGAAGAGAAATCCCTGCAGAACTGGAATTCTGATTTTGGATTTTAGTGAGCCAGAAGTTAAGTTTTATTGTGAATGAAGTGTTGGAGTTCGTTACATCAATAACTAATACAGTTTAGTTGTAACAAACTAATACCAACTGTAACAAATTCATTAATTGCAGTTAGGTTTTACTAGCTATTACAAATGAACCAATACAGAATTTAATTTCTAAAATACTGTGCTATACAATTTAGAATAGTTAAACCTTTCCTAGACAGTATTTTGTATATATGAGGCATTCTGATGTTTGTTGAAATGAGAGGATTCCAGAGCCAAGCATAAGCTTTCTAGTCACTTAATTCTATTGGTACTTCCTTTCTGCCTATGATTTCCTTTCTTTCTTTCTTTCTTTCTTTCTTTTTTTTTTTTTTTTTTTTTTTTTTTTTTGATTTCCTTGCTTTCTTATCACCCAGAGAAACTTGTTCCTTTTTGGTCAAAGTGGACTTAACAGGTTGAGGGACAGCTAATTTGGACCAGAAGATCCAATTCTCTAGAGTACCATTATTAGAATCCATTTTATCTACATAAACAAGATCAAATAATATTTTCAGGCAAAATGAAAAAAATTGAAGACCTTTTCTATAGATTGAAAATATTTGTTTTAGGGTCTCTGTGTTCAATTCTGAGGACAACTAGGGTCAGGGAGATTCTAAGAGGATTGAAAGTAGGTTTTAAGCACTCTTTTGTGGGAGGAGAGGAGTTAAGAATTAAAAGTTAAAAGAAAAAAGGTAGGAAAAAAGCTACTGAAAACAAACCAAATAAACCAAAGGTAATGCAGCCCTATTTGAAGCCAATGAGAAAAAAATTTACACTACATTCCCATTGGCCCAGAAAGAGGAATTCATACTAATTGGCACGATTATAGAAGCTCTAGGTGAAAAGTAGGGCTTTTATCTTACGATAATTATATGAAACCTCTGCTGTTGACCCCACTCAAATAATGTAACTTCTGCCTTACAGGACCAAAGAATTATAGAGGCTGACTATAAAAATTTAGAGCCATGGAGTAAGAGGTCTAGTTACATCCCTTAGAAGGAGAACAATTAGCATACAATGGCATCTCAGTGAAATAGAACTTAACTTTTAAAACATTTCCATTTCTATTCGGTAACCTCGCTTTGAAAGAAAAATAATATAGTTGACATTTAATGAATACTTACTATTTGCCAAGCAGTCTGAGTTGAATTAGAAAGAGGCAATTAATAAAATCAAGTTGAAATCAGAAATTTTATGAAAGCAAATTTTCCTCTTTTTTATTTTTTAAATGTAGCAGATCTCAGGGAGGCTTTGAGTAGAGGAAAAAATCACTTAACAAAGTCTTAGGTGGAGTCTTGGTTCTGGCACTTGGTCAAACAGTCCTTTTTATTCATCTGTAAACTGGAAATAATGATATCCTCCATTGAAGATCAATGAAATAAAATATGTGAGGGCATTTTTCAAGCCACAAAATGTAGGGTAAATGTAATTTAACTGTAATTTTACACTTACATACACATATTTAATTATTTTATTTACAGTGGATTCTGGCAGGAACAAATAGCACAATGAAGGTTTTGAGAAAACTTAAAAAAATTTTGCACGTGGTTAATATCTAGGAAACACCCTGTATATCATTGATACTTCTTTGTTACCCAATAAGCAAGCAAAAACCCACAACCCAATAAATATATTACAACAAAAACCCACTCCAAAACACAGCAAGGTACAATAAGCAAATACATCTGCAGGTGATTGCTATATGATGGAAACTAGTAAATGACATAATTCACTAATATTTTTTATTTCTTCCAGTAAGTCATTAGATGCTTAAGAGAAGCGGCTTATGACAGTTTTCATTTTCATTAAATATTTATATTTACTAATGGCAATTGTTCTGACAAACTGGGTAAATTGAGCAACTTAGGAATTTATGCTTCAAAAATAGAAGTTCTGGAATTCCTAGTGAGCAAGCTAATGCTTGAGTCATTAACATGCCATTGATTTTATAGTTAAAAAGCTGGAAAGGAAATATAGTGAGTGTTTTAAATGTTGTGATAGTTGTTTATCTTGATACTTAAATCACAAGTCTTTTGATTGTAGATATCCATTAGCTATGAAACATGCTCCTGTGGATTTTTCAAAGGATCCTCTTTCAGTTCTCTGGGGTTATCTTACCCCCCTTTTTTGTCATCTATGAGGAAGAAAATGACAATGAACCATTCTTGCCATGTAGTGGCTAAGGAAAGGATCATAAGTTTCAGAAAATTGGAAGACCAGAAATTTGAATACAGGACAAAATTTCTGTTTCTGGAAGGCAAAAGACCTGAGTTTCTGGGGAACTATGAGAGATTAACTTAACCATAATTATTCAACATTAGTCCAATACATATTTACTGAGCACTTACTGTGCACCAGGCGCAGTGCTCAGGATGCAGTAATGAACAAGAAAACACTGTGTCTGAACTCAGGGTACTTAAGGCAGACAATTAAGTGAATGGTAATAACACAATGTGAGGAATGTGATGACAGGAAGCTGTGAGCACACATACACAGGGGCCGTAAGTTCAGGGACTGTCTTCCTGATGAGTGATGTATGCTGGGCTCTGCAGGATGAACAGGAGGTAGGAGTGTTCCAGGCCATGGAAACAACGTGTGCAATGGCCAGGAAATTAGAAAGAGTATGGTGTGTGTTGTCAAGCAAATGGGCTCGCTGCCTGATGCACACAGAAGCCAATAACTATGGCACCAACTTTTGAGAAAAGAAAGCTTTCTTTCAGCAAAGAGACAGAAGCAGGCTCAAATCTGTCTCTCTGATTTGGGATCTGGGGCAAGTTTTAAGGGATCAGAGAGCAAGGGAAAGGATTTAGGAACGTTGGTTTGGCAGGGTCTGATTGGAGGGCTTCAGATTTGAGCATTTACAGTAAAGTATGTTGAGGCAGATTTTAGCCTTGGATCTTCCTGGCCAATGGAGTCCTTACTTCTTAAAGAGTTCTGATGTTCAGGTTCTGGTCAAGTCTCAATCTTCTTGATTCTGAAGGCAGAGGGGAAGAATTGTGACTTCTGGGTATTGTTAGAGGTCAAAGCTTTTTCTATTGCACATGCCCAGGCTATACAACTTGCAGTTTTTGGCTCTGTTATGGCTAAAAGGCAACCTGATATTTTGTTATCAACAGAGTAGATCCAGTTTGGGCTGGTCCCACAGTTACACATGTTCCAGCCACCAAAAGACAGCGTGGGTAAAATAGTTATCGAATAAAACCTAACATGAGCTACAAATGTGAGTCATACAAGTAAACATAACATTTATAATTCTAAACTTTATAGCAGTCACATTAAAAAAGTAAGAGGAGGCAGATAAAATTAATTTCAATAATATGTTTTATTCAGCCACAAATGTCCCAGAAACTATCATTTCAATGTGTAATCAGTATAAAATATTAAGAAGACACTTTATATTTTTTTTCTTTTTCTTTATTTTTTGGAGACGGGGTCTTGCTCTGTTGCCCAGGCTGGAGAGTAATGGCGTGATCTTGGCTCACTGCAACCTCTGCCTCCTTGGTTCAAGCGATTCTCCTGCCTCAGGAGGATCCCCCAGTAGCTGGGATTACAGGTGCGCACCACCATGCCCGGCTAATCTTTTGTACTTTTAGTAGAGACGGGGTTTCACCATGTTGGCCAGGCTGGTATTGAACTCCTGGCCTCATGATCTGCCCGCTTCTGCCTCCCAAAGTGCTGGGATTACAGGTGTGAGCCACTGCACCTGACCTATATTATTTTTTTCATACTAAGTCTTTGAAGTTCTGTGTGTTTTTCACGTGAGCACAGCTCTATTTGAACTAGCCACATCCAAGTGTCCAAAGTCAAATGGCTACTACCCTGGACAATACAGGGCCTAGACAGTAGAACAAGGGCTCGAGTGGTGAGAGATGGAAATGAACAAGTAGAAAGGAACCAAATCTTGAAATTTATTTATTTATTTGTAACCCATTTAATTAGACAAAGTGGTCTTTAAGGTTCTTCTAGCCCTAAAATTCAGTGAACCACTAGCCTATCTTAATGTAGGAGTGGTAAGAAATAGCCCAAACTGACTGTTCTCACCTTAACATCTCAAATTTCTCTTCCTCCCCACTTCCCCCTTTCCCTCCTATTCCTCTTCCTCCTCTTTTCCTTCCCTTTCTCCTCCTCCTTCTCTTTCTTATTCTTTTTATTCTTTTGACTAAAAAGGTATTTATACATGCCACTGACCCAGGAATGCCACAATGCATATACTTGCACTCACATAAAATTTTATTTAAAGCTAATTTCTCTTGGTTCATTTTGTAGGGCTTCCATTTGACAGTATTTATAGTAGAATTTTATATAGTAGATTTTACCTTCTGGTGATAGCACTTTCAGTTTTCTTTGGGAACTGTGATTCATTCCTCCATTTTAAGTCAATGTTGTCCAGGTGTGGCTAGCCATGCTCCAAGTCCAGGGAGAGGTGTGTCTTAGGCCTATGCATGCATTCTTGGCCATAGCGATTGGTTCACTGATGGGCCTGTTGCATAAATCATATGAATCAGGGCCAAACAGAGCTCATTTGGGGAATTTTTCTTGAGCTATTGGGATATAAGTATATACTATTCTTTCTGTTGGTAAAATTATTCATAGGATAGGATAGGATGTGGACTGCAGTGGATGGCCGCCATCTTGTCTCTATGAGGAGAGACCTTGCTTGAGAATGAGCAAACACAGAGAAATGTAGAGCAGTGAGATGGGAGAAGCAGAGCTTTGAGAAAAAGCCTTTTGTGCTCCTGGATCCAGCTGTACCTGAAGTGCAAAGATCCAATCTTGGTCTTTCCAGTTTTATAAATCTCTGTATCCTCTCTCTCTCTTATTCGGATAAAGCCTCTTTGAGTTGGAGGTAGATCTGGAGTTTCTACCACTTGCCATGAAAAGATTACTGGATAAATCTTCAATAAGATTATTGTCAACTGAAACAGTTTACAGAATGGGCTCCAGAATTATATTATAGAAAAACATCATTGAATACAAATTCTAATGCCTGAAAAATATGTTTTTTCTATGAGCTACTATTAATTATTAACGAATTAAGGCATTTGCTCATTTTATTCAATGTTTATTACAAATATATGATTTATCAGGCACTGTGTTCTGCCTTATGTGTTATATTGTGTCAATTATTTTCCTGATTGTTTTTCTCATTCCTCTGTGCGCTTTTGGGGACAGAATACTCCTGCCCAACACCACATAAAAAGGAGAATTTATAAATAAAAATAGAAGCAAGATCTATGCATGTGAAAGGTGTTTCATTCTTTTTTAAAATTGCAAGTCTCATACTCTTTGAGAAGGAACAATTAATAAATTTTTATTTTTTTAAGATGGAGTTTTTTCTTTTCACTCTTGTTGCCCAGGCTGGAGTGCAGTGGCGCAATCTCGGCTCACTGTAACCTCCACCTCCGGGGTTCAGGCGATTCTCCTGCCTCAGCCTCCCAAGTAGCTAGGATTATAGGTGCATGCCACCACACCTAGCTAATTTTTGTATGTTTAGTAGAGATAGAGTTTCACCCTGTTGGCCAGGCTGGTCTTGAACTCCTGGACTTAGGTGATCCACCAGCCTTGGCCTCCCAAAGTGCTGGAATTACAGGCGTGAGCCACCACTCCTGGCCTGGAACAATTAATTCTTTCAAATTTATCTTCTTCTACTTTACGCATGTCACATAATTTTCTGCATATTTTTCTAACTATAATTTTGGAGAACTTTAGAATTGATTGTCTCCCAAAATTGTGACTAGAATAAATGGGCAGTTCAAAAATAAATCCACATCTAGACCTTACCCCCAGTGCATCAGAATCACTTGGGATGATTATTTGAAATGAAAATTCCTGGGCTCCTTTTGTTCAGAGATACTAAATTGGAGTCTTTTTGGTAGAGTCCTTAATTTATATTTTAACCAGATGCTTTAGAGAATCACATGCACAGTTAAGTTTTAGAATTACTTGGTTGCTTAGGAAAACAATCCATAAGCATTGCAGGATAGAGTGAGAACATGGACTGGCTTTGAGACTTAGACCATTAGCATTTAAATATTATTTATCTACTTTAGTCCACCTGACAACAAATAATTATTTTTAATGATTATAAACATTTCACATGGGAAAATATTTTATAAATATTATTCACCTATTAACGTATGAACAGAATTTTATTAGTCACAGGTAAATACTATAGATCATAGAGACTATTTATTAAATTTAATTATAGCATGTGAACTCTGTCTAATGAGAGATTAGCTGACCAATATTAACTTAAGCTGGAAAAGCTGGGCTAATACTATTCTTTTCAAACAAGAAATAAATCTTGTTCCTAAACTCTATTCTTACATATTTTATACAAACTCTTAAAACATCTTGGTCAACTTTTTTTACATTAGCCTGTGCTGTGAGTTTTGACATTTATTTTAAATTTTGTATTTCCTTGCAAAAATGGTTGGTACAATGCATTCATGTAGTAAGAACTGCGTTTGAGAATGAGATCTTGCAAAATAGAAATAGCCACCTGAAATTGAGATTTGGAAAGGGGACTGAAAGAGAAGCTCAGATCACAGTGGATGTTTAGGCTGCTTATTTTTTCAGTTTCATAAGCTAAGTGGAAGTCTTATCATGCCCACAATATTTTCTGGGCCCTGGTAACATTCCCACATAGTTTATACTTGGATAAAATATTAAAACCAAATAAAGCAACTGGGAAGAGTTTCTATTTCAAGGAATGTTAGATCACTTGAATGTTGGCCTCTAATTCTGGCTAGCTAACTTACTTTTATTAAGTTCATTCATTCATTCCTTCATTCATTCAACAAGTGTTCGTAAAGTGCCTGCAATATGCCAGCCACTCTACTAAGCATTTGAGATGGAATAACATGCACATACCCTGTCCTCATGTGTCTTATCATCTGGTGATTCTACTTATCTGTGTGTCTTGTCCTATGTGGAGGAACCCAGAGAATAGTCTTTCATAATTTTCAGAAGAACTTTATTTTAGTTTCCATAAATAACAGACCTATTGGCTTAGTAAATAGTTCATTTAATATGCATGGTGATATCTCCTTTTATACACTAAATCCTGCCCATCTCAGTCCAGTGTACCCCATGAGGAATAAATGAGTTAATCTATTGATTATCACCACTAGACTATTTTTTTGTCAATGATCCTGCCACAGATAGAGTACAAGATGATTGTACTTTTTACTAAGTTACTACTACAATCTGTAGCATGCACATCCCAACTTACTTCTTTAGAAAGAAGTGTAACATTCACACTGACCCCCCGAATAACTATATAATCAGGAAATCTGTCTTGAGGGGCCAGCTGTGACTTGAACCCATTTGTTGGGTTCTATCAGCCAATGTAGCAATTATGATCAGGACTGCTTAGGAGGATAATTGGACCAGGCCAAACAGGTGTGAGTAATTGCCTGCCACTCCAGAGCATGGGTTCTGAAGGTATGAGTGCTAACACAGAACTCTTCAATGATTTGCAGGGCTGCCAAATGACTGTCATCATGGCTAACCAAGGCCTGATAAATCTCCCTTAATCCCCAGATTTCTATGTAATAATATTTCCATGGAAAAGAAGATTCAGTTTCAGGGATCAGTGCCTGGGAGAGTTCTCTTTGTCTTTTCTAGTTTTATAAAATGATTATGGCAAGAGATAATTGGTGGTAATGTTGAGGCCATGAGAACACTGTAAGGAGTTGCATGTAACGAATGTTTTAATAAAATAATACAAAACTGATCACGTCTACATTCTACATTGTTCTTTCTGGATCCTCTGATCTTGGGAGATAGATTTATTCAGCCATTTATTGTTGTTACTTATTAGTATTCTCACAGGTATTGGAATCACATCCTGCCCATGTGGGCGTAACACTCTGGATTGAGTACTTTTCTTTGCTATCAACATTGGGTTGAAGTTGATATTGGTTTTTCCTTTAGTGGAGCCAAAAACACTTTTCTTCACTGTTCTTGCATCTGTTACTAACTAAGGCGGCTTCCACAGATTTAACTGTAACTTAGCTCCTGGTAATTGCAATAGCATCAGCAAAATTAACATAAGTATGCTCACTGAATATTTTACACTATGTAAACTGTTGTTGTATATATTTTTATATTCGATCTTTGAAGCCATCCCAAGGGGTGATTGTTATGAAACTTATTTTACAGATAAGAAAATTAAGGCTCATCTGAAGACTTAAGGTCACATGACTTGGAAGATTTTGACCTAAATTCAGAACTAGTTCCTCTTAATTTAAGATCCTGTTCCTTTCCCGTGGCACTGAATGCCATTCACAGAGATGGCTGCTGTGTCATGTGCCCTCCAAATTTTACTCTGCACTGTCTTTGAAGATATATAATAATAAAGATAGTAAAATGCAAGAGTAATAGTAATAATAATAGCATAATTTGGTGTTAACAGTGTTGCTCTAACCTTAATAAGTGATTTAAATTCTCTCTAAGATTCACTCTACACATCTGTGAAAACAGTAAGCATCTCTTAATATTGTGAGGATTAATGACATCATCCGTATAATAATAAGATGATGATGATGATAACTACTGCTTTGGAATCCTATGTGTTTACTAAATCCTAGCTATTTTATATGTATTAGCTATAAGCCTTGCAATAATGTTGTAAAATATGCATTTTAATTCCCAGCTTATAAATGGGGAAATAAAGACTGGAAAATGTATGTGATTTGCTCAACATCAAACAGTCATCAAGAGCCTGTGTTAACATCTGGCGTGGATCCAAAACCCATGTTCTTTACCGTGGTAAGTTGTTGCAAAGCATTCTTTGAAAAAGATGGAAGCCTTCTTCACTCAAAATTGATTAATTTCTTCAAACACTTGACCTCCCATGAATACCAAGTCCATGTTATACTCATGGTATATTTTAGTGTACTTAAGGTACACACAGTAAAAGAAATTTAAATTTCACAATTTAGCACAGATAGTTGGTTGCTGTGAATGAAAATGTTTCTTTTTGTGCGAATGAGTTTATATGTGTTATCCTAGGTTCCTTAAAAAAAGGTAGGTCAGATTCCAAAGAAACTGTGTTCTAGAAAATAATAGTTTAATGAAAATCTAGGTTGTGGCCCACAGAATTGTGACTCTATACTTATCAGACCAGAGAATGATGATTCAGGCTTATAACTAAAGATCCTTGAGTGTTTTTGAGGGATTTACACCTGGGTTCTTATATCGTGTCTCCTCTGTAAATCTAGCAGGAAGACAAGGAAATTGTTCTGTACCATTTCACCACTGAGGAAACTGAGTCTAGAGGAGTTACATTTTCTGCTGAAGATCACATAACTAGGGGAACTTGTTTCTACCTCCAGACAATTTTCTGCTGTGACCCTAAGGTAGTAGGCATAAAGGGCTGGGGGCTATTCCTCAAGCTAATTTGTGGATAAAGATTTATTTTTCTTCTAGGCCTTAGGATTATAATGGGAAAGCTTTCTCCTCCTGTATTCATCTTTAATGTAATTAGTATAAACTGTGAGTCAGAAGGCTGGGTTTCAGTCCTGCTCTGTCACATACCAACTGATAAACTAGGTCACTTAACCTATCTGGGGCTGTGTTTCCTCTTGTGAAAAATGAAGATAATAGTGCTTATCATTCTTGTCCTATGGGGCTGTGGAGAGCATCTAACCAGAGACTGTAGGTGGTAAGAAAGTGGTCTCAGCATTCAAGTCCTGGACAAGCTCTAGCCACCCAGCATAACCTCTTCTTTCTTAATCATACCATAATTTTCTTTTGAAGAATTGCTTATCTTCTGTTATGTGTGATCTTGGAGGGGCTGTGAATCAGGGTCTTTCTGCCTTCCTACTACAGTCGTCAAAAATGTTCTGGAGGCCATTGCAAGCTTCTCCCTCCACACCCCTCCTCACCCTCTGGCATAGTCACAGGGCAAACACTGGATCTAAGCCAATCAGATGGGCTCTTTCTTCTGGAACTGAATCCTCAGCAGAATGACAAAGAAAGACTAAACAATGATGACTCAAATGAATTGATCCTTTGATTCCACATCAGCTCCTTCATGAGACTGGGAAGCAGTTCCTTTACCTTCTTTGTTGTCCCATTGTGGAGCTGGCTCCTCCAGCTCTCCCAGCAATTCTATGGGAATCATTCTCCAGTGATTTCTCTTTTTGGATGGCCTAAGTTGGATTATGTTGATTGCAATCACAGAATTGTATTACATATGTCAGTTTTTAACGTATTTCCTTAACCTTAAAATGCCACAAATTTAATATGCATCATTAAGTTTTTCAGGGAAAAAGGAAGAAGCAGTCACACTATATTCAATATATACACCGATAGGCAAGAGGCATACTGGTTTGAGAAATGTGAAACATGAGAAGTAGAATGTAAAAAAAAAAATGTGTGTGTTAGAATTGAGGAATTATGGTACCCATATTATCATTATTAATAAATTATATTAGAATAGTAGTTATGACAACTGAGTATTTTATGTACCTAGAACCCACAAGGAGTCAGGGAAGTAGGCCAAAGGACAAAGGAGTTGATTCTAAAATTCTCTTGATTGCTTCTCTGAGAACTTCTCAATTTATTCCCCTTTTGGTATAAGAAATATCTGGTTTTGACTGCCAGCTAATTTCCAGAAGTTGAAGGCAGTTATGGTTTATTGTGAGTGGGAGGTTTGTAAGAAAATAGCAGTGCAGCAGTAAGGAGAAGCTCTCTGAAGTTGTTCTGAATGTACAGCTAATGGGCAGTTATCTATGAGAGAGATTTTTATAGCTTCCTCCATATAGCTGGTGAAAAGTTAGCCTGGATGTTGGGGGAGGAGCCTGTCAATTTGGCTTCTTATCAAACTCAACTTTGTTAAGCAGTTAATTCTAAGGTGTTTTATCCACTTATTACTAAGGCATGTAAGTCTGAGCTGGCAGCCTTGATTAATAGATTAATGATCACTGCTCCCTACAATGTAATTGTCATTGTGTCCCTAGAAGAACTACAAATATACCTCCGGGGTTAGGATTAGGTGAGGGTGACTGTCAAGCAGCCATAGAAGGTGTGAGGATTTGGGACTGTTTAAATGAAGACAAAGACATGCCCTCAAGAAGCAATTTTCCAAGCTGCTGTTTTGACTTGACAGTGGCAGATACTTCATTGGAAGATGTTGTGAAAATGAAATGCAGCAGGATCAAGAGGAGAGGGTCTATTAGTCACTCAAAACTGACTTGTGCAGATCTTGCAATTCCATTTGTATTTCTGTCTCCCTATCTGTAAAGCAAGAGAAATTATTCATAATTTGACTGTCATTCATATCATGCTAAGTGATTTAGGGCTGCATCTTCACATGACCCAGCTTATAACAGATGGGCTGTAGATTTAATGAGGTGGTGTATCCCTGCTCTATCATTTCCCAGCTCCATAAGCAAGGGCAGTTATGCAACTCTTTATGTCTCATTTCCTCATGTGGAAAATGAAAATAGTAATAACCCATCTCATCATCATTTTGTTATAAAAATTACCTAACTAGTGTCTGACAGGCTTAGCAGGTTACAGAGTAAGTATTCGGTAAATGTTAGCTACGATTACTTAGTAGATGGGCCTGAAGATATTTGTCGATGGGTGCAATGTAGATGTTTTATGATTCCTGTTAGCATGAGTTTGAAAAACTACAGCCCTGAGTCAAATCTAGCCTGTCACATGTTTTTGTAGAGAAAGTCTTATTGGACCACAGCCATGCTCTCTTGTTTATATATTGTCTATGGCTTCTTTTTTGCTACAGAAGGAGAGTCAAGTAGTTAAGACAGAGATCCTAAAATATTTACTATCTGGCCCTTTAGACGAAAAGTCAGCCAATCTCTGGGGATCATCAAGAAAACAGACAACTGTCCCACCCTTCGTGTGATTTACGTTTAGTAATAGATTGGATGTGTTATAGTTTACTTAACTTTTCCCCTTCGGGTGATTAATAGACATTTAGCAGGTTTTCATTATTTTCATTCACAAATAATTCCACAATAAATGACATAATATATATGTGAATATATCTGTAGGATAGATTCCTACATGTGAAACACTTAGGGGAATTATTTGGGACACCTCAGCTGATGTCTTGCAGATTTACTGATGGGACATTGTGAAATTTCTCAATACCAAAGATGTCAGAACTAAGTACAGAATTAAGCTGTCAGTTCTAATTCCCTATAACAGAGTTTATCAGTAATTAGCTTCTTTGATCGAGCCAGAGGTTGCAGTCCCTAAAGAGAAAAACACAGCACTGAATCTCAAGAAATTGACTACTTGTCAGATGAAGTTAACTATCAAGATTCCTACCCATCACAAGTAATCTTACAGCTGGTCATTGCTTCCATCTATCAGTTCGGTGTCGCTGCCTTTTTGCTTTGGAATAGATTGTGTGGATAGAGTCATCAAGCTTAATGGAAGTTTCCATCTGGATCATGGCATCTGTTAACCTTAAAAAGGCTTATGAACTCTGAGTAAGGGAGCAGTTACATTATTCTTTCATATAAGGTGATATTATTCCTAAGGCCACTCCTTTGTGAAACATGCCTCAATCAGAAGATCTGATGGTAGAAACAAACATTTTATCCATAGGTAAAGGACCCTTCTGTTTTTTACTTTTGACACGCCTCAAATTGTTGCACCTGCAAAGACATGGCTCAGGATTTACTACTAGTATACAAAATTATGATATATTGGTTAGTAGATTGTGGAGATTAGCTGACTATATCTAGATAGTATTTTAAGATAACAAAATGTTATATTGAATCAGGGCACCTAAAATGCAAAAGTCTAAGGGGCGAAGGAGATAATGTTAATGGTGAACTTGAAAGCTTGTTTTTCATTTGAAGAGAGGGGCTGCTACTTAGTCCCAGCCAATTGCTGCCACACCTTACTTTTCTAAAAGAAGGTGGACATACACTTCTGTAGGTAAAACTGTCCCAAGATTTAGAAGTCTGCAACTAAAAATAAATTAACTTAAAAATAAAATAAGGACTTCATGTCTAAAACACCAGAAGCAATGACAACAAAAGCCAAAATTGACAAATGGGATCTAATTAAACTAAAGAGCTTCTGCACAGCAAAAGAAACTACCATCAGAGTGAGCAGGCAACCTACAGAATGGGAGAAAATTTTTGCAATCTACTCATCTGACAAAGGGCTAATATCCAGAATCTACAAAGAACTCAAACAAATTTACAAGAAACAAACAAACAACCCCATCAAGTGGGCAAAGGATATGAACAGCCACTTCTCAAAAGAAGATATTTATGCAGCCAACAGACACATGAAAAAATGCTCATCATCACTGGCCATCAGAGAAATGCAAATCAAAACCACAGTGAGATGCCATCTCACACCAGTTAGAATGGCGATCATTAAAAAGTCAGGAAACAGCAGGTGCTGTAGAGGATGTGGAGAAATAGGAAACACTTTTACACTATAGGTGGGACTGTAAATTAGATCAACCATTGTGGAAAACAGTGTGGCGATTCCTCAAGGATCTAGAACTAGAAATACCATTTGACCCAGCCATCCAATTACTGGGTATATACCCAAAGGATTATAAATCATGCTGCTATAAAGACACATGCACACGTATGTTTATTGAGGCACTATTCACAATAGCAAAGACTTGGAACCAAGCCAAATGTCCAACAATGACAGACTGGATTAAGAAAATGTGGCACATATATACCATGGAATACTATGCAGCCATAAAAAGTGATGAGTTCATGTCCTTTGTAGGGACATGGATGAAGCTGGAAACCACCATTCTCAGCAAACTATCGCCAGGACAAAAAACCAAACACCACATGTTCTCACTCATAGGTGGGAATTGAACAATGAGAACACTTGGACACAGGAAGGGGAACATCACACACTGGGGCCTGTTGTGGGGTTGGGAGAGCGGGGAGGGATAGCATTAGGAGATATACCTAATGTAAATGACGAGTTAATGACTGCAGCACACCAACATGGCACATGTATACATATATAACAAACCTGCACATTGTGCACATGTGCCCTAGAACTTAAAGTATAATAAAAAAATATATATATAAAAAACAAAACAAAATGAAACAAAGTAAATAAATTAACTTTAAAATAAACTTGAAAATAAATAACTTAAAAATAAAAAAGCATATATGGCATGACAGTTGAAATATATCTGCTAGTTTGATACCACCTGTAAGCCAAAAAAAAAAAAATCTGTAAAGTCAGGCGGTAGAATGATTGAGAATAGAAATGGCTCAGGATGAGATGCTCACAATTAAGGCCATGAATTGCTAGGAATTCCCCTTAAGAAACAGTGCTTTGTCATCAGACTTATCTACCAGCAGGGTAACTTCTGTTTCCTTCTTGAGGACTAAATGATAAAATGTATGTAAAGTACTTTGCACGGTCTCTGATACGTGGTAGATACTAAATATATATTAGCTAATGTAACATAAAATGTAAAATGGACCTACATTTTATTTTAAAAATATGAAATATACTTTAGGTCTAGAATCCTTTCATTCTTTTTTTTAGGATTAGCATATATGTAGACTTGGAATGGTTTGTCATATCCCTATTTCCTGGAGAGCCACTATGAAATCCTTCAGTGTTGTCGTTTTATGACTGGACTTGTGAAGGGCCCAGAAAACTCTGTGTGGTGTATCAGGTGCCAGAGCACTGGGAATTCCATGATGCAGATGGAGGCTTCCAGTGCTGGTGGGCTAGAGTTGTGTTCTGTCCCTAAGGACAAATACTCTTGGTTATAACAGTGATTCTCCAGATTTTTATAAGTTATGGATTGTCATGATAACCACTGGGATAGTGGACTGAACCAGAAGGACTGTGAAGTATGTTTTAATGTGGAAAGGGTCTTCCTGGGTTTTACAAACTTCTGGGAAGATACTCCTGGGAGATGCTCGTGGGCATTATAATATCATCAAAGGGTCATTGGAGACCTTTCAAATTTACTAGTGACCCTGGTTGAGACTAATGAGAATGTTGATCTAGTGCTGGTAACATATATTTCTTTAGATTTGGTACTAGATTAATTTTTCATTTTTATGGACAGGTGAATTCAGGGTGGGTGGTAGGTGTGAGGTTGTAATGGTAGAGGCATAAATGCTTGTTCTAGGTTGAGTGTGGCTTGCTAAATGGGAGTGGGTTGGGGTTAAGAAGGCCTGGGCGGCCCTGAAATAAGTATTGGACTTCATTATTTTAGTGGCCTGCTTAGACAGAAAACTATCATTTCCTGGAAAAAGCCCTATATCTGTTTGTTACCAAAATGTTTGTCCCAGCTTGTCAAGGGACAATGTGTTCTTGGATTTTCTACTCAGTGGTTTAATTACCAGCCAATATCAAAATAAAATGGAAATTTTACATTCTTACTTAGTGGATAAACTATTTATCTATTGCCTTGTCCAAGCATTTTACATAGTTATAGATAGATATATGATATGTAGGTAAATAGATAGACATACAAAAACATACATTATATATCATGTAATATATATTCTAATTTGACTTTAATTACCAGCACATAATTTAAATTCATGTTAGTTTGATCACTATTTCCAAGTAGTAAACTAAATGCATAATTGTTCATTTAAATTGTCACAAAGCCACCTGTTTTTCAAGACCTTTTATTACTCATAATGAAAAATGGTATTAATTATTATCATTTGTATCAAGATATTAATCTTGCCAAATTGGTATGCTTATGTTTGTATTCATACTTTTGGTTTCTATAGTAAAGTGAATTTCCTATGGAGAGTATCTTTTTAGATGTTCTTATCTGTTTTTCTCATTCATTTTATTAATCATTGCCAACTGTTAAACTGTTCAGCTTCCAAGGACTTTTTTTTTCTTCCATGTCTTTAATGACTAACTTATTTGGAACAGCAGCAGAAAGAAAAATCTCTGAGGCAGAATCTGCTCACACACATTCTGACACGTCTCAGCTCAGGGAAAATTTCCAAAGGATAATTATAGATGTCACTAAAGCTGAATTCATGATGGTCAGATTGTCAGAAATCTTATTTATAAATGCTATCATAATAATGGAGGGGAATATATCTTACTTTGGAAAAGGAAAAGTTTGAAACCTTCAAGGCTGCCTGGGTTTGCCTGCATCTCTGGCTCTGGGATCTAGTTTTGTGTTAGAATCACCTGTGGAGCTTTTGAATGCTAAAATTTAATTCAGCCACTAACAAAAGTTTTCTCGGACAATATTTACTATTATACTAACTAGCACAGCACTCACTCACTGTTTGGCACTGTTCTATCCACTTTAGATCTATCATTAACTCATAGAGTTCTTCCAACAAGTCTATGAGGTAGTCACGATTAGGACGGTTATTTTACCAATGAAGAAATGGAGACATGGAAAAGTTAAGTAGCTTGCCCCGGGGTCACATCAGTAGTAAGGGTAGAGTCGGAGTTAACCCAGGCAGCTTAATTCCTGAGTTAATGCTTTCAATTACTGTATCTTCCTACTGCTCATCTTCACCATGACTATGACCAGAGAGAAAGATCTGGGTTTATTAGGATAATATCACACAATGGAATTCATTGCCTGGTTCTCAACTCTTACGCATTTAATTTGAATACCTTATTTGTATCATTATTGACTTTTGGATATAGTGACTGATTACTCTCTAATGAGCACACACATAAAAATTTGTCTCTAGTCTGGACTAACTAAATCAGAATCTTTGATGGGTGGGGCCTGAGTATCTGTGGTTTAAGCAGCTTCTTTGCTGATTCTGATGTGCATGCTGCTAGCCATCTAATATCAGAAGGTGGAAAACTACACTATTAATTTCAATATAAAGTAGACTGAGACCAGGACTCTAGGAGGCCATGAAAAGTACTATGGGGGAACAGGTGGAAGGCATTAATTCTGAGAAGCACATACAGTGACATATTTATATATACTATTATTACAATAGCTTTCCCAATTCTAACCCGTTCTGATCAATAGGACAACATACATTACAAGAGGATTTTGGGCAGAATTTTACATTTTTGAGGGACTTTACTTTAGGCTCTTTGGTCCAGAGGGCAAAGTCAGGTACCCCAGTCCCCCCTGTTGGCCTATGTCAAATATTAAAAATATTAAATCCATGGATTTCATATATCAGATAGGAAACCATACCTTCTGTACCTCTTCTAATACACATGCTGATTCATAGAGAGGCTTTAATTACCTCAAAGAAGATGCCAACCAATTGCCAATTTGATACATCAATTGGCAGTGTTTAATAAAATAAATGAGAAAAACAGATAAGTAACATCTAAAAATATATTCCATACATCTTTCACATGTCCAAATACATCCATATATCTCTGTCTTAAAGAGATGACATATTAAAAGGTCTGTAGAAGGTGAATACACAGTATTAAGAACCATTTGCTAACTATCCCCTATGAGAAATGAGTTTCATTCAAATTCCCTCCTACAGGATAAACCTGCAGATATTTGAAGACAGACTTCTTGCCTTTTTCTTAGGCATATATTTCTGTTTCCTGGTGTTGAGAAATATTTAAACATTAAGCTTGTCAAGGCCTAATCTTGTGGTATCAGAGTCCTAATATCAATAATTAACTTTCTATTGTCATAACAAAATTGGCACTAAGAGAGGTATATAGTTGTTCCACCTTTCCCTTATTCTAATATTATTTCCTCAGTGAGCCAGGGCCTTAAATAACTATACATTTGCATAAGGGATGCTCGATTGCTGCATTAGCTCTTAGGCTTTTCTCAACTCTATCTGGAAGCATCATGCTTGGGGTAATTAAAGAACCTCTTTAATTCAGCATGTGTTTTAGAAGACGTACAGAAGGGGCATGGTTTCCTATCTGATATATGAGACCTGTGGATTTAATATCTTTAATATGTGACACAGGCCTTTGGAGGTCATTGGGGTACTTGACTTTGCCCTCTTTGGACCACAGAGCCTAAAGTAAAGCCCCTCAAAAAGGTAGAATTCTACCCATAATCCTCTTGTAATGTATGTTGTCCTGTTGATCAGAACAAGTTAGAATTTGGGAAGCTGTTGTAATATTAATGTGTATAAAAGCTTTGGTAACTTTTATCTCTGAATCAGGCTTAGAGTATTACGTCATCACTGGACTTCCATACATATTAAGTTACTGCCATGTGGCAGTAGTGTTCTCTTAACTGGACTCTGTTTTCTTTTGGTTTATCTTTGGTCTCTGTGGGATCTTTACTGCTAAGATGTAGAGCCTTAATGCTGGCAATACCTTCAGGCCCCTGTAGGCTTCTGGCTGCATTCTGTTTGCTATTGTCTCTATGACAGTTTCATGCCCAGAATGGGTCACCAGTAGACAGTGATTTTCATTTGTCCAGGACCCATATCAGAGTCCTTCCCGTTATGAAGTTGCATAGGGGAACACAATGGTCATAATATGATTAGGTATAGTTAATGTGACTACTTGCTCAATGCAAATTAATTACAAAGTTAAACTGAAAACTATGCAAAAGATATAGAATTCTATAAAATTAATTAAAAATGAAAGTGGAGAACTTCTCCCATCACATGGTAAACTATTGTAAAAGGATTAGACAGGACCATATCAATTAAAACTAAAGACACTAAAAAAAAAAAAAAAAACTTCAAATAGGATGCTTTGAGTTAAAAAATGATTAGGAGACATCCTTTTGAAACTTAAAAAAGATTAAAAATGTTTTGCAAAGATTTATAATTGTGAAGAAAGGTTAGACCAAAATGAAGGATTTTCTATAGCAGGTCATAAAATTATGTCGGTAAAATTAAATAAAAAACAAACAAAAAATTATTCTTTGTTTATTTTGAAAAATATACAAAGCTGAAATCATAAAATAAATTTAGTTCCACATAATTAAACAATCATTTTATGTTCAGTTTCATTTTTCAACATAAAATTTCAAATCAAACTTTTTATTTATTTATTTTTTACTATTTACTATAAAATTTTGTCTAATTTATATCACTCAAGGGTTTGGCAGGAAGCAGAAGGTACAGTCAAAGCAGTCACTGGAGAGAGTTTACTATTTTCAAAGACCTGGACAAGTTTTAAGGAACTACTAAGGGATAATCTAGTAACCTGGGGCTAGTAGAAGTGGAAAGTCATCACCTCACCTAGGATTAAGGAGCCAACTAGAAACAGCAGTCACTTGAACTCAGAAAGAGTAACCGTATGGAGAGTGTCGCCTTCGGTAGACAGTGGGCACAGCCAACTCACAGTGATTACACAGGGAGGAAACCAGAGCACTAATGCTCTTCTTTCTTCTCTTTCAGCCCTGATCTCCTGCCAGTGGCCCCAATGGCCAAAGCCAACCTGAAGCCAGAACATAAATAGATCAGTTTTCTTGGTCACAGAGCAGGGTAGGGAAAGATGGAGAGTAGAACTGGAAGAGAAAATGACAAATTCCAGCATGCCATTTGAAATAGATTAAATGACTTAGATGTTTCTGAATTCATGCAATTTTTGGACAGCTTAAAAGAATAGGACTTGTACTGCTTGATTTAAGACACATTTCAATGTAAAGTTAAATCAGCTTTTGTAGTCACAATATGTACTCTTACTGAACAATGATTGACATGGTAATATCCTTCAGAATTCCCCATGCATACTGCTCCTACATCATGTCCTCCAATTTTGTATTTGGGAAGTTTTCTTTTTGGAGCTATGTATAAGACTTGACATTTATTTAAATTAAGGTTTGTGATAATCAATTTGGATTATGTTTCAGTCTCCTGAGATTTTTCTGGAGTTTGACATTTTATTGTATCAGTGCTCTCTGTAGCTTTTTGTCATGCTTACGTACTATCAGCTGCAATGATCATCCAATCCTTGATAACGATGCTACATTGGGCATGGCCGTAGGTAGATCCCTGAAGCATACTACTATAGACTACACTCCAGAATGGCAATAATTCATAATGTATTATTCAGGTTAGACTAGGTTGTGCTGCAATAACAAATGAACCTTCCAAATCTCAGTGACTTTCCATACCAAAGTTTATTTTTTACTCATGCTGCATACATAGTCCATGTATTTCTGCTCACAGTTCAGTGGTTGAACCTCGTCATATATCCTCAATCTAACCATAAAGGAGTTAAAAATGTGGGAGGATACATAAATATTTGATGAGAATTAAATTTTAATATCATTTGCATCCATTCCTTTGACCAATTTTGAATCCACCTGATACTAATCTTATCTATATTTCTCCATCTTTTAATGACTTGTTATTTATTGAAGGCCTTTTATAGAATAACAATAATTAAACATACACTCCAAGACCATCCAGTGGGATAGGAATTATCATTTTCCTTAAATAGATGAGAAAACTAAAGATTAGAAGTTAAGGCCGGGCACGATGGCTCACGCCTATAACCCCAGCACTCTGGGAGGACTAGGTGGGCAGATCACAAGGTCAGGAGATTGAGACCATCCTGGCTAACATGGTGAAACCCCATCTCTACTAAATATACAAAAAATTATCCAGGTGTGGTGGCGGGTGCCTGTAGTCCCAGCTACTTGGAAGGCTGAGGCAGGAGAATGGCGTGAACCCGGGAGGCAGAGCTTGCAGTGAGCAGAGATCATGCCACTGCACCCCCCAGCCTGGGCGACAGAGCGAGACTCCATCTCAAAAAAAAAGAAGAAGAAGTTAAATATCTTGTCTGAGGGTATACAGTCGATGAGCAATAAAGATTTGAACCAATCAATTCTAAACATACATATTGCTGCTTATTATCTATATATCTAATCTCTTAGCTAAAAATGGAATAAAAGAAAGGGTAAACCTAAGGCCAGATTGAAAATAGGACAAATTGATTTTTCATCCTTCACAGCAATTCTTTCCTTGTGCTCTGATTTGTACTACTTTGTCTCGTATTTATACACACAAAGCTCTCATTATCTCCATCCGTTATCAATTGCTCCCACACAAAAATCTGAGAAGTCACTCATATTAAAGTAAAAATGACTCAATCTCTTGTTTTCCATTTTAAGGGTTACTTACTTATTAAAGTTAGATCATCCTGCCACTAAGAATACATTTCTAGTTTCATATAAAACATCTTTGAAATAGTTTATTTAAGTAAACACATATTATTGTTATCCCTAAAATTATATCATGGAGCTGCCAACAGTGTGATCTTAGGAGGCAGTATAGCACAATAGAAAACATGGACTTTGGGCTCAGGATATGAATTAAATCCTTGTTATACTTCTATGTGACTGTGTGAAATGTATTTAAATTCCTGTGACCTTAGTTTTCTCATCTGTAAAATGACTTAATGCCTACCTTATATTTTTTGTGAAGATTAAAGAAGTATAGCACAGGGTAGGTGCCCCAAGTATTTGTGAAGTGAATGAATAAATGGTGTCCAGAATACACTAAGCAAGTCTTGATACAGAGAAGTTAGTAAATGATTGTAAAGTTGGATCTAGGGCCAGGGTAGAGTATGTTAGGAAAAGAAAGTCAGCAAGTGAAGCCAAGTATGGAAATTAATAAGTGTGTTTCAACCCAAATGAATTATTGTTTTGTGTCATAGGTTTATATGATAATAGAATAGAGGATAATTTATTTTGGAATCTACCCACTAAAAATACATGTTCTATATCTTACTACTATAGCAACTAAAAACAATCTGCTGTAATAAGATGGTGTGCATGGTGGCAGTGTGATTAGCCAGCGTATGAAGAACTCTTTATTGAAATAACTGGCCCAACCTGAAACGTATGGCCAGGTGGCATGAAAAATAAAAGATAATTGCAGTTGGGTTGTAGCAGTCTCACTAGTTAATGACATGAATTGTGATAACTCTTGGTCATTTTTTATGTTGCTGAACTAACAGGCTGGGCACAGTGGCTCATGCCTGTAATCCCAGCACTTTGGGAGGCCGAGGCAGGAGGATCACGAGGTCAGGAGTTCAAGACCAGTCTGGCCAATATGGTGAAACCCAGTCTCTACTAAAAATACAAAAATTAGCTGGGAGTGGTGGCATGCCCCCTGTAGTCCTAGCTACTTGGGAGGCTGAGGCAGGAGAATTGCTTGAACCCGGGAGTTGGAGGTTGTGGTGAGCCAAGATCGCATCACTGCACTCCAGCCTGGGCGACAGAGAAAGACTCTGTCAAAAAAAAAAAAAAAATTAAATTGTAATTATTCAAATGTTTTCTATAAATTCTATTTAGGAAACTATAGATAATAAAGAAAAAGTAAGAAGATATAGTTGAGGCATTTTTGGGGGGACATGATTATGCCTTTTCTTTTTGTTTCAATCATTGTACATTTCAGAATGAAGATTATTTTAAATCTGGAAATATATTTAGTAGGGGAAATTTTATAATATGAAAAAATAAATATGTTAAAATAATATGTGTCTGTGACTTAAATTGTTAATTAAGTAGCCTTAAATTGTTCATTGGGAATCATACTTCATGTACATATAAATGGTAGATTATGTGGAAGAATAGATTCTATGGGGAAAGAAAATATAACACATTTATTTTTTTTGACTTTTCTAGGTATACTATATGCAAGTTTTTTCTGGGTCAGCTTAAGAAATCTAACCAATTGAAAATAAAAAAGGCAATTGCTCAGGTGAAAAGGGAAATTCTAGTATCTCAAGAGGGTTCAGTTATGATGTAGCATCTAGAGAGAAATGGATAAAGAATGTATAATTTGAAAATTATATGTACTTCAAATTGTTGAGTGTGTAGTGACTCCAGGACACAAGATTCCAGGATACAGCTCCCAGGGGACATCAGAATTTTCTGGGGGATATTTTAGATATTCATTCAAAGCAGCCTGGCAGTCCTTGTTCCTATTTTTCTTGTGATTGCCTGTGCTTGACTCAAGATGAAGATCAGTCGGAATCACATAATAGCACACTGCTTTTTATTCCTAGAACCCTAGGTGGCTGATGGCATTTCCCCTTTTATTCCCCAAGGAGTTTCATAGCAGAAATAAAACTCCAATGATAATTTATATTCATGCTCTGTTGGATCCTCCCTCTTCTTTTGATGCTCTGATCAATTTTTCAACCCGTTTCTAAGCTGACCCCATTACTTATTGACTTATTTCAAAAATGAATAAAAACAAATCAGATTTTTTTCTTTAATTGATTTTTTCAGATAATAAAAGAAACAAATGCCCATTGTAGAACATTTGTAAAATATGTACCAAAATGCATGAAATCAATAAATCAAATCATTGATAACCCTATTACAATTGGAGTATAATTTCTTCCAGTATTTTCTCTACCTGTCAGGGTTTCTACTCAACCTCAGCACAAGTGACATTTTAGATAGAATAATTCTTTGTTTCTGGAGGATGTCCTATGAATTCTAGAACATATACAGCATCCATGGTTTCTACTCACTAGATACTGGCAGAATAGAGCCTCCCTTCCTCAGCACCCAATCATCACAAAAAAGTCTCCAGACATTGCCAAATATTCCCTTGTGAGCAAAATTGCACCCAGTCGAAAACCACTACTAAGTATTATAACGAAATTGGAATTTTACTGTCTGTACAATTTTACATTATTTTTAAGCTATTTATATGCTTCTTAAACTAACAATACATAGTGGAAATTTTCCCGTTTTATTAAACAGCATTGAAATGATGGTTTTTACTAGCTGAATTCCAATGTAAAGATCAAATATAATTAACTATTTTCTCATTGTTGACCAGTTACATTGTTCATACATTTTTAAATAAATAAAAGTTTAAGGAGTATCCTTATACATAAATGTTTGACCCTATCACTGATTAGAAAATTTTTTGTATCTTACTAAAGTCAGAAAATTATTTTCAAAGTAGCAAAGTATCTTTGAACTAATGCATAATTGTTCAGAACTTTGGTGGTGTTAGTAGAGTGATAGATGTCTTTCACCCAAAACAAGTTGGTGGCTAAAATCTCTAAATCTACTCTGAACCTCTTTTGAATAATAAGGGTTGAGAATCTAATGAAAACTAAGGACTAAATAAAAATACACACTATTATACACACACACAATTCCATATACAATTTTGGAAGGTGGAGGTTTGTGGATCTGTTAAGAACAGCCATAGGCCTTAAGGAGTCCTGCTATAAAGACCCCTGGTTTCTACTGCAGCTTTTACAAATATGTAACCCCAATAGAGAGCTAAGCAAACCAAGGTTAAGGGGCATGTCCATGACAGAACCAGAAGACTTTTGTCCACTGAGCCTTTATGAATTTATAAATGTCCAAAATGAATCATATTACAGAAAAGCTTTGGAGGTAGAAAAGTGAGACACTCTTCTGGTCCTTTAGACCTGTGGCAGTATTTGTCTAGTGGGGTCTCAGTTTCCTGAATTGACCTAGCCCATCAGGTCACCAGCATTATCTCATGAAGATAAAAACAATACCAAGCACTAGGCTTCAGAAAGCTCTTATCTGTCCTCACCGCGAGGCTGAATATAATTTACTCCCCAGTGTAGACTGATACATAATCATGTCTTTGAAAAATGTTCCCTGGAATGAATTATAATGCAATGACTATGGCCACAATCATTGCTTTCCAACATAGAGGGTGGGGGAGAGAAAGGGAAGTTGAATAGCATTTACCAAGATGAAGCACCTACTCCCTTGCCAAAGATGGTTCAAGGATCTTTGCTTCCATACTTTTATTTAGTCCTCACAGCGACTCTGTGAGATGATTGATATGATCATTTTATGGATAATAATTCAGATGGGTTAAGCCACTGTCTTAGTGTCACATGGAGAGTAAGTGACATGTAAACTTGAAGTAAGCTCATGCTCTTTTTATTACACTGTGTTACTCAAAAGGAAAAGAATCAAGACTTTCCCCACCTTCCCTCAGCACCCCACTACCCCCATTTCCAAAAAAGCTTTGCCCTGGCACACTCTATCCCCTTAAAAATAAAGTATATCACATTTTGGAGGGCCTTCTGAGGCACTCTTAGGTGATTATATTATCTACTTTATTAGACATTAATCTTGCATTTAGAAGACCTGACTTTGTTTTCTTGCCCTTTATCATTTGCTTTTGATTGATGATGGGCAAGTCACTAATTCTCTTTGAATGTCAGCTTTCTCACCACAGCTGCTGCACTACTTGATGCATAGTATTAAGAGCTCATAACTCGAAGTAAAAGAAAACTGTAAAAGATTGTTACTTTAAAAAAACATTTAAATTCCCTTAGCTTTAATTTCCACATTTATAAATTTGAAATTATGATTCCTATTTCACAGGGTTGTTAATTTGTTCATTCAACAAATACTGTGCGTCTATTAGCATTATCACTTATTTATTGTTAGGGGAGAGGTGGTGGTGGTAGACATATGATAAACAAGTAGAAAAAGCAAATTTGATAGTTGCCCATTGTGATAAGTACTGTGAAAACAATAAACAAGCATTTTGGGTAGCAGGTTGAGGGTACAAGTGTCGGAGATTAAGGGTGCAAGGGCAGTCAGGGGAAGCCTCTCTAAGGACATGATGGAGACTTGAAAGCTAAAGGATGAGAAGGCACCAAAAATGGCTGGGTAAGTGCTATCCAGAGGCTCTAAAGTGTGAAAACCAGGGTTACTAAAAGATAACGATAAAGAGCAAGAAGACTATAGGCGTCGCTACACAAAATAGTCTGCAGACCAGTGGTCATCTTCACATTCTTTGTTACTGGTCTGCGACAAGATTAGAAGCCTGAACAGAAATGTAAATCAATGCAATGCCCCTGTCATTAACAAAGTCTTGTTAGAAAAACAAAAGTCAGCTGAATTAAGCAGTATGCCTAGTTACATAGTTGGTGTAAAGTCTGATGTCCATAACTCCTTATAGCTCAGTAACATTTTGCAGACCAGTCACCTTTAGTAGCATTCGTAAGCCAAAGTTAGAGAAGTCAGGGGTCAGGCCCTGCAGAACCTTGAGACCAAGGTAAGATATCTGAGTTTTATCTTAAGTGCAGTTGGAGAGGTGGCTGGCAAGATGGCCAAATAGGAGCGGCTCCAGTCTGCAGCTCCCAGTGAGATCAACACAGAAGGCGAGTAATTTCTGCATTTCCAACTGAGGTACCTGGCTTATCTCACTGGGACTGGTTAGACAGTGGGTGCAGCCCATGGAGGGCGAGCCAAAACAGGGAGGGGTGTCGCCTCACCCAGGAAGTGCAAGGGGTCAGGGAGCTCCCTCCCCTAGCCAAAATCACAAGCATTCCTATACAACAATAACAGACAAACAGAAAACCAAATCATGAGTGAACTCCCATTCACAATTGCTACAAACAGAATAAAATACCTAGGAATACAACTTACAAGGGATGTGGAGGACCTCTTCAAAGAGAACTACAAACCACTGCTCAAGGAAATAGAAGAGGACACAAACAAATGGAGAAACATTTCATGCTCATGGATAGGAAGAATCAATATCATGAAAATGGCCATACTGCCCAAAGTAATTTATAGATTCAATGCTATCCCCACCAAGCTACCATTGACTTTCTTCACAGAGTTAGAAATAACTATTTTAAATTTCATATGGAACCAAAAAAGAGCCCATATAGCCAAGACAATCCTAAGCAAAAAGAACAAAGCTGGAGACATCATGCTATACTATACTACAAGGCTACAGTAACCAAAACAGCATGGTACCGGTACCAAAACAGATATATAGAGCAATGGAACAGAACAGAGGCCTCAGAAATAATGCCACATATCTACAACCATCTGATCTTTGACAAACCTGACAAAAACATGCAGTGGGGAAAGGATTCCCTATTTAATAAATGGTGTTGGAAAACTGAAACTGGACCCCTTCCTTACACCTTATACAAAAATTAACTCAAGATGGATTAGACTTAAACATAAGACCTAAAACCATAAAACCCAAGAAGAAAACCTAGGCAGCACCATTCAGGACATAGGCATGGGCAAAGATTTCATGACTAAAACACCAAGACCGATGGCAACAAAAGCCAAAATTGACAAATGGAATCTAATTAAACTAAAGAGCTTCTGCACAGCAAAAGAAACTATCATTAGAGTGAACAGGCAACCTACAGAATGGGAGAAAATTTTTGCAATCTATCCATCTGACAAAGGGCTAATATCCAGAATCTACAAGGAACTTAAACAAATTTACAAGAAAAAAGCAAACAATCCCATCAAAAAGTGGGCAAAGGATATGAACAGACACTTCTCAAAAGAAGACATTTATGTGACCAACAAACATGAAAAAAAGCTCATAATCACTGGCCATTAGAGGAATGCAAATCCTAGGTATTTTATTCTCTTTGAAGCAATTGTGAATGGGAGTTCACTCATGATTTGGCTCTCTGTTTGTCTGTTATTGGTGTATAAGAATGCTTGTGATTTTTATACCTTGATTTTGTATCCTGAGACTTTGCTGAAATTGCTTATCAGCTTAAGGAGATTTTGGGCTGAGACAATGGGGTTTTCTAGATATACAATCATGTCATCTGCAAACAGGTACAATTTGACTTCCTCTTTTCCTAATTGAATACCCTTTATTTCCTTCTTCTGCCTAATTGCCCTGGCCAGAACTTCCAACACTATGTTGAATAGGAGTGGTGAGAGAGGGCATCCTTGTCTTGTGCCAGTTTTCAAAGGGAATGCTTCCAGTTTTTTCCCATTCAGTATGATATTGGCTGTGGGTTTGTCATAGATAGCTCTTATTATTTTGAGATACATCCCATCAATACCTAATTTATTGAGAATTTTTAGCTTGAAGGGCTGTTGAATTTTGTCAAAAGCCTTTTCTGCATCAAATCCAAACCATAATGAGATGCCATCTCACACCAGTTAGAATGGGGATCATTAAAAAGTCAGGAAACAGAAGATGCTGGAGAGGATGTGGAGAAATAGGAACACTTTTACACAGTTGGTCAGAGTGTACATTAGTTCAACCATTGTGGAAAACAATGTGGTGATTCCTCAAGGATCTAGAATGAGAAATACCATTTGACCCAGGAATCCTATTACTGGGTATATACCCAAAGGATTATAAATCATTCTACTGTAAAGACATATGCACACGTATGTTTATTGCAGCACTATTCACAATAGTAAAGACTTGGAACCAACCCAAATGCCCATCAATGATAGACTGGAATAAAGAAAATGTGGCATATATACACCATGGAATACTATGCAGCCATAAAAAGGATGAGTTCATGTCCTTTGCAGGGGCATGGATGAAGCTGGAAACCATCATTCTCAGCAAACTAACACAGGAACAGAAAACCAAACACCGCGTGTTCTCATTCATAAGTGGGAGTGGAACAATGTGAACATATGGGCACAGGGAGGGGAACATCACACACTGGGGCCTGTCAGGGTTGGGGGTCTAGGGGTGAGATAACATTGGAGAAATATTTAATGTAGATAGATGATGGTTTGATGGGTGCAGCAAACCACCATGGTACTGTATACCTATGTAACAAACCTGCACGTTCTGCACATGTATCCCAGAACTTAAAGTAGAATAAAAATATAAATAAACGAAATAAAAAAGAGCAATGGGAAACCGTTGGTGGTTCTAAGCAGGAGAGTAGAGTGAACTGCTTTTGAGATAAACAGATGCTCTAATGCACTTGAAAACATTTTATAAAGTCTGATGAATGTGAGTTTTGAATCAATAGTCTCATTTAATCAGGGCTTGCCTAGCCATTTTGCCAACACCTTCCTCCTGGACTTCTAATTAACATATGCCATGAATCTCTTGAGGCCATATTGCATCATAATTTTTTATGTGGCAAAATATAAGTCATATGATATTGAGGTTCTCTCTTTCTAATACAAATAAAATTTCATGCTTGGGAAGTAAATAAGTCATATGCCTATAGCTCAGGGGTTTCAGATATCAAAATAAATCCCCCTCCATTTTTGGGCAGCATTAGGATTCCATGTTCACACCTACAGAGCTTATTACTAACATATTATCCATTTGTACATCCTTTGCTAGAAATAGCATCTGCTTTGAATCTAGGAACTTCATAGCTGTACTTCATTCCTGGAGGAAGTTTTAGAGTTTTCAGCAAGAGGAACTGGTGAGTTCACTCTCTTGTCACCCAGGAAATGGCCCCTTATATCTTTTGGAAAACAATGGCATTGATGTGTTTGCCCCAGAAATGATAATTTCCCTTTCTCTCTTCCCTCCCTTCATTCTTTTTTTGCTTTTTTTCTGACTCCCCCTTTCCTTCTCACCTCTCTTTCTTCCTTGCTTCCCTTCACAACGACTTACTAATTATCTATACCATGGGCTAAGAACTATGCTAGAATCTGGAAATAGCACCGTTAAAAAGATACACACAGACCCTAACCAAAAGACGTTTAGTCTTGAAGGGTTACAGAAAAGTGACTGGGAAATTATAATCCAGTGTGATCTGTGCTACAGTGGGGGAAATAAAGAGTGCATATTAGAGAATAAAAACTGGGAAGCTAATATGAAATTGGAGTCAGGACAGCTTCAGGGAGGAAAGGATGTCTAAGTTGAGGTCCAAAAAATAAGAAGTTATACTGAAGATTTGGAGATGAGCAGAGTGTTCTTGCTAGAGATATCATGTGTGGAAGCTTGGAGAAGAGACAGTGCAATGTAAGTTGCAATAAATAAAAGATGTTGAGTCTTGGGGGACAGGAGAAGGAAGAGGTAGAAGTAAGTGGAAACAGATCATAAAAAACCTTATAAAACTATGCTAATGAGCATGGACTATAAAGTGACGACAAGTCATTGAGGGATTTCAACAGGCAGATGATGTGTCATGTGGGCCTTTTAGAGAAATGATGCTGGTTTCGGGAAGAAAAATGGATTAAAGGGGCAAGGTTGGAGTCAGGAGACCACATAGAAGGATATGTCTGGGAATTGTACTGTAGAGTGAACAAGTTACAACAGTATGCATGCATATAGCAAGATATTATATTTCATTGGACACTCAGAAAACTGCTGACTGATTTTCTTGGGGTCATGGGACAATTTGGAAAAGCAAGAACAAGGGCCAGGTCTTCCAATCTGGGGATGGCTTTTTCAGTGAGAGCTGTTTTGAGAGCAACCATCACTCATTATTCTCCCGGCCCCTTACCTACCCCACATAATTCAGGCTTTTTTTAGTCTTAAAGTGAGGAGTTTCTCTTTGATGACAATTTTACTTTTGGGAGCTGTCCAATATTCTATTGCTGCATTAAAATATAAACTGACTTTAAAAAATAATGAAGGGGATATTATGCAGGCAGCTGTCAAGGGAATGATTTGAACTTACTCCTGAAATTCTATTGTATCAAACCCTGCAGATTTTAATCTGTCCCCCTAAGGTTTTTTCTCAACATATACCCATAATAGAAAGAAGGGGGATTAATCAAAGAACAAGTGTGTTCAGCACTATTGTGAGCTTGACACAGAATGAAGCACCCTGGAGGATCATGAGGAGAGGTAGGGCGCGATCTCTGCCCTGAAGTTGTCTAGTTTAAAAAGCAAAAGCAAACACACAGGAATACATGAAGCCATTTAAAACAATATCTAGGCATGTGTTCTGGTTATATGCTTAAAACGCTAGTGTTCTAGTTGTTCAGAAAACAAAGATGACCGGTAAGGATGAAGCAGTCAGACAACCTTTCTGGAAGAAATGGTATTTGAGCAAAGTCTTGGGTGAAGAGAGGTGACAGAGTGGTAGGCTAGGGGGTTGGAGTGGTGAGGACACATGTGTGAATGACTGTGGAGTGCTTGTGGCACTTTGGTATGGAGCCTAGAAAAGTGGTGGGGAAGTACCAAGAAACAGTGGGAAAGAAGCTCAGCCAGATGGCATGTGGGCAATAATGAATTACTTTGAAGTCAACACACAGAAATTTTGAGAAGTGGGGATGCAGTGAAGGCTCTACAGTAAAGGTATATTAAGAAATGATTATAAGATGTCCATATGAATGGAGGAAAATGGTCATTCCCAGCTCCCAATATACTTCAACTTGCCAATACATCTTGGCCAAGTCAAGTGACTCAATGCATGTCCATGCTTCCTGTCATCTCTGAGGCATCTTGAGGGTTAAATGAGATAGCTGATGTGAAAGTGCTCTGTGGATCCTATGTAATTACCATAAATGTTGTTGCCACTTTTGCAATTTTTCTATGCCTTTGACAAGTCTCTGTTTCAAAATTCATTCTCAGTAGCTGACTCGGTGCCTTCCCTTGCTACTCTGGCTAGGCAGACTGTCTTGCAGAATTCTCTGTCCAGCATTATTCAATTGTGTCCTTTGGTATGCATTCATTTCTAGCATCTTAGACACATCTGCTTTGACAGAATCCAGTCTGGTTAGACAATCTGAAAAAACAAACAGTAAACCAAATTCAGCATTTATAACAGTGAAGTGGTTTGATCTAAATTAGTATTTAATTTTTGATCTCAGTTTGCGGATTTTGTGGTCATGGCCTGGGTCTTGTTTCCTTTAGAGTTCCCTACAGGACATTGCATAGCCTCAGTGACTAATGGCTTTTCTACACAAGTCACTGACCGGCTGCCCAGGAGGTAGATTGTTGCTTCTCCTTGTGCTGAAAATTGCCGGCTTAGCAGCTTTTCCACCATGGCTTTCTGCTAATATTTTTAGATTGCCAAGATGTTATCAAAAATTGTATTTAGTTGGGTGGCTTCGATGATTGCCTCTCATTGACAACAGGATTGTAACTTCTTGAGTTCAGTTGTGTCTGTTTAAATTATCAATTTCTGGAAATTCTTTACAACGGACTGCTCTGTGTTTTGCAATGAGGGACTGTGCATTTTTCTATGGTTTCCCATGTAATGAAGATCCACAAAGACATGACTTTTGATTGACGACTGTATTTAAGAAGCTATTTAAGGAGTATTAGGTTTCCATGTTCTTTTGCTCAGGCGCAGCTTTTTAAACTGCTCTTTCTCAGCAGCTTCATTCTGACAGGGAACATTCTGTTTGCATTTCGTTTTTATTTTTAGGCATTTGCAAATGAGGCTACCCTGAAACAGCAATCTGCTCTATCCAGAGGGGGGCAGAACAGTGTCAAAAATTTAAGTATTTATTGCACAAATATTCATCCAGCAAGTGGAGCACGGCAGGCCCTGTTCTAGGCATTGCAGATACAGGGATGTGTTAAGAAAACCCAGTCCTTACCCTCAGGAAGTTTATAGGCTTGTGAAGGAGTGATTTTTCAATTATAATGACAATAATCACTGTGAAGGGGAAATGCTAGGAGCTATTGGAGCCTTCAGAGTATGGAGCAGGAATAGACTTAAGCAGTAGAGTAACATGTTGATATAGACAGGAGACAGGGAAATACTGGGTAGAAGAGGGTGGTTCCCTGGCAAAGGTCCCAGCCTCAAGGCTGGAAACCTGTGGTCCTAAATGGGAACAGGCATTCCGATTTTTGCACACAAAAGTTGCATTTTGGCCCACCACGTACCCCTGTTATGTACCCATATAAACCCCAAGCTCCAGGCTCCATGAGCTGATGAACAGAAGAGCAGAAGAGCAGCAGAGAAGGAGAGAAGAGAAGGAGCATCTGAACATTGAGGGGAGTTCAACTGGGGACAGTTGGAGAGATCAGCCACTGGACAGCTAAACTCCAGGAAAAGATCATCCTCCCATTCCATCTCCTATCCAGCTCCCCATCCATCCCAGTGAGAGTCCCTCCACCACTCAATAAAACCCCCTCATTCACCATCCTTTAAGTCCGTTTATGACCTGAGTTTTGCTGGGAAGCCCTTCCCACCTGGCCATCTCATTAGAATGAACATGTGCTAACACGTGGGACTCAGCCTCAGCACTTTAATTAGAATTATTGAGAAAGAGATGTTCTCCTTCCTCTGGGGCTTTCAGAACCAATAGTCATTTTGGAGGGGTTGCTGGCCATTTTGTTACTCAATACGAGGGGATAAACTTAAGAAGGGAGCAACACACCAGGCAGCAGATGGTGTTCTTTGAGCTTCTGGGCAATCTGATCTATATGTCCCTAGCTTTTTCAGTTGCATGATCCAGTATATTTCCTTCTATTTAAGTGAGTTTGAGTTTGTTTTCTGTCACTTGCAACTGAGAGCCCTTTCAAATACAGTACTCTATGATTTGAGATCAGTAGCCAGAGTTAGAATGATGATGAATATTTATTTAGCTCTTACTATGTGTAAGTTACTATGACCCTTGACACACTTTATCTAAATTTAACCTTCCCAACAACCATATGACATAGGTATTATTTTCCCAATTACAGATGAGATAACAGATTTAGAGTGGTGGCCTCAGGTCACACAGTTAGGATTCAAATCTAGGCAGCCTAACTCCAGAGCCCATGCTCCACTACCTCTTAACAATAAGATAGTTAGCTCTTCTTGTTGAACTGATCCCTTTACCATTATGTAATGGCCCTCTTTGTCTCTTTTGATCTTTGTTGGTTTAAAATCTGTTTTATCAGAGACTAGGATTGCAACCCCTGCCTTCAATGGCAACAAAAGACAAAATTGACAAATGGGATCTAATTAAACTAAAGAGCTTCTGCACAGCAAAAGAAACTACCATCAGAGTGAACAGGCAACCTACAACGTGGGAGAAAATTTTCGCAACCTACTCATCTGACAAAGGGCTAATATCCAGAATCTACAATGAACTCAAACAAATTTACAAGAAAAAAACAAACAACCCCATCAACAAGTGGGCGAAGGACATGAACAGACACTTCTCAAAAGAAGACATTTATGCAGCCAAAAAACACATGAAAAAATGCTCATCATCACTGGCCATCAGAGAAATGCAAATCAAAACCACAATGAGATACCATCTCACACCAGTTAGAATGGCAATCATTAAAAAGTCAGGAAACAACAGGTGCTGGAGAGGATGTGGACAAATAGGAACACTTTTACACTGTTGATGGGACTGTAAACTAGTTCAACCATTGTGGAAGTCAGTGTGGTGATTCCTCAGGGATCTAGAACTAGAAATACCATTTGACCCAGCCATCCCATTACTGGGTATATACCCAAAGGGCTATAAATCTTGCTGCTATAAAGACACATGCACATGTATGTTTATTGTGGCATTATTCACAATAGCAAAGACTTGGAACCAACCCAAATGTCCAACAATGATAGACTGGATTAAGAAAATGTGGCACATATACACCATGGAATACTATGCAGCCATAAAAAATGATGAGTTCATGTCCTTTGTAGGGACATGGATGAAATTGGAAATCATCATTCTCAGTAAACTATTGCAAGAACAAAAAACCAAACACCGCATATTCTCACTCATAGGTGGGAATTGAACAATGAGATCACATGGACACAGGAAGGGGAATATCACACTCTGGGGACTGTGGTGGGGTGGGGGGAGGGGGGAGGGATAGCATCGGGAGATATACCTAATGCTAGATGACGAGTTAGTGGGTGCAGCGCACCAGCATGGCACATGTATACATATGTAACTAACCTGCACAATATGCACATGTACCCTAAAACTTAAAGTATAATAAAAAAAAAAAAAGAAAATTTCAGTGTTCTAACCAAAAAAAAAAGAAAAGATTTCATTAAAACAGATACTAAAGAAGCTCAAGTGAGAATTATAATCAGTTTCTCTCTTTATTCAGTATCTTTCATGTAACGGAGAAGAAAAAGCAGCAACAGAAGCCATTATTCATATATCCTGGGTTAAGCCAGGTGAATTATCACCACTTAAGGCCCTAACTAACACTGATGGATTTTGACTGTTATAAAAACATCTTTCAACCTCATGCGGTACTGAAAACTCAATGAAGACAGAGATCTCTCCTTTTGGCTCCAGGCCTATATAACCAACAAGCATCTGAAATTAACTGTGTCAGGACTATATCAAAAAATGTGGTCTCTGATTTTCTTTTTATTTTTAAATTTTTATTTATTTATTTATTTATTTATTTATTTATTTTGAGATGGAGTTTCGCTCTTGTTGCCCAGGCTGGAGTGCAATGCTGGGATCTCAGCTCACTGCAACCTCCACCTCCCAGGTTCAAGTGATTCTCTTTTCTCAGCCTCCCAAGTAGCTGGGATTACTACAGGCATGCACCACCATGCCTAGCTAATTTTGTATTTCTAGTAGAGACGAGGTTTCACTATGTTGGCCAGGCTGGTCTCTAACTCCTGATCTCAGGTGATCCACTTGCCTCAGCCTCCCAAAGTGCTGATATTACAGGCGTGAGCCACTGCTCCTGGCCTCAGATTTTCAAATGGCACAGCAATCTGTTCCTCTTGCTGTATTTCCATTTTAATCGATGGAAGCTCCAGGTATGTGGCTCATGAAGATGATAATACGGGATAATTTGTTAATCTCTCCCTTTCCCTGTTGGTCTATGTCCGATCGATTGGCAAATTGCCAGTTCTATATCCAAACTATATCTGAAAACCATCCACCAGCCACATTAAACTTACATAGGTTCTTGGAACATACCAGGATCTTTTGCACATGAGGACATTTATTCTTAAGGTTTCTACTACTCCCCATACTGTTTTCCTGGCTCCTCCTATGGCTAGCTCTTTCTCATATTTCAGTTCCCAGCTTTAACATCTGTCTTCCTAGAGTCCTTTCTTGACTACCTTGTCTGAGTAATCACTTCTCCCCAACCCGTCACTTTTTTTCACATAATTGTCTTTATAGCTCTTATTTCAAACTGAGATGTATTTTATTTGTTAATGAACTTTTTTTCATTTTTTAATGAACATATAACAATTGTACACATTGATGGGGTACATGGTGATGTTTCCATACATATTATATATAGTGATAAGAGCAGGATAATTAGCATATCCATTATCTCAAACTTTTATCATTTCTTTGTGTTGGGAGCATTCAATATCCTTCTTTTAGCTATTTGAAACTCTATAATATATTATTGTTAACTATAGTCATCCCACTTTGACAGAGAATGTCAGAATTTATTTTTCCTTTCTAGCTATAATTTTGTATCGTTTAACAAATTTCTCCCTATGTCCCCTTCCCTCACCCTTCTCAGCTTCTAGTATCCTCTATTCTACTGTTTACCACTGTAAAATCACTATTTTTAGCTTCCATATATGAGTGTAGAAGAGTTCCCCTTCTCCATATCCCCACCAGCATTTGCTAATATTTCTATTTTTGATAATAGCCATTCTATCTGGAGATGATACTCCACAGTGGTTTTGATTTACATTTCCCTGATGATTAGTGATGTTGATGTGTGTGTGTGTGTGTGTGTGTGTGTTTTGTGAGACACCTGTTCAGATCGTTTGCCCATCTTTCAGTTGGATTATTTATTTATTAATTTTTTTGCTGTTGAGTTGCTTGAGCACCTTATATAACCTGGATATTAATCCCCTGTTGGATAGCTTGCAAATATTTTCTTCCCTTTTTGATATTGTATTTTCACTCTGTTCATTGTTCCCTTTGCTGCACAGAGCTTTTTAATATGATAAAATTCCATTTGTTTATTTTTGTTTTTGTTTTCTGTGCTTTTGAGGTCTTATTCATAAAATCTGTCCAGATCCATATCCTGAAGAATTTTTCCTGTTTTCTTCTAGTAGTTTCATAGTTTCAGTTCTTACATATAGGTCTTTGATTCATTTTGAGTTGATTTTTGAATAGGATGAGAAGTGGGGGTATAGTTTTATTCTTCTGCATATGAATAGCCAGTTTTCTCAGCACCGTTTATTGAAGACTGTCCTTTACCCAGTGAGTGTTCTTGGCAACTTCATCAAAAATCAGTTGGCTGTGGATACTTGGATTCATTTCTGGGTTCTCTATTTTGTTCCATTAGTCTATGTGTCTGTTTTTATACCAGTGTCATGCTCTTTTGTTTACTACAAATTTGTAGTACATTTTGAAGGCCGGTAGTGTGATACCTCTGGCTTTCTTCTTTTTGCTCAGGATTGCTTTGGCCTTTCACTGTCTTTTGTGGTTCCATACAAGTTTTAAGATTTTAAAAATCTATTTCTGTGAAGAATGTCATTGGTATTTTGATAGGGGTTGTACTGAATCTATATATTGCTTGGGTAATATGGTCATTTTCATAATATTAATTCTTTTATATTATTAATTTGCTTACTTATTTTCTGTGTTTCCCACCACGATATAAGCTTCCCGAAAGTAGATTCTTTATCTCTTTAGATGAACTTTGTATTTACATACATAATCTAATGCTTGGCATATTATAGGCACTTAATATGAAATAAGTGGACGAACGGGCACTCAGTGATAGGGATGATATAGTTAGAGACTCAGGTAACCTTCTCTCTCATTGTGTAGCTGTATATCATTAGCTAAATATCTGTGTGTCTTTGAGTTTTATTCTCTTAGTTAGTCAAAAAAAGGGAGGGGGCTAATGGCAACCACTTTGCCCTCCTGAACCAGCAGGTTCACGAGTCTTCTAACTGGAAAGAGCAGTGGCAGTGCAAATATCCAGAGAAAATCATTAATTCATGACCCATGACTCAGGAGACAGGCACTCAGAGCTATAGAAAAATGGCAAAAATGACAGTGTGGGGACCAAAAAAAGAGCCCACTTATAACTGTTAGAGGGTAATTAGTATCACACAGAGCAAAACATCTACATTTGTTGCAGAAATACCCTTGGCCATGGGGAATTCTCTTCAAGCATGGGAATGAATGTTCGGAATCCAGTGCTCATGCTAATATCTATCTTTCGAGTCCAGGGTTCACTGTTCAGGGGCTTTCTACTCAGCATAACTTTTATGCCCAACAAGATTAAATTCTTGGGCAGAATAATTACATGTAAATGCTGCTGGGCTATTAGTCTCAAGGGGCCAATTTTCTAGCCATTTGTTGCCATCTGAAATGTCAAATTTATTACACAGAGGGCATGGTAATACATACGACATCCTCTCCTAAATAGGATATGAAAAGCACTAATCAGCACTGTGGCTGTGAATGTTGACGTCAGTAAGATGTTGCTTTAGTTAATAAGGTGATCTAAATTAATGACATGGATTATTTTAAGGAAAATAAAACATTTCATAATAAATGTGCTACCTGAATACAGTTTCCTTAGTTCAAAGACTATTTGCTCTTAAGAGGGCTAATAATTTCCCACTCTCTCATATTTTCATAGATTCCCAGGGTCCAGGAAAAAAGACACTGGGCAAAAATAGGGGCTCCAACTTTAATTTCTGGCTCTGCTATTGTCTTACTATGTGAGCCTGGGAAAGTCACTTACCCTCTCTGATCTTCAGTTTTCTTGCCTGTAAAGATAAAGCTGTGTTGTGCTGACGGCATTTTTGAGAGCTCAAAGGAGGGAATTTGTTTTCAAGCACTTTGGAATCCTGAAAATGCTGTACAGAGGTGGAACTGTGCTCTACATTATAGGCATTTGTTAACTTTGCATGCCCAATGTTATTTCTACTGCTTTTATTCTTAGCAAAGGACCCTAGGCTTCATTTTTAGAATGTTTCTTCCTTTATTTAAGTCAATACAGCTCAGTTGTCTTTTTCTAAAATTCCAGAAGTAGTCATATGACCCAGGCTTGGCCAATTGAGCGTTCTATCATGTTGGCCTCATTGATTGTTTCAGAGATAGGTATATGACTTGGGCCAAGACAATGAGACTTATTTCTTCTATATATGGAGGGAGGTGATGGGAAAGGGAAGTTTTTTGCCTTTGGGAATGTAATCTGTCAGGGTATAAAACATGAAGCAGAGCACAGAGATATAGGGAGACCCCCTGAAACTATTGCTATGGAATAAAAGATGAAATGCACCTGATTATTGTAAATGAAAAATTGCATGCAGGATTGTGTAAAGACAATGCCAGGTTGGACTGCCAGAACGAGCCAACAGTGCGTAATGTGTTTCCTCCTGCAGAGAGCCTATGAATGGATGTGCAGTCAGGGAGGTTTCACATCATCAAGATTCCTATCCCAGAAAAGCAGATGTTCATAGCTCTGGGAATGGAATGCGACCCTTGTGGAGAGCCTATAAACGGACACATGGGGGGCGCCTGTCCATATGGATAAGATAGGGCTATAAATGCCCTCATCTTGCCACGGCTCTTCTAGGCCTCTTTAGGGTTAAGGCATAATCCCTTCTGAGAATTTCTGGTCTAACCGGTTGTCTAGCTTCATGTCCTGTTTCCATGGATTGCTTGTAACCAGCTTTTGTTGCAACTGTTACTGCTGATTAATATCTTGCTAATCATAGGTTATGGAAATATTGTGTTTCTGTTTTAAGGCTCTGTTAGAAATTACTGATGCACACGCTATATTGTAAATTCTTATCTCTGTATACTGTACTTCTACATACAAATGTTATGTTGAAGAATTACTTCATCCCCATGCAACCATCTCACCTCATAATCAAATGATCCTAAATCCCTCACTAACCTACCCCCACCCTCACTAAACTTAATAATAAATGCTGGTATATCCAGTGCACTGTTGGCACTGCGAGACCAAAAGGCGGTGACACCCCTTGACCCAGCTTTCACTATCTTGTGTGTGTCTATTATTTCTCAACCTGCCGATCCACCTGGGAACAAAGAGAGAGCCCTATTGCATTGTGGGTGCAATAGAGAGATAGGGTGATGCAGAATTGTAATGACATCTTTTGAGCCCCTGGATCAAGCTTGCTGGCTGGATGCTTTATTGAATTCCTGATCTGTACCAGGCACAACTAAAGGTATTCAGAATTTATCTTTGTATGAGAGAAATAAGTCTTGCTCTCATACAACTCACATTTCAATTGCATGAACCAACACATTTCCAGTTTCAGTCATCATCATTTGTTTGTGTTCTGTCTTGATCCTGAAAGTTCAGGATTGTATAAAATGGACAAAAATATCTATTTTGCTGAAATATTGTAGAGATAATATATATGAAGTCTTTGGGATATAGTAGGTGCTAAATAAATGGTATTAAAGTAGACATCAATTATTCTTCCTGGCCACTGTTTCCTTTGTTGGAGAGTCTCCTATCTTTTGAGTCAGAGTCCATTTTAAAGGTTGGCAATGCCATCTCCTATGAAGCAAAGTTATAGACATTTAGCTAAGAATTCACTAATTGGATGCATCAGACTTTGTCTGAATCGCATTATGCAATGAAGAACCAACCATGCAGACTTCTTTCTGGGGAGGTTGGTTCTAGTGGTGGCAGCTGCATGTGATTCTTAGAGTCAGCAGAGGCAGTGGTTCTAGCAGTAACATCTGAAGCCCTACCTCAAAATGCTAACAGAGCAAACTGCAGAGGCAATGTGTGGCGGTGGAGGCTGTGTGCCTTCACCATGCATCCCTGAAAAGAAGGGATTCCTGGATGTGTAGCTTCTGAAATAGTTCTCTGGACTTCCTAGGAATTATGGAAATCAGCCCATATCCATTAAGTTCATTATTTCTGCTTTAATTAGCCAGAGTTTATTTTTTTGCTTACAGTTAAGACCTGACTTATGATAATTATGATAATATAATTTCAATGATGACAATGGTGATGATAAGAACTGTGTTGTAGGAAGCAAAACAATCACTCAGTTTGTAATGTGGAAAATAGATAAGAGAGGAGTGAGATGGGAAACTGAGATAAGTGTGAGACTAATTATATTACAAATGATGTATGGTGGCAAGAGATGGCATGGCTGATGGTTAGTATCTAACTGTGTAGATGGACAGAAAGGAATAGATTCAAGAGAGACATTGGAGGTGAGATGAACTTGAGTTTTTTCAGCTGTTGGACCATTCACAGTACAGAAACTTTGAGAGTTGTTGGCCTTAGGTGCTAATGTTCTTTGTTCAACCAGAGATATTTGGGCTGCAGAGAGTACAGCTCAGCTTCACATCATTTAAACTGAGTCAAAGAACAACTAGGCGTCATGTTCAGATTGGGTTCCCTCAACTGGGTAGAAAGACTCAGCCGTTTCCATTTTTGTCTTTGCAAGAAGGTGAGATTTCTCCTGGACTCCCATATGCTGATGACATCCAATATTTTGCAAATGCTAAATATGCAAGAAAGGTGCTCATGAATAGATAATGAACACTGCTCATCATGATTTTCTGTGGAGCTTTCTCGTTGTCCCAACTGCTGTTTTTAAGGCCAGCCTAATGAGCCTCTTGTGACCACAGGAGGAACATGGTTCAGAGAGGGTAAGCGCTTTCTGTTGAGATGTATAATTTTCCCCTTAAATTCATTAAAAGTTTCTGAAACAAATAAATAAAACATAATTGATACAGATCCAGCATCCTTTTCTTCCATAGATCATTAAGAAGTTGTAATTGTTTCCCAGCCCCCAGGAAGCTCTCATCTCTAAGAATAGAGTGTTGGTTGTGACTCCCTGGCAATTGTTATTATTCTGAGGAATTAATTTACTCTAATTAGTTTTAAGCCCATTAACAGAAATAAAAAGCCGAGCAAAGGAAGGGAGGTCTGAAAACAACATTTTCCTCAGCCCATTGTAAGAACTTTCCATGTGCTTAATAATTTGGCCAGTGGAAATCAAACCTTGTTAAAAACCAAACAAAACACATATAAATCAAGATACAACTGGTATGGCTCCTAAAAGGCACATTGGCTATTATTCGGTTTTCTGAAAGTAAGAAATAAACTATAATTTTTCTGTCCCACTGGAAATCTTCAAATTGAGTCCCAAGGATACCAAATCAGAGAAATGATTGATAGTGAGGTTCACAAGGGGTTGGTTTTACTCAGGCAAAATCGATTTCTGTTTGCGATGGTTCAAGATGTTTGGGGAAGGCTCTATCCTCTCAGGAAGTAGCCTCCCCATCCTGGGTCACTGTGGCTGGAATCTGGTCATGACAGAGAAAAAAGTCACTTATTTGAGTTCTTTTCTCCAGGTCTTATTTAAACGGTTCATCCATGCAGGAGGGGCAATGCATTTTCCCAAGTCTCATGGAAGGGTTTCACAGCTTAGAGCTCAGCCTCAGAGTGGACTAGCACACAGCTGTTTCGGAGACTGGAGGATAGCCTGCTGGGATAGAGGTTTCCCTGGAAGATACAGAGCTGGTAAGGCTATCAAGGTAAATTGGGCACAAATGGTGGAGTCCATGGAGTTCAGAAAGGTTTTCAGGCAACAGGGAGATTTTGGAGTTTTTTGTTGTGTTTGTTTTGTTTTGGAACAGAGAAGTAACAGAATCAGATCTGTGCTCCTTGATAAAATGTAAAGAATGAATTTGAAGACCAGAGATTGAAGGATAGAAGGCAAGTTAGGAGATCCAGGTAAGGAGTACAGAAGGCCAGAAAGCAGGGCAGTAGAAATGGAAAGGAGGAGACAGAGTTTGAAAATGTGTTGGAGTGGAATATGTAGGATTTAGTGAGGGATAGGATGGAGATAGAGAAACCCAGAGGCTTTAGGTCTGGGTAACTAGAACAGTGAGGCCAGCAGTCAAGATAGGGAGGCATCAAAAACACAGAACATTCCCAGAGTCTGAGACAATGGATTTGGTTTTAGATAAAATAGGTAGTGCTGATTTTAAAGATGATAGGCTTTGGGGGAGAATAATCTGAATCTCCTGTAAAGCAGACACTGACTGGTCAGACTTATAAACTTTTGACCCAGGCAGAGGTATATGAAATTTATAATAAATAAATGAAGCTGACTGGAATTGAGGGCCACTAGATTTAGAGAACATGACCCATGTGAAGGCCACTTAGCTCCTCTGAGTTGCTGATGCGCCAGAATGGGGGCCAGTATTGCCAAATCATCCGATTCCTAAAGACAGGCCAGAAATCAGAATGTTACCTGAAGTCTCCTGATTCTTAAATGTTGGCAACCAATTCTTTCTTTGCTGAAACTTGAAGTGAGCCAATCCCAGGCAATTCTGCAGAGCATCCCATCTGATCCCACACATTTGAGAATGGATGGACTAACCTGAAGTATTACAGAGCAGCAGTGCAGAAGTGGGGACACAAGTAAAGGAGGATCACCAAGGAAGTGTTTTTGAGCAACTGCAACATTGCTGGCCCATGCTAGATGCTGTGGGAGATATAAGCTATGGCTGCTGCTCTCAAGAAGCTGACAGCATCGCTGCATCAGAGAAAAAGGCAGCACACTGTGTGATTATGGGTGGTAAGTCTCAAGAAAGGGAGAAATCAGCATGCAACAGACAAGTGAAGAGAGGCAATATAAAAGCTCTGGGTCTTAAATAGCTTTAAAGAGGAGGCAGAAGGTGCACAAAGAACTAGAGATTTTCCTCCAAATTCAATTTCCAAGTCAATAGCTGCAGTTCAACAGGTTTTGTGATTTCTGCAGGAAGATAGGCATGAGGTTTCCGAGAGCAGGTGGAAATGAGTAAATTATAGGTAGAACCTGCTTTCACACTAATGATCACTAACAGAAAAGTTTGTGCTATTTATTTTATTTTTTAAACAGTTTTCTCTGTTCCAATTGCTAGGCCCTTGGCATCTAACTTAAGAATTATCAATAAATAATAAAAATCCTGACAGTTTATATTCGGAGATGACACATCTCTGTAAAATAGTGAGATAATCCCCAAAGCTGGAGCATCTTATTCAAGGTTGGTTTATTTAGGGTTGCCCATGGAGTGGGAAAAGAGGTTAAGAGAACACTGAAATTCTCAGGATAGGGGAGGGTAGTACAAAAGAGAGGATTTGTCATGTTGTTTATAACTAGGCTTTGGGGATGCAGCAGAAAGTCAAACAGAGTTTTGCTTGATAATATACTCTATTTGCTTCTTGATTTCTTGTCTTTCTTCTTTTTTTCTTTTCTATTTTTTCCCCAAATCTCTGATGTTAACAGTGAGGAGTGATTTATTTGTTGGGGGATAAAGAAAATAGTGTCTCTGTCCTGAGTTTGTATCTATCATTGTATTTAAATGAACTTTTTTTCTGATAGGCAGAATCAATTTGTGAACCACATTTGATCCCCTCAGTCCAATTATTGCAGAAGCTGCTTCCTGGCTCAGGTGAGGAAAAATAAGAATATATTTTTGCATTTTCCCTTCTGCAAGGGAGGACATGAGAGTATAACAACCTCTCAGGAAACAGGATGACATTTGTCTGACTGTTCTGCTTTGGGGATGGATGGCTCTAGGGGAAAGAAGCATTTTCAGAGCTAAGATGCACTGTTTTTCATAAATAGGTAGAGATATACATCTCCTGCCTTTTTGACCAGTTTCAATTATGTTTGGGCGAAAATGCCAGACCATATTTCTTTAATAGCAGCATGAGTTCTCACACCTGATCCAGTTTTGAGATTATTAGGTTCTTATCTCTAAAAACAGAGGGAGAGGGAAGGAATGAACCAAGGAGAGAAGGGCCTCCGTGCAAAACTCCAGAGAGCATCAGGCCTCCCAGATTTTTCTGGGACTGTCAGCTACACGAAGAGTCATGTGGTCAGTTGAATCCAAGGTTCTCATATGTGTCCTTTGAGCTAAAGTAAGATCCCTCCCACGAAATACTGTCTTCTATTGTAGTGGGGACTATTTTAGTTGTGCACAGAGGCTACTTCAGAAAGGAGTTAGAGGTCTCATTTTAGAGAAGGTTAATATACTAAAGACATTTAATTGCTTTCTGGCTGACTTTGAAAACTCAGATTTCCAGCATTCTTTGGGAATTAGGTAAATTCTTCCTTTTCAATATTCTGTTTTAATGGATTCTGTTTCCTCCTTCAGTCACTGGAGCATTGGAGCAATAACAGGATTATTTCTTTCAGTTAGCACTAACAGCTAATGTCACACAAATTAGAAAACTGCACTTATATGCATGCCTTGAGTTACAAACAGCAGATGACAACCATCACTTACCAGAGATGGTAAAGTTTTCTTTTTCTTTTCTCAACGCCTCCTCAGCAAGGCTGCTCTCTCTACACAGCCACTGAGATGTCCAAGTCAGAGACAGTTTATCAGCAGCTGGTGTCTGGTCTAACATAATCCACAGTTGAATTTATCAATCACATTGGGAATTTATTATGTGGAGGATATTGGGTTCTGTGGTTGGTGTGCAAAGATGAGTGAAGCACATTACTTGCTGTCAAGAAGCTAATAGTAAAAGAGAAGAATAGACGTGAAACACATTCCATATGATGTGTTAGGTGGTAAGATTTAAGATAACGGGAGACCTTGATTCAGCCTGGATATCTAAGGAAGGCATGCTGCAGAAGATGACATCAAACCTGAGTCTTGAAGTAACAGCAGGAAGTTAGTAGAGAAGAGTTAGGAAGAAGGAGGAAATGCCAATGCACAGGAACACCTACTGTTAGTCTCAGTGAGTGCTTTCTGTGAGCCAGCCTCTATGCCTTACACACATTCAGGATTCTCACAGATGACATAAACACAGCCAGCAAACATATGAAAAAATGCTCAGCATCACTAATTACTGGATAAATGCAAATCAAAAGCAAATGAGTATTATTAAAACGTAAAAAACAAAAACAAAAACAAAAAACAAATGCTGGCGAGGTAGAGGAGAAAAGGGAATGCTTATACACTGCTGGTGGGAATGTAAATTAGTCCAGCCATTGTGGAAAGCTGCTTAGCAATTTCTAAAGAAATTAGAACTACTATTCTACCCAGCAATCCCATTTTGGGGGCATATATCCAAAGGAATGTAAATGGTTCTACCATAAAGACATATGCATGCATATGTTCATCACAGCGCCATTCACAATAGTAAAGACATGGAATCAACCTAAAAGCCCATCAACAATAGACTGGATAAATAAAATGTGATACCTGTATACATTGAATATTACACAGCCATAAATAACAATAAGATCATGTCTTTTGCAGCAACCTGAATGGAGCTGGAGGCCATTATCCTAAGTGAACTAACACAAGAACTGAAAACAAAATGCCACATGTCACTTATAAGTGGGAGCTAAAAATTGAGTGCACATGGACACAAAGAAGGAAAAAACAGACAATAGGGCTTACTTGAAGGTGGAGGTTGGGAGGAGGGTGAGGGTTGAAAAACTACCTATTAGGTTCTATGCTTGTTACATGGGTGACAAAATCTGTACACTAAACCCCTGTGACACACAATTTTCCCATATAACAAACCTGCACATGTACCCTTGAATCTAAAATAAAAACAAAAATTTTAAAAATCTTGTAAGTTAGGTATCTTTCAGTCTATATGTGAAAAAAATGAAGGCTTAGAGAAACTAATTAACTTGCGCAGATTAACATTGCTACAGTGTGGTAGACACAAGTTTTAAACCAAGACCTGATTTCAAAACTCAACTGCTTACCTATCATAGTACACTGCCTTTCTGGCCCACAAGACATAAATTGGTGTGATTATTTCCACCAAATGGGAAAAATATTATAAAGTCCCTTTATATAAAACTTGTAAGACCCTATTTGGCAAAGAACGAGGAAGAGCACACAGAAAACAAAGTAGAAGTCCTAGGAAGTCATTGACTGTTGAAAATGAACAAGAAGTTATGCAACAAAAGGCTGAAATGATAAAGTAGGCTAATGAGAACAGGACAATTGATTTCACACAATGCTTAAAGCATGTACAAATACCAGCTGTGGAAAGTGTTGTTTCTTTAGAGTCAACGGGACCCCACTCTCCCCATCACTCCCTTGGGCCCAGCTCCACTTGGTCCTTCTTTCTGTTCCTCAAGACATCAAACTTGCTCTGGCTTGTGGGCCTTTGCACTCACTCCTCCCACTGTTTGGAATGTTCTCTACCTAGATCATCTCTTTTTCCTTCCCTTATGAGTCAGCTCAAGTGTCACCTCCTCAAAGACGCCCTCCCTGACCTCCTGACCTAGTGAGTTCAACCACTCTTTGTCAAGTTACTCTAATTTTTCTATTGCATTTGTCACTCTCTAAAATGTCATCTTTATTTATAAGTTTATTTGTATACTGCCTATCTTCCTCTACAAGGGCATACGTTCCAGGATGGTGAAGGTTTTGTCTTGCCCACTGCTGTGTTCCCAGCTGCTACAGCAGTGCTTAGCCCACATATTGGAAGAACAAGGATATTTAATTAGAATAACTTTGAAAGGAGAATAGGCATTTGTTTTCATCGTCATTTAACAGAAGATAGAATGGGACTCTTAGCAGTAAAATAATACGTCAAAAATGAGTAAGTGGAAGAGCCAGGGATTGAACCTGAGTCTTCTTCCCCCACTGCATACACCTCTCATCTAGCTCAGAATAGTGTTTGCTGGTTTCTTACTTTTATTCCCTTCTGACTTTCACATATAAAGATGGATTTGCCTGAGGTTAGAAACTTTCTGTAATGACTAGGGTTATATATTCTTCTATTCACTACCCAGTGCCCCCCACTTCTGCATCTTCCTTGGATTCCCTAAGATAGAGATGCCAGGTTGACCAGGTGGCAGTGGGATGGGGTCAACTGTGCCCCAGAAGCCAGTGTCATGGCCATGACTCTTTCATTGCTTGCTATATGGCCTTGGGCCCATCTCCTCTTTTCTCTAGACCTGGTTAGTGAAGAGAATGAACTCATTAATCTATGAACTAATGATTCCTCGATGGCTGTTTCAATATGAGCCTGGCAATGCTGAGACTGAGCATGGTGTGTCTGTGTCTCTGTACATGTGTACGTGTCAGGGGTTGTTATTTGGAGGACATCAGAAACAAATGATACAGTTATCCAGTTTTTTGAAGCCTGAACATAAAGTACTCAGGTCACCTAGAGTTGACTTCATTTGTCCCAAGTGTTCTGTTCAATGAATACTCATGGATTGGAAGATGGAATGAATGAGGATGTTTGCTCAAACCTTCCTGCTTAATGATTTAGTAGCAGTGTGTGCTCTTAGTCACAATTCACTGAAACTAATTTTAACTGAACTAAGCAAGAGGAATGTTTGGATGGTTTTCATGGGCCTACAGAATGCAAAGGAGGGTGGAGAATTGCATGAGGATGAGGGAAACTAAAAGAGGAGAGGAGGACTTGGAAAGAAGCAGCATGGCAATGGTTCTGTCATGGGAAAAACCTCAAGACCCTCTCTACAGCCATGTCCATTTTGTAATGAAAACATGCAATCTATGCCTCCCCTCCTTATTAACCCATGTGGGAGTCAACATCCTGAGACTGCCTGCGGTGGTCAGAGGCTAGTGAGGAAAACAAAACTGTGGCATTTATTTTAATGGAGAGAATTCAACATAGGGAAATGGTTGCACAGAAGTTGGAAATTGCAATCGTAAAAATGATCCTCAAGACAACATAGATACAGTACCAGCAGGAAGAAGCTACCATGCCTAGGGCTAGGAAACAAAGAGAAGTTGCTGTTGTCAGAGTCCAAAAGCTTGGCAAAGAGGCATGAAGGAGCTGAATCCTAGACCTTTGAGGGGAGGATGCTGGCCAACCTCTGCTGGTGTCTCGGGAGTTGGAAGAGGATTCTGCCAAGGCTGGGGCTCAGACCTCTGAGGAGAGGGTACCTGGCTGGTACCTCTGAGGGACTGAGGCAAGGATGATTCTAGGACTGTGGAAAGAAGCTGATAAAGGACCAGTTGTTGTTGGAAAGAACTGACGATGCCCAGGTGAAGAGCAGCAGCTGGCTGATGCTGAAGGCAGAGGAGCAAGTCGCTTCTCTCCTCCTGCCTTCCAGTTTCCCTATTGACACAATGAATCGGGAAGCCACCTGGCCCTGAGAAATACAATCTACAAGGCCCCAGGTCTGGCAAAACAAAGCTGGGTAGCAAAGGTGAATTTTGAGCTGAGAGACAGTAGTTTAATCACCTGCAGCGCACCTCACCCTCACATACTCCAAGGCAGAGGTTAGGTCATGTGCTCACCCTCTGGCTGTATTGGGCAGGGATAGGGAGGATCTGATCTTTTCCTTTTGTCATTAAAAATAATCAGCTGGAATTGGTTTTCTAATACTACACATCCTGGAGGAGAAATTAATTATCAGTGTGGAAATACAGGTGACACTAGACAGAGGGAATGGATGTTGGGGAGACAAAATGCCAAATATCTGCTGGGGCATCTTAGTAAGTAATGTCTTGGTGGAGTGCTGAATGTTGGTATCATTTTCCCTTCTGTATAAAGATATGGAGTTGACCCTTCTCGTCCCTTTATTGTAGCATTAAAGCTGGATATTTACGTCAGGCTACCAATTGAAGATGCCCTGTTTAGATGGGGATTATAAATCCCCTACATTGAACTTTAATTGGGGACAAATAAAGAGAAAAAGTTTGGGGTTATTTTCTTCCATGGTTCAGAGATTTATATAGGGCACTTAGAACCTGTTTATCTCAGCAGGCAGAAAGAGGTTTCTTAAATGGATTTTCATGCTTATGGCTTCAAAACACAAAGCCCTATGCAGCTTGGTGTTTGTTTTGCAAATCCTTTTCACACCAAAATTATTCTTTTGTGGAAGGAGGGAGGAAAACAGCTTACAGTAGTGCCCCCCGCCATCTCCCCCAGTTTCTCTATGTTATGCCTAAAGAGAGATACACACAAACATGTAATGGATCAGATTTTGGAGGAATTCAATGCATGGTAATTAGTCCATGGCAGCTTTGAATTTCTTGAAATTAGGAACATTGATTCTTTACTGAAATGTAAGTTACTTGGAGATACTTTATTCCTTTTATTCTAGGTTTTGCTTTTTTTTTTTTTTTTAACAACTTGAGCTTATTTGCTAAGTAAAGTTTTTCATTTATGCTTTATGCTGCTTGACTCAGAAGACTGAATTGGGAAGTTCCTTAAAATTAAAAGCTCTCATAAATTTCTTCAAGGGTGGTTACAAAAAAATTATTGACTGGCTAAACTACAACAGCCAAAAGGAAGGTCAATTGTCAATCTTGCATAAAAGTTTATTTCTTGAAAAATAAAAAGTTAAAATTCCTAATAGACTACCTTAAAAGTTATGTGTATGTCATATAAGAAGCAAAATTTCTTTTATCCTCAGAAGCAATCATTTTACTACTACAAGCTTTTTATATACATATATGCATTTATTAAAAATAGAACCATGATGTATGTATTAGTCTGAAATATATATATTTTCAAATAATAATATGTCAGATATGTTCTAGGTAATTACATGTGATTGCTCTCTATTTTACACAGCATGACTTCTTATAATTTATCTCTTCTCTGTTGATGGATATTTAGTTTGTATTCTTACTTTTCTTGCTACCAGAAACAATGCCATTGTGAACATCCCTGTATATCTGTCTTTGCATGTATCTGCTATTGTTTCTCTAAGATAGATATGACATCATTATCCTTTTGCAAAAAGATCCAGTTCAGAATCATGTGTTGCATTTAGTTGTCTTATCTCTTTAGTCCCTTTCAGTCTGAAGTAGTTCTTCAGACTTTAATTTCATGAACTGGATACATTGGAAACTACAGTTATTTTGTAGAACGTTTCTTAATTTGTCTTTGCCTGAATTTTCCTTATGATTAGATTGAAGTTGTACATTTTTGGCAGAAATATTACGGAGCTGATGCTGTGTCTTTCTTGCTGCATCCTATCAGGTGGTGCATGATTTGTCCCTTTACTGATGATGATGTTCACTTTGATCACATGATTAAGGTGTTGTCAGTCAGACTTCTTCATTGTGCAGTTACACTTTTCCCTTTGAAATTCGTAAGTATTTGATGGGGAAAAACTTTCAAACTATGTAAATATCCAGTTTATCATCAAACTTTCAGTTTATCCGTTTATTTATTTAAATCAGTATGGACTCAGAGTTTCCTAGTTTATTCAATATGTTATAACCCATTACTATATCTTTTAATTTTGATATTCAAATTGTCTATGCTGAAACATGTTTCTAGAACATTACTACTTAAAAACTGTTCACAATTATTTCATTTGGGAAGAAAGACTAGTGATTGGGAGTGGATAAAAAAGAAATTTTACCTTTTAAATACCTTTCTATTATCTTTGATTTTTAAAAAATTCTATTTCCCACCGTATTTTGTTTTAAGAAAATGTCAGAAGAGGTTCTCTGGGCCATAACATTAGGGCTGTGATGCTCAACTCTGACAAAATGTTATAATTTGTTAAAAAAAAAAAAAAAAAAAAAAAAAAAAAACCATTGCCAGGGCCTCATTCCCAGAGTTTGATGTAATTTGTTCTCAGGTGGGGCTTGGGTATCTATATTTTAAAAAATTCCTCCAGTGAGCACTCTGGGTTGAGAATTACTAGATTAGGTATGAACAAGATCAGCTATATAATTTGCAGGGTTCAGGACAAAGTGAAAATGAGAGGCTTCCTGTTGAAACTCATTAAGAATTTCAAAATGGTGATATCAAATTATTAAACTAAGAGTTTTAAGCATGGGGGCCCTGTGAGAATGCACAGCATGCATGTTCATGAAACGAGTCCTGGGCGAGGATATATACCACATTCGGTATAAGAAAGAAAACTACGCAAATCAAAGGTATACAGGCATAAAGAAATGGTACCATGAGAAACAATGGCATAGACATGGACAAGTATCCATGTGCTTTCCCTGATTTTCCAGCTGTCTTGCAGTTAGATGAGGACACATGACCAGGCCTAGACAATGGGCAGTGGGCAGAAGTGACGAAGAGCAGGTTTGAGTTCTTCATGATTTGTCTGAGGTCTAGATCTGAGACAGTGTTTCCATGAAGGTGCCGCTTGCCTCAGTGTGGTAGCCTGAGAGAATGTGTGAAGCAGAACTCCCCGGCAATTCTCATAAGTTGTGTACCATGAGCAAGAAATAAATCTTTTTTATACAAAGCCAAAGAAATTTGTTACAGCAGCATAGTTTTAACCTATTCTGACAAATACCAAAAGATACAGTTTAAATGCTGTAGGGTGTCAGAGGAAAAAGAGCTGACTTCTTGCTGTAGGTATCAGGCAATACTTCATGGAGGATGGTATATTTGAAATGGAATGGGTAGAATTTGCACATGTAGAGTTGGGAAGACAAAAATTGGATTAATTAACTATTACTTCATCGAAAACCACTCCACATGTTAGTGGCAGCAAACAACCACCATCTACTATTTCCCATGAGACTAAGGACCCAATAGGTGGTTCTGCTCTTCTGGGCTGCATTCAGGTAATACAGACTGGCCTTTCTCATGCATCTGTGTTCAGCTGCTGGGATGGCTGAGGGCTGGCTGGTTTAGGTTGGCCTCACTCACATGTCTGGAGGTTGGCTGGCTGTCGTCCTCCAGCAGGCTAACATATGTGGTGGTGGCAGGACCCTAAGAGACAGAATGGAAGCATGCCAGGCCTCTCTAGGCTTAGGCCCAGAATGAGCACATTGTGACTTGCACTACATTCTATTGGTCAAAGCAAGTCATAACACCAGCCTAGAATCAAAGTGTGGGGAAAGAGTCTCCACTTCTTGATATCATATTTCTGGTACTTGGGAGATATTCAACATTTGTGAAATAAATACATAATGAACTAGGTTCCCTGGATATTAGCTTTTTGGATCTCAGTCCTTGGACTTCCGCACTTCCCTGTCTACATGACCTACCTACGTAATCTCATCCTGTATTCCCAATTGTATGTATCTCTTCCCTGAAATATCAATCTCTTTCCATAAAACCAACTGCCTACTCCATATCTCACTAACTCTGTAATAGGCAGCTTTTGCTTAACATGTGCAAACCTAGACTCCTCATATTCCTCTCCCCCAGATGGTTTCCTCCCATAGTTTCAATTTCAGTTCATGGTAGCTACATTGTTCTAGTTGCTCAGACCACAAACCTCGAAGTCATCTTGGCCTCGTTTCTTTCTCTCATACCCCATGACCAATCCGTTAGCCAATCTTGTTAACCCTACCTTCCTTTCATGGCCAGGGTACAATTACTTTCACCCTCTCTACCACTATCATCAGGTTCAAACCATCCTAATCTGTTTGCCTTCATTATTGCAATAGGTTTCTATCCCATCTCTATCCTTGCTTCTGCTCTGACCTCTGCTCTTAATGTTTTCACACAGTCTCCAAAGTGCTCTTTTAAATATCAGAGTCATTTAATGTCACCCTCTGCTTAAGGGCTCCCAGGAGTTTCTCATCTCATGGAAAGCAGAAGTCCATTTACAAAGGCTTCCAAGGCCCCACATGAACTGTTTTCCTATTCCCACTTTGCACTCCTTCCCTACTCCTCTTTGGACTTTGTTCACTCAGCCCAGCCACACTGGCCTCCTTATTGCCCCTAGAACACAGTAGCATGCACCTGCCTGGGGGCTTCACTTTTGTTCTCTCCTCTGCCTGGAATGCTCTTCCTCCTGATAGCTGCATGCCTCCCTTGCTTATTTCTTTCAAATTTCTACCCCAGTGACTTCTTCATACCAATAAGGACTTTCTACACCTCTGTATTTAAATAGCCCCCAATAAACTATCTCTGCATCTCACTCTGTTTTTCATTATTATTATTATATTTTAAGTTCTAGGGTACATGTGCACAAAGTGCAGGTTTGTTACATGTGTATACATGTGCCATGTTGGTGTGCTGCACCCATTAACTTGTCATTTACATTAGGTATATCTCCTCCTCCCTGCCCCCACCCCACAACTTCTCCGTAGCCCTTCCAGCCTTTGACATATTCTATATTTACCTGTTGTTTGTTTGTTGTCTGATTCTTTGTACTAGAACATTAATTTCAGGCAGGCAGGAACAGTTTTTTTTTCTACTTGAATATCTCCAGAGCCTAGAAAAGCTTAGAAGTGTTTTATAAATGAATGAATAAATAGAGGTAGAGATTCTTACAATGGGTGAGAGACTAGGTGAGGTAATCTGGAAGATCATTGCAACTCAAATAGCCTGTGGCACCAATAGAAGTAGAAATTGAATTGTTTGGCCGGGCACGGTGACTCAGGCCTGCAATCCCAGCACTTTGGGAGGCTGAGATGGATGGAACACCTGAGGTCAAGAGTTTGAGACCAGTTTGACCAACACGGTGAAACCCCATCTCTAGTAAACATATGAAAATTAGCCAGGTGTGGTGGCAGGCACCTGTAATCCCAGCTACTCCGGATGCTGAGGCAGGAGAATCGCTTGAACCCAGGAGGCAGAGATTGCAGTGATCTGGGATTGCACCATTGCACTCCAGCCTGGGTGACACGAGCAAAACTCCGTCTCAAAAAAAGAAAGAAAGAAAGAAATTGAACTGTTTTCATACAAGATTTACTTGAGATCCACTGGCATCTATTATCACTATTGCCCTTCCAATCTGTTCTCTCCATTAGTGCCTAAATATCCTGGTTTTCTGTCCCTCTTCTCATAATTAATATCGTCTAATCTAAACTTCATGATTACATCCCTGAACTTTCTGCCCAAATTCTCTTTGCACTATCTCATAGCACCATTCACTATTTCCTTATACCATTTATCACAACAAAACTGTATTATACCTTTAATGGTGCGATTGTTTTCATAGATTATAAACTCTATGAGGGCAAGGACTATGGTTCGTTCCTTTTGTCAGTATATCAACAGCATCCCGCACAAGTGCCTGGTTCACAGCAGGGACTAAATACCTCCTGGCACCTGACTATGAGATTGAATAAGCGAATCTCTCTCACCCAGATGGTACTGTGCTCTGATCACTGATTCTGCGCTCTCCACTAGTTAATTCCAAGGGGTATGTTTAAAAATAGATGCCATCTTTCAAATCCAATTTTAGATTCTTGTCTGAATAAAAAAAATATTAAGGCTGGGATACAGAGTTGAGGGGAGAGGAGAGTCTTAAATCTGATTAATAAATACACTGTGTCACAGGGCTCTTTTGGTAACACACTACATTAGAGGGTTAAAATTCATAGCCAGACCTCTGAAATACTCTTAGTGTTCTTCTCTGTTTTTGAGGTTGTCTAAAACCAAGACTTAGGGATTTTCTTGCAAAACAATATTGCACAGCAGCTCCAATCTTGGCAGATTCTGCCTGGCAGGCAGTGTCATCTGTTAACACTCCAGGAGCAATTAGATGTATTTGACAAAAACAGGATGATATTTGTAAATTAGCTTGAAAGAGTCTATGGGGTACAAGAAAATTGATTCTAAAGTAGGTCAGATCCGTTCTGTACCTTGTCCAATTATGATGTGTAGGCAAGTGAATTCAGTTACTCAGAGATTTGACTCAGTTGCCGAACAAAAAAGCCTATTGGTGGGTAAACTGCTTGTCTTTGGAAGCCTCCATGCGTGGGATCCTACAAGACCATCTCAACCAGGGTACTAGAATCCTGGGTAGGAAAGAAATGCCAAATTTATTTTCTTCCCTCTTATTCTTTTCTTTCTCCATATTCTTTCTATTCAAGGTGGTACAGTGGACTTGCAGCTCTGGAATCAACAGATCTGAGTTCACATCTCAGCTTAGTAGCTGTATGATCTTGGGTGTGCAACTTTACCTCTGTGAGTTGTTGTTTTCTCACCTGTAAAATAGCAATCCCAACAATAGGAAAAGTCACACAAGATTATGTAGAATTAAATAAATAATGAATGCAAATAGCTTAGGAGTCTGCCTGACATATAGGCAATGTACCATAAATGTTGACTATTGTTATTATTTAGAATATCCCCTTTATATTATACTTGGTAAAGAAATGAATAACCCAGATCCTTCCTCATAGTTGGACCTTCATGGGGAATTTACCTCAAAAGTTAGATGTAGATTCTGCAGCTCTTTAGACATTTGATTCATGTCAGAGTCTTTGCCATTTAAGATGTAGCTGAAAGTCAGTTTTACTCCAGGAATTCTTGTCCTCACTCCCCATTCTTCATTCCTTGTCTTTTCCTCACCGAGATGAAAATTTAACGTCTGAAGGAAATGTCAGTTATTTCTATATTGATCTTGAGGGGACAACTTATTTCTGTTTTAGAGAATATAGATATTTGGGCTGGACATCAATGAGAAACATGAGGAAAGCAGCAAAAACCCTGCAGGCAAACCACAGGATCACTTTAAAGATGGATTTTATTTCTGTCCACTCATCTGCCAGCTCTCATCTGCCAGAAGGGTCCTGACTGAGGCCCCTTCTTTTCCCAGTAGGATATTTGGGGAAAACAATCACCACGTTTAATTCAGAGAGGGAAGGGAGGAGGAGTAAGTGAGACTTGAGCTGAGTTAAAGATAAAATAATAATAATGATGATGAGGGGGCTCCCAGGCAGGTGCCTTGTGTTTCTACCTCTGATCTCTAAGGGAAGGCTGTGTGGGAGTGGGAAGGCATAGTTGGTTTTTTAAACTTTTGCTGAATTATTTTTTTTTTCTTCAACTTTTAAGTTCAGGCATATATGTGCAGGATGTGCAGGTTTGTTACATAGTTAAATGTGTGCCATCGTCATTCCCGCCCCAGAACAACCCACAACAGGCCCCAGTGTGTATTGTTTCCCACCATGTGTCCATATGTTTTCATCATTCAGCTCCCCCTTATAAGTGAGAATATGAGGTGGTTGGTTTTCTGTTCCTGAATTAGTTTGCTGAGGATAATGGCTTCCAGCTCCATCCACATCCCAACAAAGGACGTAATCTTGTTCTTTTTTATGGCTGCATAGTATTCCATGGTGTATGTTTACCACACTTTGTGTATTCAGTCTATCATTGATGGGCATTTAGATCGATTCTATGTTTTTGCTATTGTGAATAGGGCTGCAGTTAATGTATTCATGCATGTATCTTTATAATAGAATGATTTATATTCCTTTGGGTATATACTCAGTCATGGGATTGTTGGGGCAAATGGTATTCCTGTCTCTAGCTCTTTGAGGAATCACCATACTGTCTTCTATAATAGTTGAATAAATTTACACTTCCACCAACAGTGTAAAAGGATTCATTTTTCTCCACAACCTAACCAGCATGTTATTTTTTGACTTTTTAGTAATAGCCGTTCTGACTGGCATGAGATGGTATCTCTTTGTGGTTTTGATTTGCATTTCTTTAATGATCAGTGATGCTGAGCATTTTTTCATGTTTCTTGGCCATACGTATGTCTTCTTTTGAGAAGTGTCTGTTCATGTCTTTTGCCTACTTTTTAATGTTTTTTTTTCTTGTACATTGGTTTAAGTTCCTTGTAGACTCTGGATATTAGATTTTTGTTAAATGGATAGATTGCAAAAGTTTTCTCTCTGTAGGTTGTCTCTTCACTCTGATGATAGTTTCTTTTGCTGTGCAGAAGGTCTTTAGTTTAATTAGGTCCCATTTGTCAATTTTGGCTTCTGTTGCAATTGCTTTTGGCATTTTTATCATGAAATGTTTGCCTGTGCCTATGTCCTGAATGGTATTGCCTAGATTTTCTTCTAGGGTTTTTATAGTTTTGGGTTTTACATTTAACTCTTAAATCCATCTGGAGTTAATTTTTGTATATGGATGGGGAGGAGCCAAGATGGCCGAATAGGAACAGCTCCGGTCTACAGCTCCCAGTGTGAGCGACACAGAAGACGGGTGATTTCTGCATTTCCATCTGAGGTACCGGGTTCATCTCACTAGGGAGTGCCGGTCAGTGGGTGCGCGCACCGTGCGCGAGCCGAAGCAGGGTGAGGCATTGCCTCACTTGGGAAGCGCAAGGGGTCAGGGAGTTCCCTTTCTGAGTCAAAGAAAGCGGTGACTGACGGCACCTGGAAAATCGGGTCACTCCCACCCGAATACTGCGCTTTTCCGACGGGCTTAAAAAACGGTGCACCATGAGATTATATCCCGCACCTGGCTGGGAGGGTCCAACGCTCACGGAGTCTCGCTGATTGCTAGCACAGCAGTCTGAGATCAAACTGCAAGGTGGCAGCAAGGCTGGGGGAGGGGCGCCCGCCATTGCCCAGGCTTGATTAGGTAAACAAAGCAGCCGGGAAGCTCGAACTGGGTGGAGCCCACCACAGCTCAAGGAGGCCTGCCTGCCTCTGTAGGCTGCACCTCTGGGGGCAGGGCACAGACAAACAAAAAGACAGCAGTAACCTCTGCAGACTTAAATGTCCCTGTCTGACAGCTTTGAAGAGAGCAATGGTTCTCCCAGCACGCAGCTGGAGATCTGAGAACAGGCAGACTGCCTCCTCAAGTGGGTCCCTGACCCCTGACCCCCGAGCAGCCTAACTGGGAGGCACCCCCCAGCAGGGTCACACTGACACCTCACACGGCAGGGTACTCCAACAGACCTGCAGCTGAGGGTCCTCTCTGTTAGAAGGAAAACTAACAAACAGAAAGGACATCCACACCAAAAACCCATCTGTACATCACCAACATCAAAGACCAAAAGTAGATAAAACCACAAAGATGGGGAAAAAACAGAACAGAAAAACTGGAAACTCTAAAAAGCAGAGCGCCTCTCCTCCTCCAAAGGAACGCAGTTCCTCACCAGCAACGGAACAAAGCTGGATGGAGAATGACTTTGACGAGATGAGAGAAGAAGGCTTCAGACGATCAAATTACTCTGAGCTACGGGAGGACATTCAAACCAAAGGCAAAGAAGTTGAAAACTTTGAAAAAAATTTAGAAGAATGTATAACTAGAATAACCAATACAGAGAAGTGCTTAAAGGAGCTGATGGAGCTGAAAACCAAGGCTCGAGAACTACGTGAAGAATGCAGAAGCCTCAGGAGCCGATGCGATCAACTGGAAGAAAGGGTATCAGTGATGGAAGATGAAATGAATGAAATGAAGTGAGAAGGGAAGTCCAGAGAAAAAAGAATAAAAAGAAATGAGCAAAGCCTCCAAGAAATATGGGACTATGTGAAAAGACCAAATCTATGCCTGATTGGTGTACCTGAAAGTGATGGGGAGAATGGAACCAAGTTGGAAAACACTCTGCAGGATATTATCCAGGAGAACTTCCCCAATCTAGCAAGGCAGGCCAACGTTCAGATTCAGGAAATACAGAGAACGCCACAAAGATACTCCTCGAGAAGAGCAACTCCAAGACACATAATTGTCAGATTCACCAAAGTGGAAATGAAGGAAAAAATGTTAAGGGCAGCCAGAGAGAAAGGTTGGGTTACCCTCACAGGGAAGCCCATCAGACTAACAGCGGATCTCTCGGCAGAAACCCTACAAGCCAGAAGAGAGTGGGGGCCAATATTCAACATTCTTAAAGAAAAGAATTTTCAATCCAGAATTTCATATCCAGCCAAACTAAGCTTCATAAGTGAAGGAGAAATAAAATACTTTACAGACAAGCAAATGCTGAGAGATTTTGTCACCACCAGGCCTGCCTTACAAGAGCTCTTGAAGGAAGCACTAAACATGGAAAGGAACAACCGGTACCAGCCACTGCAAAATCATGCCAAAATGTAAAGACCATCGAGACTAGGAAGAAACTGCATCAACCAATGAGCAAAATAACCAGCTAACATCATAATGACAGGATCAAATTCACACATAACAATATTAACTTTAAATGTAAATGGACTAAATGCTCCAATTAAAAGACACACACTGGCAAATTGGATAAAGAGTCAAGACCCATCAGTGTGCTGTATTCAGGAAACCCATCTCACATGCAGAGACACACATAGGCTCAAAATAAAAGGATGGAGGAAGATCTACCAAGCCAATGGAAAACAAAAAAAAAGGCAGGGGTTGCAATCCTAGTCTCTGATAAAACAGACTTTAAACCAACAAAGATCAAAAGAGAAAAAGAAGGCCATTACATAATGGTAAAGGGATCAATTCAACAAGAAGAGCTAACTATCCTAAAAATATATGCACCCAATACAGGAGCACCAAGATTCACAAAGCAAGTCCTGAGTGACCTACAAAGAGACTTAGACTCCCACACATTAATAATGGGAGACTTTAACACCCCACTGTCAACATTAGACACATCAACGAGACAGAAAGTCAAGAAGGATACCCAGGAATTGAACTCAGCTCTGCACCAAGCGGACCTAATAGACATCTACAGAGCTCTCCACCCCAAATCAACAGAATATACATTTTTTTCAGCACCACACCACACCTATTCCAAAATTGACCACATAGTTGGAAGTAAAGCTCTCCTCAGCAAATGTAAAAGAACAGAAATTATAACAAACTATCTCTCAGACCACAGTGCAATCAAACTAGAACTCAGGATTAAGAATCTCACTCAAAACCACTCAACTACATGGAAACTGAACAACCTGCTCCTGAATGACTACTGGGTACATAACGAAGTGAAGGCAGAAATAAAGGTGTTCTTTGAAACGAAGGAGAACAAAGACACAACATACCAGAATCTCTGGGACGCATTCAAAGCAGTGTGTAGAGGGAAATTTATAGCACTAAATGCCCACAAGAGAAAGCAGGAAAGATCCAAAATTGACACCCTAACATCACAATTAAAAGAACTAGAAAAGCAAGAGCAAACACATTCAAAAGCTAGCAGAAGGCAAGAAATAACTAATATCAGAGCAGAACTGAAGGAAATAGAGACAAAAAAACCCTTCAAAAAATTAATGAATCCAGGAGCTGGTTTTTTGAAAGGATCAACAAAATTGATAGACCGCTAGCAAGACTAATAAAGAAAAAAAGAGAGAAGAATCAAATAGACGCAATAAAAAATGATAAAGGGGATATCACCACCGATCCCACAGAAATACAAACTACCATCAGGGAATACTACAAACACCTCTATGCAAATAAACTAGAAAATCTAGAAGAAATGGATAAATTCCTGGACACATACACTCTCCCAAGACTAAACCAGGAAGAAGTTGAATCCCTGAATAGACCAATAACAGGCTCTGAAATTGTGGCAATAATCAATAGCTTACCAACCAAAAAGATTCCAGGACCAGATGGATTCACAGCCGAATTCTACCAGAGGTACAAGGAGGAACTGGTACCATTCCTTCTGAAACTATTCCAATCAATAGAAAAAGAGGGAATCCTCCCTAACTCATTTTATGAGGCCAGCATCATTCTGATACCAAAGCCAGGCAGAGACACAACAAAAAAAGAGAATTTTAGACCAATATCCTTGATGAACATTGATGCAAAAATCCTCAATAAAATACTAGCAAAACGAATCCAGCAGCACATCAAAAAGCTTATCCCCCATGATCAAGTGGGCTTCATCCCTGGGATGCAAGGCTGGTTCAATATACGCAAATCAATAAATGTAATCCAGCATATAAACAGAGCAAAAGACAAAAACCACATGATTATCTCAATAGATGCAGAAAAAGCCTTTGACAAAATTCAACAACCCTTCATGCTAAAAACTCTCAATAAATTAGGTATTGATGGGACGTATTTCAAAATAATAAGAGCTATCTATGACAAACCCACAGCCAATATCATACTGAATGGGCAAAAACTGGAAGCATTCCCTTTGAAAACTGGCACAAGACAGGGATGCCCTCTCTCACCACTCCTATTCAACATAGTGTTGGAAGTTCTGGCCAGGGCAATTAGGCAGGAGAAGGAAATAAAGGGTATTCAATTAGGAAAAGAGGAAGTCAAATTGTCCCTGTTTGCAGATGACATGATTATATATCTAGAAAACCCCATTGTCTCAGCCCAAAATCTCCTTAAGCTGATAAGCAACTTCAGCAAAGTCTCAGGATACAAAATCAATGTACAAAAATCACAAGCATTCTTATACACCAATAACAGACAAACAGAGAGCCAAATCATGAGTGAACTCCCATTCCCAATTGCTTCAAAGAGAATAAAATACCTAGGAATCCAACTTACAAGGGATGTGAAGGACCTCTTCAAGGAGAACTACAAACCACTGCTCCAGGAAATAAAAGAGGATACAAACAAATGGAAGAACATTCCATGCTCATGGGTAGGAAGAATCAATATTGTGAAAATGGCCATACTGCCCAAGGGAATTTACAGATTCAATGCCATCCCCATCAAGCTACCAATGACTTTCTTCACAGAATTGGAAAAAACTACTTTAAAGTTCATATGGAACTAAAAAAAGAGCCCGCATCGCCAAGTCAATCCTAAGCCAAAAGAACAAAGCTGGAGGCATCACACTACCTGACTTCAAACTATACTACAAGGCTACAGTAACCAAAACAGCATGGAACTGGTACCAAAACAGAGATATAGATCAATGGAACAGAACAGAGTCCTCAGAAATAATGCCGCATATCTACAACTATCTGATCTTTGACAAACTTGAGAAAAACAAGCAATGGGGAAAGGATTCCCTATTTAATAAATGGTGCTGGGAAAACTGGCTAGCCATATGTAGAAAGCTGAAACTGGATCCCTTCCTTACACCTTATACAAAAATCAATTCAAGATGGATTAAAGAGTTAAATGTTAGACCTAAAACCATAAAAACCCTAGAAGAAAACCTAGGCATTACCATTCAGGACATAGGCATGGGCAAGGACTTCATGTCTAAAACACCAAAAGCAATGGTAACAAAAGACAAAATTGACAAATGGGATCTAATTAAACTAAAGAGCTTCTGCACAGCAAAACAAACTACCATCAGAGTGAACAGGCAACCTACAATGTGGGAGAAAATTTTCGCAACCTACTCATCTGACAAAGGGCTAATATCCAGAATCTACAATGAACTCAAACAAATTTACAAGAAAAAAACAAACAACCCCATCAAAAAGTGGGCGAAGGACATGAACAGACACTTCTCAAAAGAAGACATTTATGCAGCCAAAAAACACATGAAAAAATGCTCATCATCACTGGCCATCAGAGAAATGCAAATCAAAACCACAATGAGATACCATCTCACACCAGTTAGAATGGCAATCATTAAAAAGTCAGGAAACAACAGGTGCTGGAGAGGATGTGGAGAAATAGGAACACTTTTACACTGTTGGTGGGACTGTAAACTAGTTCAACCCTTGTGGAAGTCAGTGTGGCGATTCCTCAGGGATCTAGAACTGGAAATACCATTTGACCCAGCCATCCCATTACTGGGTATATACCCAAAGGACTATAAATCATGCTGCTATAAAGACACATGCACACGTATGCTTATTGCAGCATTATTCACAATAGCAAAGACTTGGAACCAACCCAAATGTCCAACAATGATAGACTGGATTAAGAAAATGTGGCACATATACACCATGGAATACTATGCAGCCATAAATAATGATGAGTTCATGTCCTTTGTAGGGACATGGATGAAATTGGAAATCATCATTCTCAGTAAACTATCGCAAGAACAAAAAACCAAACACCACATATTCTCACTCATAGGTGGGAATTGAACAATGAGATTACATGGACACAGGAAGGGGAATATCACACTCTGGGGACTGTTGTGGGGTGGGGGTAGGGGGGAGGGATAGCATCGGGAGATATACCTAATACTAGATGACGAGTTAGTGGGTGCAGCGCACCAGCATGGCACATGTATACATATGTAACTAACCTGCACAATGTGCACATGTACCCTAAAACTTAAAGTATAATAAAAAAAAATTTGTATATGGTATAAGGAAGGGGTTCAGTTTCAGTTTTCTGCATATGGCTAACCAGTTCTCCCAGCACCATTTATTGCATAGGGAATTCTTTCCCCATTGGTTGTTTTTGTCAGGTTTGTGGAAGATAAGATGGTTGTAGGTGTGCAGTATTATTTCTGAGTATTCTTTTCCATTGGTCTATGCATCTGTTCTTATACCACTGTTCTTATACCATGCTGTTTTGGTTACTGTAGCCCTGTAGTATAGTTTGAAGTTGGTTAACATGATGCCTCCAGTTTTATTTTTGCTTAGGATTGTCTTGGCTATCTGGGCTATTTTTTGGTTCTCTATGAATTTTAAAATAGTTTTTTTTCTAATTCTGTGAAGAATATAAATGGTAGTTCAATGAAAATAGTATTGAAGCTACAAATTACTTTGTACTGGATGGCCATTTTCATGATATTGATTCTTCCTAATCATGAGGATGGTTGGTTCTTCCATTTGTTTATGTCCTTTCTTATTTCTTTGAAAAGTGCTTTATAGTTCTCCTGGAAATGGTCATTCACTTTCCTTGTTATCTGTATTCCTAGGTATTTTTTTTTCTGTAGCAATTGTGAATGGGAGTTCATTCATGATTTGGCTCTTGCCTGTTATTGGTGTATAAAAATGCTAGCAATTTCTGTGCATTGACTTTATGTCCTGAGACTTTGCTGAAGTTGCTTTTCTCAGCTTAAGAAAATTTTGGGCTGAGATGATGGAGTTTTCTAAATATAGAATCATGTCATCTGCAAAGATAATTTGACTCCCTCACTTCCTATTTGAATACCCTTTATTTCTTTCTCTTGCTTGATTTCCCTGTCCAGAACTTCCAATACTATGTTGAATAGAAATGGTGAGAAAGGACATCCTTGCCTTATGCTGGTTTTCAAGAGGAATGCCTCCAGCTTTTGCCCATCCATTATGATAATGGCTGTGGATTTATCGTGTATGGCTCTTATTATTTTGAGATATGTCCCTTCAATATCCAGTTTATTGAGAGTTTTTAACATGAAGGGATGTTGAATTTTGTCAAAGGCTTTTTCTGCATCTATTGATATAATCATGTGGTTTTGTCATTAGTTCTGTTTATATGGTGAATCACATTTATTGATTTGCCTATGTTGAACCAACCTTGCATCCTGGGGATGAAGCCAACTTGATCATGGTGGATAAGCTTTTTGATGTGCTGCTGGTTTGGTGTGCCAGTATTTTATTGAGAAGTTTTGCATTGAGGTTCATCAAGGATATTGGTCTGATATTTTCTTTTTTTCTTGTATCTCTGCCAGGTTTTGGTATCAGGATGATGCTGGCCTCATAGAATGAGTTACAGAGGAGTTCCTTCTTTTCAGTTGTTTGGAATCATTTCAGTAGAAATGGCAACAGCTCTTCTTTGTACCTTTGGTAGAATTCAGCTGTGAATTCATCTGGTCTTGGGCTTTTATTTGTTCCTAGGCTATTTATTACTGCCTCAGTTTCAGAACTCATTATCAATCTGTTTGGGGATTCAATTTCTTCCTGGTTCAGACTTGGGAGGGTGTATGTGTCTAGGAATTTATCCACTTCTAGATTTTCTAGTTTATGTGCATAGAGGTATTTATAATATTCCCTAATGGTTGTATTTCTGTGGGGTCAGTGGTGATATCTCCCTTATCATTTCTGATTGTCTCTATTTATCTCTTCTCTTCTTCTTTATGTGTCTAGCTTGCAGTCTGTTTTATTAATTTTTTCAAAAAACTAATTTTTTGAAAACTAGTTTTATCTAGGATGTAACTAACTTGCTTTTGCTTTTTATGGGCTCATAGGCAGAAGGGACTTTCTTTGACTCAGATGAGACTTTGGGCTTGGACTTTTGGGTTAAAGCTGGATTCACTGATTTTCTTGAAGGATTTTTCATATCTTTGTCTGCTTCAGTTCAGCTCTTTTGTTGGTTATTTCTTGTATTCTGCTAGCTTTGGGGTTTGTTTGCTTTTCTAGTTCTTTTAGCTGTGATGTTAGGTTGTTAACTTGAGATCTTTCTAGCTTTTTGTTGTGGGCATTCAATGCTATAAATTTTCCTCTTAATGCTGCTTTAGCTGTGTCCCAGAGATTCAGGTACATTGTCTCTTTGTTCTCATTAGTTTCAAAGAACTTCCTGATTTCTGCCTTAAATTCATTATTTACCCAAGAGTCATTCAGGATATTTGCCCTTTGTCAGATGAGTAGGTTGCGAAAATTTTCTCCCATTTTGTAGGTTGCCTGTTCACTCTGATGGTAGTTTCTTTTGCTGTGCAGAAGCTCTTTAGTTTAATTAGATCCCATTTGTCAATTTTGTCTTTTGTTGCCATTGCTTTTGGTGTTTTAGACATGAAGTCCTTGCCCGTGCCTATGTCCTGAATGGTAATGCCTAGGTTTTCTTCTAGGGTTTTTATGGTTTTAGGTCTAACGTTTAAGTCTTTAATCCATCTTGAATTAATTTTTGTATAAGGTGTAAGGAAGGGATCCAGTTTCAGCTTTCTACATATGGCTAGCCAACCGACTCATCTGACAAAGGGCTAATATCCAGAATCTACAATGAACTCAAACAAATTTACAAGAAAAAAACAAACAACCCCATCAAAAAGTGGGTGAAGGATATGAACAGACACTTCTCAAAAGAAGACATTTATGCAGCCAAAAGACACATGAAAAAATGCTCATCATCACTGGCCATCAGAGAAATGCAAATCAAAACCACAATGAGATACCATCTCACACCAGTTAGAATGGCAATCATTAAAAAGTCAGGAAACAACAGATGCTGGAGAGGAAGTGGAGAAATAGGAACACTTTTACACTGTTGGTGGGACCGTAAAGTAGTTCAACCATTGTGGAAGTCAGTGTGGCGATTCCTCAGGGATCTAGAACTAGAAATACGATTTGACCCAGCCATCTCATTAGTGGGTATATACCCAAAGGACTATAAATCATGCTGCTATAAAGACACATGCACACATATGTTTATTGTGGCACTATTCACAATAGCAAAGACTTGGAACCAACCCAAATGTCCAACAATGATAGACTGGATTAAGAAAATGTGGCACATATACACCATGGAATACTATGCAGCCATAAAAAATGATGAGTTCATGTCCTTTGTAGGGACATGGATGAAATTGGAAATCATCATTCTCAGTAAACTATCGCAAGGACAAAAAACCAAACACTGCATGTTCTCGCTCATAGATGGGAATTGAACAATGAGATCACATGGACACAGGAAGGGGAACATCACACTCTGGGGACTGTTGTGGGGTGGGGGTGGGGGAGGGTTAGAATTAGGTGATATACCTAATGCTAAATGATGGGTTAATGGGTGCAGCACACCAGCATGGCACATGTATACATATGTAACTAACCTGCACATTGTGCACATGTACCCTAAAACTTAAAGTATAATAATAATAAAAAAAAGAAAAAAAGAAAATAAAATAAAAAACAAAACAAAACCAACAACAAAAAAAAGAGTCATTCAGGAACACGTTGTTCGATTTCCATTTAGTTGTGTGTTATGAGTAAATTTTTCAATCTAATTTGATTGTGCTCTAATCTGAGAGACTGTTAGTATTTCAGTTCTTTTGCATTTGCTGAGGAGTGTTTTACTTCCAATTATGTGATCAATTTTAGAGGAAGTGCTGTGTGGTGATAAGAATGTATATTCTGTTATTTTGGGGTGGAGAGTTCTATAGATATCTATCAGAGCCACTTGATCCAGAGCTGAGTTCAGGTCTTAGAACCATTGCTTTTTCTCACTGCAGCCTAGAGTTATTGCTGGTGATGATTTTCCAAATCTATTTTATGAGACATATAAATGGTAAACAGAATCCTCCCATGTGGACATATTCAAATGAAATCATTCTGCCTATGCCATTGTGCTGCATATTATTTCAAGACTCAGGTATTGAGTGCTGAGATGCCCAAGTAAATACTTATATGGTGGTTGAAATTGCACTCATTTGAGAGAATTAATTCAGCAAAAGTTTAAAATAGGAGAACACTACTCTGATTCACAATTCTGCCAGGTCAGTTTTGTATGCATTGTGTATTTATTGTTTCATTCATTAGTTCAACAAATATTTATTGAAGGCCTACTATATATCTACCACTCTTCTAGTTACTTAAACATATTGGAAATAAGAAGACAATTTTACTTCTTAATTGAAAAAGAAAGAAAAGTGTTCTGTCTTCACAGACTGAGAATAATAATAGCAGGAAATAATAATAAATAAGTAAAGAGGGTAACTACACGTTCTGAGGGGTTCTATTACAGAGATATGCTGGACAATGGGACAGATTTTCAGCAGGCCTGGGGGGTTACTTTCGTTGTGGTGGTTATGGAAGGGCATCACCTTTGGCTACAACAAGAGCAGCCAATCAAATGTAAACCAAGATTCTATAGAAAACACCTATTAGGACACATCTGCCAAGTAGTTCAATTTCATGTGGCCAGAGATTTTGAATTGTGGATAACTCTTTCTTTCTTTAACAAACAGTCAATTTCTCTGGTCCTGTTCTCTACCGGTTGCTTGACCAACTAGGGAGGAAGGGATATGGTATATTGCTGATGTTTCAAGAGAGTTCCCATATCCTGAAAAGGGTCAGATAACAGTAGGGGCAAAGACAAATTAGAAATAAGAGGCTTAATTCTACCTCTAAAAATAAGAAATATTTTCTTCTCCCTTTTCTTAGAGCAATTACTTTTTAGAAATTCATAATTTTATTCACAATAGCTAAGATGTGGAACCAAGTGTTCATCAACAGATGAATAAAGATGTGTTATATAGACACAATAAAATATGATTCAGTCTTAAAAAAAGAAAATCCTGTTATATGCAGCAACATGAAGGGAACTGCCGGTCATTAGGTTATATAAAACAGAAGTAAAACAGAAAGACAAACACTGCATGATCTCATTTATGTATGGAACCTAAAAAAGTTGAACTCATAGAAGAAGAGAGTAGAATAGTGATTACCAGGGTCTGAGGGAAGGGGGTGGGGGATGAGTAAATGTGTTTCCCCATCTATTGACATAATAAATAATGTGTGTGTGTGTGTGTGTGTGTGTGTGTGTGTGTGTGTGTGTATTTTCTTCATCCACTTGTTGGTTGATGGGGATTTAGGCTGGTTCCATATTTTTCCAGTTACAAATTGTGCTGCTATCAACATGCATATGAAAGTATCTTTCTCATATAATGACTTATTTTCCTTTTAGATACTCAGTAGTGGGATTCTGGATCAAATGGTAGTTCTACTTTTAGTTCTTCAAGGAATCTCCATACTGTTTTCCATATTGGTTGTACTAGGTTACATTCCCACCAGCAGTGTAAAAGTGTTCCCTTTTCACATTCATGTCAACTTCTATTATATTTTATCTTTTAATCATGGTCATTCTTGCAAGAGTAAGGTGGCATCACATTTTGGTTATGATTTGCATTTCCTTGATCATTAGTGATGTTGAGCATTTTTCATATTTTTTTATTTGTACATCTTGTTTTGAGAATTGTCTATTTATGTCCTTTGCCCAGTTTTTGATGAGATTATTATTATTTTTTATCTCTGATTTGTTTGAGTTCTTTGTGGGTTCTGGATATTAGTCTTTTGTTGGATGCATAGTGATATGGTTTGGCTATGTCCCCACCTAAAATCTCATCTTGAATTGTAATAATCCCAATGTGTCAAGGGGGGACAGGTCAAGATAATTGAATCATGGAGGTGGTTTCCCCCATGCGGTTCTCATGATAGTGAGTGATTTCTCATGAGATCTGATGGTTTTATAAGGGGATAAGTGGCTTGCCCCTTTGCTCAGCACTCATTCTGTCTCCTGCCACCCTGTGAAGACGTGCCTTCCGCCATGATTGTAAGTTTCCTGAGGCCTCCCCAGCCATACAGAACTGTGTGTCAATTGAATGTCTTTCCTTTATAAATAACTGAGTCTCAGATATTTCTTCATAGCAGTTTGAGGACAAACTAATGCAGTAAATTGGTACCAGGAGTGGGGAGCTGCTATAAAGACACCTGAAATGTGTAAACAGTTTTAGAACTGGGTAACAGGCAGAGGTTGGAACAGTTTGGAGGACTCAGAATAAGACAGAAAAATGTGAGAAGGTTTGAAACTTCCTAGAGACTTGAAGAAATTAGAAGGTAGGAAGATGTGGGAAAGTTTGGAATGTCCTAGAGACTTGTTAAATGACTTTGACCAAAATGCTATAGTGATATGAACAATGAAGTCCAGGCTGAGGTGGTCAGATGGTGAAGAAGAACTTGTTGGGAACTGGAATAAAGGCTATTCTTGCTATGCAAAGAGACTGGTGGCATTTTGCCCCTGCCGTAGAGATCTGTGGATCTGTGGAACTTTGAACTTGAGATAAATGATTTAGGGTATCTGGTAAAAGAATTTCCTAAGCAGCAAAGTGTTCAAGAGGTGATATAGCATAAAAATTTGGAAAAATTGCAGCCTGGTTATGCAGGAAAAAAGAAAAACCCATTTTTGGGGGAGAAATTCAAGACGGCTGCAGAAAGTTGCGGACGTAATGAGGAACCAAATATTAATCACCAAGACAATGGGGAAAATGTCTCCAGGGCGTGTCAGAGACCTTCACAGCAGCCCCTCCCATCATAGTCCTGGAAGCCTAGCCTAGGAGAGAAAAATGGTTTTCTGGCCTGGGCCCAGGGACCCCCTGCTGTGTGCAGCCTCAGGACTTGGTACCCTGCATCCCAGCTGCTCCAGCTATGGCTAAAAGGGGCCAAGGTACAGCTCGGGATATTGCTTCAGAGGGTGCAAAGCCCATATTTGGCGGCTTCCACGTGGTATTGAGCCTGCAGGTGTGCAGAAGACAAGAACTGAGGTTTGGGAACCTCCACCTAGATTTCAGAGGATGTATGGGAATGTCTAGATGTCCAGGCCAAAGTTTGATACAGGGATGGAGCCCTCATGGAGAACCTCCTCTAGTGCACTACAGAAGGGAAATGTGGGATTAGAGCCCCCACACAGAGTCTCCACTGGAGCACTGCCTAGTAGAGCGTGAGAAGGAGGCCACCATCCTCTAGACACCAGAATGGTAGATCCACTGACAGCTTGCACTGTGTGCCTGGAAAAGCTGCAGACACTCAATGTCAGCCCATGAAAGCAGCTGGTAGGGGGGTTGTACTCACAAAGCCACAAAGGCAGAGTTGCCCAAGGGTGTGGGAGCTCAATTGTTGCATCAGTGTGTCTTGGATATAAAACATAGAGTCAAAGAAAATTATTATGGAACTTTAAGGTTTAATGACAGATATTGTTTGACTGTGTCCCCACCCAAATCTCATCTTGAATTCCCGCATGTTGTGGGAGGTGCCCAGTGGGAGGTAATTGAATCATGGGGGCATGTCTTTCCTGTGCTGTTCTCATGATAGTGAATATATCTCATGAGATCTGATGGCTTTATGAGGCAGTTTCCCTGCACAAGCTCTCTCTTTGCCTGCTGTCATCCACGTAAGATGTGACTTGCTCCTCCTTGCCTTCTGTCATGATTGTCAGGCTTCCCCAGCCACGTGGAACTGTAAGTTCAATAAACCCTTCTTTCTGTATAAATTACCCAATCTCGGGTATGTCTTTATCAGCAGCATGAAAACAGACTAATACAATGACTGACCTGTTAGAGTTCACACTTGCATGGAGACTGTAGGCCCTTTATTTTGGCCAATTTCTCCCATTTGGAATGGGTGTATTTACCCAATGCCTGTACCACCATTGTATCTAGGATGTAACTAACTTGCTTTTGCTTTGATGGGCTCATAGGAAGAAGAGATTTGCTTTGACTCAGATGAGACTTTGGATTTGGGCTTTTGGGTTAAAGCTGAAATGAGTTAAGACTTTCAGAGATGGTTGAAAAGGTATGACTGTGTTTTTTAATGTAAGGACATGAGATTCGGGAGTGCAGTGGCAGAATGATATGGTTTGGCTGTGTCCCCACCCAAAATTTCATCTTGAATTGTGATAATTCCCATGTGTCAAGGGCAGGACCAGGTAGAGATAACTGAATCATGGGGGCAGTTTCCCCCATGCTGTTCTTATGATAGTGAGTGAGTTCTCATGAGATCTGATGGTTTTATAAAGGGACTCCTCCTTCAATCAGAACTCATTCTCTCTCCTACCACTCTGTGAAAAAGTGCTTTCTGCCATGATTGTAAGTTTCCTGAGGTCTCCCAAACCATGCAGAACAGTAAGTCAATTAAACGTTTTTTTAAATAAATTATCCAGTCTCTGGTATTTCTCCATAACAGCATGATAATGGACTAATACACATAGTTTGCAAAGATTTTCTTTCTCCCACTCTGTGGGTTGTCTTTAACACTGCTGATCATTTCTTTTGCTGTGCAGAAGCTTTATAGTTTAATTAAGTCCCATTGATTTATTTTTGTTTTTGTTGCATTTGCTTTTGGATTCTTGGTCATAAACTATTTGCCTAAGCCAATATCTAGAAGAGATTTTCTCATGTTATTTTCTAGAATTTTTATGGTTTCAAGTCTTAGATTAAAGTCTTTGATCCATCTTGACTTGATTTATGTATAAGGTGAGAGATGAGAATCCAGTTTCATTTTTCTACATGTGGCTTACCAAGTATCCCAGCACCATTTTTTGAATAGGGTGTCTTTTTGCCACCTTACATTTTTGTTTACTTTGTCAAAGATCAGTTGGCTGTAAGTATTTGGCTTTATTTCTGGGTTCTGTATTCTGTTCCATTGGTCTATGTGCCTACTTTTATACCAGTTCCATGCTGTTTTGGTAACTATAGCCTTGTAGTATGGTTTGAAATCAAATAATGTGAAGCCTCCAGATTTGTTCTTTTTGCTTAGTCTTGCTTTGGCTATGCAGGCACTTTTTTGGTTTCATGTGATAGTTTCCTGTTGGATGAATCTTTTAATCATTATATAATGTCTCTCTTTGTCTTTTTTTTTTTTTTTTCAGTAGAGATGGGGTTTCACCTTGTTAGCCAGGATGGTCTTGATCTCCTGACCTCGTGTTCCACCCGCCTTGCCCTTCCAAACTGCTGGGATTACAGGCATGAGCCACCACACCTGGCCCTCTCTTTGTCTTTTTTTAACTGTTATTGCTTTACAGTCTCTTTAGTCTGATATAAGAATAGCTACTATTGCTTGTTTTTTGTTTCCATTTTCATGGACTATCTTTTTCCACCCCTTTGCCTTAAGTTTATGTGAGGCCTTATGTGTTAGGCGAGTCTCTTGATGACAGCAGATACTTGGTTGGTGGAGTTTTATCCATTCTGCAATTCTGTATCTTTTAAGTGGAGCAGTTAGGCCATTTACATTCAACGTTAGTATTGAGATATTAGGTACTATTCTATTCATCATGCTAGTTGTTACCTGAATACGTTGTTTTTTTCCCATTGTGTTATTGTTTTCTAGGCCTTGTGAGATTTATGCTTTAAGGAGGTTCTATTTTGGTGAATTTTAAGGTTTGTTTCAAAGTTTTGAACTCCTTTTTGCACTTCTTGTAGTGCTGGCTTGGTAGTGGCATATTGTCTCAGCATTTGTTTGTCTGAAAAAGACCTTATATTTCCTTCATTTATGAAGCTTAGTTTTGCTGGATACAAAACTCCTGGCTGACAATTATTTTCTTTAAGGAGGCTAAGGATAGGACCCCAATCCTTTCTGGCTTGTAGGGTTTCTGCTGAGAAATCTGCTGTTAATCTGATAGGTTTTTCTGTATAGGTTACCTGATGATTTTGCCTCACAGCTCTTAAGATTATTTCCTTTGTCTTGATTTTAGATAACCTGATGACTGTGTGCCTAGGTGAGGATCTTTGTTTAATGAATTTTTGAGGTGTTCTTTGAGCTTCTTGTATTTGGATGTCTAACTCTCTAGCAAGATCAGGAAGGTTTTCCTCAATTTTTCCCTCAAGTATGTTTTCCAAAGTTTTAGATTTCTCTTCTTTCCCACAAATGCCAATTATTCTTACATCTGATCGTTAAACATAATCCCAAATTTCTTGAAGGCTTTGTTCATTTTTACAATTGCTTTTTTCTTTGTCTTTTTCTCATTGGGTTAATTTGAAAGCCTTTTCTTCAAGCTCTGAATCTCTTTCTTCCACTTGATCTATTCTATCCCTTGTATTTTGCATTTCTCTAAGTTGTTATTTAGTTCCAGAAGTTGTGATTGTCTTTTCTTTAATATATCTATTTATCTAGAGACTTTTTCATCAATCCCCTATATATAATACATATATATATTATACATATATATTATACATATATATGTTATACATATATATTATACATATATATATATATATATATATAAATTTCTTTAAGTTGGTTTTCATCTTTCTCTGCTACCTCCTTGAGTAGCTTAATCATCAACCTTCTGAATTATTTACCTGGCAATTTAGAGATTTCTTCTTAGTTTGTATCCATTGCTGGAGAGCTAGTGTGATCTTTTAAGGGTGTTATGAAACCTTGTTTTGTCATATTACCAGAAATACTTTCCTGGTTCCTTCTCATTTGCATAGACTGTTTCAGTGGAAAGATCTAAACCTCAAGGGCTGCGGTTCAGATTTTTTTTTCTGCCATGGGGTAATTCCTCAATGTGGTGCTCTCTTTCTTCCCCTAGAGATGGGGCTTTCTGAGAGCCAGACAGCAGTAATTGTTGTTGCCCTTCTGGGTCTAGCCACCCAGTAGGGCTACTGGGCTCTGGGCTGGTGCTGGGGAATGTCTACAGAGTCCTGTGATGTGATTCATCTTCAGGTCTTTCAGCCATGGATACTCACACCTGTGCTGGCATAGGTGGCAGAGGATTGAAGTGTACTCTGTGGGAGTCCTTGGCTGTAGTTTTGTTTAGTGGATTGGTTTTCTTGAATGCTGGTTAGGGTAGCAGTGAAGTTGTCATGTTGACAGACTCAGGACGTCTGGTTATCCAGTTGTTGTTGGTGGAATTAGCTGTTGTTTTCTCCTTTGTTGGAGCAGAGTTGTCCTGTTATGAGTTGCTGTAATGGCTTTAGTTGGTTGACCTACATCTAAGAGGTGACTCTTTCAAGAGAGCAGCAGCTACAGGAGTTAAAGGGGAATTTAGGTTTGCCCTATATTCGTCAAGAAAAGTACTGGGGTTTTTTAGGCAATGGGTGGAGCCATAGGGCTTCTAAGAATTTATGTCTTTTGTATTCAGCTACCAGGGCAGGTAGAGAAAAACCACCAGTTAAGGGCAGGGTTAGGCATGTCTGAGCTCAGACTCTCCTTAGGTGAGGCTTGTTGTGGCCACTGTGGGAGACAGAGGGTGGTTCTCATGTCAATGGAGTTATGTTCCCAGGGGGATTATGGCTGCCTCTGCCCCATCATATAGGTTGCCACAGAAGTGGGGATAAGCCAGAAGTGACAGGCCTTATCCAGAGCCAGCAAGGCCAGTCTCCAGTCTCACTCCCACCATGCCCCACACATAGCACCAAGTTTATATCCAGAGAGCTGATGCACAGGGCTGAGTTCTTGCTCCAGCCAACAAGCCTTCCTGCTGAGAAAGCAAGAAGGGCTCTTCAGAACTCACCCTTCCATACCTATCTGCACTATCAGCTATAGCTTCTGTGCTCATATCTGTACTTCCCATTTGCTCCCCAATCCTGGCTTCAGCTCAGGAAAATTTGTGCTCAATCAAAATTATTACAAAGTTTAGGTAGAAGCTTCCTTCAACCTGTGACCCCACCCTAATTCTGCTGGCTGCCTTCCTCAAGGAACCCCATGAGATAAGGCCAGGAATGGCTTCCCTGGGTTTGAGCTGGGGACTGGGAGTGCCCACAGGGCTCTTCTCACTGCTTTTTCTACTTTTATATTTCACTCAGCTCCCTAAACCCATTTCAGCTCTAGGTAAGGTTAAATCTTTCTCCTGTGGTCTGGATTTTCAGATTCTCCAGTGGGAATGTGTGTTCAGAGGCAGACTTTACCCCCTCTCACACTGTATGAACTCACAGTTGTTCAGCTCATGGAGTTTGCAGCAGCAAGCCACTTCTTTCAAAGGATCTGTGAATTCTTTTGGTTTTCCTGGTATGTTCTTGCAGTGGTTCTTGGAGCAAAAGTTCACAATGTGAGTCTCCACATGCTGTTCTGTCTGTCCAAGTGGGAGCTCCACATTAGTTCTGTCTCCAATCTGCCATTTTCCTCACAATGTATGCATATTTTCCAACATTGTTGTACACAAAAATATATACAATTTTCATTAAGTAACAAAACAAAACAAAAACTTGTTAATTCTTTCTCTGCCCTTTGAGATGTAAATCTTTCTAAAAGACTGTTGATAGTTTTACAACCCAGTAATGTCTTTTTCAGAGACATGAGAGCCATCCTTTTGAAATGTAAATATTATGTAAACATTAAAGACATAAAAACCTTATTTCCCAGTTTCTGTAGAAGGGTAAAAGACTAACTTCATGGGTACTCTGACAAATTGCAAAACTACCACCTGTTATACAAATATGAGAAGTTTATCTTTCCTTTATATGATGCCAATTGATATAGTTTGGATCTGTTTCCCCCCCTAAATCTCATGTTGAATTTTAATCCCCAGTGTTGGAGGTAGGGCCTGGTGGGAGGTGATTAGATCATAGGGTTAGATTGCTCATAAATGGTTTAACAACATCCCCATGGTGTTGTTCTTGTGATCCCGAGGGAGTTCTTGTAAGATCTGGTTGTTTAAAAGTGTGTGGTACCAGCTGGCTGTGGTGGCTCACACCTGTAACCCCAGCACTTTGGGAGGCTGAGGTGAGTGGATCACAAGGTTAGGAGATTGAGACCCTCCTGGCTAAAACGGTGAAACCCCGTCTCTACTAAAAATACAAAAAATTAGCCAGGCATGGTGGCAGGTGCCTGTAGTCCCAGCTACTCAGGAGGCTGAGTCAGGAGATTGGCATGAACCTGGGAGGCGGAGCTTGCAGTGAGCTGAGATTGCACCACTGCACTCCAGCCTCAGCAACAGAGGAAGACTACACCAAAAAAAAAAAAAAAAAAAAAAACAACTATGTGGTACCTCCATTCTTGCTGTCTCTTGCTTGTGCTTTCACCTTGTGACATGCCTGCTCCCTCTTCACTTTCTGCCATGATTCTAAGCTTCCTGAGGCCTCCCCAGAAGCTAAGCAGATGTTGTCACCATGCTTCCTACAATTTGCACCCACATGAAGGGAACTGGAGGTCATTATGTTAAGTGAAACAGAAAGAAAAATACTGCATGATCTCACTTATATGTGGACTCTAAGAAAGTTGAACTAATAAAGCCTGCAGAACGATGAGCCAATTAAACCTCTTTTCTTTATAAATGACATAGTCTCAGGTATTTCTTTATAGTAATGTAAGAACAGCTTAACACAGCAATTAACTAACATAGGTGGGGACCCAGATTACCAGGTGAGTTTAGGATAAACTGTGTGAAAAAACAGTGCTGTTAAGTCCTTCTACTTGTATGTAATAGGTTTTATCTACTTGGCTACATTTTCTCTTTTCTGCCATTGTGGAGAAATTTTCTTTTTGGGGAATATTTTGTTTTTAATTATATTTTCTAACAATAGCAAAGATACCCCCCTTATTGGGAGTTCCCCAATCAGGATATTATTACACATTTTTGGAGTTTGGGATAGCGTGGCACTTGAAGTTTTTTTATTTTATTTTTTTAAGTTGTGAAACACTTTCTTTAAATGAAATCTGATTTGGAGCCCCAGTGTTTAAAACCATGAAAATATGAGCTGAATATGTGCAGCGGGGCCTCCATCCAGTTACCTGCCCACATCCTGCCTTCACTCTGTATCCCCCCAGAGCCAATTCAGAGAAACCTTGGAGGTTAACATAACAGTGTCTAATCTCACCATGCAGATATCTTTCTTCCTCTTTTGCCTTGAGCCTCCTCTACATTTCCATCTTGCTTCACTTTCATTAGGTTTCTCACTTTAAACTGGACCATAGACAGTCAAAACCACAATTTGTGTGACTCTTGCCAGATTATAGACACCTTCTACCCAATATCAGTTAATCTTCACCCCAGCCTTGTGAAATAGGTGTTCATTATTCTTTCCATTTTACAGATGAGGAGAGGTTTAAAGATGCTGAAAGATATGCAAGTGACTGTGCATGGATCTTTCTTCCTGCACTCTCCACACTGTATTATAATTGTTGGTCATTTGGTCAGTCTCTCCCACTACTCTGTGTGCTCCTTGAGAGCAGGGACATATTTCCTTCACCTTGGTGTTCACTCTGCCTAACATAGTGCTGGACACACACTATATATTCATAAAATGAATAAATGCAAATAATGTCACACAGCTGGGGAAGAGGCAAAGCTGTTATGGGAATCCCTGTCTCTATTTGATCCCACAGTCTCTGTTGCTTGTGTTGTCCTTTTGAAGGACAGCTCTGCAGCTGATGCATGAGCTAATGGAGGTGCACAGAGTGTGCGGAAAGGAAAATAAGCCATCTTTCTTGCATAAGCTAAAGCTTCCAATATATCATACATTTTCACTGTTCCGTGTTTGCTCTATTACTCAGAGTGAACAAATACACCATTCGGTAGTGGTGAAGGATGGTACAGAGAATGTTACGCTTAATTTATCCTGCCAGCCTTCAGAGATCATAGAAGTCACAGGTGCCGTTGTTGATATTTAATCCGCTTCAAATCAGGGTGGCTGCCATCTACAAATGAGATGGTTTGGTACACACATTTCTCTTGGCGTTAGTGCTTTGGCAGTTTAAAAGACCAACCTTGTTCCCAGAAAAGATGCACTGTCCTAATAAAAAGGATCTAGATCGATTTAACTTTCCTGCGAGCTAACATTGGCTGTTATGAAGATGCAGTCTCTTGAGGAGTTTCTCTTCAGGGTGAGACAGTACTATATTACATATAGATTTTGAGTCTGATAGACCTGGTTTTGGAGCTAGGATCCCCCAATTCTCATTTGAATGACACTGGAGATGTACCCAATCCTGCTGACTTCAGTTTCCCAATCTGTAAATCAGGGATAATAACACCCATGTCGTAGGATTTGTGAGAGGATTAAATAAAATGACACATGTTAAGTGTTAGTATAGCTCCTGGTACATAGCAAACCCAATATAAACTTTCCTTCTTTTACCCAGTAGGTCTGAGTGCAGGTGTTTTGAGCCTGGGAAGGGGAATTGAGTTCTGTTCTTCATGGGAGTAGGAACAGGCTTAGAAGGGATAGGGCCAGCATGGGGAGACCTCCGAACCAGGCCCCATTCTTCATACTGGCTACTGTGCATGGGGGAAGCAGGCATTCAAGCATTTGCCCCCGTCTTCTTTTACAATTTTTTTTCTAAAATTTTTAATTATTTTTAATAAGGAAATGGGGTCTCACTATGTTGCCCAGGCTGGCCTTGAACTCCTGGGCTCAAGCTATCTTCCCACCTCAGTCTCCCAAAGTGCTGGGGTTACAGACATGAGCCATCACACCTGGCACTGGTCCCTTTTAAAACTACTTTCAAAGCTATGGGCTTTTCCTTATAATCAGAAAAAGGAGATTGGACACTCTGGATCCACCTTAGAAGAGTTTGGTTCCCCAGTGACTCCTCACAGTGTTTGGACCTTTTGAGATTTCTTCTCATTTGCATTCCCCTAGGAAAGCTCTACCTTCTAAGGGAAGAAGTTTACATTAAAAAGAGCATGTGTGGGTCTAGTGGCTCAAGGAAGTGGGTCCAAATCCTAGTTCTACCACCTAATCCCAAGGCAAGCACTGAGGAGTTGGTCTTTGGACTCTAATTTCCCTTTGACAAAACCCCTTCCTCAGTGTATAGTATCTGGATGGCTCAGCAAGGTCATTTTGAATCCTTTGCTGCTCATTCATATGTCCTTGAAAAGACTTACCTGAAATAAACCAGGATAAAACATATGACATCGATTCAGTCTGTTGTGCCTGCTCCTCCTCACATTGTGATCCTCACTATCAGGCATCTGACTTTCAGTGTCAACTCACATATGGCAGACACTATGCTAAACCCATTAAATGCATTATTGCATATAATCCTATCTGTAGGCTCATCAGGTGCACACTAATATATCTATTGTGAAGATAAGAAAACTTATCTTGTAGAGACTCAGAGAGGTTAAACATTTTTTCAAGGTCACACACCCAGTGAGAATTGGAAAAGGGATTCCAAACAAGGAGACCTGCTCTACAGCACAGATTTTGGTACAGTGAGCATTTTAATTTTCCTTTACAATTTTCCTGGATCTGATTCAAACCAAATCTATAATGTGTCCCTGGCATAAATTCAGTTTTTGCCCTAAATCCAAGGGCACATGTTTCATATATAAACAATCCTAAAGTTTCAGAAGTATTTGGTCACCTTTGTAGTATGAGTGCTTAAGTATCTCTGCTTAAGATAAAATGTGCTGAGTCTTGATGAATCTACCAGTCCAAGGAGCATACAGCTTCCCTTAGCTTTTACCCACTCAAGAAAAGCCAGTTTTGCTTAGGACACTTGAGAAAAAGTCTCTGCATCTTTGGGAAAATCACTTTCCTCTCTGAGTCCATGTCCAATTCTTCTAACAATGTGAATGGTCATATCTGTCCCATCCATGTGTTAAAATAAAGCATGTGAAAATGATTTGTAAACTCTTCTGTTTTTCACAAATTTTATGGATGAAAGGTGATGAATAAGGCGCCTCACATGGAAGAAGCAGATAACTAAACAAATAATATGAATAATCAACTATGGTTGTGGCTATAACTTAGAAGCAACGGGGGTGGGTGGGTGATGTTAGGAAAGACTTTTCTGAATAAGATCATACAACTGATAGTAGTTACCCAGGCAAATAGTGTTCGAAGTAGCGAGAGGGAAAGAGCTTCAGTTTCCTCCTCTGTCTGTGAGAATAATAGCACTGTCTCACATTACTAAATTTAGCAGAATGCCATGCATAGACTAAATGTTCGAGAGACAGTGCAAAAATCAAACACATACATAACAAAAACACAAATTGCTACTTTAGATAAATGTGCACATCAAGTCCATAGTCTGAGCAATCATTTGACCAAAGTGTCTCATCTGTAATGGTGGGATGGGCTGAGCAGGAGGTGGAGGATATATATGAGTAAAGAAGGCAAAGAGGGAGTCCTCACACAAGCTAACATTCTCCAGGGATGGTGGCTGCTAGCGGAAAGAGGTGAGCTTGTTACACTAAAGGAAAAATCTTCATCATAGAGCTGTTATAAGGATCTAATGCATTTCAAAATCTATATCACAGTCTTGACACATGGTAGGAGTTCACTAATTGAAATTATTATTTGAACACCGGATTAATAGATGATTCTATGAAAATACTGCAGAGGAAGTTCTTCATTTACCTTAGGGAAAATTCCATACTCTCCTTCTTAACTTGATTAGTTTTATTTGATTGTGGTAAGAACACTTAACATGAGATCTACCCTCTTTATTCATATTTTACCAAGGATAATGGGCTAGGGGTCTAAATGGAAAAGAAAAAAAAAAAAGAAATCCTAGATTCTAGAACTTGCAAAATCTCAGTTCAAAAATTCACATTTTTAGGTCCTTGAAATTTCAACTGCGTGATTTAAGTTTCTAGTTCTTGGCTGTATCCCTTCAAGCACGTGACAACGGCAGTAGGGCTTCTGTCTGGGGATGGATAACTAAGAAGTGATCCTTGGATATCTGTATTTTCTGGCTCTTTTCAGAGTCTAAGTGGTGGGAGGGAGGCTGTCTGGTGGTAATTACACCCACCAGACAGTGGTGAATCCCTGGGAGGCATCCTTTGCTGCTGCCTTTCCTATTATTGGGAAAAATGGCACTGGCTTTAGACATGGCCTCATTAGGTTCCTCATAGCCCTAATGTTTTCTTTGATTATCCCAGGAAGGAATGCTTTGAAATTCTGTCCCAGGTCATGGTTGATGGTAGGGTAGTGAGTTTCAGAGTCTCAATGTGTTTCCTTGCTTTGGAAGAGAAAGGCTTGGAAAGTATACCTCTTCTCTAGCATCAGATGGTCCAAAGAAACAAAGCCAGACACCCTCCTTCCCACAGACTGGTGGATAAAACCAAATGTGTGCGCTGAGGAGAAAAATGAAAAATGCCTGTTATTTTCTGCATGCTGGAAAATGATGTATGTTCCTGGGGGTAACCTGCTACCTCGGAATTAGTCATTCGACATCGTGTTCTCTCTGCTGCTTGAATTGCCTCATTTTAAAAATGTTAGATTTTTTTCCCCTCTCACTTAACTGTAGGAACATTAAATGCACAACTTTATCAAAATGACACAAGATATATGTTTCTGCCAACAGCAACAGGAGAGGATTAACAATTCAAATGGGAATGAGGAAAAGTTTCTCTCAGACGATGGGAAGAAGAAAAGTTTGATTGGGGATCCTGAACTTTCCTCAGCCTGAAGCACACTGTTACACACTTGGCGTCTCTGAGGTCTGGATGGGAGAAAAATTTTAAGAGGAAAAGGATTTATTTTATATTATTTTGGTCTGTCTCTCTGAGATCAGGACTAGTTGTACACATTTGTAGAATATACAACTATGTACGGATATCTCAAAAAATAGTCATCACTTGCATAATGACTGATGCCTGAATTTGATCAGGGCTAACACTTCTAGCCATTATCCAATAAAGGTCCAGAAACCCAGTATTAAATAAAATTGGGGAAAGGAAGGACAGTGTGAGGGTGTGGAGATAATATGGTTTGGCTGTGTCCCCATCCAAATCTCATTTTGAATTCCTATGTGTTATCGGAGGTACCGAGTGGGAGGTAATTGAATAATGGGAGCAGGTCTTTCCTGTGCTGTTCTGTTACAGTGAAAAAGTCTCATGAGGTACGTTGGTTCTACCAGGGGGAATTTCCCTGAACAATCTCTCTCTCTTTGCCTGCCACCATCTACGTAAGATGTGACTTGCTCCTCCTTGCCTTCTGCCATGATTGTGAGGCCTCACCAGCCATGTGCAACTGTAAGTCCAATAAACATCTTTCTTTTGTAAATGGGCCAGTCTTGGGTATGTCTTTCTCGGCAGCATGAAAACGGAGTAATTAATGCAGGAGCCCTGGGAGATGAGGGGATGAGAGGGAAAAAGATCTCTGTAGGGTTAGTTATTACAAATTAGAAATAGAATTCTATATCTATATAGAGGGTAAATGGTCCATTGTACCATTTTGCTGATAAAAGGAGGTATTTATGTTAGATTCAGTTGGAATTTTTGAGAAAGTGAAGATTCTGGATGGAGTGACAGAATTTCCTTGTTCTTAAGAAGAAGAGCATATAATTTTGCATGAGCTCTGGTATTGTTTTAGCAGGATATAGAAATGAACCTTTGAACTTCTCAGAATCCTTTTCTGATATGTGATTTATATATATTAATTTATTTTCTATGACTCTTTTCTGTGTACCACCTTCTTAACCAGGAGTGGCTTTGATGCTGGATTTCCAACCCCCATGTAATCAACTCCATCTCATTTTCTATCACCACATTGAGGAAACTCATAGTGAGGGCTCCACAGACTATCCTCTAGATAACGAGTAAGAAGAAAACTCCTCCCAGAGGAAGAGTACAGAAATGATAAACTTGACCCAGTAAGAATATATGGGAGATTTGAGAGGAGGAGTAATTCTGGGTACAGTCTGGTGTTGGCCACTTGGGTTAGCCCTCCACTTCTCCAATCTCAGGACATGTGAATCTCTCACTTGCTCAGTGGATCCCAGGCACATCTCCAGAATATATCAAGTTTTTTCTTCACTCAAAGATTCCATAATTACTGCTCCTTTTCCCTGAAACCTTTTTCTATATGATCCTCTCAAGACTAATTCTTGAAGTTTAGGGTGGAGCTAAAATGTCCCCTCTTGAGGAAAGACTTCCTTCCTTCCTTCTAAAAAGCCACACTCCTCTCACGCATTCTTCTCCCTATCACATTCACATGTTTTGTTTTCTTCTTGGTTTCGTCATTCTCTGAAATGTCCTCGTTTACTCTTTTACTTGCTTACTATTTGTCTCTCCCACTTGGATGCAAGCTCCACGTGAACAGGAACATTGTTTGTTGCTATGTCCTCACCACCTAGAAAAGGGCCAAGTGCATAGTAGAAACAGAGTAAGTATATGTTGAATTAATAAATAAACTAAGAGTCCTGTGGATCACAACTCCAAAATGGCCCCTGTCTTATCCTCTCATGCTTCCCCTGAAGGCAGAGACTGGGGGAAAACTGGTATGCAGAGGGTTTAGGGATGTGATCATAGAAGGCAGGCATGAGAGACAGGAGTGAAAACAGGGGAGGTAGGGGAGGCCTTCAGAAAGGTATGTTACTGATTTGGCCACTGCTACAATCAACTGGTAATTGACTCTGAAAAAGTTTCTGAGGAGCTGGATAAAATAAAACTCAGAAACGTTCATCTAAAAGAGGCGAGGGGGAAATAATGATACGTGGGCAATTGTGCCCCATTCTTTGGCCAACAGTTGCCCCAGGGGACATGAAATCTTCTGTATTTTGCATGGCATGTGAGTGAGTGCCCAGTTGTTCCCTGAGGGATCCCAGGGAGTAGAAGATGGGCAGTACAGACTGAGTTGAAGTACTGCCAGGTGACACTGTTTGAAGCTGGTTGAAGCTTGCCTGATTCTGGTCCCTGCCATGGCTAGAGAAAAGATGAGGCCATGGGGATTTAAGTAATGCACAAGAGGTATGCAAAGTTCATTTCAAACTCTAGCCCCTTTGAGAAGTAATTGACCCATTAAATTATTTCACCAGCCATCGCCTCACACCATTGCATTCTTGCTCATCTGAAGGGATCAGGCATGATGTATCCTTCAGTTTCATTCCCTAATATATTCCCGCCACAACTACATTTGGTGGTTCTCAGACATCCTTGCTGCTTTGGCTCCCATAGGGCATGGAAACTCAGTTTTCGCTTCTCTGACCATTTTAACCAATGGCAGGCACAATTCATAACTTTGGACCTACTATTTCTTGGCATCTGGCACCAGAATCCAGGCTCATGATTTCCTAAAGGCTTTCACAAAAGTGCAGGTGGGTGTCTTCTTGTCTCTCTCTTTTCCTATCTTCTCTCCCAGGGTCCCTGCAGAGCTTTGTAGATGACTAGTTAGCTCTCAGAGCAGAATGATGCATTTTGCAGAGGAGTTTGCAGAAGCATTGTCAAAACAGGTGTTTATTCTACAATCTGGAAGAAAATTGCAAGATGCAAGATGCAATGTATTTTGACCCTGCAGTTTGTTGAGTAAAGTTTTTTTTTATTTCCCCCTACCTAGACACATGATAAATGAGATAACTTATTTCTTCTGGTCCCTCAGTGGACAATATGATAACCATTCCTTGACAGCAAGCAACATGCTATTTCTTTTGGCGTGTGTTTTGTCAAAATATGTTACCCTGGGAGATTCTCCTGAGTCTCAGATTTTTATTTTCAGAGTACTTTTTACTGATATCCCTAATTCTACCTGAAATGTCTGAAGTCATCTGGGGGCCTTCGGAACATGTAGAGGGAAATGGATGCTTTATAGATCTTAGAATTCTTGTGGACCTGAGATCTAATAACATCCCCTGTTCTCCACTCAATAACTTCCATTATAGTCTCACATTCAGGATAGGGGTCTGACTCATTTGTCTGGAGGGTGCTCTGGGCTTAGTGGTAGGTATTAAGAATAGCAGTAGACTATCATTGCAGTTGCTCCCCAGTGCCCTTAGTATAATATCTAGACATTTTTCTGTGTATAAGTTCTTTCATTTCTAACCTGTATTTACTTATGTAGCCTTAATTTTTCTTATTACTCACTTTGCACTCTGACCTTTAGCTGGACCATGTGGTTTTTTTCAAATTCCCTGTCTTCTGTCTCCTGAGAATTTTCTTCTGCTTCTCTTCACCTTAGTAATTAGTCTTCATCCTCCACCCGTGTTATTGAGTCTCCAATCTGAATTTTCCTATTGTGTCTTGCTTCCATAGCATTTATTCTTTCTGTGTTTCAAGACAGAATCTCAGGGAACTTTACCTTAAGGGGGATATTTTAGTTATCTGCTCAGAAATTAGGGTGAAGTATAAAAGAAGTCCCTAGCTTTTTATCTATTAAGGTTTAAGTAATGGAAGTCTCATATTTAGTCTAGTTCAAGGCTTGGCAAACTTTTATTTACTGCAAAGAACCAGAGAGTAAATATTTTAGGCTTTATAGGACAAATACTATCTCTGTCTCTCTGTCACTTTTTTTTTTTTTTTTTTACAATCTGTGAAAAATGTAAATGTCATTCTTACATTTTAGGCTTTGGGACACCTTTGGTTCACAGGCAAATTACAGCCTGAAAGCTAAGAGTTCATCCCCTAACTGTTAGGACTCTAGTTACTAGTACTGTAGATAATAAAACATCAAAATATTGCCAAGGATCCCATGAGATTATGAAGAACAAATAGGTCTGCTGAACAATGAACCTGCATTTTCAGGCTCAATTATCTTCACATCTAATAATGTCCCAGTAGCTTATTAGAGGATGTTGGTTGTTATTACAATGGTGAGGAAAATTTGATGAAAGTGTGCTTAATTATATATAAAGCTTCGTAAACATTTGTTCCTTTGAACTAGTATTAAGCGGTCTTGTAAATCTGCCCGTAATGTTGGTGGACATCACGTGGTTGATATACTTAACCAAGTTTCTGTTTTCCAGAATCATTTCTGCTTTTGTTTCTTATTCTGGCTCCCAAGAAGACACAACAATTCAGGCAAGTGAAGAAGAGGTAGTACTTTGAAGCCCAGAAGGTAGTAAGGGAGATATATGACTGTGGCAAAGATTGATAAGCTAGTCATTGAATGTCAGCACCAGAAGGTAACTTAGTGACTATCTGGTTGGAGGAAATAAAGCTCAGATTTTAACATGAGTGGCTGGCTGAGCTGGAACTGGGGTCCAGGCTCCATGACTCCAAGCCATGGGTTCTTTACACCTCATTGCATTGCCTCTCCTGTCTTTTTTGTTTTTTTTGTGGTTTTCCAATAAAATGTATGAAATTTATTATCAGAAAAATAACAACAAATGTGGAGAAAATTATGTTGCATAACATCAGATTATTATTACTTCCAAACGTGTTCGTCCTTTATAGCATCTTTTACTCAATACCACGCAACAAGGTTGTTAGAAAGCAAATGGAGTGGCTGGACTTTGTAATAAATTAAAAGTCTGGTTGATTCCTTTGCACTACTCCCGGCTTGTTCTCAGGTGAGTTACTTGGTTTCACTGTTTTTCCGGCTACCCTTCTGAAGAGGACTTGGAGGTAATTGACACATCCCTGAGGAAAATTAAGTTGGGATAGAGCCGAAATTCCTTTCAACAACCACTATTCTCGGTAGCACCAGTTGGTGGACAGTTCCCAGTCTTTTTAGTGTCAAACTCCTGGAGCATTGAATTTCCTGCAGGCAATTCCTGTCGTTTTCATGGATGCCTTTTTGGAGTTCCGAAGTCAGTTGGCAGTCAGGGTGGTGGGCAGGAAAAGGGGAAGTGAAATCAGCAATGTCCAGTTCTAGGCGAGTTCTGTTTCTAGCTATAAATTATAGATGACACCAGTATTTATCTCGTGGAGGGGTTGTAAAGATTGAATGAGATAATGCACTAAAAGCACTTGGCATATAGTAAGTGTACAATAAATATTTACTATTAGCAGCATAGTAGTACATTGCAGCCATCTCTTAATCTAAGGGTTTAAGGGGAATAACATGGCAATTTCAGGTAGGAGAAAAAATTAAGATGAGAAAACCCAAAATACGTAATAACCATGATGATGATGGCAAAGACAGAGAGGCCCTAAGAGATTAAGTGTTCTCTACATCTTGATATTTGAGGACGTTGTAAATCTCAGAGGAGTTAGATACCTTTCCCAAATTCACAACTGATAAACGACAGAGCCAGAATCAAAATGGACTCTTCTAACACTTACATTTGCTCTCCTAACCACCACACTTTTCTGCCACTCCTCCATAAAATGGAAATAATCTTTGTTCTTAATCCACAGAGTTATTTACAGGTTCAAATGGGATTAACACAAGTTCCAGAGTCAGATGATCAAGGCTCCATTCCTAGTGCCAGTATTTACTATAGTTATAATTTGGAACATATATTTATTTTACTTTATTTTATTATTGTTATACTTTAAGTTTTAGGGTACATGTGCATAACATGCAGGTTTGTTACATATGTATACATGTGCCATGTTGGTGTGCTGCACCCATTAACTTGTCATTTAGCATTAGGTATATCACCTAATGCTATCCCTCCCCCTCCCCCGACCCCACAACAGTCCCTGGTGTGTGATGTTCCCCCTCCTGTGTCCATGTGTTCTCATTGTTCAATTCCCACCTATGAGTGAGAACATGCAGTGTTTGGTTTTTTTGTCCTTGTGATATTTTGCTGAGAATGATGGTTTCCAGTTTCATCCATGTCCCTACAAAGGACATGAACTCATCATTTTTTTATGGCTGCATAGTATTCCATGGTGTATATGTGCCAAATTTTCTTAATCCAGTCTATCATTGTTGGACGTTTAGGTTGGTTCCAAGTCTTTGCTATTGTGAATAGTGCCGCTATAAACATACATGTACATGTGTCTTTATAGCAGCATGATTTATAATCCTTTGGGTATATACCCAGTAATGGGATGGCTGGGTCAAATGGTATTTCTAGTTCTAGATCCCTGAGGAATCGCCACACTGACTTCCACAATGGTTGAACTAGTTTACAGTCCCACCAACAGTGTAAAAGTGTCCTGACTGTCTTAAGTATTTTAGACAATATTATTAAATCTGGTGGTTTTTAATGTATGTCTGCAAATGTTTTAGCCTGGTTTACCAACAAACACAATGCACAGAATTTCACTTCTTCCTCATGCAGTCTCCCCAAGACAGACTTAACCCTGTTAAATTGAATTAAATTTGGCCTAAAATTTTCTCCACACGTATTTTAAGTTTAAAGATTTCTCTGTACACAGTGAACTGAAACCTAACTTGATGTGTAAATAGTTTGTTATATACTTTGTGTAAGTAGTTGAATCTCAGCCAATCACAGCAGCTGAGTTTCAGTCAATTACAGGCAGCTAACTGTTCAAACCAGGTTCAAATAAGGCAAACGCCAGCTGTCAGCAATCCAGCTGTTTCTGCAATTCATTTCCATTTTCTGTAGTTTGCTTTCCCTTTTCTGTCCATAAATGTTACCAGACCATGTGTCAGCCCTACAGCCTCTCTGAACCTATTCTTGTTCTGGAGGCTGCCCGATGCTTGAATCATTCTTTGCTCAATTAAACTCTGCTAAATTTAATTTGCCTAGAGTTTTTTCTTTTAAAAACCCAAAGCCAGGCTACTCAGTTCCCACACCGAGGTGCTTCACTGACACTTGTCCTGACAGAGTGGACCCCGCCAAGTTATATTTCCCCTGAAGAGCATGACATTTGGGCTTTAGTTCTGAAATCAAAGGATCTACACATGGCTCCTCATGGTGTTGGCCTTTACTCAGCTATGTGCCTGCTCCATCTTATTCTCACTTAATGGATAATGTCATTCTCTATTATACATTCATTAAGGGAAGGCCAGCATCTGATTGTGTGATGGATTATACCAGATTCACAGAACACTACACATTAATCTCACATATTAGTAGAAATCAAATAACTGAAGCTCCTCTTGGTGAGAAGTTTGGGTTTGGTGCTTCGCCAGGTAAAGTAGCAAGGTGCAATGGGGAGAAGGGGATGGAGCAGGAGATTAAAGCCCTCAGCTGGACAAATGAGCTTTGACACAGAAACAAAGTGTTTGAGGACAAAATAGAGTCAGACTATGTCACTGGACAATGTGGATTCATGCCATTGGCTGCATTAGAATGCAGGACAAGATGGAAAGGAGAATATTTAAATAGTTTACTTGGAAGAACATTCGTGTTCATGTTTTCTGGATACTGTTATTTGATTGGCTAGAGAGCATGTAGACTCCTTCCTTCCTTCCTTCCTTTCTTCCTTCTTTCCCTCTCTCTTTCTTTCTCTCTCTCTCCTCCCTCTCTCTTTCTTTCTCTTTCATTATGTGATGTCTATTTTTGGTATGTCCTATTAAAGCTAGTTACAATTACAGATCAAATTGTGACTGTTTTCAGAGTGCATTGTGTCCTCTGCAATTCTGTTATATTATTTACTTAAATGCCCTTTTTACTACATACGCTCTCTGTGTCCAGGTGATATGGTTTGTCTGTATCCTCACCCAAATCTCATCTTGATTTGTAGTTACCATAATCCTCACATTTCCTGAGAGAGACCCGGTGGGAGATAATTGAATCATGGAGGTGGTTACTCTCATGCTGTTCTCTTGATAGTGAGTTCCCCCAAGAGCTGATGGTTTTATAACTGGCTTCCCTCCTTCACTCAGTACTTCTCTCTCCTGCTGCCTTGTGAAGAAGACATGTTTGCTTCCCTTTCTGTCATGATTGTAAGTTTCCTGAGGCCTCCCCAGCCATGCTGAACTGTGAATCAATTAAACCTTTTTTCTTTATAAATTACCCAGTCTCAAGTATGTCTTTATTGGCAGCGTGAGAATGGGCTAATACAGTAAATTGGTACCACAGAGAGTGGGGTGCTGCTATAAAGATACCTGAAAATGTGGAAGCAACTTTGGAGCTGGGTAACAGACAGAGGTCGGAACAGTTTGAAGGGCCCAGAAGAAGACAGGAAAATGTGGGAAAGTTTGAAACCTCTAGAGACTTGTTGGATGGCAATGACCAAAGTGCTGATAGTGATATGGACAATGAAATCCAGGCTGAGGTGGGCTCAGATGGAGATGAGGAACTTCTTGGGAACTTGAGCAAAGATGAGTCTTGCTATGTTTTAGCAAAGAGACTGGTGGCATTTTGCCCCTGCCCTAGAGATCTGTGGAACTTTGAACTTGAGAGAGATGATTTAGGGTATCTGGTGGAAAAAATTTGTAAGCAGCAAAGTGTTCAAGAAGAAGCAGAGCATAAAGGTTTGAAAAATCTGCAGCCTGATGATGCAATAGAAAAAAAAAAAAAACAAAACATTTTCTAGGGAGAAATGTAAGCCCTCTACAGAAATTTGCATAAGTAATGAGGAGTTGAATGTTAATCACCAAGACAATGGGGAAAATATCTCCAGGGCATGTCAGAGACCTTCACAGCAGCCCCTTCCATCATAAAACTGGAAGCCTAGGTGGAAAAAATGGTTTCCAGGGCCAGGCCATGCGATCCTTCTGCTCTATGCAGCCTTGGGATGTGGCCAGGCCACGGGCCTCTCTGCTCTATGCAGCCCTGAGTCCCAGCTGCTTCATCTCTAGCAGTGGCTAAAAGGGGCCAACATACAGCTCAGGCCATTGCTTCAGAGGGTGCAAACCCCAAGCCTTGGGGAATTTCATGTTATATTCAGCTTGTGGGTGCACAGAAGTCAAGAATTGAGGTTTGGGAACCTCCATTTAGATTTCAGAGAATGTATGGAAATGCCTGGATGTCTAGGCAAAAGTCTGCTACAGGGGTGGAGCCATGATGGAGAACCTCAGAATTTTGAGAAGAGGGCCACCATCCTCCAGACCGCAGAATGGTAGATTCACTTACAGCTTCTGTTGTGCACCTAGAAAAGCCACAGACACTCAACATCAGCCCATGAAAGTAGGCGGGAGGGGGGCTGTACCCTGCAAAGCCACAGGGGTGGCACTTCCCAAGGCCATGGGAGCCCATTTCTTGCATCAGTGTGATGTGGATGTGAGACATGGAGTCAATGGAGATTATTTTGGGACTTTAAGGTTTAAGGCTGCCCTATTGGATTTTGGACTTGCATGGGGCCTGTAGCCCTTTTGTTTTGGCTAATTTCTCTCATTTGGAATGGGTGAATTTACCCAATGTCTGTAGCTCCATTGTATCTAGGAAGTAACTAACTTGCTTTTGATTTTATAGGCTCATAGATGGAAGGGAATTGCCTGGTATCAGATGAGACTTTGGATGTGGACTTCTCGGTTAATGCTGGAATGAACTAAGACTTTGGGAGCTTGTTAGAAAGGGATGACGGTGTTTTGAAATGTGAAGACATGAAATTTGAGAGGGGCCGGGGCAGAATGATATGGTTTGGCTCTGTCCCCACCCAAATCTCATCCTGAATTGTAGTTCCAATAATCCCCACCTGTGGTGGGAGGATCCCAGTGGGAGGTAATTGAATCATGGGGGCAGTTACCCTTATGCTGTTCTCAAATTCTCATGATATCTGATGGTTTTATAAGGGGCTTCCCCGCTTCACTTGGCACTTCTCTCTCCTGCCAGCTTGTGAAGAGAGGTATGTTTGCTTCCTTGTCCACCATGATTTTAAGTTTTCTGAGGCCTCCGTAGCCATGCTGAACTGTGAGTCAATTAAACCTCTTTCCTCTATAAATTACCTAGTCTCTGGTATATATTTATTAGAAGAGTGAGAATGGACTAATACACTAGGCCTATGTAAATTTTGTTCTTTGGGTCTGAAACTTCTATTAATCTGGCAGAGTTCTTCTAATCCTTCATGCTTCAACTGAGATATTATATCCTTGAAGAGACTTTTCTGATCTTCTAGAACAGGATTAGGTGTCTTTCCTATGTACTTCCACTGTCCTTACCTCCATCAGAATTCTGTTTATTGTATTGCAGATAATTTTTTATGCAGCTATCTTCCTAATCAAACTGTGAAGGCAGATTTGTTTCAAGATTTCATGGTTATAGCCTGGCATTTACATAGTAGGTGCTCAGTAAATGTTTGTTGAATATTTGAATAAACTATATAACTTCTTCCCACACAATTACTAGCATTGTTTACTTGGGTAATTTTAAGAAAGTATTTTTCACTTTGGTCTGATATAAATTTTTATCTTTCTCAGTAGAGTAAGTGTGAACCCCTGTGGCAGAAATGAAAGTATTGTTCGTATACCACCTTAGCCTCTCCTCTGGACTACTGAGAATTTAAATTTCAGAGACAAAGTGAGCAACCTAACTTTCATTTCCAATAACTGTATTCTCTTTTTTTCCTTCCAAATTTGTATGCCATGCTGCCAAGAGAGATTTTTAGAACAACTCCCACGAGTTTTAATTTCAATTCATTTGGACTGTGTGAGATGTATACTGTATTTTATGTTAAATAGAGTTGTTACCACTTATTTGAGCTCCTTGGAAGAAAGATGTTCCCTAAATGCAAAGCAGCCAGAATAGCAAAATTTACATTTTAATGCATTACTTTATCCCTTTAGTAAAAACTCTCTGGAGAACTATGCAACCTCAGATATTAACTGGTATTGACATTTGGGCTTTGGTGGGTACTGCAGAGGAAAGGTGTTTACTGCCTCTGTGTCAGGTGATGAGTTGCCTCATTACCAATTCTAGACTTGTGAAGGCTGTTACATTACAGCATTCACAAGCCCCTCTAAGATCATCTGTTTGTATTTCTCTTCCATCTACTATCTTGTGTAACAGCCATAATCTGAATCAATCAATCAGTCATTTTTGAGTGCAGATCTGCCTAGATCTTTGCTACAAGCGGTAGGGGAGGCAGACAGAATATGTAGCATGGTTCTTAGCCATAGGAAAGTTGCAATTTAGTTTGAGAGATAAGGAATGAAATAATCAGCAAGTAGTACAAGGCAGAATGTAATTCAGGATATTCATTTGGTAAATATTTATCAAGCATCTATTATGTGCTGGTCACAATATTAGGAGCTAGCACTACAGTGGTGAGTAAGATACATTGTGCTTATGGTACATCATGCTTATGGTAGAAAAAAGCAAAATAAATAAGTACATGCAGATGTTATAAAGATAATTTCAGGTAGTAAGTCCTAAAAGGAAAATAAAACAGGGAAATATGATATTGACGGAAAAATCATGATGGAGAATGATGGGAGAAATGTTACTTTAAATTGGGTGGTCCAGATAGTCTTGCCAAAGTGGTAATATTTGAGCTTTGCCCTGAGTCAAGAAGGAGCCAGCCACGTGGAGATGTGGAAAGACAGATTTAACACCGAGGGAAAATTAAGGACCAATCCCTGAGATGGAAATGAGCCAAGCTCATTTGTAAAACAGAAAAAAGCCAATGTGCTTAAAGGAGAATAAAGAAAAAGGAATGATGTTTGAGTGTAGGAAGGAGCCAATTGTGTATGGTGCACACTTCAAGGTCTGTTGGAATTTAGAGAAATAAGTTTTCATGAGAACTGGAGGAATCATCAAAGACATGAATGTGGTGAGGATTAAACTAGGGTTTGTAAAGTGGGCCCAATTGATGGGAGTGGGAAAAAGAAAAGCATTAATGGACAAAGAAATATCATTATCAAATGCCTAGATACTTGTTAGTTGTGTTAGATACAGTGTTTCCATGTTTTCACTTGCTACCTAGTCCAGACCAAGATGCAGTTAATTATTGTAGATTTTCAGGGACAAGTTACACATTTATTCATTTAAAAATACTTAAAATGCTAATTAATTTTGACTTTTATGTTTTAAATAGATAATACTAGCATACAGAATTCAAGGTAGAAAAGAAACATGAGAGATCTTATTTTTACCCCATTTTTCAAACACTCAATTCCCTACTTTACTGGTAATTACTGCTAAGTGATAGGTTCTTGTAATGTTTCTACCATCCTCATCCTTTATCTCTTGAATGTTCTTTTCTGATTTTTACTAACTGTTTGGAATTCTGTTTTATCTGTGTATTAATGATAAGCCTCTTTAAATATTTTTTAACAGAGTACTTTGCCACTTTAAAGTTTGCAATTTTAGTGTCTTTTTTTTTTTTTTTTGGTTCTGTCTTGAGACAGGGTCTTTCTCTCTTGCCTAGGCTGGAGTGCAGTGGTGCAATCTGGGCTTACTGCAACCTCCCAGGCTCAAGCAATCCTCCCACCTCAGCCTCCAGAATAGCTGGGACTACAGGTGTGCTCCACCATGCCCAGCTAATTTTTGTATTTTTTGTACAGACAGGGTCTCCTTATGTTGCTCAGGTGGGTCTGAAATTCCTGGGCTGAAGCAATCCTCCCACCTTGGCCTCCCAAAGTGCTGGTATTACAGATGTGAGCCACCATGCTCAGCCTAGTTTGTCTTTAAACCAATGTCCAGGTGATTAGAAGCCATGTATGGTCAAAAAAGTACAATCATAAGTAAAACAACTTCAGTTTTTAAGTGCGTAGACATTTTACTGGTTAATTGATGGTAAGTATAAATTCTTTATAAGGAAACAGAATGTGAACAAGTTCTAACATCCCTGGGTCAAGTGTCAAAGATATAAGTTCTAGATGAGGCTCTTTTCTTAACTAATGTAATGACATTGCCCACATTACCCTCACTTCTTCTGGCATACTTCTCACATCTGTTAAATGGAAGAGGTCATCCCTTCCATTATTATATTCTCACTTTAGCTGAAAACCACATTTTTGCTCCTTGAATACCCTACTATGCATATGTAATTTCACTAGCCCAACATAACCATGCATCTACATTCCTATTTAAAAAAATAAAAGGCTTTTTGACATATCTAAGAGCAATATTCAGGTTATATTTGTTCAGGTTTGATGGTATCACAAATTGAACCATTTAGTAAGTATACCTGGTCATGCACATTACCCGAGTGTTATTTGCAAAATGAATGCTATGTAAATATCTATTGATTTATTGACTACTATTAATTTATGTAAAATGAACCTTTTTGGAAAATCATACATAATAAAGCTATGTCACTGATCTTTAGAAACAGAAGAGGGCTTATCACTTAGGATAAAGTGGCTTGTTGAGTTCAGTAAGGAAAATAACCAGCCATTCAATTTTATTTGGGCTGCTCCCAGGAGAATTAATGTTATAAAGTGATGTAGAACAAGTAATTTCTTGAAATGCAACATTATGATTCCAGAGGTTGAAGCTCCTCTATAAAAATGACCATATCAAGTGCTCATTTATTATTTCAACAAGTGTTAAGAATTTATTCTATGAGATATTTGTGTAAGAGAGATATTATTAAGCTATAATTTCTGTCCTGTGGTAGGATATGTAAACAATACAAATAATGCCAACAAAAGACAGAAAATAATAAGGGCCATGTATTAGTCTGTTTTCACACTGCTATAAAGACATACCTGAGACTGGTTAATTTATAAAGTGAAGAGGTTTGATTGACTCACAGTTCTGCATGGCTGGGGAGGCCTCAGGAAACTTACAATCATGATGGAAGGGGAAGGGGCATGTCTTACATAATGGCAGGCAAGAGAGATCAGGCAGGAGCAGGGAAAACTGCCTATGAAACCATCAGATCTCATGAGACCTCACTCATTATCCTGAGAACAGCATGGGAGAAACTGCCCCTGATATGATTTGGCTGTGTCTTCATCCGTATCTCATCTTGAACTGTGGTTCTCATAATCCACCTGTGTCATGGGAGGGACCTGGTGGAAGGTAATTGAATCATGGGGGTGGTTACCTCCACCTCCATGCTGTTCTCATGAGAGTGGGTGAGTTCTCATGAGATCTGATAGTTTTATAAGGGTTATTTTCCCCCTTCACTCTGCACTTATCCTTGCTGCCACCACGTGAAGAAGAACGTGTTTGCTTCCCTTTCTGCCATGATTGTAAGTTTCCTGAGGACTCCCCAGCCATGCTGAACTGTTAGTCAATTAAACCTCTTTCCTTTATAAATTACCTAGTCTTGGGTATGTCTTTATAGCACCCCGGGAATAGACTAATACAGCCCCCATGATCCAATCACCTCCCACGTTGTCCCTCCCTTGACACATAGGGATTATGGGGATTACAAATCAAGACGAGATCTGGGTGGGGACATAGAGCCAAACCCTATGAGAACACAAAACAGAGGTGTTCAGTGAAAGAAAATATGTTTTCAGTTTGTTAAGGTACTGGAAAGGCTTTATGAAGAATTCATAAAGGTGGCATTTGAGTTGGGCCTTGAAGGATGCAATGTCATTTATGATCTAAATATAAATAAGTCCACTTCTAAAGAACATCACAATTGGCTGAATTTCCATGAATGGAAATACAAAATGCAATAATTGTCTGGTGCTATCTGTACTTATAGGCCAAAAGTTCTTGGTAAAAGAGGAAACAGTCCTACATTATTTACTACCATGTGTTACAGTAGTGAAAAATGTATGAGTTGCAAAAATTTGATGGTTAGGATTTCTCATTACTGAAGTTAAATTGGTTTCCAAACTAGATCCTATCAGACAGAGTGGTCAGTTTGCATTTTTCCTCCACACAGTGTTGCCCAGGCAACTATCGCTTCTGATGGAAGACACCATCTGAGCGGCACTTCCAAAGGCATTTTCTGCAGACTATTTGTACTTCAAAATGCTATGGAAGGACAAAAAATTTTATAGACAAATAACTCAGGGCAGTGATAAAGACTAGATTTTTTTCACAGACACTTAACCATGTTTATTTGTCTTTTTGAAGGTACTGAAAAGTCCTTCGGGAAAGGAACATGCTTAACTTTGGAAGATCTGGCATTTTCAATTCTAATTTTTATAAAAGATACATTTAAAAAATTTTAAATACTTTTATGGAAGTACATTTTACATGCAGTATAACACGCAGACTATAAGTGTATAATTTAGTAAGTTTTGATACATATATACACTTGTGTAATCACCACCCAAATCAAGATGTAACACATTCCTATCGACCCTCTAAAATTCACTCTTACACTGTACCTTCCAGTCATCAGAAACTACTGTTCTGGTTTCTATTATGATATAGTTTGTGTATTTGTCCCCACCCAAAATCTCATGTTGAAATGTCATTACCAGTATTAGAGGTGGGGCCTGGTGGGAGGTGAATGGATCATGAAGATGGATTTCTCATGAATGGTTTACAACCATACCGTTGGTGCTCTCCTCGTGGCAGAGTGACTTCTCGTGAGAGCCTGCTGTTTAAAATGTATGGCACCTCCCTGTCTTTCTCTGCCTCCTGCTTTTGCCATGTGACATGCAAAATCCTACTTCACCTTCCGCCATGATTGTAAACTTCTAGAGGCATGCCCAGAAGCTGATGCTGGAGCTATGCTTTCTATACAGCCTGCAAAACTGGGAGCCAATTAAGGCTCTTTTCTTACAAATTACCCAGTCTCACGTATTTCATTATAGTAATGCAAGAACAGCCTAATACGATTACCACAGATTATTTTGCCTGTTCTTATATTTTATGTAAATGGAATCATACAGTATGAAACCTTTCATTTCTGTTTTCTTTTATTCAATATATGTTTTGAATATTCATATATATTGTTGCATGTATTTATATATCATTCATTTATGTTGCTAGAAAAACATTCCATTGTATGAATATATTAGAGTTTGTATCCATTCTCCTGTTGATGAACATTTGCATTGTTTTCAGTTTTGGATATCATGAATAAAGTCATTTTGAATATATTGTGAAACGATTTTTATGGATTTATGCTGTCATTAATCTTGGATAAATGCCTATGTGAAACAGGTTGGTAAGTGGATGACCAATTTTACATTCTCTCTTTAGCGAAGTATGAAATGCCCAGTTCTTCCACACTCTCACTCACATCTGGTATTGTCAGTCTCGTGTAGCTTATCTATTCTTGAGTTTAAAATGGTGCATCATTGTGGTTCTCACTTTCACTTACTCAAAGGTTAATGATCTTGAGTATCTTCTCATGTGCATACTGGCCGTTAGTATACCTTCTTTTATGAAATGTGTTCAAAGTTTTAAATTGAATTGTTTGTGCTTTTATTAATGATTTGTAAAAATGTATTATGTATCCTATACTCATATATATACACACACATACATACATATATACACACACACATATATATATACACACATACATAGTTAAATATACACACTCAAATGTGTGTGTGTATGTGTGTGTGTATGTGCATGTGTGTGCCAATCTGTGGTCCTCTTTGGGTCTTCTCTTTAAGAAATGTTTGCTTACCCTAAGATCAAAAGGATATTTCTAATTTTTCTCACATTTTCTTCTAGAAGATTTTTACACTTAACTTTAACTTGTAGGTCTACAATCCACCTAAAATTAATTTTTGTGCATGGTGTGAGCTAAAAGTTGAGGTTTTTTTTTTTTTGCATGCTGACATTTAGTTATTTCACATCATTTGTTAAAAAGATTTTTTCCCTATTGAAGTGCATTGGCTTCTTTGATGAAAATCATCTGACTGTAGTTTTTATATGGGTTTATTTCTGGTTTCTCTATTTTATTATATTTATCTATTTGATTATTAGTTTACTAGTTTTATACTAGATCTTAGAAAAGGTAATGTATTTCAGCTTTCTCATTTGTACACACACACACACACATCCACATATGTGTGTGTGTATATATATATATGGACGTGTGTATGTGTGTGTGTGTGTATAAATGAAATAGCTGTATATCCGTACATATATGTGTGTATATATGTACGTATGTGTGTATATATGTATATATGAATGCATATATAGTTATTTGAGTATATATATATTTGAGTGTAAGATATATATACACACATGTATATGGATGTGTGTGTGTATTTCTGTGCTAGATTTTGGGTTTGCTTTTTTTTCCCACATGTTTTAGAATCAGTGTAAATTTTTTATTTTTAAAAAATTTATTGGGAAGTTGATTGAAATTGCATTGAGTCTACAGATCAATCTGGAGGAAATGATATCTTAACAATGTTGAGTCTTTCAATCTATGAATATAGTACACCTCTCCATTTATTTAGGTATTTTAAAATTCTCTCAGTAGTGTTTCAGAGGTTTTAATATAGATCATTGTTATATATTTTGGTAAAGTTTACACTATTTCATTTTTTATATTATTTTATTTTTAAAATTTCAAATTTTTATTTTAGATTCTGGAGGTACATGTACAAGTTTGTTACATGGATATATTGTGTGATGCTGAGGTTTGAAGGAAAAATGAAATATTTTCCAGACAAGTAAATGCTAAGGGAATGTGTTGCCACTAGACCAGCCTCATAAGAGATCCTTAAGAGACAGCATTTTTTGTAGTATGGGTCTGCTGGTAATTAGTTCTCTGGTTTTGTGTACTAGAAAATATCTTTGTCTTATCTTTCATTTTATTTTTGCTAGAAAAAATGCTGGATGGATATTTAATATTCACACTTTTACTTGAAAGACCATTTTATTGCCTTCTTGACTCTATTGTTTTTGACAAAAAGTTATCTGCCATTTTTATTATTATCTTGTATATAATGTATTATTCTCTGGCTTCTGTCAAGATTTTCTTATTATCTTTTTCAGAAATTTTACTATAAAATGTTTCATTTGCTGAGATTTTTGAATCTCAAAATTAATATTTTTCCAACAAATTTTGAAACATTTGGTCTATTAATTGATTAACTATTTTTGTTCTATTATCACTTTTATTTTTTTGGAACTTCAATTTTATGTATGCTAGACTGCTTAACATTATTCACACAGGTTACTGAAGATGTGTTAATCTTTTTTCAGTCTTTTACTATCTGTTCTTTAGCTTGTATACTTTTTATTGCTCTGTCTTCAAGTTAACTAATTCTTTCTGTGCTGTGTCTCATTTGTTAATAATTCATCCAGTGACTTTTAAGTTTCTGGTATAGTTTTTAAGTGTTAGAATTTCTATATTTTAAGGGTCTCAATTTCTCTTCTGAGATTTCCCATTCATCCTTTTGTTTTAATTATGACTACCCCCCACTTTAAAGTTATTCAATGTATTTTGTCATTTTTTCTGCTAAATTAAAAAAAAAAAAACTAAGTAATCCCAGGGTCTATTTCAATAGATTTTTTTTCCTCTTGACTATGCATCCCAGTTTTCTGGGTTTTAAATATGTGTCTTATAATTTTAATGAACACAGTAGATGATACTTTACAGAGATAATATGTTCTGTTATGCTCCTCTGTAGAATTATTTTTGTTATAGAAGGTTGATTATCTTGAACTTGTGGTATTCTTATCTTACTTTTATAAGAATGTCTTGTTTTGTTCGCAGAAAAATCTCTCAGTTCTGGATCATAGCATTTACTTCTGAGGTATGGCTGTTTTTGAGTTTCAGTGGAAGACTCTGACGTTTCAAATACCAAGGCTCTTTACGTTGTTGGGACCCAATTTGTTCTCCTCTACGGTGAGTAGCAGCTAAAATACCTTCTAAACTTTTTCAAGTTTTTGGCTGTTGATTTCCACTGAACTTCATATAATGTCATCCACACATGCACAATACAGACATCAGCTGAGAATTAAAGTTTGTTTTAGGTTGGTGAAAAACTAATTGTGGTTTTTGCCATTAAAAGTAATAACAAAAAACTGCATTTAATTTTGCACCAACCCAATATGTAGATTTTTGGGGCTCCCCACTCTGTGCCATTCTCTTTTTCAGGATTTCCCTCCTCATTTTCAAGCCTCTCTGAAAGTTCTGAAGTTTTTCTCTCACAATTTAATTCAGAAAGACTGCATCATTTTGCTTGAGTTTCAGGTGTTTTGATGGAAAGTGCCCTGCATGGGATAGATGCATAAACATGGAACTGACTTTGGTTTTGATCTTTTAAGAGTTGAATTTATTTAACTTTGTCTGTGTTTAATCACTCTTAGGGCCTTTAAATTATTGCTTTTTAGAGACAACTTGTTCAGAATTTGTAGTTTTTAACTGAAAAGGTGAATTCTATGCAAAATACATGCTACGATGAAGCAGAATTTCCAGTGGATCATTCTTTAAACATTTAACACCTATTTTATTATGTTCCATGGAACTAATGTTCTATGTTACATAGTTTTTGTTGTTCTAGAACATGCATAAAACCTGTGTCCCATAGTTTTTTAGGTCACCGATTGGATTTATTTTATTTATATAACACTTATCAAGACCCTTTGTTATGGATGACAATATTTTAGGCATTTGTGGGGGCAAAGTAAAAGAAAAGCTCATCAAAGCCTTCAAGGATCTCATATTCATTCTTTCATTCATTATTTCATTCAACTGAAACGTATTTAATGCCATTATAGTGAGGGAATCCAAAAATAGCTCTACTGTAAAAACTGGATGAAGTCTAAAGAGCAAACCAGTAGGTACTAAAATAAAAACAATATTCTGTAACAAAAAGAAAAAATATGTAAAATGTAATAAAACATACTTACTATGAATGTGTAAAATCAGAAGTGCTGATTTAGAGTGGAAACTACAGAAGACTTTGTTGAGAAGTTATATTTGAGCTGAAATTTTAAGTTAATCATGCCACATGGGGGCATTTAGAAAATAACTTTTGGAGGAGGACAAGGTGGCCGATTAGAGCAGCCAGGTGAAACAGCTCCCATCAAGGTACCATAAGAACTGGCGTGCTCCTAACAGATCTTCAGAGGGAAGGCACCAAGAGTGGATAAAGGGAAGACACAAAAGCTGGGCTGAAGGGGGAGAAAGCTGGGAATGCTGCATGGGGCTACCAAGTACTGGGACTTATTTCTGGCCCCCAATGGCTCTGGAGGAATAATTGAGTTAAACTGGCAAGGAGCAACCCACTGTTGCCATGGGCCTCTGGGACCCCGGCATGAGGAGACCCCTCAACCACCATGGACACTTAAATTAGCAGGGAGAGCAGCCTAGAGAAGTGGTAGGGGCAGCAAGGCAGCTGATGTAGAGCCCAGAGGGTTTGGTGCAGGAGCATGGCCATAGCAGACCATGGCCAGAAAGGGCCGTCCCCCTAGCATTGACTTGTTCCCATAGCCTTTAGCCCTAAAGGAACTGTTGGACCTGAACTCTGTAGGGTAGTCTTGCCCATCAGACATGGCTGGTCTGACCTGACCACCTGTTGGTCTGCTGGTCTCTCCTGGGGATCTAGCCTGGACATGCTTGCTTGAAGGGCAGTCTTGAGTGCTCTCGGGGCCCACACCATAGCTTCTGCTTCATAAAACATGCCTGACTTGCAGAGCTCCTGCAGGTTGGCTCCTGTGACCATGTACCAGCCTTCATGCTCCCTCCTTATGCTGTAGCTTCCCCTTGGCCCACAGCAACTCCCCACATTGCTTTGCTGTCTGTATGTCTGTGTGGTATATATGTATGTCTGTGCTCCATCCCTGCTCCCCGCTCCAAATTCCATTGCAGGTGAAGCCTTGGTGAGCAGAGCCAGCCATCTCTGCCACCACCAGCACCATACTCTGTGTTAACATTGCACAGAGAACAGGGGATCCTACCTCACCCTGAGTGACCACTCTTGCTTGCTGGGCACAGAGAAGCCATCTAGAACTGTGCCCACAAGCACCCTGCCTCCAAGCCAACACCACCTCCAGTACAACCATGCACATAATCACCAGAAGGAGCCCCTCACCCCTTATTCCAGCTGCATTGCCTCTGCCATTGTGGTGAATACTGACAGGGAGTCAGGCAGTCCAGCACCTACTAGGACTCTGCCACAGCTGCTACTATGAGACTAGATCCACTGTCACTGCACTATGAAACACTTGGCTGACACCACCCATTGGAGTGCAGTGACCAGCAGTCTGGGAGCACCTCCTTGGCCCCTTCCCCAGTGAAGTGGATTCCTATCATTAAGAAACCAGAGAACAAAGTTGGGACCCAGTACAAATCTTCCAGAATTAAAACATATAGTCTAGGAGTTGGGGGCTGTGCATTGGCCCCCTAAAATCTTCCAGAAATAAGTCCAGCTGGCTGAATCAACCTTATACGAGAATCAAACCCTCAAATTCATCTAATAGAAAAAAAAGAAAAATAATCCAAACTTCATCTAATAGAAAAAAAAGAAAAATAATCCAAAGGTTGACCCTCTCAAAGATTGAAGGTAGATAAGCCCACAAAGATGAAAAAGAATCAGCAAAGGAACCCTGACAACTTAAAGAGCCAGAATGTCTTCTTTTCTTCAAATAACTGCATCACCTCTCTAGCAAGGGTTCTGAACCAGGCTGAGATGGCTGAAATGACAGAAATAGAATTCAAAATATGAATAGAAATGAAGATTGTTGAATTACAGGAGTACCTTGGAACCCAATCCAAGGAAGCTAAAAAGTATAATAAAACAATGCAGAAACTGACTGACAAAATAGCCAGTATAGAAAATAATGTAACTGACTAATAGAGCCAAAAAATACACTACAAGAATTTCATAGTGCAATTACAAGTATTAGTGGCAGAACAGACCAAGCAAAGAAAAGAATCTCAGAGTTTGAATACTGGCTTTCTGAAATAAGACAGTCAGACAATAATAGAGAAAAAAGAATGACAAGAAATGAACAAAACCTCTGAGAAATGTGGGATTATGTAAAGATACCAAATCTATGATTCACTGGTGTGTCTGAAAGAGATGGGGAGAATGAAACCAACTTGGAAAACATATTTCAGGATATCATCCATGAGAAATTCCCCAACCTAGATAGAGAGCCCAACATTCAAATTCAGGAAATTCAGAGAACCCTGTAAGATACTTCAAAAAAGATCCTCCGCAAGACACACAATCAGCAAATTTTCTGAGGTTGAAATGAAAGAAAAAATGTTAAAGGCAGCTAGAAAGAAAGGTCAGGCCATTTGCAAAGGGAAGCTCATCAGACTAACAGCAGACCACTCAGCTGAAACCCTGGAAGACAGAAGAGATTGGGAGCCTATAGCCAACTTTCTTAAAAGAAATTCCAATCCAGAATTTTATATCTGGTCAAACTAAGCTTCATAAATGAGGAGAAATAACATCCTTTTCAGACAAACAAATGCAGAGGGAATTTGTTATCACCAGAACTGCCTTACAAGAGTTGTTGAAGGAAGACCAGTGATACTATAAAGCAACCACATAAACAATTCTGCAAAATAACCAGCCAACATCATGATGACAGGATCAAATCCACACATATCAATACTAGCCTTGAATGTAAATGGGCTAAATTTCCCAATTAAAAGACACAGAGTGGCAAGCTGAATAATGAACCAAGACCCATTGGTATGCTGCTTTCAAGAGACCCATTTCTTGATGGGTGAAATGACACACATGGGCTCAAAATAAAGGGATGGAGAAAAATTTACCAAGAAAACGGGGTTGCAATCCTAGTTTCTGACAAAACAGTCTTTAAGTGAACAAAATTAAAAAAAGACAAAGAAGGACATTGCATAACAGTAAAGGGTTTAACACAACAAGAAGATTTAACTGTCTTAAATATATATGCAACCAACACAGGAGCAACCAGATTCATAAAGCAAGTTCTTAGAGACCTTAAAAAAGACTTAGATTTGCACACAATAGTAGTGAGAGACTTTAATTCCCCACTGACAGTAGTAGACAGATCACAAAGATATTCAGGACCTGAACTCAGCACTGGATCAAATGGACCTGGTAAACATCTACAGAACTCTTCATCAAAAGCCAACAGAACACACATTCTTCTTATCTGCACATACTCTAAAACTGATCATGTAATTGGAAGTAAAACACTTCAGAGCCAGTGCAAAAGAACTGAAATCATAACAAACAATCTGTCAGACCACAGTGCAATTAAACTAGAAATCAAGAGTAATAAATTTACTTAAAACTATGCAATTACATGGAAATTGAATAACCTTCTCTTGAATGACTTTTAGGTAAATAATGAAATTAAAGCAGAAGTCAAGAAGTTCTTTCAAACTAATGACAACAAATATACATCAGACCAGAATCTCTGGGACACATCTAAGGCAGAGTGTTAAGAGGGAAATTTATAGCACTAAATATCCACATCAAAAGTTAGAAAGATCTCACATTAACAACCTAATATCACAATTAAAAGAACTAGATAACCAAGAGCAAACACAACCAAAACTAGCAGAAGACAAGAAATAACCAAAATCAGAGACGAACTAAAAGAGATGAAGGGAGAAGAAAACATTCAAAAAATCCACAAACCCAGACACCTGTCTTTCAAAAAAAATTATAAAATAGATAGACTGCTAGCTAGACTAATAAAGAAGAAAAGAGAAGATTCAAATAAACACAATCAGAAACAAGGGAGATATTACCATTGATCCTACAGAAATACAAACAACCTCATCAGAGAATATTATGAACATCTATGCACATAAAATAAAAACTCTAGAAGAAATGGATAAATTGCTGGATTCATACAGCCTCTTAAGACTGAACCAGGAAGAACTGAATCCCTAAACAGACCAATAACAAGCTCTGAAATTGAGTCAGTAATAGCCTACAAACTAAAAAAAGCCCAGGAACAGATGGATTCACAGGTGAATTCTACCAGATGTACAAAGAAGAGCTGGTACCATTCTTGCTGAAGCTATTACAAAAAAATTGAGGAGAAGGGACTCCTCCCCACCTCATTCTATGAGGTCAGTATCATTCTGATATCAAAACCTGGCAAAGACATAACAGAAAAAGAGAAAACTTTAGGCCAATATTCTTGATGAACTTTGATGAAAAAATCTTCAATGAAATACTGGCAAACTAAATCCAGCAGCATATCAAAGAGCTTATCCATCAAGATCAAGTAGGCTTTATCCCTGGAATGCAAGGATAGTTCAACATACACAAGTCAATAAATGTGATTCATCACGTAAAGAGAATTAAGGACAAAAAATACATCATTTCACAATACATGCAGAAAAGGCTTCTGATAAATTTTAACACCACTGCATGTTAAAAACTCCTAGTAACTAGGTATTAAAGGCAAATACCTCAAAATAATAAGAGCCGTCTGTGACAAACCCACAGCCCATATCATACTGAACGGCAAAAGCTGGAAGCATTTCCAGTGAAAACTGGCACAAGAAAAGAATGCCCTCTTTCACCACTTCTATTCAACATAGCAGCCAGCACTGGCACTCACAACTGCCTAACACATTAGCTCTCTGGGTTGGGGAAGGGCAGCATGCATCTCTATAGCTCCAGGCTGTGCTTTTCCCCTGCTGGAGCCAAGGGGCTGGATGGCTTGGCCCCAAGATGTGTTGCCAACAGCCCACCAAACCAGCTGTGGCAGATTACAGCCAGAGTGCCTTTTCAGGCCTGACCATGACTCATCCTTCCTCACTGCACAGGCCTTCCCTGAAGGAACTCCATTAACTCCAGCTAGAGGCTCAGGGACAGAACCCAGATCTCCCTGGGCCTGAGCCCCTAGGGAGAGGGCTGGCCCCAGTCTCTGCTGATCAGCAGACTTCGCCTTTCCTCCTTCTAGTTCTGAGGAATCTGGGCAGCCCAGATGAGCGAGTTTACCCCCAGCAAAGCACACCCTCTCCACCAAGGGACAAAGTGCTTCGTTAAACGGGTCCTATTCCCCTGGACACCCAACTGGGTGAGACCCTCCAACAAGGATTGTCAGACACCCTATACAGGAATGATTCTACTGGCATCAGATTGGTGCCCCTTGAGGTCAGAGATTCCTGAAGAAGGAGTAGGCACTCATCTTTGCTATTATCCAGCCTCCTTGAGTGACATTTTCAGATGCAGGTACAAACCAGATGAAGAGGTCCTGAAGTGAAACGCCAGCAAACCACAGCAGCCCTACAGAAGTGGGACTTGATTATTGAAAGAAAAACAAACAAGCAGAACATGACAACAATAAAAAAGCCCCCACAAAAACTGCATTCAAGGGTCAGCATCCTCAAACATTGAAACTAGACAAACTCACAAAGGTGAGAAAGAATCAATGAAAATATGCTGAAAACCCGAAAGGCCAGAGTGCCTCTTCTCCAAATGATCACAGTGTCTCTCCAGCAAGGGCACAGAACTGGATGGAGGATGAGATGGATGAATTGAACGAAGAAGGGTTGGGAAGATGGGTAATAAAAAACAATGCTGAGCTGAAGTAGCATGTTCTAACCCAATGCAAAGAAGCTAAGAACCTTAATAAAAGGATAGAGAAGATGCTGACTAGAATAACCAGTTTAAGTAGGAACATAAATGACCTGATGGAGCTGAAAAACACAGAACAAGAACTTCATGAAACATATACAAGTATCAAAAGCCAAATTGACTAAGTGGAAGAAAGGATGTCAGAGTTTGAAGGCCACCTTGCTGAAATAAGGCATGCAGACAAGATTAGAGAAAAAAGAATGAAAAGAAATGAACAAAGCCTCCAAGAAATATGAGACTTCATAAAAAGACCAAAGCTGTGATTGACTGGAGTACCTGAAGGAGATGGAGAGAATGGAAACAAACTGGGAAACACACTTCAGGATATTAACCAGGGAAACTTCCCCAACCTAGCAAGACAAGCCAACCTGAAAATTCAAGAAATACAGAGAAAACCACTAAGATACTCCATGAGAAGATCAACCCAACACACATAATTATCAGATTCTATAAGGCCAAAATGAAGGAAAAACTGTTAAGGACAGCCAGAGTGAAAGGCCAGGTCACCTACAAAGGGAAACCCATCAGACTAACAGCAGACTTCTCAGCAGAAACTCTACAAGCCAGAAGAGATTGGGAACCAATATTCAACATTCTTAAAAAAGAATTGTCAACCCAGAATTTCACATCCAGCCAAACTGAGCTTCATAAGTGATGGAAAAATAAAATCCTTCCCAGACAAGCAAATGCTGAGGGATTTTGTTACCACCAGGCCTGCCTTACAAGAGCTCCTGAAAGAAGCACTAAATATGGAAAGGAAAAACCAGTACCAGCCCTTGCAAAAACACACCAAAATATAAAGACCAATCACACTATGAAGAAACTGCATCAACTAGTGTGAAAAATAACCAGATGGTATCATGGTGACAGGATCAGATTCACACATAATAATACTAACTTTATTAATATAATATATATTATATGTTATAACATATAATATCATATATATTATGTTATAATATATAATATCATATATATTATATATGTTGTAATATATAATATCATATATATTATATATGTTGTAATATATAATATCATATATATTATATATGTTGTAATATATAATATCATATATAATATATGTTGTAATATATTATATCATATATATTATATATGTTGTAATATATAATATCATATATATTATATATGTTGTAATATATAATATCATATATATTATATATGTTGTAATATATAATATCATATATAATATATGTTGTAATATATAATATCATATATATTATATATGTTGTAATATATAATATCATATATATTATATATGTTGTAATATATAATATCATATATATTATATATGTTGTAATATATAATATCATATATATTATATATGTTGTAATATATAATATCATATATATTATATATGTTGTAATATATAATATCATATATATTATATATGTTGTAATATATATCATATATATTATATATGTTGTAATATATAATATCATATATATTATATATGTTGTAATATATAATATCATATATATTATATATGTTGTAATATATAATATCATATATATTATATATGTTGTAATATATATCGTATATTATATATGTTGTAATATATATCGTATATTATATATGTTGTAATATATATCATATATATTATATATGTTGTAATATATATCATATATATTATATATGTTGTAATATATATCATATATATTATATATGTTGTAATATATATCATATATATTATATATGTTGTAATATATATCATATATATTATATATGTTGTAATATATATCATGTATATTATATATGTTGTAATATATATCATATATATTATATATGTTGTAATATATATCATATATTATATATGTTGTAATATATATCATATTATATATGTTGTAATATAATATATATATTATATATGTTGTAATATATAATATCATATATATTATATATGTTGTAATATATAATATCATATATATTATATATGTTGTAATATATAATATCATATATATTATATATGTTGTAATATATAATATCATATATATTATATATTAATATAATAATAATATATAACCTTATGTAAATGAGCTGAATGCCCCAATTAAAAGGTACAGACTGGCAAATTAAGAGTCAAGACCCATTGGTATGCCATATTCAGGAGACTCATCCCACATGCAAAGACCCACCTAGGCTAAAAATAAAAGGATGGATGAGAATTTACCAAGCAAATGAAAAGCAAAAGGAAGCAGGGGTTGCAATCCTATTGTCTGACAAAACAGACTTTAAACCAACAAAGATCAAGAAAGACAAAGAAGGGCATTACACAATGGTAAAGGGAACAATTCACCAAGAAGAGCTAATTATTCTAAATATATATGCACCCAATACAAGAGCACCCAGATTCATAAAACAAGTTCTTAGAGACCTACGAAGAGACTTAGACTCCCACACAAAAATAATGGGAGATTTTAACACCCCACTGTCAATATTAGACAGAAAATTAACAAGGATATTCTTAGTGCCACATGGCACTTATTCTAAAATTGACCATGTAATTGGAAGTAAAACACTCCTCAGCAAATGCAAAATAATGGAAACTGTAACAAACAGTCTCTTAGACCACAGTGCAATAAAATTAGAACTCAGGATTAAGAAACTCACTCAAAACAAATCAATTACATGGACATTGAACAACCTGCTCCTGAATGACTCCTGTGTAAATTAGGAAATTAAGGCAGAAATCAGTAAGTTCTTTGATACCAATGAGAACAAAGAGACAACATTCCAGAATCTCTGGGACACCCTAAAGCAGTGTTAAGAGGTAAATTTATAGCACTAAATGCCCAAATGAGAAACTGGAAAGATCTCTAATTGGCACACTAACATCACAATTAAAAGAGCTAGAGAGGCAAGAACAAACTAATCCCAAAGCTAGCAGAAGACAAGAAATAACTAAGAGCAGAATTGAAGGAGACAGAGACACAAAAAACTCTCCAAAAATCAATGAATCCAGGAGCTGTTTTTTTTTTTTTTAAATTAACAAAATAGACCACTAGCTAGACTAATAAAGAAGAAAAGAGAGAAGAATCAAATAGACACAATAAAAAATGGTAACAGGGATATCACCACTGACCCCACAGAGACACAAACTACCATCACAGATGCTATAAACATCTCTAGGCAAAAATGGATTCACAGCTGAATTCTACCAGAGGTACAAGGAGGAGCTGGTACCATTCCTTCTGAAACTATTCCAAAGAATTGAAAAGAAGGGACTCCTCCCTAACTCATTTTATGAAGCCAGCGTCATCCTGATACCAAAACCGGGAAGAGACATAACAAAAAAAGAAAATTTTAGCCCAATATTCCTGATGAACATTGGTATGAAAATCCTCAATAAAATACTGGCAAACCAAATCCAGCAGCACATCAAAAATGTAATCCACCATGATAAATTGGCTTCACTCCTGGGATGCAAGCCTGGTTCAACATACACTAGTCAATAAACATAATCCATCACATAAATAAAACCAAGACAAAATCACATGATTATCTCAATAGATGCAGAAAAGACCTTTGATAAAATTCAATATCCCTTCATGTTAAAAACTCTCAATAAACTAGGTATTAATGGAAGACATTTTAAAATAGTAAGAGCTATTTATGACAAATACACAGCCAATATCATATTGAATGGGCAAAAGCTGGAAGCATTGCCTTTGAAAACCGGCCCAAGACAAGGCTGCCCTTTCTCACCACTGCTATTCAATATAGTATTGGAAGTTCTGGCCAGAGCAATCAGGCAAGAGAAAGAAATAAAGGGTATTCAGATAGGCAGAGAGGAGGTCAAATTGTCTCTGTTAGCAGATGACATGATTGTATATTTAGAAAACCCCATCTCAGTTCCAAAACTCCTTAAACTGGTAAGCAACTTCAGCAAAGTCTGAAGATTCAAAATCAATGTGCAAAAATCACAAGCATTCCTATACACCAACAATAGACAAGCAGATAGCCAAATCATGAATAAATTCCCATTCGCAATTGCTACAAAGAGAATAAAATACCTAGGAATACAGCTAACAGAGATGTGAAGGACCTCTTCAAGGAGAACTACAAACCACTGCTCAAGGAGATAAGAGAGGAAACAAACGAGAAAACATTCCATCCTCATGGACAGGAAGAATCAATATTATGTAAATGGTCATTTTGCCCGAACTAACTTACAGATTCAATGCTATTCCCATTAAACTACCATAGACATTCTTCGCAGAATTAGAAAAACTACTTTAAATTTCGTACGGAATCAAAGAAGACCCCATATAGCCAAGACAATTCTAAGAAAAAAGAACAAAGCTGGAGGTATCATGCTACCTGACTTCAAACTGTACTACAAGGATACAGTAACCAAAACGGCATGGTACTGGTACCAAAGCAGACATATAGACCAATGAAACAGAACAGAGACCTCAGAAATATTACCACACTCGACAACCATCTGATCTTTGACAAACCTGACAAAAACCAGCAATGGGGAAAGGATCTCCTATTCAATAAATGGTGCTGGGAAAACTGGCTAGCCATATGCAGAAAAAAATAAACAACTAGACCCCTTCCTTAGACCCTATGCAAAAATTAACTCAAGATGGATAAAAACTTAATGTAAAACCCCAAACTAAAAAAACCCTAGAAGGAAACCTTGGCAGTACCATTCAGGACATAGGCATGCGCAAAGGCTTCATGACTAAAACATGAAAAGCAATTGCAACAAAACCCAAAATTGACAAATGGGATCTAATTAAACTAAAGACTTTCTGCTCAGCAAAAGAAACCAGCATCAGACTGAACAGACAACTACTGAATGGGAGAAAACTTTTGCAATCTATCTATCTGACAAAGGTCTCATATCCAGAATTTACAAGAAAAGATAATTTACAAGAAAACAAATTTACAAAAAAAAAACCCATTAAAACGTGGGCAAAGTATATGAACAGATACTTCTCAAAAGAAGACATGCAGCGAACAAACGTGAAAAAAAAGCTCAACATCACTGGTCATTAGAGGAATGCAAATCAAAACCACAATAAGATACTGTCTCATACCAGTTAGAATGGCAATTATTAAAAAGTCAAGAAACAATAGATGCTGGTGAGGCTGTGGAGAGATAGGAGCACTTTTACACTGTTGGTGGGAATGTAAATTAGTTCAACCATTGTGGAAGACAGTATGGTGATTCCTCAAGGATCTAGAATCAGAAATACCATTTGACCCAGCAATCTCATTACTGGGTATATACCCAAAGAAATATAAATCATTATACTATAAAGATGCATTCACATATATGTTTAGTGCAGCGCTATTTACAATAGCAAAGTCATGGGACCAACTGAAATGCCCAACAATTATAAACTGGATAAAGAAAATGTGGTACATATACACCATGGAATACTTCACGGCCATAAAAAGGAATGAGATCATGTCCTTTGCAGGAACATGGATGAAGTTGGAAGCCATCATTCTCAGCAAACTAACACAAACAGGAAACCAAACACCACATGGTCTCACTCATAAGTGGGATTTGAGCAATGAGAACACATGGACACAGTGAGGGAAACAACACACACCAGGGCCTGTTGGGTGTTGAGGGGCTAGGGAAGGGAACTTAGAAGATGGGTTAATAGGTGCAGCAAACTACTGTGTCACATGTATGCATATGTAACAAACCTGTATGTTCTGCATATGTATTCCAGAACTTAAAATATTTTTTTAAAGAACAAAATCATGTTCATTACAGGAATATGGATGGAGCTAAATGCCATTAACTTTAGCAAATTAACACAGGAACAGAAACCCCAAATACTGTATGTTTTCACTTATAAGTGGGAGATCAATGATGAAAATACACGGACACATAGAGGGGAACAACACACACTGGGGCCTATCGGAGGGTTGAGGGTGTGAAGAGGGAGATGATCAGGAAAAATAACTAATGGGTACTAGGCTTAATACTTGGGTGATGAAATGATCTATGTAACAACCCCTCCGTAACACTAGCTTCTCTGTAAAACAAACCTGCACATGTACCCCTGAATTTAAAATAAAAATTAAATAATGAAAAAAAACAACAACAAAAAAAATGAAAGAGACTGCATTAAAACCTTACCATTGAAAGAATAAACTTAACCAGAAAAGAAAGCCTATTATTAAGAAATAAAAATCTGTTATGGGTGACTACATCTTTTCAGTGGGAATAAAAGATAAATAAAAATTGGAAGAAAATGAAAACCAACAAGAAAATAACTTTTATATGAGAGGGATCCGTATGTGTAAAGGCCATGAGAGACCAGAAGTAAATGATCTTTCAGACATACTAAGTATATATTAGGGAGAGGAGAAAGTTCAGGATGATGTTCAGGGTTTGGCATTTCCAAGGCATTGGGTGTGGTTCCATTTTCAGTGACGTGGGGTATGGGCTTAAATGCATCAGTTTGGTTTGGACATGGTGACTTTGAGGTGTCTCGAAGATGCCAAACTGAAGACATTAACTGAAGTTAGGTGTACCATTTTGGAGCTAAAAATTGGCATTTTGCCATTCTCCCTCCCTTTTTTTCAGCCAACCAGAAAAATTGGTGGCTTTAGAGCCGTAACACTATGTTGAGCATCCCATTTAAAACATTCAATCATTTAATATTTGTTAATAGTGCCATGTACATTCTAGGCATTGAACTAGTTGTTGAAAACAGATTTGGATAAGACAGACAAAGTTATTATCCTCAAGAAACTCATGTTCCAGTTGGGGAAGACAGGCAATAAATATATAAACAAATAAATAACCAAATAATAAAATTTCAGACAACATCGACAACCCCGAATGACAGAATGTGGAGCAACAGGAACTCTTATTAATTGATGGTGGTGGCTTCTTACAAAACCAAACATAATTGTATCATATGATTAAGCAATGTGGCTCCTTATTATTTACCCAAAGAAGTTGAAAACTTATTTCACATGGAAACTTGCAAAAGAATGTTTATAGTAGCTTTATTCATAAAGCAATCAAGATGTAGGTTGCAGGTGAGTGGATAGATAAAAATGTGGTTCATCCAGACAATGAAATATTATTCAAAAGACATGCGCTATCAAGCCATGAAAAGATATGGGGAAGACATAAATGTATATTACTAAGTGAAAGAAGTCAATTCAAAAAGGCTACACACTGTATTATTCCAATTACTTGACGTTATGGAAAAGGCAAAACTGTGAAGACAGTAAAAAGATCAGTGGTTGTCAGGGATTAGCAGAAAGGAGGATGCATTGGCTGAACACAGAAGATTTTTAGTGCAATAAAACTGCTCTGTCTGATACTATAATGGTGGCTACATGTCATTATAAATTTGTCCAAACCTATAGAATGTACGACACCAAGAATGAATCCTAATGTCAACTGTAGACTCTGGGTAATTATGATGTATCAGTGTAAGTTCATCAGTTGAAATAAATGAATAGCTGTTGTGGGGAATGTTAAAAATAGAAGAGACTGTACATCTGTGCAGACAGTGAGTATATTAGAAATCTTGGTACCTTCTGCTCAGTTTTACTGTGAACTGAAAACTGGTCTAAAAAATAAAGTCTACTTAAAAATTCAGACAGTGCTTTGAGGAAAACTAAATTAGAACAATAGTATTTTGGGTTGAAAGGATGTGAAACTTTATATAGAGTGGTCAAAGAAGGCTTTTCTGAGGAGTCAACATTTCATCAGAAACCTAAAAGATGAGATGAGAGAAAAGAATCATATGACAATTTTTAAGGAAAAGTGCAGACAGAGGAAACATCTAGAGGAAAGCTTTGAGGTAAGAAGAAGCTAATTATCCTGTGTGACTGGATTTCACTAGATGAGGGAAAAAATGCTAGAAACCTGATTATGTATGGCCTTCTGGATAAAATATCCTAATCAGACCAGCTTACCTATTGATGGCTTTTAGAAGCCTTTTAACTCCTTATTCCTACTCCAATATGATAAATCAGAAAAACATTTCAGAAGAGCAAACAATGGCAGGAGTGTCACTTTTTGAGTATTTCCTTGAGATTGTAGAAAATTTAGAAAATGGAGCATCTATGGATATCTCTCATCCTGTGTCATCCACTTGTTTTTGTTTGAGGAAACAGAAGACAAGATTGGTGGCTTAAAGTATGGTGTGATGCTGTATGGAGCACAGAGATACGCTTTGGTTTGTGAGAACACAGACAATTTCAACAGAAATAGTCAAAGTATTTCAACAGTAAAAGCTATGTGGAAAAAAGAAGATGAGAAAATAAATTTTAATATAACATTATCTGTCCTGTTACTTCAACCCGATGTAATTTAAAAGGGCAATCTTACTACCAGGAGCTGTCTAATCCTCTAAACAATGCTTGGCGACAATTGAAATACCCTGTATCCTTCTGGACTGTCATTTAGCTTATTTGGGGGGATTTGACAAATCACATGTTTGCCAAATAAGCAATACTCCAAATTCCTGTTATTTTCTCTTTTCATTCAAATGTTTCCAAGTGTCAGAATCTTCCATGGGAAATAATCGGCCCTTTTTGGAAGGTATAAACGTGCATGCAAATCAGAGTTGCAGAAACATGAATATGGAGCTATTAGTGTCATGCCGCAACTGCTCAGGTTATTTATGCTCAGATTACTGCTTGAAAACAAGAATAAACTGAGAGAATTTGTGGATGGAGAACATCACCAAAACCTTGTCTAATAATTGTGAAACATGTGTCCTCTATGGCTTTCATTAAAATCCTTTTCTCCCTATTCTGTCCCCAACATACCCACTTAAGTTAATTTAGGTAAAGTCTGCACAGGCAGATTGAGGTAGGGAGGTGAACTAAATCATACAGATATCTATTTTAGAAATAGAAAATTGCTATTTAGAAAAAAAGACCCATTTTTGCCAGGATGTCTAGAGAGCCTTTTTTATACCACTTATATTTATCAGAGAACCACTTACTCACTTTCTACTTTGTCAGTCTTATTTTTTATGTCTTATTTATTCTGGAGACTAGGGAGGCCTAATGAAATCAGTTCTGCCCTGTGGATTTTTAGGGGCTCCAGAAAATTAACCCTAGAAAGATTCTGAAAGATCATCTTGTCCTACAGTCTTGTTAAGACCCAAACACTGAAACATTTGATCTAGGCCACTCCATCAGTTAGTGGTTGAGGGAGGCACATTATTTATAGACCATGATCTGTCTCTCTGCCAGACCAGAATAACTCCATGGAATGTTTCTATCCGGTCCAATTGGTTCAGTTATTTCAATACATTATTGCTGCTGCACACTGAGCCCAAGCACAGTGAATGCTCTTTGTGGCAGGTACATACGCCAAAATTAGGTTAAATTTTCCCTTCAGAAATTTCTTTTTAAATACCCACACATGAACAAATGGACAGTTGGCTCCACGTGTAAGTCACAATCTTTTACATAGATTAAATTAAATTTATAAAATTTTATTTTTAATTGACAAGCAATATTCATATTTATCATATATTTATGAGGTACAATGTGATGTTTTGATATATGTTTGCATTGTAGGATGATGAAATCAAGCTAAATAATAAATCTATTACCTAAAATACTTATCTTTTTTGTGGTGAAAAACATGTAAAATCCAATCCTTCAGTAATTTTAAAACACACAATGCATTATTATTTATTATGGTTACCACTCTGTGCAATAGACCATTAAAGCTTATTTTTCATTTCTAACTGAAATTTCGTACCCTTTGATCAACATCTCCATCTCCATTTCCCCATTCACTTGAATCCCCCAGTTTCTGGTAACTACCATTCTACTCTCTACTTCTATGAGTTCCTATAAGACATCATTATATGGAGAAGTCTCAATTCAGTTTTCTCTAGAAAGAGAGCAAGAGTCAGTCAATAAAAATCCTTTCTGACTACTTTGTGTAGTCCAGCACTTTTACATTAAATTTCCTATATTTATTTACCACTGGAAGGTCTTAGATTAATATTTCCTTTTGGGAATTTTCAGAAATCCTTTTCGATAGGACTTTGAGTTTGAGTGGGCTGCAGCGAGTTGTCAGGATATGCAGGGAATCAAAGAAGTGGCAGTGCTTTTTACCACCCAGCAATCAATATGTGTAAGATACTATGTAATTTGGTGAAATCCAAGTGTTGTCTGCATATACCATAGAATTTTATTTTTAGGCAAATACCTGAAATGCTTAAGTTTACTCTCCAGGAGCTACTCCTCTCCCCTTATCTAATGTCTTTCTGTTGTAGTAGCCTGGTCATTTAATCCACAGCACCCCACTTCATTTATTTGATATCTAACAAACATTTGTTAAGTACTACTGTGTATTTGACACTCTTTTAAAAGCTGAGGATCTATGAGTAGATAAAACAAATGTTCTCTCCTTAGGGAGCTTACATTCTAATGGAGGAACAGGACAATAAAGCAGGAAAATATGACAGATGATTTAAAGGTACATTAATTCAACAAATATGTAACTTATTTCAGTATGTATCCTGGCATGGATGAGATTAGAGTGTGGCAAATTTTCTATTTTCTAGAAATTAGAGTCAAATAGTTGTAATGCATCCCCCAGATGCCAAAAATATAATCAAATTTTCATCAGAATCCGGAAACTTAAAGGCACTGTGGACAGAGAAAGCATTTCAATTTGGATATCGACAGAATACTTCTCTCTGTGTTTATTTTAAGCCAAATAGCTTTTCTTTCAGTTTTGTTTACCTTTGGTATTTGTATCACACTCCTATTTTCTTCTGATAACCCATTAATTTAAAAGTAGCTCTTATGAAGCAATAGTGACTTTTCCATTATTGGGTATCTGTTTCAAAGTCATTTAATCTTCCAAGCAGAATTTGTTGTGTGAAGTTTTATGCAGCCAAGAATAATTTATTTGCAAATGTAGCAATAGCGTACAATCAGCCAAAGAAGATTTTTTTCTCCAAATAATATTCTACTGAAAGTTTAAATGTTTCTAGTCTATGTTTCATTAGAATTTGAATAGGTATGTGCAGCTACTCCAAATGTTCACTGGTAGTGAAATATTATTTGGGAAACAGAACGCTGTAAACATAACTCCTTTCAGAATACCAACACATTCAAATTTCTACTCAAGGCAAATATTATTTGGAAGGCAACATTGTTTGAATGAAATAATACAATTCAGATGATGATTATAGTCATGAACTAAAGAACTAATTAATTTGGCAAATATATTGTAGGTATAAAGATACAATTTCTTACCATGGCTATTAAGAATTTTCTCTTTACTCTGCTTTAATGGTATCGTTATAAAAAGTTGTAATAAACATTAGACATTTAAGGAATATTTTAAAATGATCTATGAGGGGATATTCTCTGTCACAACACTTGCACAATTAGCCTAAATGAGACTTATGGGCTTTCTTATTAATGAGTCAGAGGACTTAAGAGTTTTACTATTTTTAATGGCTGCTCCCTCAGTACTTGTCACAGGATTTTGATTTTACTTACTTTAGAATATAAAGAGGCTGTCACAATAATCCCATAGCAAGACAAAAACTGGAAGAAACAGTTTCCCTAATTTGGATACTAATACATTTATTTGGGGCCCTTAAGAGTTGTTTAGTATTTAACATTTTGATATGTACACATCTTATGGATATCGACAATGATAACTGGCTATCAATGTTCGCTAGGTAACATATTCGCTATTCTTTCTCACTAGGGTGATATGTTTGTGTTGAGCTAGCCACATCATTTTCTCTGTTTTTTTTTTTTTTTTCTTATAGCCATGATATGTGGCTAGAATCAAGAATGCAGGCCTTGTTTTTTTTTTTTTGAAAAACTAATTAATCTCTATGGTGGAGAAGAAAAAAGAATCAGATTTACATCTTTTGACATTGCAAGTGTAAGGTCTAAAGATTTAAATTAAGAGAAGAAGAGGTTGAGGTAGGGTGACCCATGGTGTGGTGTCAAAACAGATATGAATAAATTTAACTTATTTATCTACCATATATATGGGTTTTGATTTCCAGCCATCAAGCACTGTCTGTATGTCTTAGAAAGATCTATTCCTTTCATGGCAGCCAAAACACCATGTGAATATGAGCACTTCTAAAAGTTTTTGGCCAGGATTTGTTACTGATATATCATTGGCATAAGCCTAACTATGTCTATTCTCATGGTCTTCCTGGTGTTGTATTAGTAAGCCTAAAATTCATCATAACTATTTTTTCTCCCTTGGTCCAAGGTCCAGGACCTATAGATGTAAGATTTGTTTTATTTTCATCAGATCAGTGAAATGTTATGTATTCATCCAGCCATTTAGAAAATATTTATTTAGTGCATATTATATACCAGGTTCTGGGCCATGATCTAGCAACACAAAAATGAGTGAAATTAGAAACTTGCTTTAAGGAATTCAGGAGAAACAAATAAGGAAGTGAATCATGACAGCAGTATGATAAGGCTGTGATGGTGGTATGAGCATGAGTCAATGGAAACACGTTGCAGAAAGTGCTTAACCTTGTCTAAAGATGTTAGTGAATATGAAGTCTTCCTAACTATGCGAGATGAAACCTGAAGGCCAGGTATGAGGACACTGAAGAGAATCAGATTCCTTAGTTTCTCTGTCCTCCAGCCTGTATTTTTCTTTTGAAAGGCTTCAAATACCAACATTTAAACACACTGTCTTGACTAGGAGGTAATTCCCAGCCTTGCTTTCCTTCCTTTCTTCATTTAGCATATATTTATTAGGTCCCCAAGATAAGCACAGCACTAAACAAGGCACTGGAGATGGTAATGAATGAGATAGACATGGACCTTATGCTTGTAAAATGTGCATTCTAGTAATGCTGCCATAAACATATCATCATCCAAGTACTTGTTGAATCATGATTGTGTTGAGAGCTGTGCAGAAGAGCTATAAGGTGTCTGAGTCCATGTCACAGGGAACCTGGCATCATTGAAGGCCAAAGAAGTTTCTTGAGTGGCTGAACTTTCAACCGAAATCTGGGACATGATTTGGGACTTTCCAGAGAAAAAGTAGGGAAATTGCCTCCCAGGTAGGAGGACAGCTTGAGTGAAGGCTCTGGAAATGAAAAGAAGGCCAGCCAGTGTAAGCCAGAGCTCACAGAAGGCTAGGTGTGGTTCAGAAACTCAGAACAAGGCCAGATCATGAGGAGCCTTGTGGGATGTTTTAAATGTTGGACAAAGGAAAGACACTGAAGATGTTCTTGTTGAGGTAGGAGTTGGGAGACTCCAATATGCATTTAAAAAATAGCCCTCTGCAGAGCTGTGGTGTGCAGATTTGGTCAAAGAACAACTCTTTTGTGGCCCTTTACATACCAGTCTGTCTCTTAAGAAATGCTGAATATAAGATTAAATGGATGCATTCTCAATAGGGACCAGAGCTGTATTGCTGACATCTGGCTCCTGCCAGCTGTTTGAAGGAACTCAGCAGTCAGCAGAAGATACCATAGAGGCAGGCATCTTTCGGGGAGCATCATGAAAATTGTGTTATTTGGTCATTGGTTTTACTCTGCCACTCGGTCTTCAGCCTTGCTATTATCTGCCTTCATTTAGAAAGCACTTAGCAAGGTTAAACAATATGTGATTTTGAGCTAAGGTGTTAAGGGCTGATTATAATTTATAATGCCTCCTTCTCAGAAAACAGTTGCATTTTTAAACACCAGCTTTTAGTTTAGAGTCTTTGCACAGCCTTGAGTTTTATGGCAGTATCAAATACTATGGCAGGAATGTAAGAAAGATAACTCAAAATAGAAAAAAATTTCCAGATGTTTTTCATATAAGATCATCATTTAACATTTGAGCAGTGTTTTCTAAGGATTACAAAATATTTTTACATAGGCTTTAATCCTTTTAACAACCTTGTAGGTGGGTAAGTGAGAGGACTGAGGTAGAATCATCTGCTTGATTCCCTCTACAGCACATAGTAGGATACTGTATCTTGATGGAATTTAGGCTGACATAAGTATTATATATGCAATAAGGATATCATATTTATTTACTTATATGCCAGCTTTTGAAACAAAAAGATACATGAAACAAAATTATTATAATAGTATCATAAAGAGAAATTATGAACTAGAAATAGAAGTAGAGATCTGCTCATTCAAAGGATTGGAATTATTATAACTCCATATCAAATAGAGTTATTGACTTCCTGGAATCCAAGTCAAAAAGGAAATCTAATGGATCCCTTGGTTTTGTAGTCAAGAACAGGTGGTGGTAAGGAGCATCAACATTTTTTATATTGTTGGCATTAAATTTTGAAAAGTCTTTTTCACACATTTTATAGAATGGACACTGAATATTGAAATGCACAATAGGCTCAGGGGCTGTTATTTTCCAGACAAAACCTACTTGAATTGCAGCCCTCTCTGTTCTGATTTCCAGGTCGGGACACTGTAAGGGTTTGTTCCTATGTCATCTTGCTGGACCTTCGTCTTTCCTTTCTTGCATCTCTGTGGGAGATCTTACCTGCAGTTCTCTATTGGCTACACTCCTGCCTCCTTACTGCTTATGCTTTTGCCTTTTCTGTCTTCTCTGTTGTCTGTTTCACTCTGCTCAGTGCCTTAGAAATGTCAGGACTGCCTTCCTCCTGCCACTCTTTGGGGGATGCCCACGTGGTGGTGCCGACCTACCCTTGAATCCAAAGTACCCTTGGGGGTGAGTCTCCCCATTTGGAGTCACATTGCCCTCTTTCTTTCCATTCTGGCCAATATTTCTTGTTCTTCTGGCCTGCTTTTGGAGGAGGAGGACCCACAGGAGTGTGGCTGGTTCCCTAGTGATATAGTCTCTTCAGCTTTGTGATACTTATGGCACCTGCCCAAGCCTTGGGCTTCATATACCTCAGCAGGTCTGACATATTTCTCAAATGTAGCCATTCCCTCAGGAATTCTTTTTTCTCTAGTTTATGCCTCACGGTCAATCCAATATGTCTGTACAAAATTGAACCTCACTGTGAACATGCTTAAAATTTATTCCCATGAGGATCTTTTGAACTAATGAGAAGAGTGGGTAGGGCTTGGTAGTAGAGTGTTTATAACTTAACATGCAAGCATACTTGGGACTCAGCTCTGAGCCAGCTGGGATCTCATTGCAAAAGGATGAAGAGGTGGACTTCAAATACTATTTCATGTAATAACCTCTGATAATAGTCTTTAAACAGCAATTCAATGAAGAGTGTTCTATGAGGCTAATGTGGTACCAGTACATAGCCTTCCAGCTTTTTAACTTGCTCCAAGGAGTGGCTTTCGATAGTAGAGGAGCAAATGGATAGTTCTGTAACCATGCTTACTTATCTGAGACTGGAAAAATCGATTCTGCATCTTATTTCTACCATGTGGTCATAATTGATGTTGTGACAAATGTGGAAGAACAAAGGAAACTTTCTGTTTTCTAGTTGAAATTCCTAATGGTCATTTTCTTGAGAAATTCTAAACAGTCTTCCTAAATAGCCAATCTCATTTCCTGCAGCCGTATTCCTGATTGAGAACAGGGAGAGATTAATGGAGGATGGCTGTGGTTCAGTCTTATTGGGCAGCTGTGATAGATTGAATGCCACCAGCTGCATAGCACTAGGTATTCTGGCAAATCCTGTTTCTGACAATATACTATCCAGAGTATTGATTATGCTAACCTCTAGTTGTAAATTCATGTCTGGAGTGAATACTTGCAATAAAGCCCATTTGTCAAGCACAGGCTTAATCAAAGATTATAATTGGCATTAATGAGTCCTCAGTAAAAGAACAGGTTTGGAGTACCAGTTAAAGATTGGTCCATGTGAGTGCATCCATCAGTAATCACCATCTGGAATGGAAGCTGACAGCTGTGCAGGGAATTAGGGAAGTGGCTGCTGGGATACTTTCCTTTTTGATGGGCAGGTGCCCAGAGTCCTCATTATAAATTATGCTTGGATTGAGTGGATGACCTTTTTGGCAAAGCTAGTACTATCATCCTTTAATGTTTTCTTGTGAGAAATCCATTCTGAAGAAAATTTTAAAAGCTTACAAAGAAGAAGCAGAGGGTCAGTTTAAACTTAATTCCAGAACTTTGAATTTGCCAATCATGATTTTGCAGATATTTTGCATGCACATTTGGAAAGCAAAATCAAGACCTCTTTCTACTTCTTCATCCAAGGATCAATGTCAAAAATATTGAAGGGACCATTTTCCCTTTCATTGGATTTTATCTTTTGGGTATCATCTGTGTCTTAATTCCATTACATTAAAGAGATGACCTTTTTCTTCTTTGGCTTTCATCTTTTCTCCCTTTGGTCACCCTCTTATCCATGAGACTAGAGTTAAAGTGGGCTAGCAACTGTTTTCATCTGGCAGAAGACTGTATCCTGTCTTTCTCTGTGGCTCTGGCCCAGCAGTCTCATTTCTGTGTGAACTCATTGGAGAGTGTAACCTCCTGTTGTCCTGGGAAACACCTGGATGGAAGGGCGGGTGACCCCAGCCACCCCCACTGCTGGCAGCAAGGTGGGACAATGGCTGCAGAGCTCAAGCCTAGAGGTCCTACTTCTGCTTGAATATGCTGAGGGGCACAGCTTTCTGTTGCACCAGAAACAGCCAGAGGACAAGGTGAACAACTCCATCCACCTCCTCCCTCTCATAGTCAGAAGGACCACACTTGCTAGAAATTCCAGCCCAGTGGTTCTGCCTCTGCCTGAACCCTGTAGGCAGGCACAACCCTGTGTTCCCCTGAGAAGCACTGAGACAGCAGATAAGGGCCGACTCAGCAAGGATATGGCCTGTCTGCCAACTGCAGCCCTTGCCTGAAGGAGCCCCATGAACCAGAACACCCAACAAAAGAAATGCAGGCATGGAGACAGTAATCAGAGAGGGCTCGTCCAAGACCCAAGAGCAGACTAGAATTAAAGCCAGTTGACTAAACCCACCTTATGCCACAACCAAACAACCAATGGCACCAAAGAATATTAATCCAAAAAAAAAAAAAATCCAAGGGACAGCAACTTCACAGATTGAAGGAATGTCAGCACGCACAGATGAGAAAGAACTAGCATGGGATCTCTGGCAACTCAAAAAGTCAGAGTGTTTTTTTAACTCCAAACAACCACAGTAGGTCCTCAGCAATGGTTCTTAACCAGGATAAAATGGCCGAAATGTCAGAAATATGATTCAGAATATGGATAGGAACAAAGATCATCGACATTCAGGAGAAAGTCAAAACCCCATCCAAGGAATCTAAGAAATATGGTGAAACAATGTAGAAGATAAAAGATGAAATGGCTGTTTTAATAAAGAACCAAACTGAATAGACAGAGCTAAGAAACTCAACTCACTTCAAGAATTTCATAGTACCATTGCAAGTGTTAATAGGAGAATTGACCAAGCTGAGGAAATATCTCAGAGCTTGAAGACCGGTTCTCCAAAATAAGTCAGGCAGGCAAAAATAAAGAAAAAACAATAAAGAAGAATGAATAAAACTTCTGAGAAATATGGGATTATGTAAAGAAACCAAATCTATGACTCATTGGCATTCCTGAAAAAGAGGGAGAGAAATCAAGCAAATTGGAAAACATATTTCAGGATATCCTCCACAAAGATTTCTTTAACCTCACTAGAGAGGACAACCCTCAAATCCAGGAAATGCAGAGAACCTCTGTGAGATACTATATAAGAAACCATCCCCAGAACACATCATTATCAGATTCTTCAAGGTCAAAATGGAAAAAAAATGTTAAAGGCAGCTAGAGAGAAGGGGCAGGTCACCTACAAAGGGAACCCCATCAGGTAAACAGAAGGCCTTTCAGCAGAAACTCTGTAAGCCAGAAGATATTGGGGGCCTATATCCAACATTCTTAAAGAAAGGAAATTCCAACCAAGAATTTTATATACAGCCAAACTAAACTTCATAAGTGAATGAGAAATAAGATTTTTTTCAGACAAGCAGTTGCTAAGGAAATTCACTACCACAGGACCTGCCTCACAAAAGGTCCTTAAGTGAGGGATAAATATGGAAAGAAAAGACCATTACCAGCCACCACAAAAACATACATTGACACTCTAAAACAACCACATAATCAAGTATGCATAATAATCTGCTAACAACAAGATGACAGGGTCAAACCTGACATATCAATATTAACCTTGAATGTAAATAAATGACCCAATTAAAAGGCACAGAGTGGCAAAGAAGCAAGACACAACTGTATGCTGTCTACAGCGTATGCATCTCATGTGCAGTGATACCCATAGGCTCAAAGTAAGGGAACGGAGAAAAATCTACCAAGCAAACAGAAAAAAGAAAAAGCAAGGGTAGCCATTCTAATTTCAGACAAAACAGACTTTAAACCAACAGTGATAAAAAAAAAAAGACAAAGGTATTACAGAATAAAAAAGTGTTCAATTAAACAAGTAGACTGAACCATCCAAAATAGATATATACCCAACACAGGAGCACCCAGATTCATAAAGCAAATTCTTAGAGACCTATAAAGAGACTTAAATAACTGCACAATAATAGCGGGATATTATTTTATTAATAATTACTTATGATTATTATTTATATTAAAATAAGTATTGATTAATAAAGCTCTGGACTCTAACGAGACCACACATCATTGCTCATTTTGTCACAAGTCAGCCTTAAGTACAGTGTTACTCTATACTGTGGAAGACTTTATAAACCCAACCTGAAATACTTGAGTGTGTTTATAAAATATTTTCTTAAATTCAAATGTGTTAAATCACATAAGTATTTCTGTTCGAATGAGGCCAGTGTTAGGTCAATATAAGGTAATGATGGGACTACTTAGTGGTGCTGTTTGTTGAGGAATATTCTGTTAACTTTGGAGAGTTTTAGTAAGACATTGGAAGAATTCAAAACTGTAGTACTCTTATTCCATAGAAATTACTCTTTTCAATTTAAAGATTGTATCAGCTCTCTTCATGAGTGGAGTAGACATGGCCTTGATAATTATTAATTATTTGTTAATAATAATTGCTACATTTATATGCCTACTATGTAGGCTTGTGCTACATAAAGTACATACCAGCTCATGTAACTTTTCAAACAATTCTGTAAGGACAGATGTTACTATCCAGATTTCACAGATGAGATTCTAAGAGGTTAGACTGTTTATTTTCAGTAACACTATTAGTAAATGGTAGAAATTAGATTTGAACCAGTGATTGCCAGACTCCAAAGCTCATGCTTTTTTTGCTCTGCCTTTATGCTGAACTCATTTTTCTCAGTGTCTTAGCAGCAATCTCCTTGGTAGGATGTTTGGTAGGTCCTGTGAACATAGGTAAACATAGGTATGGGTATATGCATGGTTTGCTGCCTTTGTCTTCACACAGTAAACTGTAAATTTCTAAGATCCTTTTTATGTTCCAAACTGATATTTTAAAAACTTAGTTAATAAGAGATATCATCAGCAGGGTCATCTTATTATGAGAGGAAATAAAATATAGCTCTTTTCCTCAATCTCTACACATACATACATGCAAATATAAGGAGAGAAAAAATTCTTAAAAAATACTTTTGAATACATTATTTAACCTTTAATATTTACATTAACTAAATTACACATGAGCTTACTGTAATATGTTAGAAGATTGGCTCAAAATTCATCCCATTTATGTTGCAGTTAATTCTATGGTATTTTTACCCCTTGTATTTTGAAGTTTCCACTTGCTTATGTAAGAAAGTATTTTTTTAGAAAAACAATTTATAGACATTTTTAAGAAAAATACCATTAAATTTTATTGTCATAATTTACAACACAATACTGCAACTAAGTAGTTTATCTTAAAATGTTACCAGTTATTATAAATCAAGAATATTAAACACTGTCTTTAATGAAAAGGCTCATTACATACTAGTTAGTGGTTCTAGCCACTGAACGAATTTTCATTCCATCATCAATTTTGTTTGGTCTTTAATAGCATCAGTTGAGATATACCTCATGTTTAAGAACAAATAAAAAGAGAGCTTATTCAATCATTTGAGCAGCTCAAATGAACAATGTAGACATTGTGTGATAATTTAATTTGCCCAGTTGATTAGGTTCCACTAATCTCCCCCTGCCCTAAGTGGCATAATGAAAAAGTTCAAGATGATTCATTATTTCATTAAAAATTATATAGATTCACCTATCTACTCCTCTCTCTGACATACTTTGGGACAAGTTTACTCAGGAAACCTACCTTTTTTGTTATATTAGCTCATGTATGTGGTGGGTTTTATTATTGTTGGGGTTTTAAAAGTTAAATATGAAGTAATTCTGCACAGGAGGTGAGACAGGAAGCAAATAGGTATTTCTCTTGAGGTTGGAAATTTGCAGTGGTTATCTGCCTTAATAAATTACACAGATGGGCTGTGGAAATATTTGTTAATGAGAGGAATCAGTAAACTAGCAAAAACAAATATATGAAAGTAGGGAGGTTGTTTTCAACCAGGAATCCTCTTCTTTTCCCATCTTCTATGGATCCTGAGTGTTGTTACCTCATAGCTCCTCTGTCAAGAATGGAAAATAAAAAAATCGTACACCACCAAAATAAAATGTAAACATAGAATGGGGCAACCTTTCCAAATTTTACAAAATATGGTTCATATTATGAGAAACACAGTGGGCTAGGAATCTGAATCTTGGTTAAGAGGCCTGTTTCTGCTGTATCCTGGCTGTGCCTTCTCAAGGAAAGTCGTCGAATAATGTGGGACCTCTGTTATTTCTAGAGGTAGGATGGTAATTACAGCCTCTTAGCAACCTTGTTTGCTAAGATCGAGTGAGTGTTTGTAAAACAGTTTGAAACCACAAAGTACTATCTAAATGACATGGATTATGATGCTGAAGCCAGATTACTTGGCTGCTTTTCCAGGGACTTGAACTTCTGAGTGTCCTTTCTTCCTAACTCTTGGTCAAGAGAAGAAGCACAGATGTTAAATTTCACCATAACCACTGGAGATGGTAAGGATGGTAAGGACAAATTAGCCAAGTTAGTGAAAAATCTAGAAAGTTGGAGAAGGACCTCATAAAATCTTTTATGATCATAATTGAGGTGCTTTTCCCCCTTGATGTGGTTTGCCTGTGTCCCCATTCAAATATCATCTTGTATTGTAGTTCCCATAATCCCCATGTGTCACAGGAGGGACCCAGTGGGAGTAAATTGAATCATGGAGGCAGTTACCTCCATGCTGTTCTTGTGATAATGAGTGAGTTCTCATGAGATCTGATGGTTTTATAAGGTGCTTTTCCTCTTTGGCTTGATACTTCTCCTTACTAACATCATGTGATGAAGGAAGTGTTTGCTTCCCCTTCCACCATGATTGTAAGTTCCCTGAGGCCTCCTCAGCCATGCAGAACTGTGAGTCAATTAAGCCTGTTTCCTTTACAAATTACCCGGTCTCAGGTATTTCTTTTCTTTTCTTTTCTTTTTTTTTTGAGATGGATTCTAGCTATGTCACCCAAGCTGTAGTGCAGTGGCACAATCTTGGCTCACTGCAACCTCTGGCTCCTGGGTTCAAGCGATTCTCCTGCCTCAGCCTCCTAAGTATCTGAGACTACAGGTGTGCCCTACCACACCCAGCTGATTTTTTGTGTGTGTGTGTGTTTTTAGTAGAAACTGGCTATGTTGGCCAGGCTGGTCTCAAACTCCTGGCCTCAAGTAATCCACTCACCTCGGCCTCCCAAAATGCTGGGATTATAGGCATGAGCCATCATGCCCATCCTCAGGTATTTCTTTATAGCAGCATGAGAATGGACTAATACAGTAAATTGGTACCACAGAGAGTGGGGTGCTGCTATAAAGATGCCTGAAAATGTAGAAGTGACTTTGGAGCTGGGTAACAGGGAGAGGTTAGAACAGTTTGGAGGGCTCAGAAGAAGATAGGAAAACGTGGGAAAGTTTGGAACTTCCTAAAATCTTGTTGAATAACTTTGACCAAAATGTTGATAGTGATATGGACAATAAAGTCCAAGCTGAGGTGATCTCAGATGGAGATGAGAAAATTATTGGGAACTGGAATAAAGGTGATTCTTGTTATGCTTTAGCAAAGAGACTGGTAGAATTTTGCCCCTTCACTAGAGATCTGTGGAACTAGGAACTTGAGAGAGATGATTTAGGGTATCTGGCAGAAGAAGTTTCCAAGCAGCAAAGCATTCAAGAGGAAGCAGAACATAAAAGTTTGGAAAATTTGCAGCCTGAAGATGGGATAGAAAAGAAAAACCTATTTTCTGGAAAGAAATTCAAGCCTGTTGCAGACATTTGCATAAGTAAAGAGAGGCCAAATGTTAATCAACAAGGCAATGGGAAAATATCTCCAGGCCATGTCAGAAACCTCCACAGCAGCCCCTTCCATCACAGGTCTAAAGGCCTAGGAGAGAGAAATGGTTTCCTGGTTTGGACCCAGGGGCTTCCTTCTCTATGGGGCCTCGGGACATGGTGTCCTGTGTCCCAGCTGCTTCAATTTCAGTGATGGATAAAAAGGGCCAATGTACAGCTCAGGCTGTTGCTTCAGAAAGTACAAGCCCCAAGCCTTTGTGGCTTACATGTTGTGTTGGGCATGAGGGTACACAGAAGTCAAGAATTGAGGTTTGGTAACATCTGCCTAGATTTCAGAGGATGTATGGAAATGCCTGGATGTCCAGGCCACAGTTTCCTGCAGAGGTGAGGCCCTCATGGAGAACCTGTGCTAGGGCAGTGCAGAAGGGAAAGGTGGAGTTGGACCCTCCTCCACATATAGTCCCCACTGTGGTATTGCCTAGAGGAGGTGTGAGGAGAAGGTCACCACCCTCCAGACCCCAGAGTGGTAAATCCACTGACGGCTTACACCATGTACCTGGAAAAGCCACAGACATTCAACGTCAGCCCATGAAAGCACCTGAGACGGGGGTTGTACCCTGCAAAGCCACAGGGGTGGAGATGCCCAATGCCATGAGAGCCCAGCTCTTGCATCAGCATGACCTGGATGTGAGACATGGAGTCAAAGGAGATCATTTTGGAACTTTAAGGCTTAATGACTGCCCTAATGGATTTTGGACTTCAAGGGGCATGTAACCCCTTTATTTGGCCAATTTCCCCCATTTGGAATGGGTATACTTACCCAATGCCTCTACCTGTATTGTATCTAGGAAGTAACTAACTTGCTTTCAATTTTACAGGCTCATAGGTAGAAGGGACCTGTCTTGCCTCAGATGAGACCTGGGACTTGGACTTTTGGGCTAATGGTAGAATGAGCTAGACTTTGGGGGACTGTTGGAAAGGCATGATTGTGTTTTGAAATGTGAGGACATGAGATTTAGGAGGGGAAAAGGGTGGAATAATGTGGTTTGGCTGTATCCCTACTGAAATCTCATCTGGAATTATAGTTCCCATATTTGCCACATATTGTGGGAGGGACCCAGTGGGAGGTAATTGAATCTTGGGGGTTGTTCCCTCCATGCTGTTCTTGTGATAGTGAGTGAGTTCTCGCAAGATCTGATGGTTTTATAAGGGGCTTCTCCCTCTTTGCTTGGCAATTCTGCTTCCTGCCACCATGTGAAGAAGGATGTGTTTGCTTTCCCTTCTGCCATGATTGTAAGTTTCTTGAGGCCTCCCCAACCATGTGGAACTGTGAGTCAATTAAACCTCTTTCCTCTATAAATTACCCAGTTTTGGGTATTTCTTCATAGCAGTGTGAGAACACACTAATACACCCCTCCCAGAGAATCTGAGTGAATGAAACTTTTGGCTCTGAAATCAGACAGACCAGAGTTTGAATCCCATCTCTGCCATTTACTGGCTTTGTAAGCTTGGGAAAGTCACTTTATCTTTTGGCCTCAATTTCCTCTTTTGTAAGTTGTGGTATATTGCACCTACTCTCTGTGTTGTGAGAGTTAAATTACCTAAATATCCCAAATATTTATCTCATTGACTGGCTTATATCAAGTGCTCAATAACTGCCTGCTACTATCATTACACAGAATATCTTCATCATGATCAATAAGTAGATTCACTGGGCATGTTCTAAGACCAAATCTCACAAGCCAGGATGCTCCCTTTCAGGAAATTCTCAGGCTAGACCTGGAAGCCTGCAGGCTTCTCATAGTCTGGGCTGCTGCCACATATTCAAATTTTTGCCTTCCTTCCTGGAGCACAGGAATCTTACATATAGGAGTCCAGCCCCTGAATCATCTCAGCTCTGTGCTAGTGGTCCCCTCAACTCTGATTCATTGTGAGTATGGCAGTTTGCCATAAATTGTGCATGCATACCTGTGGACATGTATATTTATATAAGAGAAATCATGTATGAAAAATTAGAGTGAATCATGAGTGAAGGCTCCTCAAAAGAATAAGAAAGGAGTGAATACACTCATTTTCCAGTCTCCGTGGATGGGCTTCATAATGGCCTCAATCAACTCTCAACCTGTCATTTTGGTCTCACTACAGGCTAGCTATCTTCCTGTTCACTATCACATTGCCCCTGCCTCCTGGTTTCCCCTAAACTTTGTGTGATTTTGAAACTTGGAGCCCTGTGCCTTTCTTGTCTCTTACCTGCCTAATGAGTTCCCACTCATCCTTTAAGACCCAGGCCAAATACCACTCTTTGGTGAAATCTTTTCTCATGTCATCTAGACTGATAGTCTATGCCTCATTTATGTTTTCTGGCATTGAATAAATAACAAAATAAAATTAAGTGTTAAAGACTATTATGATTGAGAAACTACTACATGCTAAGGAGTCATCAGGCTTTATCTTATTTGATGCACATATAAACTTATGTCCATTTTACAGATGACAAAATTAAGATTCAGAATATTTAAATAATTTGTCCAGCATTACAAATACAGTAAGCAGAGTTCAATGTACGTCTAAAGCTTGTGCTCTTACCTACCAGGGCACTATTTATTTTATGGCATGGTTACCCCTCCAATAGGCTGAGATTCCTCATTTTTATTCCTCTTGGGAGCCCTCTTTGGCACATAATATGAGCTTAATAATTGTTTACTGAATAAATATTGATGTAAATCCTAAATAAATATTTGTCAAGTGAATAAAGGCTAAGCAGTAGTTTTTAAATTTAGATGATTTGATATGCAGTATTCCTTATTACTGTAGTACATTAATGGCCCTGTGATTTCACAGTTAGATTATTATTTCTTCGTGTGTTTACTTATAATAAAGACCATATTCTGAAATAGCTATAGGTCCCATGGATTTTAGTCTTTAATGTATGCTATTATATAATGCATAATATAAAGTTAACTATAGAGAATTCTTTTTAATTTCTCTACTTCTTTAATTGAAGATGGTTGTATATGTGGAGTGGGAAGATAATATGTTTTTGTCCTTTGAGATTTGCTGTATGAGTGTCTCTTCATGGTTTCAAGAAACAATTATCCTGCTAGGCACAGGATTTGTAAAAAAAAAATGAAGTCATATAATAATAAGTGGCTTCCTCCTCTGTGTACCTCCACTAGGAGGTATACTTGGGATTTGATTGTTGAATTTGGACTTTGAAGCTTACTTCAAATGGGAACCAATCATAATCCCAAAAGACACAATTCTTGCAGCCATAATGGCAAATGTTGAAATCTCAAAACAGCAAAGTCCCAAAAATATAATTCTGAAAAAAAATATTTAAAAATTCTTTAGAAGACATTTACTTACATTTCAAAAAGGGGGTTTAGTTGAGAAACATATAAAAACAGAACTGAATGCTTCATAGGGTATTTTCACAATAAAATAGGCAATAATAGCATATGTATTTTTGCAAGCACTCAAGTATACTAACAACAGTTGCATGGGTATAAGAATTATGAGCAGATAAATCATGTTCACAAAGACATAGGTCAAAAAAGGACATGTATAAATACGTATATCACTATGTTTGGTAATTATGTGCACCCAGATTTACAACTGCAGTCATCTGAAATACTATGACAAAAAACCTAACCCTTTTGATGAGATCTATCAAAAATTGCAGTGGATCAACATTGCATATATAGTCACCCAAAAAGCCAAGAACTCAAGAAATTTTATCTTTTATAAATGCAGATGTACAATGATATCTCTCCATTTGTTGAAAAGTTTCAACATTTTAACATACACATACAGTGCTTACACACAAAATCAACATTGTGATAATGCCTTTTCATGGAGTCAAATTTGCAAGAAATGCATGAACAAATTAGAACTCTCTAAATGTCTCTACACAATTATACCATTGTTGGAAAGGATGCAAAGATAAAATATGTAGAATAGTGAATTGTAAAAAAAAAAATGGCTGCAATTTATAATAGAAAAAAATCCTAAAAAAGGAAAAAGAAAGAAAAGCAATACCCTCTTGTCTTAACATATTTGTACTATTAAGAATTTATTGCATTAATTTAAGTGAGAGACAATGGCAGGTATAGAATGTTTCTGTTGGTGATGACTGTAATGCTACTGGGGGTGGGAGAAATTGATGGATTTGATCATTATATTTAAGAGGTAAATGGACAGATTTGGTTATAGCATAGAAAAAGGGACTATAAGGTTGGCTTCAAAATCCCTTGCTTGCTACTTGGATTGGTCATGATTTTATTCTCTCAGATTAGGAACAAAGGAAGAGCCCAGAGTTAGAGGAGAATATTGTGGTTTTATTCTTAGATTCACTGATTATGTTTTGATGGACTTCTGCATAAGGGAAATGGTAGGGCAATGGCAAAATGTGATGTGAAGATTTCAGCCACATTCACTAATGTGTTTATTGACAATGTTTTTATTTCTCTTGTTTGTTGCCACGTAACTTTTCTGATGTCTTTAACTGATCATGGATTCCTTGCTGACATAGAGGACCTCAGGATAAATTGCCTGTTTATTGCTTCTTAATGTTCTAAGACCTTGTTCTTTAGAAGATGTTACTGCCTGCTTGTTCAGGTTCTTTTTTTTCTGCTAAAAATACACAGTGACTCTGACCTAAAACATGGGAACCATTTGAATCAAAATGGTAAAGCGTCTTTCCCTCAATAGTTCTGCTAGGGGTAAACCTTGTCTTTTTAAAAAATAGACTTTCATTTTTAGAAATTTTAGATTTTCAAAAATACTGAAGAGATAGTACAGAGAGTTTCAATATATGCCAACAGACAGTTACCCCTATTATTAACATCTTATATTATCTACCACTACAGTATCATACAGAATATTTTCTAGAATCCTTTCAAACAGGGGTGGTATTATTTACTCAAAGGGGGTAAAAGCTGCTACTAAGAGGCAGGAAAGAATGAACCCTCAACCACCTCACTGCTCTGAAACTCCAAAACTCAAAAACTAGCACAAATAGCTAAAAATAGAAAAAGAAAACTCCATGGATAATAAAATAGCCACCACAAACCCTTATTTAAACTCCGGAATCTTTGTGAGCTACAGTGAAATTTGAATCAAATCCAAAGAGGAAGCCCAGGTTGATAGCATCTGCCCTATTTTTGAGGAAACAGCAATTTTCAAGAATGGTCTCTAAAAGGCCATATAAATGCTCCACTCGACATGACTACTAATGTGGGTGAACTGGAAAGATGCATTCCCCTTGAGGCTCATTTCTTCACTACAAAACTTTCAAAGAGGTGGGAATAAAAAGATCACATGGCTGTACCATTTTTATTTTTTTCAACTCAGCTTTCTGAATTGGAGTGGCAGCCTGAAGGCCAGGCTTGGCCATAGACACAGATCTAGCTTCGCCACTAGTGGGCAATATTAGCTGAACAGAAATAAACATGCACTGACCTTCTGTGCAGAAGTTTCTTAGATGCAGAACTTTGTGGTTTTACACCCTGTCCACCCAGGGAGATCTGCTGTTTAAGAAGGAAAACTTCTCTTTTCCCCACAGGACCAGCTATTTCCCCTTCCGATACACACATAGAAGCTTTAACACTATAAAATCAGATGAAGGGGGAACACTGACCATATCCACTTCAAAGAATGTGGATATATTTCTTTATCCAGATCAAGCAGTGTTTAAGACCATAGTCTAGGATGCTCACAGTTAATTTATTTGCTTTCAATTTCATCTCTCTTAGGCCTAAAATGGATGTTCTTCCTTTCTGGCATGTAAAGATAAGCAGAGTTCACACATAGGAAGTGCAAGTCCAGAGGAATTATCAATGCTTTGAGGCTAAAATCAGCTTCTTTCTCCATTGACAGACTAAAACATATCACCTGTCCAGAACTGAGAGTATAGTGTTCTCTTGAAAAGGGCCAGATGGTTTTGTCAATAATTTACTCTGACAGTGTAGAAATAGCTGGGCTCTAGGAAAAGATCCAGGTTTCTGATGCTCATTTTGCAATTATAGCCCTTCTAAATCTTATTCTTAGCTGCTATTAGTTTTAAAGCCCCTAAAATGGAACAGCCCTGTTAGGCTATCTTTAGTCAATAATTCCTTTCCCATTCTAAAACAATTTAGTGCATTATCTTGGGCCAAGAATAGGAGAAGGGATAGTATTTTCCTTAAATGATGTTACTAATGCAATGGGCAATGTTAGTGAACCTGTTCCTCAAACTGTCTCTTGAGTAGAAGCTATCAGTGCTGTCAATCTTACACATCTTAGCAATCAAACAGATATGAGATTAAGATCACCAAATGCTGACTGCAATTCAAATGTGAGCTTTACTTCCTCTGAGTCTTTTTTGGAATCCTGAGTTTTTATCTTTAGAGGAATTATTAATATTAACACTGTAAAATTAACTCATAGAATGTTAGTGCTGGGGGTACTTTAAGAATACATAACTCAATCCCTTTGCTTCACAGATGAATAAACAGAATTTCAAAGGCTGAGTAATTTGCCCTAGGTCACAGACTGGTGAGAAGCAGAAAAGAGACTAGAGTGAGAACTCTTAGAGAAATGGTCTTTAACTTTCTCTGTTTTGTCACTGTTTACACAAGCCTAGGACCAGCAGACTCCTAGCTATTTGCAATTTGCCTTAATGCTCATTTGCAGCTGGGACTCAGTTTATATATCTGAAAGTTGGGATAAAAATGCCTCCCCCCACAGTGTATTTGTGATTCTAGTGAGAAGTGTGTAAAATGGCTAAATGTGTACATATATGTGTGGGGTGGGGCGGGGGTGCGGGGTGGTGGTAGTTGAAATTTTGCATCTGCATCAATCTTGAATCTTGAATCCCTTTATATTTCACAAGTCAAATACTCTAATAGCCCAGCATTCAGCAATTATTTTCAGATTACGTTAATGTGTTTTTTTCCTTCAAAGCACTTCACTTGTAGATATTGCAGTCTGTTTATATGTGGTGCTGAAATGAAAAGGTTATTATTAGCTTGGAAGTAAGCAATGCCAGCTATAGAGTGTTTTATTTTACTTGGATATTATAAGCTAAGATGATGAGAAAGGCTTGCTGTGGGAGCACAGAATTTTCCATCTTTCTGCCATCCTGACTTTATTCTCAGCTTGTTCATTCTTCTTGCAGTATTTCTAGAGAGGGAGGAACATTTTGAGTTTGTGGGCTTCAACGGTTTGATTCCAATTATAGGTGAGTTTGGAGTCTCTTGTGTCAAGGCATCAGGTCCTCAATAAATGAGTCTGTGGTCATCAATCAGTAGACTAGCAAGCAGAAAGACAAGAGCATGTCTTTATCTACTTTCTTGAGCTTGAAGAGAGGGGCTGTCCTATTCCCCTTTATGTCTCCAGGGCTTAGTGAGAATGGAATAAGTACATTTTGAAATAAAAAGACTGATACTTCTTTGCTTATACCTGAAAGTGGAATTAATTCCAGATGGATAAGTAAAAATTAAAATGTCAAAACAAAACAGAAAAGTGCTGGAGTAAAATATTGGTGAGTATTTGTTTAAATTTGGAGTAACATCATAGGCAGAAACCACATGTAAAGTTTAGATAGTTTTTATCAGGTAAAAATAAACAATTTTTGTATAAAAAATCCAATATGAAGTTTAAAAGGAGACTCTAACTTGAGAATGAGATTTGGAATTGCACAGCACAGGTAAATCCTCATTATCAAGAATTCTTAAAAATCAGTAAAAGTAATGATTATTCATCCCAATAGAAAAAATGAAATAAGGACAAACAGGCAATTCACTAAAGAAGAAACATAAGTGCTTAATAAATATGAAAACATATTAAATATTATCAGTAAGAAAACTTGCATATTGGAGAACAACAATGAAGCACTATTTGTAACTATTTAACTGGCATAGATTTTGAGAACATAGTAATACTCAGCTTGGCAGGAGCATCCCTCTCACGCACTACAAGGAGGATTCTGTGTGGTTAAGAACATTTTACATTATGTATACAGTTTCATAAAATCAAGTCTGTTTTTTGATCCAACAATTACACTTTTAAGAAATATGTGGAAACGTGTGCAAAGTTATATAGGCAAAATATTTACTAAAGCATGGTTTATAATATAAGAAAAGTTAGAAACAGCCTAAATGTTCCAAAACAGGAGACTTATTCAATAATTTATGATATATAATATTAGAATCTTGCAATTATGATAAAATAAATCATATGGTTTTTGTCCTTCATTCTGTTGATGAGATGTATCTCATTTATCAGTTTGCATATGTTGACTGTCCTTGAATTCCTGGGATGGGTCCCATTTATTCATGATGTGTTATCTTTCTGATATCTGTTGGATTCAGTTTGCTATTATTTTGTTGAGGATTTTTGCATCTATATTCATCAGGGATATTGGCCTATAATTTGTTGTTGTTGTGTCCTTGTCTTATTCTGGTATAATGGTTATGCTGGCCTTGTAGAATGAGTGAAAGAGAACACTTTCCTGTTAAATTTTTTGGAATAATTTCAGGAGATTTGGTATTAGTTCTTCTTTGTATGTTTGGTGGAATTGAGCTGTGAGTCCCTCCGGTCCTGGGATTTTCCTTTTTGAGAGACTTATTACTGATTCAGTCTTGCTACTCATTATGTCTATTTAGGTTTTCTATTTCTACCTATTTCAATCTTGGTATGTTGTATGTTTCCAGGAATTTATCCATTCCCCCTAGGTTTTCAGTCTGTTGGTATATATCTGTTTATAATAGTCTCTGATTTTTCTTTGTATTTCTGTGGTATCAGTTGTAATGCTTCCTTTTTCATTTCTGATTTTGCTTATTTGGGTATACTCTTTTTTTCTTGGTTCATCTACATAGTGGTTTATCGATTTTGTTTATCTTTTCAAATCACTAATTTTTTGTTTTATTTATTCTTTGTATTTTTTGGTCTCTATTTCATTTAGTTCTGCTCTTATATTTATTATTTCTTTTCTTCTGCTAATTTTGGGTATGGTTTGATCTTGTTTTTCTAATTCCTTGAAGTACATTGTTTAGACTATTAATTTGTAATCTTTCTAATTTTTTGATGTAGGCATTTTTTGCTATAAATTTCCCTCAGTACTACTTTTGTTGTATCTCACAGGTTTTGACATGTTATGTTTTTTTTTCATTTGTTTTAATAAACTTTTTGTTTTAATTTTCTTTGTTGACTCAAATGGTTATTGAGGAGCATGTTGCTTAATTCCCATATATTTGTACAGTTTCTAAAATTCCTCTTGGTATTGATTTACAGCTTTATTCCATTGTGTTCTGAGAAAATACTTGATATAATATTGGTTTTTAAAAATTTGTTGAGACTTGTTTTGTGGCCTATAACATGTGGCCTATCTAAGAGAATGTTCGATGTGCCAATAAAAAGAATATATACTCTGCAGTCATTGGATAGAATGTTCTGTAAATGTCTTGTAAGCTCATTTGGTCTAAATTAAGTTTAATTCCAATGTTTCTTTGTTAATTTTTTTTTGTCTAGATGATCTGTCTAACGTTGAAAGTAGGCTGTTAAAATCCCCCACTGTTATTGTATTGCAGTCTATTCAGTGCTTTAGATCTATTAATACTTGTTTTATAAATCTAGGTATTCTAGTGTTGGATGCATGTATATTAAAAATTGTTTTATTCTTTTTCTGGATTGATCCCTTTATCATTATAAGACTTTCTTTGTCTTTTTTTTTTTTTTTTACTGTTTTTGACTTAAAGTTGGTTTATCTGATATAAATATAGCTACTCTTGCTCACTTTTGGTATTCATTTGCATGGAATATCTTTTTCTATTTCTTTACTTTCAGTCTATATGTATCTTTACTGATAAAATGAGTTTCTTGTATGTCCTTATATCAGTACAAGGACATAGAAAACAAGAAAAGGCAAAAAAAAAATGACACCCCCAGAGAAATACAATAATTCTCTAGCAATAGATCTCAATCAAAAAGAAATTTTTTAAATCTCAGATTAATACTTCAAAATATTAATTTTAAAGAAGACTGGTGAGATATCAAGCAGCATATAGCTAAATCTTGTTTTTAAAAATTTATCCAACCACATTTTATATATATATTCAGTGGATAATTTAATCCATTTACATTCAAGATTATTATTGACATATGAGACTGTGTTTTGTTACATTTTTAATTGTTTACTGGTTGTTTCACATATTCTTTGTTTCTCTCTTTTCTCTTGTTTATAATTGTGGTTTGGTGGGTTTCTGCAGTGTTATCATTTGAATCCTTTCTCTTCTTCCTTTGTGTGATTGCTTCACCAGAGTGTTATATTTTCATGTGTTTTCATGATAGTAAATGTCATCCTTTTGCTTCTAGGCTTGGGACTCTTTTGAACCTTTTTTTGTGGGGAATGTCTAGTGGTAATGAATTTCCTCAAGATTTGTCTATCTTGGAAAGACTATTTCTTCTGCATTCATGAAGGATAATTTTGCTGAATGTAGTATTCTTCGCTGGTAGTTTATTCTTTCAGCACTTTGAACAAATTATCTCATTCTCTTCAGGCTTGTGAGGTTTCTGCTGAGAAATGTGCTATTAATCAGAATGGAATTTCCTTTGTAGGTGACTAGACACTTTTCTCTTGCTGTTTTTAGGATTCACTCTTTATCTTTGACCTTAGAGAGTCTGACTACAATGTGCTGTAGAGAAGATCCTTTTGCATTTTATCTGCATGGGGATTGCTGAGCCACCTGTATGGGAAAGTCTAAATCTCTTGCTAGACTTGGGAAATTTATATCAAATTATTTGTTAAATAAATGTTCTAATCTTTTCATTTTCTCTTTGACCACAGCAATACTGATAATTCAAATATTTGGTTGCATTATGTTGTCCCAAATGTTACAAATGCTTTGCTCATCCTTTTTTTTTTTTCTAAAATTTTGTCAACTAAATTTTTGTTTTTTAAATCTGTCTTCAAGTTCTTTCTTAGCTTGATTTTATGTATTATTGAAGACTTTAAATTTATTTTTTACTTCCTGCAATGAATTATTCAGTGCCAGAATTTATACCTGGTTGTTTTAAAAAATCTCTCTGTCTCTTTTCTTTTTTGAGATGGAGTCTCACTCTGTTGCCCAGGTTGGAGTGCAGTGGCTCAGTCTTGGCTCACTGCAATCTCCACCTCCCAGGTTCAAGCGATTCTCATCCCTCAGCCTCCTGAGTAGCTGATATTACAGAAAAAAAATCTATCTCTTTAGTTAATTTCTCACTCATGTACTGAATTGTTTTTTCTAAGTTTTTTGTATTGTTTTTCAGAATTCTCTTGTACCTCACCAAGCATCTTTAAAATTAATATTTTGAAGTATTAATCTGAGATTTTAAAAATTTCTTTTTGATTGAGATCTGTTGCTAGAGAATTATTGTATTTCTCTGGGGGCATCATTTTTTTTTTCTTTTCTTGTTTTCTATGTCCTTATACTGATATTTGCACATCTGGTATAACAGTCACTTCTTCCAATTTTTTGGATTTCTTTTCATAGTGGAGTACTTTTCCCTGAAGATCTATATATATTGCTGGTTAGGTAGGGTGCTTTGGTTTTGATTTTGGGTGCCTGCAGTAGTGTGATCTCTGTATGATTTCTTCAGCTGTCAACAGCCTCAGTGTTATCTGTGACTTCCTTTGTGATTAGGGTGCAGTTATTAGGGGAGGCTGTGATGAAGTTTTGCTGGGGACTAGGATGCTGGTAGGCCAGTCTTTGGGCCCTAGTGGTGGCAGTGTTAGACACAGCATGCCTGTTCTTGGGCCCCAGAGCAGCTTACACTGGCACTAGTGTGAGTGGATATAGGGAGGATATATATATATATATATATATATATATATGTATATTTTTAGGCAGGGTCTCACTCTGTCACCCAGGCTGGAGTGCAATGATGAAAGCTCACTGCATCATCTGCATCCCCGGCTCAAGTGATCCTCCTACCTGTGCCTCCTGGGTAGCTGGAATACAGGCATGTGCCACCACACTCAGCTAATTTTTGTAATTTTTGTAGAGATGGGGTTTCACAATGTTGTTCAGACTGATCTTGAACTCCTGGGCTCAAGTGATCTGCCCACCACAGCCTCCCAAAGTGCTGGGATTACAGGCATGAGCCACCATGCCCAGCCTGAAAGCCTGATTCCTAGGCCTTCAGGTGGCTTGCATGGGTGCTGGTCATGGCAGTGGTGGGCTGGGCATGTGGACATGTTCTTCAGCCACTGGGCAGCTGGTGTGATGTGGCTGATGGCAGTGGGACTGTTGGAGCAACCTACCGGAACCCATGCAGTCCATGCTATGTTGGTGGTGACTGTGACAGGTTGGGCAGGCCGGTGCTTATGGGTTTCAGCTGTGGTGATATTGGCAGGTTGAGTCAGCCAGACCTCAGACCACAGCAGGAGGGATCAGGTGCCAATGGTGGTAGACTTAGCTGGGTAATTTTTAGGCTCATGGGTTGGATGCTCGAGTATTTGGGGGATGGGACCAGGCTGATAAACTTGTCCTCAGGCCCCTTAGTAGTGCATTCAGGTGCTGGCTATGGTAGGAAGAGGTGGAGTGGTCCCAAGGTCACTGGTGGAATGCTCAGGTGTGAGCCCCTCTCAGCTAGCTCAGCGTAGGCAGGTAGTCATGGAGAGTGAAGTTAGCCCACACCTTGGTCTCAGAGCAGTACACAGCAGCAGCAATAAGATTTGTCCTTGCATGTGTGGGAGTATCTAGCCTCATCTCTTCCTTTATGACCCTGTGGCAGCAGCAACAGTGTCAGCCATGCCTCAGGGCAGGATACAGATCTTTAGAGGCTAGGCTCTCAGAATGGTGCCAGTTGAGGGCTTGCCTTTGGGTAGAGTAAAGCCCCTCTCAGCTGGAGCAGCGGGAGCAGATAATTGCGGGAAGTGCAGTTTTCTTGTGCTTTGATCCCATTGCAGCCTACACTGGCAGCAGTGGGATTTTTTCTCAGAGTGCATGGGAATGTATAGCTTCTCATCTTCCTTCTTGGCCCTACAGCAACAACGTCGTCCAAGGCCCAGGGCAGGAGACATATATTTGTAGACTAGGCTCTTAGAATGGCACTAAGATGCAGCTGCTCAGATACCTGTGGGGCTGTGTGTTAGTTCTCTATCTGGAGCAATGTCTCTGTGCAACCTCTAGGCAGCTTCATATGTTAGTCTTGAGGCTTGTGTGGGTCAAGGGGTTCTCTCATAGCTAACACTGTAAAAGACCATGGTGGGAATGTGAAGCCCTGGATATTCCTCTCTTACCCTTTTCTCATGTCTGGAAGCCTCTCCAAGCTCCCCGCCAATCCTGGCTGAGCAAGCTGCCTCACTTCTCTTTCTTTACTTGCTTTCAGTGCTGTCTGTCACTTCTCTGTTGAATCTCACTGTTTTCTCTTAGAAAATTTACTTGCAGTGTGAATATCTACTTACTACTTTGATTGAGCTATGTGTCAGAGGCATGTACTGGCTGCATCTAGTCAGCCATCTTGCCTCCAGTCTGCTAGTCAATTCTTAAGTTCTGTAGTTCACTTTAAAATGCCTCTTCTACCCTATCCACATTTTAGGGGATAATGAGGCAGCTATATAATCCAACCTGTTTAAAACCTTATAAAAATTGGGCTATTTTAATAATATGGGCCACTTACTTGAAAAATGTAGATAATTATGACTAAAATTAGTATCTACTTCAATTCCACGCAGTAAGGCTTGATTTAGTTGATTATTTACATCACCTTGATTCACATATACTGCTATTAAAAGCATGAACACAAGGGCATAGTGAATAGTACATAGGCATTGGAGCCAGGCAAGTGTCAGTTAAAATCCCATAACCATGGATTAATTGCTGTGTGATATTGGGCCAGTGTTTCAACTATTTTGAGAATAATTCTCACTATGATTGAAAATCAAATAGCATGTGGTAGGAATTGAAACTGTCACAGAGTAAAGACTCAAAAAGTGGTAGCAACTGATTACTCAATATATATAGGGCAAGATCTTTAAAAATATATATCTACCTATGACAGGTGATGCCATATTAAATATCAAAGTTTCTTATGCAAATTTACTTCAAGTTTATGTCAAATGTTATTAACTTCCTAACAGGTAAAACAGCAATTTGTCAGAAATGAGTCACAGGAGTATAAAAACCAATAGGTTATATATCTGATGAACTTGCATGCATCTATGTGCATGTGATTGTGTGTGCATGCAGAAGTGTGATTTTTTTTAATGTTTCATTTCACAAGGTCACTAAAAATATAATGGCTCTACAATTAACTACAAGGAAGTATGTTGCAAGGTAGTCCAAGTGCACACACTGCAAGGCAGAGATACAAACATCACATCCAGCAAGCAAATAAGAGTGTATCTGTGCCTGAAACAAGGATACTAAGGTCATCCACAACAGTGGTGTCTAATGGGGTAAGCTAATATGAAAGAGTGAAGCAGCATCAACAGTGAGTAAAACAGAGTGACTGCAACATGTTCTTCATTTTTGTCACTGCTTTTTAATACATTACTTCAGATTTCAATGTAAAGTTTTGAATAAAAGGAATCATTATATACATGTTTTATTTGTTTTTGAAACAGATGTTCTCTCTTTTTGAAGAATAAATCACATTTTATTTCCCTCCAGCTTTATTGAAATATAATTGACAAACAAAATTAAATAAATCTAAAGTGTGTAATATAATATTTTGATTTGTGTATACTATATGAGGACAGGATTTGGGAAGCTTCCAGGTTGGTGAACAAGAAGAACACATCCATGTGTTGGGAGAATGGCACATCTCAGCTTCATAGGAACAGAAACTTCTGTGCTTGATACCCTGCAAGACCTTGCCATTTATATGTACGTGTATGTGTGTGTGTGTGTGTGTGTGTGTGTGTGAGTATATATATATATATATATATATATATATATATATATATATATATTTGCCCTATGCATCTATTTCCTGTGGCTGTTCATCTGTATCCTTTGAAATAGCCTTTATAATAAGCTAGTGAATGTGTTTACCTGAGTTCTATGAGCCACTCTGGCAAATCAAATGGACCTGAGGAGCAAGTTGGGGAACCACAGTTTATAGCTGGTAGGTCAGAAGCACAAGTTATAACCTGAAACTTGTGAATGGAATCTGAAGCAGGGGCAGTCTAGTGGGATTAAGTCCTTAACCTGTAGGATCTGACACTATCTTGAGGTAGATAGTGTCAGAATTGAACTGAATTATTACAGGACACCAAGCTGGTGTTTGCTGAAAAATTGGTTGGTGTGTGTGGAGGTGTCTTCTTTTTTTCTTGGTTAGTCTAGCTAGAGGTTTGCAATATTGCCTACCTTTTCAAAAAACCATCTCAGTTTTGATGATCTTTTCTATTGTGTTTTGTCTTAATGTCATTTATTTCTGCTCTAATCTTTATTATTTTCTTCATTCTGCTTATTTTTAGCTTAGTTTTTATTCTTTTTTAGTTTCTTAAGGTGTTATGCTGGGTTCTTTTTATTATTATTATTATTATTATACTTCAAGTTTTAGGGTACATGTGCACAATGTGCAGGTTAGTTACATATGTATACATGTGCAATGCTGGTGTGCTGCACCCATTAACTCATCATTTAGCATTAGGCATATGCCCTAAAGCTATCCCTCCCCCCTCCCCCCACCCCACAACAGTCCCCAGAGTGTGATGTTCCCCTTCCTGGGTCCATGTGTTCTCATTGTTCAATTCCCACCTATGAGTGAGAATATGCGGTGTTTGGTTTTTTGTTCTTGCGATAGTTTACTGAGAATGATGATTTCCAATTTCATCCATGTCCCTACAAAGGACATGAACTCATCATTTTTTATGGCTGCATGGTATTCCATGGTGTATATGTGCCACATTTCCTTAATCCAGTCTATCATTGTTGGACATTTGGGTTGGTTCCAAGTCTTTGCTATTGTGAATAGTGCTGCAATAAACATACGTGTGCATGTGTCTTTATAGCAACAGAGACATAGATCAATGGAACAGAACAGAGCCCTCAGAAATAACGCCACATATCTACAACTATCTGATCTTTGACAAACCTGAGAAAAACAAGCAATGGGGAAAGGATTCCCTATTTTATAAATGGTGCTGGGAAAACTGGCTAGCCATATGTAGAAAGCTGAAACTGGATCCCTTCCTTACACCTTATACAAAAATTAATTCAAGATGGATTAAAGACTTAAACGTTAGACCTAAAACCATAAAAACCCTAGAAGAAAACCTAGGCATTACCATTCAGGACATAGGCATGGGCAAGGACTTCATGTCTAAAACACCAAAAGCAATGGCAACAAAAGCCAAAATTGACAAATGGGATCTAATTAAACTAAAGAGCTTCTGCACAGCAAAACAAACTACCATCAGAGTGAACAGGCAACCTACAAAATGGGAGAAAATTTTTGCAACCTACTCATCTGACAAAGGGCTAATATCCGGAATCTACAATGAACTCAAACAAATTTACAAGAAAAAAACAAACAACCCCATCAGAAAGTGGGCAAAGGACATGAACAGACACTTCTCAAAAGAAGACATTTATGCAGCCAAAAGACACATGATAAAATGCTCACCATCACTGGCCATCAGAGAAATGCAAATCAAAACCACAATGAGATACCATCTCACACCAGTTAGAACGGCAATCATTAAAAAGTCAGGAAACAACAGGTGCTGGAGAGGATGTGGAGAAATGGGAACACTTTTACACTGTTGGTGGGACTGTAAACAAGTTCAACCCTTGTGGAAGTCAGTGTGGGGATTCCTCAGGGATCTAGAACTAGAAATACCATTTGACCCAGCCATCCCATTACTGGGTATATACCCAAAGGACTATGCAAGGTTCTTTGAGCTCTTTCTTCCTTAACTTGGCATTTGTTGGCTTAAACTTGCCTCTTAGAACTGCTTTTGCTATATTCCATTGGTTTTGGTAGTTGGGTTTCCATTTATGTTTGTCTCAAGGTATTTTTAAATTTTTCCCTTTTTGTTTCTTGTATGACTCAAATGGTCACTCAAGAATGTGTTGTTGAATTTTCACATTTTTGAATTTTTTTGCTTCAGGGAAACAGAAAAACACAAGAAGTTTTCAGTAACTGATAAACACAATAATTTTTTAGTAATTGACATTAAAGAAATGGAGATCTATGAAGTACCTGACAAAGACTTTCAAAATAATTATTTTAAGTAAACAGTCAGCTGCAAGAGAACACAAATAGACAACTCAATAATACCAGGAAAAACAATACATAAAAAAATTAGAAGTTATACAAAGAGATATAAATGATTAAAAAGGACTAAACAGAAGAAGCTGAATAATGCAACGAATGAGATAAAAATGCAAGAGAAAGCTTCAACATCAGACTCAAGCAGAAGAAAGAAAGAATCTGTTAACTCAAAAATAGGTCATTTGAAATTATCAGTCAGAGGAGAAAAAAGAAAAGAGTGAAGGAAGGTGAAGACAGTTTATGGAATTTATAGGACACCATCAAGTGGACTGATACACAAATTATGAAACTCATGGTATAAGAAAGAAAGATAAAGGAGATAAAAGCTTACTTAAAAAATAATAGACAAAATCTTCACAAATATTGGGAAGGGTAGGATGTCCAGGTTTATATACCTCAAAGGTCCCCAACCCAAGAACGTAACACCAAGATATATTATAACCAAGTTTTCAAAAGAAAAAGAGAGAATTTTGAAAGCAGGAAGAGTAAAGCAACTTGACACACAAGGACATTTTTATAAGACTATCAGAATATTTCTCAGTAGAAACTGCACTCCAAGAAAGAGTGAGCTGCTATATCCAATGTGGTGAAAAAAAAAAAAAAAAACTGACAAACAAGAATACTATGCTTGGCAAAGCTGTTCTTCAGAAATGGAGGAAAGATAAAGATTGTCTCTAAAAGAAATGCTGAGGAAGTTTGACATCACTAGACCTTCCTTACAAAAAGTGCTGAAGGAAGTTCTTCAAGGTATAATAAAAGATGCTAATTATTAGTGTAAAAACCTATGGGAGTATTAGGTTCACTGATACAAGTATATAGTCATACTCAGAATAATCATCAGGATATTGTAATCCTGTAATGATATTGTAAGGATGGTGTGTAAACCACTTTTAACTATAGTATACAAGTTAAAAGACAAAAGTATTTTTAAAAGACTATAGCAACAATAATATATTACATGACACACAATATAAATAGATGTAAATTGTGACATTAATAAGATAAAGTTTTTGGAGGGGGAGAATTAAAAGTGTAGAGTTTTTTATGTGATTGAAAAGAAGCTTATTTTCAAATTAAAACAGATATTTATAACTACAATATGTTTTATGTAAGCCTCATAGTAACCAAAAAATAATTTTTTAGCAGATGGCAAGATGGCCAAATAGTAACAGCTCCCATCTGCAGCTCCCAGTGAGATCAACACAGAAAGTGGGTGATTTCTGCATTTCCAGCTGAGGTACGCAGCTCTTCTCATTGGGACTGGTTAGACAGTGGATGCAGCCTATGGAGGTTGAGCCAAAGCAGGGTGGGGCGTCGGTTCACCCAGGAAGGACAAGGGAATTCCCTCCCCTAGCTAAGGGAAGCCATGAAGGACTGTGCTATGTGGAAGAGTGCATTTCAGCCAGGATACTACAATTTTCCCACGGTCTTTGCAACTCACAGACCAGGAGATTCCCTTGGGTGCCTACAAAACCAAGGGCCTGGGTTTTAAGCACAAAACTGGGCGACCGTTTGGGCAGACACTGAGCTAGCTGCAGGAGTTTTTTTTTTTTTTTTTGTATACTCCAGTGGCACCTGGAACACCAGTGAGACATAACTGATCACTCCCCTTAAAAGGGGGCTGAAGCCAGGGAGCAAAGTGGTCTAGCTCAGTGGATCCCACCAACATGGAGCCCAGCAAGCTAAGATTCACTGACTTGAAATTCTCGCTGCCAGCAAAGCAGTCTGAAGTAACCTGGGATGCTTGAGCTTGGTAGGGAAAGGTTTGTCCACCATTACTGAGGCTTGAGTAGGCAGTTTTCCCCTCTAACTGTAAACAAAGCCATTGGGAAGTTTGAACTGGGAGGAGCCCACCACAGCTTGGCAAAACTGCTGTAGCCAGACTGCCTCTCTAGATTCCTCCTCTCTTGGCAGGGCATCTCTGAAAGAAAGGCAGCAGCCCCAGTCAGGGGCTTATAGATAAAACTCCCATCTTTCAGGGACAGAGCACCTGGGGGAAGGGGAAGCTGTGGGCACACCTTCAACAGACTAAAACATTCCTGCCTGCTGGCTCTGAAGAGAGCAGTGGATCTCCCAGCATAGCGCTCATGCTCTGCTAAGGGACAGACTGCCTCCTCAAGTGGGTCCCTGACCTCCATGCCTCCTGACTGGGAGACACCTCCCAGCAGGTGTTGACAGATACCTCATACAGGAGAGCTCCAGCTGGCATCTGGCAGGTGCCCCTCTGGGATGAAGTTTCCAGAGGAAGGAACAGGCAGCAATCTTTGCTGTTCTGCAGCCCCTGCTGGTGATACCCAGGCAAACAGTGTCTGGAGTCGACATCCAGCAAACTCCAGCAGACCTGCAGCAGAGGGGCTTGACTGTTAGAAGGAAAACTAACAAACAGAAAGGAATAGAATCAACATCAACAAAAAGGACGTCCATACAAAAACCCCATCTGAAGGTCACCGACATCAAAGACCAAAGGTAGATAAATCCATGAAGATGAGGATAAGCCAGTGCAAAAAGGCTGAAAATTCTAAAACCAGAATGACTCTTCTTCTTCAAAGGATTACAATTCCTTGCCAGCAAGGGAACAAAACTGGACAGAGAATGAGTTTGACGAATTGACAGAAGTAGGCTTCAGAAGGTGGGTAATAACAACTCCTCTGAGTTAAAAAAGCATGTTCTAACCCAATGCAAGGAAGCTAAGAACCTTTAAAAAAGGTTAGAAGAATTGCTAATTAGAATAACCAGTTTAGAGAAGAACATAAATGACCTGATGTAGCTGAATAACACAGCATGAGATCTTCATGAAGCATACACAAGTATCAATAGCCAAATCAATCAAGCAGAAGAAAAGATATCAGAGATTGAAGATCAACTTAATGAAATAAAATGTGAAGACAGGATTAGAGAAAAAAGAATAAAAAGGAATGAACAAAGCCTCCTAGAAATATGGGACTATGTGAAAAGACCAAACTCACGTTTGATTGGTGTACCTGAAAGTGATGGGAAGAATGGAATCAAGTTGGAAAATACTCTTCAGGATATTATCCAGGAGAACTTCCCCAGCCTAGCCAGACAGACCAACATTCAAATTCAGGAAATACACAGAACACCACAAAGATATTCCTTGAGAAGAGCAACCCCAAGACACATAATCCTCAGATTCACCAAGGTTGAAATGAAGGAAAAAATGCTAAGGCAAGCCAGAGAGAAAGGTAAGGTCACCCACAAAGGGAAGCCAATCAGAATATCAGCAGATCTTCCTGCAGAAACCCTACAAGCCAGAATAGAGTGGGGGCCAATATTCAACATTCTTCAAAGAATTTTCAACCAAGAATTTCGTATCTAGCCAAACTAAGCTTCAGAAGCGAAGGAGAAGTAAAATTCTTTACAGACAAGCAAATGCTGAGAGATTTTGTCACCACCAGGCCTGCCTTATAATAGCTCTTGAGGGAAGTGCTAAATATGGAAAAGAAAAACAAGTTCCAGCCACTGCAAAAACATGCCAAATTGTAAAGACCATCAACACTATGAAGAAACTGCATAAACTAAGGGGGAAAATAACCAGCTAGCATCATAATGACAGGATCAAATTTACACATAACAATATTAACCTTAAATGTAAATGGGCTAAATGCCCCAATTGAAAGACACAGACTGGCAAATTGGATAAAGACTCAAGACCCATCAGTGTGCTGTATTCAGGAGACATATCTCACATGCAAAGACACACATAGGCTCAAAAAAAAGGATGGAGGAAGACTTACCAAGCAAATGAAAAGCAAAAAAAAGGAGGGGTTGTAATCCTAGTCTCTGATAAAACAGACTTTAAACCAACAAACATCCAAAAAGACAAAGAAGGGCGTTACATAGTCATGAAGGGATTAATGCAACAAGAAGAGCTAACTATACTAAATATATATGCACCCAATACAGGAGCACCCAGATTCATAAAGCAAGTTCTTAGAGGCCTACAAAGAGACTTAGACTCCCACACAATAGTAGTGGGAGACTTTAAGATCCCACTGTCAATATTAGATCAACGAGACAGAAAATTTACAAGGATATTCAGGACATGAACTCAGCTCTTGACCAAGTGGACCTAATAGACATCTACAGAACTCTCCACCCCAAATCAACAGAATATACATTTTTCTCAGCACCACATCACACTTATTGTAAAATTGACCATATAATTGGAAGTAAAACACTCCTCAGTGAATGCAAAAGAATGGAAATCATAACAAACAGTCTCTCAGACCACAGTGCAATCAAATTAGAACTCAGGATTAAGAAAGTCATTTAAAAGTGCACAGCTACATAGAAACTGAACAACCTGGTCCTAAATGACTACTGGGTAAATAAGAAAATTAAGGCAGAAATAAATAAGCTCTTTGAAACCCATGAGAACAAAATCACAACATACCAGAATCTCTGTGACAAAACTAAAGCAGTGTTTAGAGGGAAATTTATAGCACTAAATGCCCACAGGAGAAAGCCGGAAAGATCTAAAATCAACATCCTAACCTCACAATTAAAAGAACTAAAGAAGCAAGAGCAAAGAAATTCAAAAGCTAGCAGAAGACATGAAATAACTAAGATTGGAGCAGAACTGAAGGAGATAGAGGTACGAAAAACCTTTCAAAAAAATCAGTGAATCCAGGAGCTATTTTTTGAAAAGATTAACAAAATAGATAGACCACTAGCCAGCCTAATAAAGAAGAAAAGAGAAAAGAATCAAATAGACAAAATAAAAGATGATAAAGGGGATAAGACCACTGATTTCACTGAAATACAAACTACCATCAGAAAATATTGTAAACATCTCTATGCAAATAAACTAGAAAATCTTGAAGAAATGGATAAATTCCTGGACACATACGCTCTCCCAAGACTAAACCAGGAAGAAGTCAAATCCCTGAATAGACCAATAACAAGTTCTGAAATTGAGGCAGCAATTAATAGTCTACCAACCAAATATAGCTCAGGACCAGACAGATTCACAGCCGAATTTTACTAGAGGTACAAAGAGGAGCTGGTACCATTCCTTCTGAAAATATTCCAAACAATAGAAAAAGAGAAACTCTTCCCTAACTCATTTTATGAGGCAAACATCATCCTGATACCAAAACCTGGCAGAGACACAACAACAGAAGAAAATTTCAGGTCAATATTCCTGATGAACATCAATTCAAAAATCCTCAATAAAATACTAGCAAACTGAATCCAGCAATGCATCAAAAAGCTTATCCACCATGATCAACTTGGCTTCATTCCTGTGATGCAAGGCTGGTTCAACGTACACAAATCAAAAAACATAATCCATCATGTAAACAGAACCAATGACAAAATCCATGATTATCTCAATAGATGCAGAAAAGGCCTTCGATAAAATTCAACACCCCTTCAAAAACTCTCAATAAACTAGGTATTGATGGAACGTATCCCAAAATAATAAGCGCTATTTATGACAAACCCACAGCCAATATCATACTGAATGAGCAAAAGCTGGAAGCATTCCCTTTAAAAACTGGCACAAGACAAGGATGCTGTTTTTCACCACTCCTGTTCAACATCGTATTGAAAGTTCTGGCCAAGGCAATGAGGCAAGAGAAGGAAATAAAGGGTATTCAAATAGGGAGAGAGAAGCCAAGTTGTCTCTGTTTGCAGATGACATGATTGTATATTTAGAAAACCCTATCATCTAAGCCCAAAATCTCCTTAAGTGGACAAGCAACTTCAGCATAGTCTCAGGATACAAAATCAATGTGCAAAAATCACAAGCACTCCTATACATCAATAACAGGGAAACAGACAGCCAAATCATGAGTGAACTTCCATTCACAATTGCTGTAAAGAGAATAAAATACCTAGGAATACAACTTACAAGGGATGTGAAGGGCCTCTTCAAGGAGAACTACAAACCAGTGCTCAAGGAAATAAGAGAGAACACAAATAAATGGAAAAACATTCCATGCTCATGGATAGGAAGAATCAATATTGTAAAAATGGCCATACTGCCCAAAGTAATTTACAGGCTCAATGCTATCCCCATTAAGCTACCACTGACTTTCTTCACAGAATTAGAAAAAGCTACTTTAAATTTAATATAGAACCAAAGAAGACCGCTTATAGCCAAGACAATCCTAAGCAAAAAGAAAGAACAAAGCTGGAGGCATCGCGCTACCTGACCTCAAACGATACTACAAGCCTACAGTAACAAAAACACCATGGTATTGGTAACAAAACAGATATATAGACCAATGGAACAGAACAGAGGCTTCAGAAATAATGCCACACATCTACCACCATCTGATCTTTGACAAACCTGACAAAAACAAGCAATGGGGAAAGGATTCCCTATTTAATAAATGCTGTTGGGAAAACTGGCTAGCCATATGCAGAAAACTGAAACTGGTCCCCTTCCTTACACCTTATACAAAAATTAACTCAAGATGGATTAAAGGCTTAAATGTGAGACCTAAAATCATAAAATCCCTAGAATAAGACCTAGGTAATACCATTCAGGACATAGGCATGGGAAAAGACTTCATGACTAAAACACTAAAAGCAATGGCAACAAAAGCTAAAATTGACAAATGGGATCTAATTAAACTAAAGAGCTTCTGCATAGAAAAAGAAACTGTCATTGGAGTGAACAGGCAACCTACAGAATGGGAGAAAATTTTAACAATCTAGCCTTCTGACAAAGGGCTAATACCGAGAATCTACAAGGAACTTAAATTTACAAGAAAAAAACAACTCCATCGAAAAGTGGGTGAAGGATATAAACAGACACTTCTCAAAAGAAGACATTTATGTGGACAATAAACATGAAAAAAAAGCTCATCATCACTGGTCATTAGAGAAAGCAAATCAAAACCACAATTAGATACCATCTCATGCCAGTCAGATTGGCAATCATTAAAAAGTCAGGAAATAACAGATGCTGGAGAGGATGTGGAGAAATAGCAACGCTTTTACACTGTTGGTGGGAGTGTAAATTAGTTCAACCGTTTTAGAAGACTGTGTGGTGTTTCCTCAAGGATCTAGAACTAGAATTACCATTTGACTCAGCAATCCCATTATTGGGTATATACCAAAAGGATTATAAATCATTCCACTATAAAGACACATGCACATGTATGTTTATTGCAGCACTATTCACAATAGCAAAAGCTTGAAACCAGCCCAAATGCCCATCAACGATAGACTGGATAAAGAAAATATGGCACATATATACCATGGAATACTATGCTGCCATAAAAAAGGATGAATTCATGTCCTCTGCAGGGACATGGATGAAGCTGGAAACCACCATTCTCAGCAAACTAGCACAGGAACAGAAAACCAAACACCACATGTTCTCACTTGTAAGTGGGAGTTGAACAATGAGAACACAGGGACACCGGGAGGGGAACATCACATACCAGGGCCTGTTGGGGGATGGGGGGAGTAGGGGAGGGATAGCATTAGGAGTAATACCTAATGTAGATGACAAGTTGATGGGTGCAGCAAACCACCATGGCATGTTTATATTTATGTAACAAACCTGCACATTCTGCACATGTATCCCAGAACTTAAAGTATTAAAAAATAATAATTTTTTAAAACCTCCAGTAGATACACAAAAGTAAAGACAAAGGCATCAAAGCATATCAATATAAAAAATTATAAAGTCACAAAGGAAGACAGCAGAAGAGAAATAAAGGAAGAAAAGAACTATAAAACAATCAGAAAACAAGGAAATAGCAATAGTAAATTCTTACCTATCAATAATTACTTTAATTGAAAATAGTTTACATTCTCCAATCAAAAGACAGAATGAATTAAAAGACAAGATCCAGTAATATGCTTCCTACAAGATACTTCTTGTAGCTTTAAGGACACACATAGGCTGAAAGTGAAGGGATGAAAAAAGAAATTCTATGCAAATAGCAGCCAAAAGGGAGCAGAAGTGGCTTTAATTATATCGTACAAAATTGACTTTAAGAACTGTCACAAGAGAAAAAAGAGGTCATTATATAATAATAAAGTGGTCAATTCATCAAGCTGATGAAAAAATTATAAATAAATATGCACTCAACATCAAAACATCTTAATGTACAAAGCAAATATTCACATAATTAAAGAGGGAAATTATCAGCAATACAATAATAATGGGAGAATTCAATACCCTGTTTTCAACAATGAATTAATAATACAGACAAAAAAGTCAGTAAAAAAACAGTGGACCTGAATAACAATATAGACCAAATAGACCTGAAGACATATACAGAATGTTTCTTCCAACAATAGCAGAATAGTACTGTGATTTTTACGATTTTAGGCCTTAAGAGATTTTGAGACTTTAGAATTTCAACATTTAAGATTATGGCGTTTGTGACTGTGTCTTTTGGGAGGCGTTTGTGACTGTGTCTTTTGGGATTACGACCCAACTCATATTGCAAATGCTTTCTCCCAATTCTTGGCTTACATTTTCAGTTTCTTCTTTATGCTCTTAGAAAAACAGCTGCTTTAATTTTTAAAACTCTAATGCATCAGTTTCTTTTTTTTTCTTTTATAGTTAATGCTTTTTTTCTGGTCTTCTCTAATAAATCATTGCCTATGGGTCTATGACCCATTTTGATAGTGTGTGGTAGGAGTTTGAGGTTACTATTTTTTCATATGGATACATAATTGTTCTTTCACCACTTGTTAAAAGCTGATTCTTTCCCTATTAATTAATTTTGATACCACTATCAAGAATCAATCAACTTTATATATGTAGGCCTTCTTCTAGACTCACTATTATGTTCAGTTAATCTATACCTACTCCAATACCACATTGTTTTATTACTATAAAATGCAAAACTATAAACATATACGAGACAAAACAATGGCTTTATAGTAATTCTTGAAATGAGGTAGTATAATTATCCAACTTTGTTCTTTTTCTTCAAAATTATCTTGGATACTGTAGGTTCTTTACCTTTCATATGAATTCTAGTATCAGCTTGTGTATTTATACAAATAAACCTGCTGGCTTTTTATTGAAATCACGTTGATCAATTTGGGGGAGAACTGACACTTTAATAATGCTGTGGCTGACTGCAGTGGTTTATACCTGTAATCTCAGCACTTTGGGAAGCTGAGGTGTGAACATCACTTGAGCTCAGGAGTTGGAGACCAGCCTGGGCAACATACCAAGACCTCTTCCTTACTAAAAATTAAAAAAATTAGCCAGGTATGGTGGCACATGCCTGTAGTCCTAGGTACTTAGGCTGAGATGGGAGGATCGCTTGAGCTCAAAGATTGAGGCTGCAGTGAGCTATGATCATGTTACTGTACTCCAACCTGGGCAACAGAGCAAGACCCTGCCTCAAAAAATATTTTGAGTCTTCCAATTGTGTGTTGTTGTCCAATGTCTGTAAATATATTTTCACGTATTTTTGGAGCGTTCATGTGGTGTCAGTTTCTCTGTCATGACAGGAGTGGAAAGCTGACAATTCTAATTTTAAACAGAATTCTGAAGAGGCCATTGCCAGTAATTTTTCTCTAACTGCAAATAAAGTTTTACTAGTTTTAGTTTTAATACTTCCCCCCATCCTTTTGACATAGAAAAGCAGAAAAAAGACAAGAAAAACCTAATTAAGATAGATTGCCAAAATTCATCACTGTAGAGGCAGGCCAGGTAAATGAAAGGGAATAAGGTTAGAAGACCAAAGTTTGAGTTTTGGTTCATTTTAAGCTGGTATGGTCTTGGGTAAACTATGTAATGTCTTTTAACTTTAACTTTCTTATTAGAAAACATGGGGTTAATCCTCCTGTAATTTTTCCACAGGGTTATTTTAAGTCCCTTGTAAAATAGTGCATAGATATGAAAATACTCTGTAAACTCTAAGGCACTGAACACAACTAAAAATTACTTTTGTAATTGAATAAAATAAAATTCTGTCCTCTCAGACAACTCTTGTTTTCTCTCTACCTCCCTAATTATCTGGATATTTGGCTCAGGATTCTTTCATGCCTCTTATAGTTTGCAATAAGAGAGGGAGGATGTTGTAGCACTTAGTTGAAAAGAAACATTCTCCAAAGCATTTGCCCTGTAGGGAAAATTTTCTTCCTCTCTATGGAATTATGCCTGAGAAATAATATACTTTGGGCTTTCAGCCAATCAAGAAACCAACAGCAAGAAAACATGTTTACTTTCACTTAGAAAGGAAAAAGATGGTTTTGATTTTATAAGATTTCCTTATTTAAAAACTATTTGTGCATGTTTTTAAAAGTTTAAAATTAAACTTTAATTATTGCTTATAAGAAACTTTAATTATTGCTTATAGGAAAGTGTCATGACTGAATTTGTTGATTACAGAAATTATTCTGGTTTTGGTATTATCATCTCCAGGAGACTTGAACCCCATGACTTTTCAGAAATGCTTACTCATTCAATAAGCACTAGCCCTGTCTCAGTGTATTGAATGAAACAGAACCTACAAATACTTTGCTTTCCCTAATTATTCCTTTATATTATGAAGTTTGGAATCCAGACACACTTTTTTCTAATCTTAGCTCCTTCTTTTATTAGTTATTTAACCACTCTAGGCATAAGTTTCCTTATCTATGGAATGGGCTGATATAAATAAATACAAACACACAAGGTTGATTTGGGATTGAATAAATTAATAATATAAAGCATTTAGAACAATGCCTTATATGTGGTAAGATCTCCATAATGGCAGGTTCAGAGTAGGCATTCAATAAGCATTATTATAAAAACACTTCATGTTATTTTTTGTGATGTTCTTTTAGTGTACATAGTACAAGACTTATTTGGCAAGAATTATTCTAAGTTTTGAGGACCTGAACTGGGTAGACAGGAATCTTGATATTCACAAATAAGTTTTGTTCCAGAAACAAGGAACTCCTAAAACTCACCCTTCACCAATTTGAACATGTCAGTTGTTTGGAAGAATAGAATAGCTAAGTTTATGTGATTTACAACTTGGACCCTGGCTCCTAAGAGTTGAAAGTCCCTTCATTAGTTTTAGACATTCCACTGGCTTTGTAAGTAGGAAAACAGGAATGCCTCTGCATTTTTGGACATGTCTTTTAGACATGTCCCAGGCTAGGCTGGGAGTTGTGAAAGGAAAGGGATGGGATTCTTTCCACCCTACAATGACATCCACAGTGTCCACAGTGATTCCCTGTCACCTTATACATACCTTAAATGAATGTAACTCTCTCTGTTGCAACTGCTTATTTTACTAGGTCTGATTTCCCCATTAGTCCGAATTCTTTGTGGAGAAAAGGGAATGCATATTCACCACTGGTGGGAATGTAAATTAATTCAGCCATTGTGGAAAGCAGTTTGGTGATTTCTCAAAGAAGTTCAAATAGAATTACCATTTGACCCAGGATTCCCATTATTGGGTATATACCCAAAGGAAAGAAAATCATTATACCATAAAGACACATGCATGTGTATGTTCATGACAGCACTATTCACAATAGCAAAGACATGAAATCGACCTAAATGGCCATCAGTGGTAGACTGGACAAAGAAAATATGATACATATCTACCATGGAATACTATGCAGCCATAAAAAAGAATAAGATTATGTTCCTTGCAGCAACATGGATGGAGCTGGAGGCCATTATCCTAACCAAACTAATACAGGAACAGAAAATAAAATGCCATAGGTTCTCATTTTATAAGTGGGAGCTAAACATTGAGTGCACATGGACACAAAGAAGGGAACGGATGCTGGGACTTACTTGAACATGGAAGGTGCAAGGAGGATGATGATTGAAAAACTACCCATTTACTATGCTTATTACCTGGGTGATGAAACAACCTGTACACCAAACCCCCCACAACATGCAATTTAGCTATATAATAAACCCATGCATGTACACCTGAACCTAAAATAAAAGTGTTTTTTTAAAAATACATTCTCTACACAGTGGCCAGAGACGTCTTTAAAAAATACAAGTCTGATCACATATCTTCCCTGCTTAACACTCTTTAATGGCTTCTCATTGGACTTGTAGTCTAAGCCATATCCCATTGTTCTACCTTCTTACTTCAGCCCTTGCCAACCTTCCAGTTGTGTTTGAGGCCACTCTCCCACTCATTTTCTGTGCTCCAGTCACTCTTAGCTTTCTTTCAGGTCCCCTGCCATGCCCTTTCTAGCTTTAAAGCCCTTTGCACATATTTTTTTTTTTTTCCCCTCTGCTGGTGCTGTCTTCCCCATTAGTTTTCCCATACTGGCTTTTTCTTGTTTTCAGATCCTCCCTGGGAACCAATCTAAAGAAGAAGCCCTCCTTTAATTGGTATCTCAGGACCCTGTAGTGTGCTTCTTAGCACATACTATTGTTTCTTAATTTTGTATTTATTCGTTTATTTATTCATTTATTCATTTATTTAGAGACGGAGTCTCACTCTGTCACCAGGCTGGAGTGCAGTGGTGCGATCTCGGCTCACTGCAACCTCCGCCTTCCGGGTTCAAACAATTCTGCTACCTCAGCCTCCCGAGTAGCTGGGACTACAGGCCCAGCTTTCTACTTTCTTGACCTCATGATCCACCCACCTCGGCCTCCCAAAGTTCTGGGATTACAGGCATGAGCCACCGTGCCCGGCCAATTTTGTATTTATTAATGAGCTCTTTTTGTTTGCTTTCTTGCTAGTAGCATGTAAGTTTTATGAGGTAAAGAACATGTTTATCTCTATTATATTCCCAGGGCCAAGGACAGTGCTATTTCTAGTAAGTATTTATTGAAATAATTATATATCAGTTGAAGTTTTCAAATTTAATTTGCATTTGTTTTTCTGTCTTGCTAGGCAGAGAACCAAGCATTTGGAGGTAACATACACTAACATAGAAATGTGTTAGTAGATGTGAGTGGCTAGATTTTGGCTAAACCAAAATTAAGTCCTCTCAATGCTACATGTTCAGACTTCTCAATTTTTGTTTAGCCACGAGGGCTTTATGTCTTTCAAGAAGGAATGCATCAGATCAAAAAGAAGTTATAAAGAAACAAGCTAACCAAGTTTTCAGTGTGGAGAGCTGAAGCCCTATTCTCCTGGTCCTAAGAGGTCCTTATATGTATGGAAAAAATAACCTAGTATCTCTATATAAGAGGGATATTTGAGATAATGAAATATAAACTCTTGTGACAAGTGCTTTCAAATGGACTGAGAAGGGTAAGGAGATGTATTATGGTTAACCTTATTCTCAGATAATTTTTGATCCTACGGACATTTTCTAGCCATTTTTGAATTATCTCAGCAATTCACAGACAGGAGCCAAGAGCTATTAATATTTATTTGGAGTGAAAAAGAGCATGCCAAGAAATTAGAATAAATATCTTTTCTCAGCAGACTCCAGACCATAAAATGATCTGTATACAAACAAAAATCGATCAAAATAAATCTCAACCTCAGTGTACACACATCTCCTGTTGAGGATGGTGAGCTCCAGCGCCACATTATGGTGGTCTCTCCAAATTGGATTGGGCCACCTGCATGTTATATCCTTATTGGACACAGCAATGCTTTCTAGATTACATTTTAGTGTTTTAATTTATTTGTATGAGGAAGGGAGGGCAGCACATGCCATCGAGAGAACTTCTCAGCACAAAGATAGTTTTGTATTTCTCCCTTCAGACAAAAGCTTGGCAAATTATAACTTTGAAAGGCTTAGTTTTACCAAGGGGACAATTGCTATGGCTTGATGAGTTTAAATCAATATCCAAACGTCAGTGCTTTCCATTCCCTCTTATGTCCAATAAAACAAAATAGGGTGCTTGCGGGCAAGTGAAGAAGAAACCAAAGCATTTTTAAGGGGCGTCTGCCAGTGGAGTAGCAAAATGTCTCTCTGTTCTCAACTGCTATTGTTGTGGACAACAAAAATAATCTGGGCCCAGTATTTACACAGCATAAGCTATGTACTAAAGTTTATTGGGATACATGTGCAGAGTCTTTCAGAAGGTGGAACAGGAAGTTTCAGTTGGTTTCTATAGTGTAATCAGCTATCCAGGAAGAAATTTCAAGAAAGAGTGCTACCTAAATTGTTTCTCTAGAAATGGAATTTATGTTGCCTATAAAACTGTTTTCTCATTAATAGGTAACTTCCTCCTTAGTAACTTTGGTAAAAAAAATGTATGTAATAGGCTTTGAATGGTTTTCTTAAATTTTATAATAATCATTAACGGGTTTCTTCCTAGTCAATGTCAATTACTAACACAGCTACTGTGCTATATTGACTTATTAAAGGGAGATAATAATGGTATGGAACCTGGGGCTTGGAAGCAAAAGGCCTTGTTTTTCATTTCAATTCTTGGACTAAATAGTAGTGAGATCTTGACCAATATATTTTGAGCCTCAATTTTTGCATATGTAAAATGGGGTAAATAATAATTTTAGAGATGGAGTAAAAATTAACTGTGATAATGCATAAAAGTGTTTAGTACTACGCTGAGCATATAGAAAATGCTCAACAGACAGTAGTTAATAATTCCAGTAACAGTGACAGAGGTTGCCTTAACTGAGTTAACTTTTTAAGTCAAATGTCTAATTGGATTGCACACATAAATATAGTCTTAAAACCAAACACAATAACAATAAACAACAAAAAGTCAGCACATATTTTTTTCAGTCTTTTCTGCTTATGGTACAAATATCCTAAATTATAATATCTCCTTGTTTTCTATTAACAGTGATCGAAAAAAGGCATATTGTTCCCAGCATTATTCTTTCAGCATTATAGCAATACAGACAAAATCAAGTGGAGAATGCCATTATGATGCGTGCAGGGAAATGTGTGCTTCTGGTGTGGCTTATCCAGAGGGCCACTTTGTGCTAACCTAACTCCTGGGTCATTGTTCAACACTTAGCTTCAAAAGCTGTTGAGTGGACCATCCCGGCTAAAATGGTGAAACCCCGTCTCTACTAAAAAAAATACAAAAAATTAGCCGGGCGTAGTGGCGGGCGCCTGTAGTCCCAGCTACTTGGGAGGCTGAGGCAGGAGAATGGCGTGAAGCGGTGAGGCGGAGCTTGCAGTGAGCCGAGATCCCGCCACTGCACTCCAGCCTGGGCGACAGAGCGAGACTCCGTCTCAAAAAAAAAAAAAAAGCTGTTGAGTGCTGATGGGTTTTGATATGTGACAACTGCAGGCAGGAAATGCCAAGTGCAAGTAGTTTAAGGAGCACTCAGGAAAACTATTCCCTGACTAAAAGTACAATGAGACATTGCATCTTCAATCCAATCCAGTGTGTAGCCAGACTAAATGGAACAGAAGAATAAAATGTATTCCATTCATAATGAACTGAGACTGCACATAAAAGAATCTTCTAAATATCCAAATGGTTAAGATGGATTATATTTCCCTTTGGGAAAGGAAGTAGTCAAAGGGATAGGTCTGATGAACTGAGTTTATTAAATTGGCTTTTGGTGGTGATGAAAATGGTATTGACAAAAGGCAGTGGTATATATTTCACACACATTTGCAGAGGTGATAAACAAAGTACTGCTCTGGTAAAAAGTTGAGATGCTTTATATTCTGACACCTGGACTCTGGTGGTATGCTTATCATCCAGAGTTGTGCTCAGCTTCAAGAAACTAAGGTGATTTTATGAATAAGCACCTTTAATCATCGGTGGAGTTACTTTTTAAAAATTATTTATTTATTTATTTATTTATTTATTTATTTATTTATTTATTTATTTTTGAGATGGAGTCTCGCTCTGTCACCCAACCTGGAGTTCTAGAGTGCAGTGGCACGAATTCGGCTCACTGCAACCTCTGCCTCACGGGTTCAAGGGATTCTCCTGCCTCAGCCTCCTGAATAGCTGGGACTACAGGCGCCCATCACCACACCTGGCTAATTTTTTTGTATATTTAGTAGAAATGGGGTTTCACTATGTTGGCCAGGCTGGTCTCAAACTCCTGACCTCAGGCAATCCACCCACCCCAGCCTCCCAAAGTGTTGGGATTACACGCATGAGCCACTGTGCCCAACCTGGTGGGATTACTTTTTAACTTCATACAACTATGCATTACTTGAGACAAGATTCGGGAATAGGAGGGGTGGACACCACTTTCTTCAGTTGACATTATCAGGGAAATTCCCATCCTTTTAGTGATATGGACAGGAAGCAGGGAGATATTGGGTAGAAAAGTGTGGTTCCCCAGCAAAGGCCCCACCCTCAAGCCTGGAAACCCGTGGCCCTAAATGGGAACAGGCATTTCTTTTTTCACACCCAAATGTTGCCTTCTGACCCACAACGCCCCCCTATACCATACCCATATACACCCCAAACCTCCATGAGCAGAGGAGCAGAGGAACAGAGAAGCAGAGAAGAGAAGGAATGTCTGAATGTTGAGGAGTTTGGCTAGGGATGGTCAGAGAGGAGATCGGCTGTGGGACCGCCAAACTCCAGGGGAAGATCATCTTCCCATTCTATCCCCTTTCCAGCTCCCTATCCATCCTGCTGAGAGCCACCTCCATCCAGCAATAAAATCCCCTGCATTCACCATCCTTCAGTTTGTCTGTGTGACCTGATTTTCCCTGGATGCCAGACAGGAACCTGGGTACCAAGAGGGCACTGAGCTAGTTAACACTTAAGCCTTCTGTGGATGGTAGAGCTAAAAGAGCACTGTAACACAACCATTGAGACTTTGGGAGTCACAGGCACCTACCCCTAGACACTACCATGGGGCTGGAGCCCAAAAGCCCTTGTCCTGGTTCCTGCAGCTGCCCATCTGCATGCTCCCCCTCCTGTAAGGGGTTTGAGTGCACAGCAGCCAAACAGACAAGCCACACCCCTGTTGCACATCTTGTGAGGGGGGCCAGGGAACTATCCTGTTTTGTTAATACAATACCAAAGAATCTATGAGTACTGTGAGTGCATACGAAGGCATGTTATTAACCTTGCTCTGGGAAACCCTCCTTTTCTAGTCTAGATTGTGAGTTATTTTATGATTCTTTAAATATCCCAACTGATGTAGACATAATACATTTCATATTTCTGCCTTCATTAACAAAATAAAACTCAGGTCATGAGAGTTTTAGTAAAGGAAAGCATTTCAGTGTGTGGAAAAGGGTGGCTGACATAGACAACAATGGCTTGGTCTCTGAGATTTGAATGCCTTTGATTTATCTTCTTTAATATAGAAGGCACCACTATGTTAGCCTTTTGAGAACATAGATATTTCTATAATGCTTTGTAGAAACACTGAAAAATACCCTTCCCTTGCTTCCTAGTAGCCCAATTGAGACTTGACTGGAACTCTAAATAAAATGTACTATAAATTTGAGGATAATATAAGACAAATATACAGTGCCACAGTCCCTTAATCTGTAAAGTGGAATAACAATAATGCCTGCCCTGAGAATCTCCAGTCTTCATAATAGTACCTGACACCTAATGGAGTTTCAGCAAATGTTAGCTGCTATTATTGTTAATTATTATTATCATTATAGTGAGATCTATGGGTCTAGAATTTTGATGATCTCTGTATTAGGATCTAAATAGTAACACAGAAATCTCATCAAACAGTTCACAGTGAGGTTACCTAAAGATGAGCACCAGCAGGAAAGTAATACCATTCCTAGGCTGGTGAGCCACAGGGAGCAGGTGTTCCTGGAGCCCAGGGACAAAGTCACCTGATAGAAGTGTGAACCTCAGAAGAACTTTCTGGAGTGAGCTGGAGTCATAGAAGAGATTTAGCCATGATGGGGAAGATACTCATGACACAGAGAGGAGAGAAATACTCTGGATTCTCCTTTTTCTCCACCCCCCAGTCTTGTGCCAGTTTCTCTGTTGTTCAAATCCAGTAAGAAGCCTAATGACCTGGCAGACTGGTAAACAAAGATTTCAAGGGTCAGTCCTCCCTCGCTCTTTGTTACAGAGTATGTCAGACAAAGGATAACAGAGAGATCTGAGGGCCAACAGGCTCAGGAACAGCACAAGCTGGTCTACAATATAGGGCTTGCTCTCTGGGGCCACAGGCTGTTCTTATTCAACAGCTTTCTAGCTGCCAGAGTTTCCCCATTTGCAAAGCCATTTTAAAATGCACTGCTCAGGAGCACCCTTTTCATATGATGGCAACGTCTTATCCAATTTTGTGTGTTCAACTTCTAGAGTAACCCCTGGTTCCGTGGTTCTTAGTAAATGTTGCTGAACTGACATTCTCAAAGGACCATTGTGGGACCCAATATGGTGATGTGCTTGAAAGCACCTATTAAACTGGACAAACACAAGAAATTGCTCTGAGTCCACACCAGCCTTCCAACAGTCTGTGACATCGTGTCTCCTGCAACCTGACAATTAAAGCACTTGTCTTCCAGCTAGAAACCATTTTCTTCTATCACTCTTGACCCCGGTGGATTACAGAAGTGCAGGAAATATCCTGGTGGAATCTGATTTCTTCTTGAATTAAATGATCTTTTAGAACTGTGATGATTTGTGAGAGCAAGACTAAATTCTTCAGAGTTAAATGGAATTGAGGTAAACGAGGGAGAAAGGATGAAATGAGACATCATTTGCATATATACATGTTAGCAAAGAGGACCAAACATTGTTGGTGGCTTTTGCAGAACTCTGTTTATATGAAATGGCTTTAGAAACTGAAAAAATGGAGTTCATTCAAACAAGCTGGGAAACATGGTATTTTCTTAGGTATATTTTTCTAGTAGAAATGTACCCTGCTCTGGGGAGTAGCCCTAACTCTCAGATCTAGGCCTAAGTTCAGTAAATATAGAATTCACCATTGCAAAAACTGCAGGCAGTGGTATCTTAACAGGAACTGTCTTAGTCCTTTTGTTTAGCACTGTGTGGTAACCTTCTTTAAGTAGTTCTGCATCAGGTTTCTATTCTCTTTCACATTGGGCGTGGAGAAGAGGTAACATTTTTAGCTGCGTGGTGTATGACTGAGGGATTGATTATGGTGTGTTGGTAAATGTTTAACAATCTAGTCCCCAGGTGTAGTTCCAACATGAATATGGGTTGATGTTTTCATTTATGTGAATGAGGACAGTGAAATTGAAACAAGAAATACATATGTCAGAATGTCACTGGTTTATCAATGGCTTCTTTACTGAATACTAAAAGGCTATTTTCTCTTTTGTGCTCTGCATGATTAACTGTTACAAAACATTTTAAAGTTTACTCTACATTACTAATGTTTTCTTCACTTCATTAAGTTTAAACAATAAAGACCCAAAAGACCAAGAAACCAACAGCAATATACAGACCCTTATTTGTAGTGTTTGCTGGCTCCTATGGTGTAAATATTCTACCATGGCCAATTTCAAGCTACATATCTGACATTGCTGAATGTGGAGATAGAAAGAGAAACACAGCAGTCCACCATTATATAGTATTTCCATCATATAGATACAAGAGAGGTAAATAACCTCAAGAGTATAGATAATAGTAAATGTAGTAAAAAATTAAGAAATTATGAGTTTTGAGTATATTTTAACAGCTTAATTGAAGTATGACAATATACAAAATTGTATATGTTTAAGATGTACAACTTAATGTTCTGATAGACATTGTAAAATTATCACCACAATCAAGCTAATTAACATACCTGTTACCTCCACCTATTACCATTTTCATTGCCTTCCATTCCATGTGTAGATTCAGCCTCGCATTCCATTATATGGATGTGCCATACTTTACTATTTTTCATTAGTATCTTCATTGTTTCCAAAATTTCTCTCTTGTCAGCTACATTAAAAAATGACACTTGGTGGATATGTGTGAGGATGGGCTATTTCAGATAAAAAGATCCAACTGGCATGATTGCTACACACACACACACACACACACACACACACACACACACACACACCCTGAAAGAGCAAGCAAACTAGGACATCCAGGTAAAGTAGTCATGAATAAGAAAAATCTGGAGAGAGTGAAACTAAAATGTTCATAATTCTTCATTCTATATGAAAGGGAACTGGAAGTTATTCTTTCTGATTAGATATGTCCATATGCATAAGTATAAATTTAAGAATTATTGTAGAGGCCAGGCGTGGTGGCTCACGCCTGTAATCCCAGCACTTTGGGAGGCCGAGGCGGGCAGATCACGAGGTCAAGAGATCGAAACCATCCTGGCCAAAATGGTGAAACCTGTCTCTACTAAAAAATACAAAAATTAGCTGGGCGTGGTGGCACGTGCCTGTAGTCCCAGCTACTCGGGAGGCTGAGGCAGGAGAATCGCTTGAGCCCGGGAGGCGGAGGTTGCAGTGAGCTGAGATCACGCCATTGCACTCCAGCCTGGGTGACAGAGCCAGACTCCATCTCCAAAAAAAAAAAAAAAAAAAAAAGAATTATTGTAGAGTATATTAATTAGCTAACAATTTAATAGGCAGCTACAACCTTCCAAATTTACTTACCTTTTAAGATCAAAAAACAAAAGAAATCATAAGCCATACAATAAAAATTAGAATTAAACAATAACAATAGATAAATATAAAATTCAGACCCAAATAGTAAGGTGAGAGATGATAAAAGATGGCTGAAAAGCAATATGAGTAAATTATATAAATTTATCCTATTAAAAGTCAGAATCTCAGATATGAATAAAAAGAAATGTCAAAAGTTAATTGTTTTAGGTGCCATAACAATTTTATATAGAAAACTTGACCTTAATTTATAGTGCCCAGGGATGACCTGGCAACTTACTTTGAAATGATACAGAAAAATAATGAAAACTACTATGGCAAAATCTAAATAATTATTGAACATACATGGCATGTGTAAGGATATTATATTATTTATATTGTTCTGTATTTTAAAAAATTTTAGTGATAAAAAAATTTGGAAAAAAAAATAAAAGTTCCTTCAAAACCCCATGTAAATCAGTTACTTTTTAAAAAATTTTCCACACTATTATAAATTTTATAACTTATAGCACTGTATTTCTAAAGTGAATAAATAACTGTAAGAGATTTCTAGTACAATTGAAACAGACTTTGCTCTTTCTGTTTTCCCCTCATGTAAAATAGAAAAATTAAAATCAATGGCTTATTTAAATGTATTAAGCTAAACAAGACATGTTTAACAATGTTACTTATGTAACACACACATAAAGTGAAAGATAGAGTGAGATTAAAAATGAAAGGCTAGACATACACTTTAATTCTTAAAAAATGCTGGGATTAGGAATCATACCTGGGCTTCAGTTCCAGCACCATTGCTTTGTGGAGCCATACCCATGGCTAAGTAACTATCTAGACATCTCTGTTTCTTCATCCATGATGAAGGTCTCATGGTTCCTGCCTTCTTCAAATGTTTCCCTGACTATAAAGTGATATGACATAATTTAAAATGCTTTGGGAAACTGTACGATGTCTCATAGCATAACATAAGTACATATGGCTAGGGTATTAAAATTTCCAATTGGAAAATAGGCACTTTGAAACGGCCATCAGAACAAGAGTCTAGATACTGTTAGCTTTTGATGTTCATAGATTCTTTTCTCTGCTTAAAAATAGGGACTTCCTGGGAGAATTTCTAGAATTCTTTCCATTTTATTTCCTTATGTTATTTTGTTGCACCTTGCTACTGAGACAAATTATTTGACTTTTCTCAGTTTGTAAACTGTGAAACTAGTTAGGTAATGTAATGCTGCAACTCTTTGGGAAGTGAGGGATGGGAAAGAAAGAAGAGAAACATTCCTCAGAATACCCCAGCTGTTGCCCAGCCTCAGAATTGCGCCGCCTCCTACGAATGTGATATCTATCCTCTCTCTTGCAGTTCCAGATGAGCACACCTTCCAGTCCGTCTGCTGCCAACACCACCTACAGGGGTCCCACAGTAGCCATTTTCATTGGGCTATAAACAGCATAAAGAGGCTATTGTCGGAGAGCAGATGCAGGAAAAGTTTTTGCCAAATGGCATATTCTAAGGTGAACAGGTTTTCACAAATGGAGCATTAATCACAATCCTCTGATACTACCAATTATGGAAGCAGACCAAGAATAAACCTGCAAATGAGAAGAGCCCTTTCCTCCCTTCTCAAATTAAGAAGGCAAACATATTGGAAATGCAAAAGGAAAACAGATTTGCTGAAAGATAGACATCTTGAGCAGAAAAAGCTTCACTTTTTAAAAAATAATAACAAACATTTTCTTATTTTTTTAACTGGATGAATTGTCAGCATAAATGCCTTTGAAGGTATAACTGCATTAATTTGTTACCTTATATATATTTATTTTATGGCATTCTGTAGAACCTTGCTATCTAAAGTCCAGTTCTATGAACTAGTAACATCAGAATTATTGAGAGCTTGTTAAAAATGCAGAATTGCTAAAGATTCACTTGGCTATTTGGTTTTTTGGGGGGTTCCATATGAATTTTAGAATTTTTTTTTCTATTTCTGTAAAAATGTTATTTGAATTTTGATAGAGATTGCACTGAATTTATAGATTTCTTTAGTTAGAATGGACATTTTAATAATATTTATTCTTAAAAAATAAAATAGAACTATCATATGGTCCAGCAATTCCACTTCTGTATATATAGCTAGAAGAAATAGAATCAACATGTTGAAAAAATATCTGTACTCTCATGTTATTGCAGCATTATTCATAATAATCAAAATATGGAATTAAACTAAGTGGTCATCAATAGATGAATGGATAAAGAAAATGTGGTATATATACACAATGGAATACTATTCAGCCTTAAAAAAAGAAAAAAAATCCAGTCATTTGTGGCACATAGATGAGCCTGGAGGGCATTATGTTAAGTGAAATAAGCCAGACACAGGAAGACAAATACTGTATGATCTCACTTATATGTGGAATCTTAAAAAGTTGATCTCATAGAAGTAGAGAGTAGACCGATGGTTACCAAGGGCTGAGGGTGAGAGTAAAGGAGATAGAGAATGGGGAGACGTTGGCTGAAGGGATCAAAGTTTCACTTCAATAGGAGAAATAAGTTCTGGAGATTGACTGTACAGCATGGTGACTACAGTTAATACTAATGTATTGTATAGTTGAAAATTGCTAAGAGTAAATTTTTTTGTTTGTTTTTTGAGACAGGGCTTCACTCTGTCACCTAGGCTGAAGTGCAGTGGCATGATCTTGGCTCACTGCAGCCTCGACCTCCTGGGCTCAAGTGATCCCACCTCAGCCTCTCTAGTAGTTAGAACTACAGGCACATGCCACCATGCCCACCTAATTTTTTTTTTTTTGTATTTTTAGTAGAGACAGAGTCTCATCATGTTGTCCAGGCTGGTCTCAAATTCCTGGGATCAAGGAACCCATCAACCTTGGCCTCCCAAAATGCTGAGATTACAGACATCAGTCAATGCACCTGGTACTAAGAGTAGATTTTAAATGTTCTCATCATAAAAAATGATAAGTATGTGAGGTTATGGGTATATTAACCAGCTTGATTAATCATTTCACAGTGTATACATATATATCAAAATATGTTGTACACCATGAATATACAATTTTTCATTTCAATTAAAACTAGAATAAAAGTGCGGAACCACGGGCCCCTTCTCATATCTGTTATGAGAATCTGCATTTTACTCAGAAGATTTGTATTAAAGTGTGAAATGCACTACTCTAGAATTTAAGCTTCTAGAGGGCAGGCATGGCACATCTTTCTGTGTTCATCCATATCATGTAGCACCTGCTAGTAATGGGAATCACTCAACATGCTGGGCACATGAAGAATGTTTGTTTACCATGCTATTTAACTTTAAATATAGTACTGTTGCATGGAATTGGTGTTATTGCTTAGGGAATTTCAAGTAGAAGAAAATATACTATGTGTTTGCCAGAAAATAGTGCATAAAAATCTAAATTTCTCAGCTGTCCTTGCAAAAATCAAGGCCATGCCCTGAGTCTAACCAGCCAACAGGGTCCAGATAGAATTCACAGTCACAGGATTTCCTGTGCACTCATTAGGACTGATTACACAATTGGTGAGACCTAGGGTAAGATAAAATGTGAGGCTTCTTTGTCCAAAACTAACAACTTCAAGATGGTGACAGCAGAGCAACAAACCAAAAAAAGTCTCTTCTCGGCAAGAAATGAATGGGTGGGGGCTGTGCTACAGTGTTCTGGTGTCACGCTTATCAACCAGTGCGAGCTGCACTCTAGCACCTCCCTTCCCTGGCCCTGGCAACTCCTGAAACCATGTGTGAGATGGTAGCATGGAAAGGTGCTAGAGTCTTGGTCAGTCTATGTCCCTGAGTGACCACGGGGAGCAGAGCCCCTGTTAACACTCTTTATATAGTAAATGAGAAATACTTTAGTTTCTGCAAACCACTGAGATTTCAGAATTCATTTGTCACCTTCTTGTCATCTGGCCCGATTTTACTTATACATCAGAATTGTTGCCAATCATACATGAATCAAATTGAGAGGAAGAGATTGAAAGACAACTGGGAGACTGAGGAAGCAAATATGAAGAGTTGGTATGGAGAACAGAACTGAAATATTCAGGCTTGTAACAGAAAAATATTCAAGGGAAGATTGGAATTTTTATTTAGAGAAAGTTTGAAAAAAAAAAGGGAGATGAAAGAAACTTCCACCTGATGTCTGCCTTTTTTCTTAATTAATGTGAAATAACCAAAACACCTGATAACCATGGAAAGTGAGCTTAAGAGTTTACGAAGATGCATTTTGAAATAACTACTGTGGAAAACCTTCTAAGAGACCATCAGGAGATGAATAAGAGGATATGTACCAAAAAGATCAAGATGAATTAACCTTTGGGTGAAGTTGAGTAACCCAACTGATGGAGCCAGAGGGGATGGAAGGAAGATGTGGCCTGATATCATGAACTAAAAAGGTAGTTTGAGTTAAATTTTAAAGAGTATCATCGTTTTGTAATTAAGAACTGATTTTTCTGTTAATATAAATCATGACCATTTTGACAGTTTCAAGTAGGTTTAAAAAGTCATACATGGTGATTGTCACTTGGGAAAGGGCATCTGGCCACTTAGAAAGGTCTCCAAAGGTGGCATTTTCTTTGATAAAATTACCACAGTGCAAATAATGATTGTTATCCCTGAAAACTCAGAAGTCTGATATTGTAAGGAAAAATCGAAATGTCTAGCAGACTAAGATAATCACATTCTCTCCCTCTATCCAAACTACATAGGAAGCTAATTTAAAACTGTATTGATAATTGACTATATTTGCCCCAAAGAAATGAAGATAATTTCAGACACTTATTAAGTGTTCCATATGTGCCTGATACCCTTCTAAATGCTTTACATTTATTTCTTGAAATCTCACAACAACCATGAAGGCAGGATTCTTGTGGTCTTCATTTTCTCAGGTAAGAATAGTTAGAGACAGACTAACTTGTCCAAGGCTGCATAAGTAATAAATAGTCTATGATTTCAAATGTTTATGATTTCAAATGTTTGTCCTTCCTGTGGCATTGGGGTTAAGAGAAGTAGTCTGATATCATACCATTAGCAAAAACAGACTACTCCAGTTGGTCCAGTCAGCTTAGCCTATCACTTTAGGTAAGCTACAAGGGAAGCCGTTTTCTTATAAGGCTGCTTGGAGAGGCAGAATAACTTCATGGTTAAGGTGTGGGTGTTGGAGTCATATTTCTTGGGATCACACTTTTGCTCCACCAACTTCATCTTCCATAATTTGTGCAAGTTACTGAACCTTTTTTTGTTCCCTAAACTGTAAAACATGGACTCCATAGAGTAGTTGTAAAGATAAGTGAGATAGGAAGACTGAACATAGCACTTGGCATATTAAGAACTCAATCAATGTTAGCTATTGTTGTTAGTGAGAGTAGAATCAAATAAAAGGGAATTTTTGATTATTTTATTAGGCCCATCTTATAATATTTTCAGCAAATACTTTCTTTAAATATTTGGTACAACTGGCTCCCAAAGTTACAAGGAATCCTTTCCGTCAGCAGGGCAAAGTTCTATCTCTTTAGCTTAGCTATTCTGCAATCCTGCATCAGTTTTCTTTCTCTCCCTATCTTTCACTGCTATCCAACATGAACACTTCAATCCAGCCCCTCAAACAAACCCCAGTGCCTTTGCTCATATCATTTCTCTTCTTCATTCTTCAGATCCAGCCCAGATCTCGTCTTAACAATTCTCCTTGGAATACTGTGTTCTCCAGCAATGTCCTTCTCTTTTGAGCTTCAAGAACACCAATCTGCTAATATTTCTTGTGTTGATTACTTCCTGTAGTATTTTCTCAATGTTTGCTTACAAATACATAGGAGAGATAAAGACCTCAGGCATCAAACACCACACTTCAAATTAGCTGATTAAGCTCTATTATGACTTGACCACTCTGAGGAAAAGATATTTTAATGTGTCAAAATGTAAGAATAATTTTTAATGATCCAGTTTTACATACAAAAGAGACCTCAGACTCTTGCTTCATCCCTGCTGTCCAATACATTCTTGAATTCTGCTCTATCTTCTGAGTGGAGTCGAGGATGGAGTGAGGCCAAGGAATACAGCAAATGTCTGCTCTGCCCATTAATTTACAATAAAGAAAAAAATGTTGATAGCATCAAGGTCCCTGCAGTTAACATGGCTTTGAGAAAGCAGGTTTGTCAAAATAACAAGTGCCTTTCAGGAAGCATTCCTATCCTATTTGAATTCTTTGTTGCCATTCATTGCTTTTGTTCTTTCTAGAAAATATATGTCATTATCTACTATATGTTAAGGCTCAACTAGAGTTCCTCAAACTATTAAATGCTTAATAAATATTTACTGAAAGAAGAATGCATTGTATTAGGCAAAAAAAAAAATACACTCTAACCTCTAAATTAAAAATATCTGCACCTACGTGTCCACAGATAGATAGATAGATCTATATGGTGGCAGAGTAATTAAATTCACATTAATTTCTTAGAATAGACTCTTGAATTGGTGCACCTAAAGTACTCTGCAGTATAGTCAGAAGAAATTCGACTAGGAATTATAATGTGTAAAAACTGAAAAGTAAGCATAGGCAATAAAAAATGTGTTTTAAAATATCACGTTACAGAAAAGGAAGGCAAAGTGATCGTTACAGCAGAGAAGATTGATGATTCTTTCCTCAGCTTAAATCTTTGTCGATTAGTACATCTATTTTTCTCCTAGAAATACGTTTGTTAGCATTAAATCACAAACCCATCCATATGGACAGGATATATATGTGCATATCCTGGGACTGCTGGGCATTTGGGTTCTACGCTTGTCTCAGAGAATAATGGCTAAGATAGGTAGGGGACCATCAGTCACCTTGAGGCACCTGGTGCCCTCTCAGTCTGATAATGGCTCATACATTCTTGCTAGAGTAGTTAGTGGTGGCTTTTAAGAGAGTGTATTACCGCTTCCTCCCTTCAAATGATTCCTTCTTTCACTGTGCTGCTCTCTCACTTTAATTAGACTGACCACACACAGAGAATGCTAGAGCAATGAAGAGTTCAGGGAAACTGTATGTCAAACAGACAGGCCCAAGAATGTGGGACTCAGAGCACCTCTGCCAGGTGGCCTGGTAAATGACCGTACATAGATGTCCAGGTCAAGGTTCTTCCTTGTAGTTTTGGAAAGAAATGACAAAAGCAAATGACCTCTGAGCAAATTTTTTTTTTTCCTGCTCCAATGGTCTTGCTTTTATGGCTCAGGTGCTTAGCTGGTGTGCTAAGGAGACATGGCTGCTGTTGGGCATAGCTCTCAGATCATCTCTCTCCTGCCCACAGCCAAACTGGTGGGCTCCATGCTGAACTGAATGACCTGAATACTCGACCTCAAATGACTAAATGCCACATAGAGCTAATGTACACTTTTGTTGGGTGTGAGTGGAGGATAGTTGAGTAGGCATGTGGCACACAGAGGATTGAGAGGCAGCTATTATACTCTATTTCCCAGGGCCTCTGGATTAAGTAGAGGTGGGTTAGGATTGACATGTTGAGGGTGATGTGGTATTCTTAATTTTGCACTGAGTAACAGAAGGTCTTCAACAAGTGTAATCAGACCCAGTTTATGTGTCTTCCTAGATTCACTTGGCTCTGTCCAACCCTAGATCTTAGCTGCTTGTGCCATGGAGAGATTCTGGCCACCTGCTGTGTGAGCCTCCCTCAGGGTGAGGACTGGGCTTCGGCCTGGCTTCCATGGTACCTGCTGCAGAGGGAGCTCTGGAGGCTCCAGTATCCATGACTGCCCCAACTATACCTATTAAACTACGGCTGTTCACATTGCTTCCTCCTGAAATGAAATGGCATGCCTTAGGCCATGAGGTCTGACTTCCTCTGCAGCTTCCTGGAAGGACTTAGCAACAGAAGCAAGGAATAGAAGAAAATTAATGCCCTATGTGACAATTTTTGACCAGGTCCATTGTGAAAAATTACAAAGTCTGGCAAGACTATAAAGATCATATATAGAAACATTAAAAAGTTATGCCAAATTAACCAACTATAATATTAAAAGTAGTTGTATCTCCTATTTTGATAAGTATACATTCAAAATAACAAGACATAAAGAGATGAATCAAGCTACATTATTTATATGGATAAACATTGGTAAAATACTAAAGATGACTACATTTAGTAACTTATGAAGCATGTGTAGATATTCTGTTGATGGACTGGTGATGTTTCAATAAGTATTAAAAATTAACATATATACGTAATTCATAAACTAATATAATCCTTATTTTTGCCTACTTTCAGAAAAATCACTAGTTATATTATTATAATCAAGATTTTCATATAATTTAGGTTGAACTGATAATAGTACTGTAAAAGATTGAAATATGAAATATGATTTACTCAACTGTACAAGAATCCAGTGTATTTTCATCAAAGAAGTAATTTAAAATAAATGTAACAGAATGAAAAGTAAAATTATTTTTACTGATTTTTCAAAAATGTTTTTCTTTTAAGTAACTAATATAAAATTAGTTTTATATTTTTCTATTAAACTGAAAAAGCAAATATGAATTAATGCCATTGTAATTAATGGAATTATTAAATCAAATTGACTTAAGTAAACTTTAAAATATTTATTTCATTTTTAAAAAATATAATTAACTCATTAAACATTGTTATTAAAAAAACTATTCTGAAGGCAAGTGTTCAAACTTCATCTAGTTACCAATGTAAACAAGTGACAACACACTTCACATAAGTTATATTCCGACTGACATAATATTCATACAAACCTGAGTAATATATTTATTGCTTAATACTGTAAAATGTCCTTCAAACTCCATAAGTCATTTTTGTAAATACTGCATTAACTAGTGTTCCATTACTGGAACGCTAAGCATGTGGGCACTTCCAGTACATAAAATAGGTACCCAAAGGAAATGGAGACTCAGTACTTCATAAAGGAATAGTTTGTCGTGCAAGAGTCTGCTGTACTTCTGCTATCTGAGAAGAAGGCTTTAGCAAGTTCACTATTTGTCTTTTCTCTGACCTCAGTGTTCCCACCGGTAGAATCCTGTCATACCCTACAGCATATTCATCTTTGCATTAGCAGTGGCCCACCATGGGCATCTGCACAAAAATGATACACAGGGTAAGAGATGTGGGGAAGCATTTCCCTGGGGGCCTGTGTAGTATTTGTCATGAGAGTAACTGTTTGGAGTTAAGGGTTGCTTTGTGCCAGGATGTGGTAGATCCTGAGTGACAGAGGTGCCCCTGTATTTTGTAATAAGTGTGTGTGTGTTTGTATGTGTGTGTGTAAGTTCTGCAGGGCCTTTAAAAAAACAGGACCCAGGTCAGGGACCTCTCTTGCCCTGACCAATGAAAAGCTGGATGGGAATGAGGCCACAGACAAATTCCTTTCCTCCTTCCCACTGATAGACTATGCTGGTGAGTAGTTGTTACCCATGGCCTGCCCTCAAGTGACCAGTTGTTGCATGTTCATTATGGCACATCATAATGTGCCTGGCATCCTCCAGTCTCAAGTCAGTCTCTTTTTCCTTCTGTGGAAAATTGACCTACAATCTTCTCCTTAGGGTAGGAAGGGCAGTCATGTGGAAATACAGAGTTGGGTCTTTCAAGCAATCTTTCTCTCTATAGCAGAATCTTAATTTCTACTTGCCAAGGTACTTGGTACTACTGATTTCTGAATCCCTGTTGGGTTCTACATTGAAAACTGGTTTGATTTTCCATTTGTTTTTCACTGCCAGCTTACAATTTTACATTATCATATCTACTAACTCAGTTACTACTCATCCTTTTGCTTTCCAGCTTTCAAAAATTTGCTCCTACCCTCTCCTATCCTATTCTCTCTATCCTTTGGGCCTATGTTTATGCTTTAAAATTCCCATGACTGGAATTTTTGGTGAAGTTTCAGGAGATAGTAGAAATAGTTGTATGCATTCAATCTGCCATCATTCATGGACAGTGCGGTTTGTAATGGATATAAATTTAAAAAATTCTACATATCCACAATAGGAGATGGATTATTAGTACTTTCTTACTCATTTATTCGTTCGACAAATATTTTCCAAATCTCTACTATGTTCCTATTCTATCAGGTACCATACTATATATATGTGTGTGTGCATATATAACTTAAATGCATTGAAATTTTGTTTACAAAATTTTGATGTCTTTTCTATACTATGTAGGGAGAATTGTGTCCAACAGAACATGAATCTTTAAGTGGGAGGGTGACCAAATGAACAGAACATAGTCTTGGTGTCTGGAAGTCTAAGGCCTAAATCTCAGCATTGATATAATTTTAATATTGTTGAAAAAAATGGGGCAGCAATATATATCGGACAGGCTATATTCTTTGCAGTCAGAAGTACTTGGGTTGTAATCTAGGCTCTCACTCTTAATAGTTGTATGACATTGAGCAAATTAATCACCTTGAATTATTTCAGTTTCATTATCTCTATAATAGGAATGATTAACCTCACCTCAAAATTTTGTCATAAAGATAAACAGAAATGAAGTGTTTAACTTGCCTAGCATAGTCATGATACAAACAATATGTATGAATGGAGAAAAAACTATTACAATATTAAAAGTGCATGTCTCTCGAAAGTGAGATTATAAATAAATTTTGTTTTTAGCTGCGTGACTTTGGAAAAGTTATTTCACCTCTCAGAACCTCAATTTCCTTTACTATACAAATGAATAACAACAATAGTAATAATCATAATAATGCTTTCATAGAATTGCTGTGAACATTTGATTTATAAGATTTTGAAAATAAGGCATTAGGACATTACTTGTATATAGTAAGTGTTTAATACATATATTATCCATTATGTTTTATTTTTATTTATTTTGCTGTATTTTGCCAATATTTTATAAACGATATAAATGACCTGTTTTGTTTTCTTAATCATAAAAAGTAAATAATGAACTTTATTGTTTTTGGAAGAAAGTGCCCCTTCACCTGCATATTTCCAAGTGGGAGATAGATTAAGAAGGCAAAAATAAAGCAGGATACCATTTTCACCGATTCTATCATACTCTGATAATAGTCGCTGAGCATAATTACAAAGCTTCAATAGGGGCATCATAAGTGCTAGGGAATGAATAAAAGGACATGCAACAAAGATGGTCATTTCCAACAGACTCTCTTGTCCCTGAATATATCCTTGGGGTTTTAGAGGACAAGCACCATCATGAAATGGAGGATTTGTAATTGCAACAGTAAAGTAGTCCCTTCAACTTGGTGCTGTTATACTTTTTGCAATCAGTGGAAATTCAGTTAATCCAATTAATTAAATTTTGGTGAACCTAGAGTGAATTCTATTAATTAATGTTTCTGTATAAAGACATACCAGACCACACAGTGCTTTCCATCAAAGCTCACAGATGGCTGCCCAATCATAACTGTCAAATTTCTATGTTGCTCTTCCTAGAGAGAGATGCAGAGAGTAAGACACAGCAAACCTGTGATTCCCAGCCTGGAGCCTACAGATGTGATCCCAGGGCACCATGAGTTCTCTATAAGAGCTTAAAAATGATTAGTTTCTATTTAGCTGGTAATATAAAAGCAATATAAGCTTCTAAATCTTCTGGGTGACAGTCTGAAGTAGAACATTGTCACACAGGTTTAGTGTCCACATTTTGGTGGGGGCTTACAATCATATTCAGATAATACAGTGCACTTAAGGTAGCCATATTGACTTCACTGTTTTTACTGTCAGTGGTGAGAAGGTAAGTATCAGAAACAAGCTTCCAGCGCTATCTCTAAACCAAAGTGTACCTAACATTTTATCACTCTCCTACTTTTTGGGGTGCTTTACAAATGTTATTTAATTCTGATGACATTATAAGTAGTTATAATATTGTTGTCAGGTTCTGAAGTTCAGAGAAGTAAAGTAACTCTTCTAGTTCACACAGCTAGTCAGTGGTAGAGCTGAGATTTGGATCTATAACTGTTGACTTCAAGGTTGAGCTATTTCTAATATTACCTGTGATTATAAAGCTTAAAAGATCAGGTAGAGGAGATATGTGTTATGCTCCCCAAATCCCATGATTGTAATACTGTTGAAGGCTGTTTCCATCAATAACTTTACAAACAAACAAGCTAGTGGTCAGCTTGAAGAAATAACTACTTGATTAGCTGACCTTACTATTAGAACCTTTACTACTGTTACTACTAGGAAAAAAATGCAATTGTGCCTTAAATGAAATGAAGCACATATTTACAAGCTAATTATATGGAAGACTTGTATATACTTATATACTATTTTAAAAAGAGGAAATTGAGACCAAATATATTAATACTAATCACATTTAATTTTTCTTAATATATTAATATATGTTCTTAATATATCAGTAAATGTGAATGAGCATAACACACCTACTAAAATAAAAAAGAATATTGGCTAACAATACAAAATTCAACTCTATCTATATTGAAAGGCACAATTAAAAAGAGATTCAAAAAGGTAAAAAATAAAAATATATACCAGACAAATACAAATGCAAGAAAAGCAAGTATAAAACTCTTGATATCAAGAAAGATAAAATTTGGCCAGTCACGGTGGCTCACGACTGTAATCCCAGCACTTTGGGAGACCGAGGTGGGCAGATCACTTGAGGTCAGGAGTTTGAAAGCATCCTGGGCAACACGGAGAAACCCCCTCTCTACTAAAAATACAAAAATTAGCCAGGCGTGGTGGTGCCCAGCTGAGGCAAGAGAATCGCTTGAACCCAGGAGGCAGAAGCCTTGATGTGAGCCAAGATTGAGCCATTGCACTCCAGCCTGGGGGACAAAGTGAGACTGTCTCAGAAAAAGAAAGAAAGAAAGAAAAATTTGAATAAAAAATTAAAGATCTACATAAATGAGAAAATATATGGAATATTGGAAGATTCAATATTTTAAAGATATCCATTTTCTCCAAATTTATCTAATGAATCAATGTAATACTAATGAACATCTTGGCCATCTTTTTTTTGTGTGTAGTAACTAACAATCTGAGTCTAAAATTATTTGAAAATGCAAATTACCAGAGTTAGCAAAAAAAAAAAAAAAAAAAGAAATGAATAAAGTTGGATGACTTAGGTTACCTGCTTTCAAGAATTAATAAAAAGCTACAATAATCAAGACTATATGGTTTTGATGTAAGGATATTCAACTTAATAGGCTAGAATTGAGAGACTAGAAATAAGTTTTATAATATACAATGGATTAATTTGGACAAAGATGCCAATGAAATTTAATGAGGAAAGGAAAAGTACTTTCAACAAATGTAATCAAACGATCTTAACTCCTACTTCACACCATATACAAAAATTAATTTGAGATGGGTCATAGATATAAACATAAGAGCTAAGAATACAAAGCTTCTAGAATGAAATCCAGGAGAGTAACTTTGTAAACTTGAGGTAGGCAAAGATCTTTTAGAAAGGAGCTGAAAGCACAGACCATAAAAGAATAAAAACCTGATAAATTTCATTTAAACAAAATGTATCAACTCTTCAAAAGACACCAGTAAGAAAATGAATAGGCAAGTCAAAAACTTGCAGAAAATATCCATGTTATACATGCCTGATTCAATAATAATTGAAGGATTATTATAAATCTGCAATAAAAAGACAAACCTATAAAAATGGGTAAATGTCTTGAACAGACACTTCACAAAAAGAAAACTACATGAATGTATTTCATTCATATAAGGAAATACATGAATGGTGAAAAAGTACATCAAAATGTGCTCAACATCATTAGGTTTCAGGAAAATAAAAATTAAAACCACAATGTTACACAATTTTATAGTCAGGGTAATTACAATTAAAAAATTTGACAGCACTAAATATGTGCTAAGATGTGGGTCAACTGAACCTCACAAATGTTGCTAGTGGGGATGTAAAATAACACAATCACATTGGGATAACTCTTTTGGATATATTGTTAGGCAAACAAGCAAGGGGGAAAAAGTATGCACAATATGCTCCATTTATTGTTCAAAAGGTGATAGAATAATAAAAATCTATTTTACATAATGGGTTTGATGGGACGTGAGAAGCTACACTTCTCTGAATATGCTTTGTTCTGTAGGTTTGGCTTAAAAATCATATAAATCATTTGCCTAATTATAAAACAAAATCGAATAGAAGACTTCCTTAACAATAAATACACCAACTTTGTGTCTAGGTGGTGGCAAAAAACAGAAGGAAAGGAACTATTTCAAGAAAATACAACACGTAAATATTCTTAGTGGGATATACCCTAAGGACAAGCTGAACTGCAAAAAAAAAAAAAAAAAGTAAATAAAAATCTTAAAGTGCTTTTAGTAGTTATAATGTTACTTGTAATCTTGGTAGTCTTATTCTGACTGTTGTGCTTGTATTGTGGGATAAAACAAATGTATAGTTATATAATATTTTAATTCCATCATTCCTTGTGTTTTGAGGACTGGGATTCTTGACTTTAAAGAAAGGAGATTCAGATTTAAGATAATTGAGCTTAAATAAAAACTTATATTTTAAAATTTGAATTTGTAGTTATCAGTATAAATTAATGATTGTATTTTATTTAAAGCATTCTTAAACTTTTTATACTAAAAAGGTTTAGAAACAATACTAATGGAGTAGGAATGAGCCCCTGTAGAATTCAGATTGTGGCCTTAAAATGTATTACTTTCTATTAGAAACGAGTGGTCCTTGGGGAAATGACTATTTTCAGGTATGAGGTAGGAAGTGTCCAAGATAAGCCTGAGACGTTTTGTTTTAACAGATAAGAAGGTATTATCAGATATCAAGCATCACCAGTTTATTTAAAAGGACAAGAGCAAATTTGAAATGGCTAGAACTGGTCAAAGATGGCATTTTTTTTAACTGAAGAAAAATGTACATACAGTTAGTGATATACACAGGCAGTGAAGATGGGACAATGTAATAATCGATAAAGATAATATTTGCAATATATTACAATACATCAAATATATTTAAATCTTGAGTTCATAATGAAATGAAAAAAGACAAAAATTTGTTACTGTTGAAAAATACTAGAAAATCAACTCATTGATTTAAAACCGCTAAAGGTAAAGAATCATGTATCTATCCTGTCTTTCCCATACAAATTTCATTTTTGGGTGGCTAAACTGTAGATGAGAGCCTTTCTCTTTATAGAAGGATTCCAGTTAGTTAATGAGGAAGAAATGGCAGAAAGAAATTATCACCATATCACCATTTTGCAGTCCCCAATGAAATTATTGATCTGGCTATTGATAATCAATAATAGCTGCTAATATCACAAAATTGGAGTCCCATAAAATCTTATTTTATATTACACACACACACACACACACACACACACACACGCACACACATATATATGTAGTGGTCTCAGCAGGGAAAAAAAATGGAACCTGTGTCCAATCAGGACTCAGGATGCAACGATCAGGTGTCAGGACATACACAGTGCAGAGAAACATGTTAAACAATACAATAATACAATAACCATGGAATGAGGAAAATCAAAGCTGAAGGTAATTTTACAATCTTGTTTATTCAACAAATACATTGCAAAATTCCCCTGAAAATAATGAAGGAAAGCCTATAGATTAAACATCACAATTAGAGTAATAGCAATTGATCTCAATATGTGGATCTTATTTTTATTCTGGATCAACCAAACAAACTTTCAAAATAATAATGATGATATTTATGAGACAATTAAAAATCTTAATACTAGCTGAATGTCTGATAATACTAAGAACATATTATTAAGAGGTGTGGGAATGATATTGTTATGTTAACAAAAAGGAAACATATACAAGGTTTGGGATTAGTTTCAAAATGATATGAAAGACAGAGGTAAAGTACAGGTATAACAAAATGGGTTTTGAGTTGATAATTATTGAAGCTAGGTGATGAGTATTTGGGAGTTAATTATTCTGTTTTGTCTCTCTTAAAATTTTCTATAATAAAAAATTAGAAATATATAAGTATTGCAAAATGCAATATGTATTAAGGGAACACATTTCATATTTTTATGTTGTTTTTGATAATGTTCTGTTTTATACATGCAACATTTCAAAATAAAATATTTAAAATACTGTCTCACATATTTTACAATGTAAATATATGAAAGGAATAACAAATATGTAACCTATTGAAATATGTTACATTGTAAAATATATAACTTTAAAATGTATACTATACTATGTATATTGTCTTAGTTTATTTTGTGTTGCTGTAGCATGCCACAGATTGGTTAATTTATAATGAACATACATTTATTGGCTCACAGTTCTGGAGGCTGGGAAGTCAAGCCTGGCATTTGTCTTGACACGTACCGGCATTTGTCAAGAGCCTTCTTGCTGCATCATCACATGGCAGAAAATGGAAGGGCCAAGAGACATAAGGGGCCCAAACTTGTCCCTTTATGATGGCAGTAATCCCACCTATGAGAACAAAGCCTTCAAGGCCCAATTGCCTCTTAAAATCCCTCCTCTTAAAACTGCTACAATGTTTAAGTCTTTAATCCATCTTGAATTAATTTTTGTATAAGGTGTAAGGAAGGGATCCAGTTTCAGCTTTCTACATATGGCTAGCCAGTTTTCCCAGCACCATTTATTAAATAGGGAATCCTTTCCCCATTGTTTGTTTTTCTCAGGTTTGTCAAAGATCAGATAGTTGTAGATATGCGGCGTTATTTCTGAGGGCTCTGTTCTGTTCCATTGATCTGTATCTCTGTTTTGGTACCAGTACCATGCTGTTTTGATTACTGTAGCCTTGTAGTATAGTTTGAAGTCAGGTAGCATGATGCCTCCAGCTTTGTTCTTTTGGCTTAGGATTGACTGGGCGATGCGGGCTCTTTTTTGGTTCCATATGAACTTTAAAGTAGTTTTTTCCAATTCTGTGAAGAAAGTCGTTGGTAGCTTGATGGGGATGGCATTGAATCTATAAATTACCTTGGGCAGTATGGCCATTTTCATGATATTGATTCTTCCTACCCATGAGAATGGAATGTTCTTCCATTTGTTTGTATCCTCTTTTATTTCCTGGAGCAGTGGTTTGTAGTTCTCCTTAAAGAGGTCCTTCACATCCCTTGTAAGTTGGATTCCTAGGTATTTTATTCTCTTTGAAGCAATTGTGAATGGGAGTTCACTCATGATTTGGCTCTCTGTTTGTCTGTTATTGGTGTATAAGAATGCTTGTGATTTTTGTACCTTGATTTTGTATCCTGAGACTTTGCTGAAGTTGCTTATCAGCTTAAGGAGATTTTGGGCTGAGACGATGGAGTTTTCTAGATATACAATCATGTCATCTGCAAACAGGGACAATTTGACTTCCTCTTTTCCTAATTGAATACCCTTTATTTCCTTCTCCTGCCTAATTGCCCTGGCCAGAACTTCCAACACTATGTTGAATAGGAGTGGTGAGAGAGGGCATCCCTGTCTTGTGCCTGTTTTCAAAGGGAATGCTTCCAGTTTTTTGCCCATTCAGTATGATATTGGCTGTGGGTTTGTCATAGATAGCTCTTATTATTTTGAGATACGTCCCATCAATACCTAATTTATTGAGAGTTTTTAGCATGAAGTGTTGTTGAATTTTGTCAAAGGCCTTTTCTGCATCTATTGAGATAATCATGTGGTTTTTGTCTTTGGTTCTGTTTATATGCTGGATTACATTTCCTAAAACCATAAAAACCCTAGAAGAAAACCTAGGCATTACCATTCAGGACATAGGCATGGGCAAGGACTTCATGTCTAAAACACCAAAAGCAATGGCAACAAAAGCCAAAATTGACAAATGGGATCTAATTAAACTAAAGAGCTTCTGCACAGCAAAACAAACTACCATCAGAGTGAACAGGCAACCTACAAAATGGGAGAAAATTTTCGCAACCTACTCATCTGACAAAGGGCTAATATCCAGAATCTACAATGAACTCAAACAAATTTACAAGGAAAAAACAAACAACCCCATCAAAAAGTGGGCGAAGGACATGAACAGACACTTCTCAAAAGAAGACATTTATGCGGCCAAAAAACACATGAAAAAATGCTCACCATCACTGGCCATCAGAGAAATGCAAATCAAAACCACAATGAGATACCACCTCACACCAGTTAGAATGACAATCATTAAAAAGTCAGGAAACAACTGGTGCTGGAGAGGATGTGGAGAAATAGGAACACTTTTACACTGTTGGTGGGACTGTAAACTAGTTCAACCCTTGTGGAAGTCAGTGTGGCGATTCCTCAGGGATCTAGAACTAGAAATACCATTTGACCCAGCCATCCCATTACTGGGTATATACCCAAAGGACTATAAATCATGCTGCTATATAGACACATGCACACATATGTTTATTGCGGCACTATTCACAATGGCAAAGACTTGGAGCCAACCGAAATGTCCAACAATGATAGACTGGATTAAGAAAATGTGGCACATACACACCATGGAATACTATGCAGCCATAAAAAATGATGAGTTCATGTCCTTTGTATGGACATGGATGAAATTGGAAATCATCATTCTCAGTAAACTATCACAAGAACAAAAAACCAAACACCGCATATTCTCACTCATAGGTGGGAATTGAACAATGAGAACACATGGACACAGGAAGGGGAACATCACACTCTGGGGACTGTTGTGGGGTGGGGGGAGGGGGGAAGGATAGCTTTAGGAGATATACCTAATGCTAAGTGACGAGTTAATGGGTGCAGCACACCAGCATGGCACATGTATACATATGTAACTAACCTGCACATTGTGCACATGTACCCTAAAACTTAAAGTATAATAATAATAAAATAAAAAAATAAATAAAAAAACCAAAAAAAACCTGCTACAATGGAAGCTAAATTTCAACATGAGTTTTGGAGGTAACAAGAAGTCAAGCCATAGCATATAGGTTTTAAAAGAATAATTTCTTCTGTTGTCACTGAGATTTTGGCCTCACAAAATTAATCAATTAATCTCACTTCCCTATATTTTGTCTGGAAATCTTAGCAGCTTTGCACCAAGATTTATTCTTATATTTCTTTTCCAAGTATAAAGGAAAAGTCTTAAGTCCTAATTCATTTTCCTAAGTCCTAATTCACTTTTCTCAAATTCTCACAAATCATCCCTTTGATTCTCTTTTTCTTGGTAAAATATGGTTTTTAAATTACATTGTCTACTTGTTTTGTTTATTAATGTATTTTCTTAATAAATACATGTAGATAAGATAAACAAGGTCTCTGCCTTCATAGCTGGCTCTTCCATCAATTCGCTACATGAACATAGGCAAATCTTTGTTTTCAGTTAGAACATCTGTTTTCATATCTGAAAAATGATGTGTGTGGGTCTTAAGATCTCTAAAGAACTCTTCCAGATTTAAAATTCTACAAAACAATGATTCAATCATTTATTTCTATCTGGCATTCAGTACTTATATCCACATTGTGGAGTTGCCTTGTGTTCTGTACTATATCAACACTTGGATCATCATGAAATCTACAATCAATTTCTTTTAGTTTTTTGTTTATTGCAGCAAAACAGGCTTTACTTCAACCACCACTTTCCAATGAGTCAGTGTAAAGGGTTTCACAATTAACTATGTTTGGGAAATACTAGAAAGTGTGTAACACTGACTTAAACCACCCTCCTACTTAGAAAATAAATTATATTACCATGATTCTTCTTTTTTTTCTTACCTTATCACTAAGTTTTATAATTGAGTCTTTATAACAAAATAATTCCAAAATAAATTTTTCATCAGAGGCAACTTAGAAATCAATTTTTTTGCAGGGCTATGCATGCAGGAATTTTAACTCAATGTTAATCCTTGTGTTTGTATAATCTAAAGTTTGCTACAATGTTTTCTGGTGCATCATAAATGTTTCCACATTAGTATAACACATTGGGCAAATAATCAAAAGCAATCAGCCCAGGACAGGCAACCAGCTCAGAGCTGGTGAGCAGCCCTGGGGTTGAGGAAATCAATATCTATGTTCCCTAGTACCTCATTCACAGCAAAATGGCTGTGAAGCTCTGATGTGTTTTTTGCTCTCACAGAATAAAAAACATGTTTGTTGTTTGGACAGCAACCTTCTCAACAAATCTTTCAAAAAGAAATTCATTCATCTGGAAATTCTCATTTTGAGGCCAGTATAGTTTAGTGGTATCCCCAAGCAGAGATTCACTTATAAGTTATGAGAACTTCAGGGAAATATGGCATTAAATGCAGAAATAGAACATCACTGTAGGGATTCATGGTTCTATCACCTAAACTACATGGATCAGGGTAAGTCCATTCCAAGTAAACAAGTTTCTTATACAAGTTACAAATATATGGCTAATCACAAAATAATTTTAATATATTCTGCTGTATTTACAAACAATGACAAACTTTAGCGGGTGTCCAATAAAAGCTGAGTTAATAATCTTGATATAGGAAACACAGCCCTTATTGTTGTGAAATTGTCAAAGTGATGTAATATTGGTCATACAGGGTTAGCAATGGAATTGTAGAACTGTTTCTACAGCTGTGTACAGTGTGGATACAGAACTTTTAGTTTTGAAACATTTAAAAACTCGAAGTCATTTGATTTTATTCCCTATAGTCAAGTCAATGATGTAACACATGCTAGCTGATGGGTTCTGATTCAGTAAGTAAGATTATTTAAATGAGCATATGTGACAACTTTCAGAAGATTAATTCATTAGCATTTTAGAAATTCTGATTATTCTATAGATGTTAGTCATTATTGCTAAATAAATAATAATAATAATGAAATGTATTTATGGAGGCACATTGCTTCACCTGGGCTGCATGATGGCATTTCTTACATGGAAGAAAACTGTCACTAGTTGCCCAGAAAACAGACTCACATTTGAAGCATAATGTGCATAATTTTTCAAAAAGATGTGCTCTTGGGACAAAATCTTTAAAAGAGAAGGATGCATAATCGAGTAGAGAGAGGAGTTTAATTGTGATACTGGCCCTAAGATTCCTCAGTTGACACAACTTGAAGCTCTGGAGCTAGAATAGTACTTCAGCATAGTCAAGCATTGGGCATAGGTGGCCAATCTTTATACTGACTCATCAAGTAGTCATTGGATGGATGCCATTGGCCAGGTAGCTTTCTGCAGTTGAGATAATTCCTGATATGGCTATGTCTGATGTCTGCTAACATTAATCCCAGCATCTGGTTACTCTTTGTAACCATAGCCTCATTGTCTTGATCTAACTTCACTATTATGCTTGTAGGACTAAAGATGTTAATCTCAGCCCTCTATTCTCTATACATGTTAATTATAACACAATGTGGGCCATTTACTTATCATATTAATAACATTAAACCATCCTTTACATGAGAAAATACCTTAATATCTACGCATATTCAACCCCTTTTATCACCAGCAATGAATTTCTCCTGCTCTCTAGAAAATGACAAAGTGGTTTAAATAATAGTTAAATGGTTAGGAGTTTAGACCTGAGCTTTTATGCCTATTCTGCCTTATATTAGCTATACTTGTGAGCAAGGTGGTTACCTCTCACCCATAAAAAGGAACAGCATATGTAGCTACTATCTAGGATTATTGTAAATAATAAAACATACATTTATGCCAAGTACTTCACATTAGGCCTGGCATAGCTCTAATTCTAAACAAATTAGACATTTTCTTATTATTAAAATTATTGTTATGAGATAATTTGTTTGTTCTTCTAATCCCCAGAAATCTGTCTAAATACTTAGATACCCAAGTCTATATAACGAGGGTTGCAAACTCAAATGTATGTGGGGACAATACAGATGAAGACAATGTGTAAAGCTGGCCATGTGTTTGACAAGTAGGAGTGGTAGCAATTGTGGCAAATGGTAGAGCACCTGTCCTCTCTAAAAGGGCACAATTACTCAGTTATAGTCAATGGGAATAAAGGCTCTGTGTTGCTGGATTCTCTGGATTTTCATGAGAATTTTCCATTTAAAAATGTTGGAGAATGATCATGGTGGTTCACACCTGTAATCCCAGCACTTTAGAAGGTTGAGGCAGAAGGATCACTTGAAGCCAAAAGTTTGAGACTGGCCTAGGCAACAAAATGAGAACCCATCTCAAAAAAAATAATAATAAAAAATAAAAAAAATTAGCATGGTGCGATGGCATGCTCCTGTAGTCCCAGCTACCTGGAAGGCTGAGGTAAAAGAATCACTTGAGCCCAGAATATTTAGGCTGCAGTGAGCTATGATTATGTCACTGTACTGTAGCCTGGATGATAGAGAGAGACCCTGTCTTTTAAAAATAAAGTAAAAGTGTGGGAAATGAGTACAGATTTTTAAGAAACACTGTTTTTTATGTTCTTAAGTGTGAGAAACTTAAAACACATCTGTGACCCAGATTCAGCCCCTGGTCCACCCTTACGTTATTCACTGAATTTAGTTTATTCAAGCTTTTGCCATCATCTTTCACTTACCAAATATTTGCTGAGCTGTGACTGTGTGTGAGAGACTCTGCTTGGAGTAGGTGAAGTCCTCATCCTCTTAGAGCTTGCTTTACAATGTGTGTATCTCATAGCAGTTTGAGTGCATGGTCGGTGCAGGGGCAGAGTCACAACCCCTGCCCCTGCACACAAACCACTATGCATTTTCATGAAGTCATAAAATAAGTCAGCCGTAGAGCAGAAACTCATATTTCATAATAATTCCCTCTCTTGTCTTGTTTAGTCTGAATGCAAAATTCTTTCACAGCTGATATAGAAAGCATACCTCCCAACTTTTAAAATTCATAATATGTATTTTTCTAAGTCTGTGACTCGAAAGGGAGTTTATCTTCCTCGTCGCCTAGAGGTGAAAATAAGAAAATGATTATGAATCATTTTTAGTTGATGTAAGAAATTTATATCACCTTTTTTTTGTAGAGCCTACAGAAATTGAAGTGGTTTTTATTGATGAATGATCTAGAGGAAAGGAAGAGTAATAAAATCTGCTGTTGCAAACATAAAAAAATTATGAAAGGACTTTAATGGATTATATCATATATGGAAAAATAACCAAGTATTAAAATTTGTTGCTCAGACCCACACAAATATAGTCAACTTACTTTTAACAAAGGCACAAAGGCAATTCAATCAAGAAAGGATAGTCATTTCAGTAAATGATGTTGGAACAACTGGATGTCCACATGCAAAACATTTTTCCAAGACACCGAATTTATACTTTATGTAAAAATTAATGGAAAATAGATCATAGATCTAAGTGTAAAATAAAAATCTATACAATTTCTAGGGAAAAGCAGGAGAAAATCTAAGTAACCTTGGGTTTGGTGGTGAGTTTTTAGAAACAACAAAGAAACATAATCCTTTAAAGAAAAGAAAAAAATAAAACAATGGTAATTTGAACTGGATTCATTTCCTAGGGCTGCCATAACGAAGCATCACAAACCAAGTGGCTTAAATAACAGCAATCTATTATCTCATATTTTTGGAGGCTAGCAGTTCAAAATCAAGGTGTTGGCAGTCCTATCCTCGCTCTGAAGCTGCTAGGAGGCACCTTTCCTTGCCTCTTTCTAGCTCCTGGGAACCTTCATAGATACATCACTCCAATCTCTGCCTCCAGGGTTACATGGACTTCTTCCATGTCTGTATCCAAATACCCCTCTCCTTTTTTTTTTTTTTTTTTTTTTTTCTGAAACAGAGTCTCACTCTGTTGCCAGGCTGGAGTGCAGTAGTGCAATCTCGGCTCACTGCGACCTCCGCCTCCCGGGTTCAAGCAATTCTCCTGCCTCAGCCTCCGGAGTAGCTGGAGTTACAGTCACCTGACACAGGCCTGGCAAACTTTTGTATTTTTAGTAGAGATGGGGTTTCACCATGTTGGCCAGGATGGTCTTGATCTCTTGACCTCGTGATCCACCCACCTCAGCCTCCCAAAGTGCTGGGATTACAGGTGTGAGCCACCGCGTCCGACCCCTTTTTTTTTAAAGTAATGATGTCAGTCATTGGATTTAAAACCTCCCCTAATCCATTGTGACCTTATCTCAACTTGACTACCTCTGTAAAAACCTATCTCTAAACAAGTTCACACTCATAGATACTGGGTATTAGGACAACCCACAGCATGGATTATATTAAAAGTTTAAAATTCTGCTCTGTGACAGACACTGCTACAAGAATAAAAAGATAAGCCCCAGATTTGAAAAAAAAAAAATTACAAAACACATATCTGATTACATATTGTATCCCAAATATACCGAGACCTTTTCATTTTATTTTATTTTTTATACTTTAAGTTCTAGAGTACATGTGCACAATGTGCAGGTTTGTTACATATGTATACATGTACCGTGTTGGTTTACTACACCCATTAACTCATCATTTACATTAGGTATTTCTCCTAATGCTATCCCTCCCCCCTCCCCCAACCGCATGACAGGCCCCAGTGTGTGATGTTCCCCTTCCTGTGTCCAAGTGTTCTCATTGTTCAATTCCCACCTATGAGTGAGAACATGTGGTGTTTGGTTTTCTGTCCTTGCGATAGTTTGCTCAGAATAATGGTTTCCAGCTTCATCCACGTCCCTACAAAGGACGTGAACTCATCCTTTTTTATGGCTGCATAGTATTCCATGGTGTATATGTGCCACATTTTCTTAATACAGTCTATCATTGATGGACATTTGGGTTGGTTCCAAGTCTTTGCTGCTGTGAATAGTGCTGCAATAAACATACGTGTGCATATGTCTTTATAGCAGCATGATTTATAATCCTTTGGGTGTATACTCAGTAATGGGATCGCTGGGTCAAATGGTATTTCTAGTTCTAGATCCTTGAGGAATCGCCACACTGTCTTCCACAATGGTTGAACTAGTTTACAGTCCCACCAACAGTGTAAAAGCGTTCCTATTTCTCCACATCCTCTCCAGCACCTGTTGTTCCCTGACTTTTTAATGATCACCATTCTAACTGGTATGAGATGGTATCTCATTGTGGTTTTGATTTGCATTTCTCTGATGGCCAGTGATGATGAGCATTTTTTCATGTGTCTGCTGGCTGCATTAAAATACAAAGATAAGAAAACAAACAACCCAATTAAAAAATGGCAAAAAGTCTGGCAAAATACCTCACCAAAAAACATATACAAATGCCAAATAAGCTTATGAAAAGATGCTCAATGTCATTTATCATTAGATAAATGCAAATTAAAACGATGAGATGCCACTATACATGTAGTAGAATGGCTAAAATTAACAAGATAAAACAGACAGTACCATTTTCTGGTGAAGATGTGGAACAATAAGAATTCTCATTCATTACTGGTGCAGATGCAAAATGAGACTACCACTTTAGAACACTATTTGGCAATTTCTTACAAAACTAAATATAGTCTTACCATATGATCTAGGAATAGTGCTCCTAGGTATTTGCACAACTAACTTGAAAATGAATGTCCACACAGATGTCTGCATGCAAATATTTATAGTAGCTTTAATAAAAATCACCAAAAACTGGAAGCAACCAAAATGTCCTTAAACAAATGGATGCACAAACTGTGGTATACCCATACACCAGAATGTTATTTAGCAATAAGAGGAAATGAGTTATCAAGTTATGCAAAGATGTGTGTGAGTCTTAAGTCCATATTGCTAGGTTCCAGAAGCCAGTCTAGAAGGCTACCTACTGTATTATTCAATTTATATGATATTCTGGAAAAGGAAAAGCTATAAGGATAACAGAAAGGTCAGAAAGAGATTGAGTACAGAAGACTTTTTCAGCCAGAGAAACTATTCTGTATAGTCCTGTAGTAGTAGATATATGATGTTATGCAATTGTTAAAACCCATAGGACTTTACAGCAAGCAAAAGTCCTGATGTATGCACATTAAAAAAAATCATTTAGGAGATTAGGGGAGCCCAGGATAGAATGCAAACTGTGACAAAGGAATCTAACTGTATTACAAATGTATGAAACTTTATGGAAGGAAGTAATGGGAAACAGTGCCAACAAAAGTAACTTTGTAATGGGTGAAATCTTAAGACTAAAGGCAAAAGTACCACAAAAGCACTGTAATTTAGTTGAAAAAATTGTTGCCCATGGGCTATCTGTTAGCAATATGATATTGCCATACATGTACCCTGATGGAAAAATTAAATAAATGAATAGCAAATGGTGCAAGCCAGGTTTCTCATTGTTAGAGTAAGAAGTTATAGACATACAATGAGAAAAGTCTAGAATGATCCAACTCTAACAGATTAGAGTTGGATACCTCAGTATAAACTCATGTTTGGATTAATATAGTGCACATGAATATTTTATACTTACAGATATGTGTACATTCATATGTTAATAAACACATATGTATACACATGCACTTATTTCCTTGCTCTGTCAGCTAAGAAAGCTTGGAAGCAATGATACTCAGTAGCAACCAGCACACCTAACATACAGATGCTGGTTTTTAATACCATTTTCTAATAAAATGACTTAGGGCTCTTTGCAGAAATGACTGATTCTAAGGTTCTGGCAGAAAATATACAAGATGAAGTTGGATCACCTTATATTGTCAAAATTTAAGAAACTGCTCAGAAACAAAAGTAAAATACAGTGATGGGGGTACATCAAAAGGACAAAACAGCCACCTAAAAGAGCTCTCAAAGATCAAAGCTGGAATAATGTGATTCACAAAATAAAGTAGTATTGGATTGTAACAAAAGTAAAAAATGAATATATATGAGTCTATATTGATATAAATAAATTATTGAGTAAATAGTTAAATCTCTATTGGGGGTGAATCCACAAATCTCTCCCACATAACTTTCTACCTCTTAAAGTGTATGCTTCTTATAGTAACTTCCTTCCAAAGACTAGAGTGTGGAGAGGAGGGCAAAAGAGTAACTTTACAGTGTAGGAAACTAATAGTACCTCAGCCAGAAGATCAAGGTTAACATTCATATAGACAAGTCATGTTAACAGCATATACTCTGGATATGATATGATGAAAAAGGCACTTTACCTCTCTGGTCTTCCTTCCTAACCTATGACCCCAGTCTAATTATGACATAAACTCAAAGAAATCTCAGTTGAGGAACAGTCTACAAAACACGTGACTACTCCTTAAAACAGTCAAGGTCATCAAAAACAAGGTAAGTCTGAGAAATAGGTACAGCTAAGATAAGTTACAGCTAAGGAGACATTATGACTAAATGTAATGTGAGATCTTGGGTGGGATCTTAGAACAGAAAAAGAACATCAGGTACAACTAGAGGAATCTGGATATAGAATTCAGTTAATAGTATCAGTATTGATTCATTAAATTATATCAAAAGTGCCATACTGATGTAAGGTGTTAGGAATAAGGAAAATCTGGTGTAAGATACATAAAAACTCTTTGAAATTTTTGTATAAATCTAAATCTACATCAGTTCCCCCTTATCCATGATATTACTTTCTGTGGTTTCAGTTACACATGATCAACCATGGTCCAAACATTTTAAATGGAAAATTAAGAAATAAGCAATTTATAAGTTTTAAATTGCATATCATTCTGTGTAGTGTGATAAAATCTCACTCCACCCCTTTTTTCAGCATATTTGTTAGTCACTTAGTAGCTACCTTGGTTATCAGATCAACAGATCACAAGACGAAGGGAGAGAATAGTACAATAAGACATTTTGAGAGCAAGAGACTACATTCATATAACCTTTATTACAGTATATTGTTATAATTATCCTATTCTATTTTATTATTAATTATTGTAATCTCTTACTGTGCCTAATTTATAAATTAAACTTTATCATAGCTATGTATACATAGGAAAAAAACATAGTATATATGGGGTTTGGTACTATGTAAGCTGCATAGAAATGAATGCAGTTTCAGGCATGAACTGAAGGTCTTGGAATGTATCCCCAATGGATAACAGGAGATCACTATATTTTAAAGTAAAATGTGTTTAAAAAATATATTAATAGTTCAAACATATTTACAGGAGAATACAGTTTAAGTGTAACAATAAGAAGTTCTGGCCAGGCGCGGTGGCTCACGCCTGTAATCCTAGCACTTTGGGAGGCTGAGGCGGGCAGATCACCTGAGGTCAGGAGTTCAAGACCAGCCTGGCCAATATGGTGAAACTCATCTCTGCTAAAAATACAAAAAATTAGCTGGGTGCTGTGGCACATGCCTGTAATCCCAGCTGAGGCAGGAGAATCACTTGAATCCAGGAGGTAGAGGTTGCAGTGAGCTGAGATCACACCATTGCACTCTAGCCTGGGCTACAGAGTGAGACTTCGTCTCAAAAAAAAAAAAAAACAAACAAACAAACAAAAAAAAACAAAAACTTCTATGTTGGCAGTCAAATCTCATTTTCCTTGTTTATTTTCAGCTGGAAATAAGTTCCCAGTGGTTTAGAGCACTTAAAGATTTACTGATGAAAAAGAGTGCTTCTTGAGAGGTATTTTGAGAGGAGTTACGTATGTGGGTTGTGTGAGATGATCTGAGTTTGAATTTCAATCCGACTCAATATGACTGGGAAAATTACACATCATCTCTGAGCCTCAGTCTCCTTATCTATAAATTGGGGGTGATAATAGCATCTACCCTGTGGAATTGTCATATTGCTCTAATGAAATAACATGTAAAGTTCTCAGTATAATTTAAATTGAAACACAGTAAATCCTGAAAAAACAGCGACTGCCATGAATATGGCAAAGGATAGTATAACAAGCATAGTGGTAAGTAGTGTGGGCTCTGCAGGCATCCTAGTTTTGAACCCCAGTTCCACCCTTTCCTAACATTTCAACCTTGGGTGTGTTTCTAATCTTTGTGTGCTTCAGTTTCCTACCTTAAGACAGTGCTAATAATAGTACCTTCCTCACTGGGTTGTGGTGGAGATGAATTAGCAGATGTAAATCACTTAGAAAAGTGACTGGCACATGGCAGCAGGTGCATCTATATTAATTATAATTATTATAGAGGTACCTGCATGAAAAGACCTCCAGCCAAATGGCTAACTGGTTTTGCTGGGACTGAGAAGTCAAATCAAATTTATTTTGAAATCTGTGTGCTCAGAGCCAAAAATACAGCAACCAGTCCTTAGCCTCTTGCACCTGGGCAATCATCTAAAGATCTGTAGAGTGGAGCCATTTTCAGATGTTTCTTGGCATTTACTTAACACTGTCATAGACTATCCTTTTAAACCTTTACTTGAATTGTTTAAGATCTCTGCCACTTGAAGGGTGACCTGACATTCTACCTCTTTGTTGGATGTAACCTTGGAACCTGATAAGGTCTTCAGAGGGAAACCTGTGTGCTAGAGGTAATCTCTGCCTCCTGCTAAAGTCTAATTGTGCAGAGATTAATGCTGGAGGGTTTTGTTGCTGTTGTTGTTGTTGTGGTTGTTGTTTTCTTGCTGGAGCTCTAGCCAATATCACTTAAAATGATTTTGTTTTTACTAATTACATCATGTTTGAATACACTTTACTTACAAAAACTGATTGTTTAAAATGTACCACAGACCAGAGTAGTTCATTTAAGATAAGCTTTTCTGGAATCTACTGATTGCCAGTTTTGACCCAGATAATGCAAAAGTCAAGCTTAATTCTGCTGTTTGAGGAGATTCAAGGGAAACTGGGCGGAGCGGGGGAGCTTCGGGGATGGAGAACTCTGGAGGCAGTACCTCTATTCTTAGTGCTATCTTTAGGATAACCTCAAAAATAAGCATCTGCCCTAGTCCTATTCCTAAATCTCAACTCCCAACATTATAGTCCCAATTTAGCTCCCCTTTGTAGTCAATTCCCATAGTAATGCCATCTTCTAAATGTGCCTCAGACTGATAGTATGAATAACAGTCCTGTGATCCCTTGAGACAGGGAAGAAGACAAAAAGTTGAATCACCCAGGCCATGGCTTTTGATTATATAGACTCGGGTTTGAGTCCTGTTTCTGACCGTTACCAATTGCATGACCCTTGGAAAGTATTCTAAACCCCAGTGTTCTTAATACCTACCTCAGAGTTGTTGTGAAGATGAAATGGGACCAGTACAAGTGAAATGCATGTCACAGTGCCTGGCACATAGTAAGTTTCAATTTAAATTAGTTTTCATTATTAAAATATTAATAATAATTATATTGAATGCATTCTTTCCCTCCTGAATTAAATTCTTCTAAGGAATTATTCTCAAATATCTTTTAAAATTTTGAAGAGTTTAGATAAAACCTCTACTCTTAGTTAAGAAAATTCCTTGATATAGAAAGTAATATTAGCAGAATCCAAACCAGCCACTTTCATACTGACTTGGTGGGGGCCAGGTTAGGATTGAGGGTAGGAGAAAGAACAGAAAGTTGGGATTTAAATAGCTGAATTTTAGGATAAATTCTACCTTCATTGTGTTAGTTTGGGCAAGTCATTTAACTTCTTGGATTTGTTTTCTAAAGTTGAAGAATAGGATTCCTTTCTCCCACTTCCAGAGTATAATTTCATTAGACTTCAACAGATAGAGGCCCTTCCTTTAAATAAAATAATAGAAAAAAAAAGTCTTGAGTTTGTAATCATCTTTTGCCTCCTTATACATATTGTTTAGCATTTCTTGCCCGGCTGTGACTGATGAAATTTAACATACAGAAAAGAGTCACGGCAAAAAATCTTTCCCAGTCTGTTTTGAGGTTTGCTTATTATGTCCCTGTATAGCTAAAATGATTTAGCTAATATTTTCTCTACTGAACCTAGATAGATTGTTAAAAGAAAACAAACAAAAAAGCAAAACTACTCCCCAATCATGTTACAGAACTTTGTATTCATAAGAATGTAGTGATAATTTTATAGCATTAGCATTCATTGAATACATACTATGTGTCAGACAATGTGCTAAGCACTTTATCTGCATTAATCCTCAGAATAAACACATGAGGAAGATATTATTATTATCCCCATTTTATAGATGAGCAATACGCTTGGAAAGAGTAATAACTTTTGAAATTCAAGCACCTAGAAAACAGTAAGCCGGATTTTAAACCAAGATCTCTTTGACCGTGGCACTTTTACTTCTAACTACTTGGTTTCGGGAGACTCTGGAAATTGGTAAAGAAAGTGAAAAAAACACCACCTTCCCCCCACCAAACAAAAATTCAAAATATAAAGATATTTTATATAAGAGCTTACTGAATGTAGTGATGGTTTTTAGCTGAACATACATAATTAATTTCCTCTCAAATCAATTTAACATCTAAATAATACAACACCAGCTAATGGGCTCTCAGCTGGCCAAACATTAAGAGATATATTGCCCCATATACTCATCATAAAGAATTAAGATGAACAACTTGCCTGGTTACATAACATTGTTGTACAACATAAATAAAAGATCCTCTCGCTTTGGCAATTGTTCTGTACTGTTCTAAGTTTTGCTAAATCAGACTTCCTTCTAATCTAACAGATGCCAGCAGTTTAAAAGCAGTTCAAAAATCCTTATTTATATCTGATGTTCAGCTTTGAATAAAATGGGCCAGCAAATGCAGAGGGAGAGGGGAGAAAAAAAGCATAACTTAAAAATGGAATTTATTTCCAGCCTTCTAAACACAGATTTCCAATAAACATCCACTTAGAGAACCATTTCATTAAGCTAACTGCAGCTGAAAACAAGTTCCCTGATGTTTCTTTGAGCATTTTATTTTCTAAAATGAATCATTACTTTCTATGTTTTGGCTTGACAATCTTTCCCCCCCAGTTGCGTAATTTTACATTTGTCACTCAAATTGCTTGTATTTCCGGAGAATTGTTCCAAGATATTTATGCTTTGGAATGAGACTGTTAATATGGTGGCATGAGTTTGGAGAAGCTCCCAAACCACTAAGGTGCATTGCTCTGTCTGGAGAGGGTTTTGACTTCCTCATTCCAATTAAAGTTTAGCAGCCCCTTAATGCTGATTCTAGGGGCGGCTGAAATGAACTTGTAATGGAGAAGATGGAGAGCTGTGGCCTTAAGAGGCAGCAAGAAAAATGAAAGCCAGAGCTTTTTGAAACTCTCTTCCATCTGTGGTTTGGTAAACAATCTAGATATTTGGAAACTTATTCTTAACCATCCCACCCCTAAATGTAAAGATGAACCTTCACTAATGAAGACCCAATAAAAAGTGAAGAAAACTGAAGCAAAGTATTGAAGGGAATATTTTCAATATACAAACACTACATATGCAAATGACACTCAAGAATAACTGTCTCTGCTAGGGCGTGGTGGCTCATGCCTGTAATCCTAGCACAGTGGGAGGCAGAGGCAGGCAGATCACCTGAGGTTGGGAGTTCAAGACCAGCCTGGTCAAAATGGTGAAACCCTGTCTCTACTAAAATACAAAAATTAGCCGGGCATGTTGGCAGGTGCCTGTAATCCCAGGTACTCAGGAGGCTGAGATGGGAGGATCGCTTGAAACCAGGAGACGGTGGTTGCAGTGAGCCGAGATCATGCCACTGTACTCCAGCCTGGGCAGCTGAACAAGACTCCGTCTCAAAAAAGAAAAAAAAAAAAAAAGAAGAGCTGTCTCAGAAGTCAATTTATCCCATTACAGTTTGGCTTCTGTATCTTTGGTTAAACAGAGAAAATCAGACAAAAGATTCCATTTAATGTCTTAAATGTAGTTATATTTCACACTTGATAATAAGCACAGGAGATTATTGTATCAAGACATTCACCTTTTAGTAGCTACATATTCATTCTACTATTCAAATGGTTAGGCACAATAATGATAAATACAGTAAGCAAACCCTGGAGTCATTTTGAACATTTACTCTATACTTGGTATGGTGCTAAGATAATGAAAGTAAATTCAATCATTTCAACTTCAAGGTAGCCATAAAAATGAGTATTATTATTAACAACACCAATAGTTAACATTTGTGGACTTCTTACCTTAAAGCAGACAATATACTAAACACACTGGGTGATTACATCACTTGATCTTCACAAGTAGCTTTTTGTATCAGTATTAAAAAGGCTATTCTTATTCCTGAGGATAACAGCTATTATTTATTTCATGTCTATGTGACTCTTGCACTTAATTTCTGCTATGTCTAATCTTCATTACGAATCTGCAAGGTAGATATCATTATTTCCTATTTTAAGGATGATAAAGTTTAGTTTTAGAGAGGTTAAACAACTATTCTAATATGACATAGCCAATGGACTTAAAAAATAAATAGCTATTATTTATTGTGGATCTGAGACAGTATTTTAACCCAAGTCCATACAATTCTAATTTGGATGCTTATTCTACTGTATTGATCGTACTCTTTCTCATTTGGAATAAAAAGCTGTAATTGTTAAGTAACTAGATTTTCACGCAATGGACATACAAACAAGGCTTTCTACTTGTGAGAGCAGACATGTTATCTCTGCTCATTCCATGTGGGAACACTGTGAAACATTCATGGGTCCACATAATCCATTTTCTTTGACGGTGTTGTCATTACTGTCTTATTTTGTGGTAGATACAGCCAGATAAGCTGCCAGTTTTAACCCAGGCAGGTAACATGCTTTATCTTAGCGCTATAGGGTCACTTATTGAAAGTGTAGGAGTTCTAGCATGCACTGCTTAAATTGGTTGTGCACAGAAACAGATATAATAATCACTAAAGGGTAGGGGCTATCTACATCTGACCACCCACTGTACTTCTGCAGAAACCTCTCTCTCTAAGAGACATACTTCTCCATTTATAGATTACATGGGTTTTGGAATGGGAGACTGGGCTTCACTTCCAGGTCTGAGAGATAAACAGTTGATCTAGTTCCAATAAATAAATTTACCACCTTTCCATGCCTAGTGATTTATTCTGGGTTGGATATTTGGACCTAGCAGAAGCCCACTAATCATTGGATTGCTAAGAAGAAAGGTATGCTTTTCTAGCTGATGTTGTAAAGGCTGATAGGATATAATTCTGATTTGCTAGTTACCAGTTTTGCTACTTCTTGGAGAGAGCCTGAGAATGGAGCCAACAAAGAAGAATGCAGAATGGTGAGATAGAGTGAGAATTCTGATTTCAACATTTGAGCATCTAGATACTGCTGTTCCTAAAGGTAAATACCTCAGGATTCCATTACGTAAAAAAAATGCATTTCCCCTACTCCAGCCCCCGCCATCACAAGCCAGTTTTGGGTTGCTGTCATTTGCAACTAAAATTATTCTGAGTAATCCAGAAATCTGCAAAATATACAGAAAAATGTAGCAATCTGTTTTTTTTTTTTTTCATGAATCAATCTGCACCACATTACTAAAAGGTTCCACAAGAAAGCCAAGGTCTAAAAAGCACATCTCTGTTCTTTCTTTTCCCATCCAGACAGAAATAGTAGATTAAAATACAAACATTTCTCTTTATTTATTTTATTATATTTTATTATTATTATACTTTAAGTTTTAGGGTACATGTGCACAATGTGCAGGTTAGTTACATGTGTATACATGTGCCATGCTGGTGTGCTGTACCCATTAACTCGTCCTTTAGCATTAGGTATATCTCCTAAAGCTATCCAAACATTTCATGACTGCCAATACATAGACACTCACATGCATCTATATGTAAATAAACTGTCATACAGAGTTGCATGATTTTTCAGTTAATGCACGCCATACATCACTACTCTGTTTAAATTTACGATTGAGTAGAGTGTATTTCTTTTTAACAACATGAGCAAAGAAATTATTTCCAGTTGCAGTTTTACAAATTGCTCTCAATTGTCACATTTATCTTCTAGCCCAATCAAGTGTAATTTACCAGAAAAACTGCAGAATGTTTCTGTATTTAAAATGTGTGAGGTTTTTATAACAATTCCCACCCCCTCAAATTTTCCCCGTGACATAGGGAGGGGGCCGGCATGTTTCAAACAAACTCATCAAGGTATAATGGCTCCCCTGAACCCTATCTGTCACCAAAATAAGATAGCCAATTGCTAAGAAGTCACTGGTTTGGTTCACAGTAAATCAATCAAAATGGCTTGAAAGTTTGAGGCCCTGTCTGATTTCAGGTATCTTAACGAAAAACGTGTGTTGATGTAAGATAAGCCAATCATTCATTTAGTGATTGAGATACAAGAGGGCAGCAACTATTATTCTGTTCTGATGGGATCTTGGGCTATGAATCATTGAAAATCCATGATGAAGTTTTCACCATGAGGTGGCAAAATAAGAAAAAGCAAAGTTAAATAGTGAAGTTTTTTTTTTTTCTCAAAAACTAAATTTGTTCCATTAAAAAAAAATCCTCTTTAATTCAAGAATATGTCCTTCTAATTTTTTGGTTTAATGTGTTTCTTTTCTTTGATAAAATAGCAGTGACATTAAATAATTGTTTCAAAAAATGAATTTAATTGAAAAACTAAAAATTGGCAACTCTGTGTTTTTTACATTTTTATTGGCCTGGCAACTAATTACTGTTCTTGGCAATAATTATAATGTTAATTTTAGGCACTAGAGTTTGTGAAATTCTAGCCATTTGGCAAGCACTGTGCTAAATGGTTTGTGTATTTAAACCTGGCCTTAACATTACCACATAGAGGCGATTATTATTGCCATTTTACAGGTGACGAAACTGAAGCCTATGCAGGTTAAGAAGCTGGCCTAAAATCACACCATCACCAAGTGAAAGAACTCAAATTTATGTGAACAAAAGGGCTTGTTCATAAGAACTTTACCATGCCTGTCATTCAGAATGTGAATCTGCTAGATCAGGGATGATAATGGTGACATATTTTTGAGCCAATTTGGGAAAAGAAACCTGGCAATGATGTCTGGTAGATACTGAAATGAGAATGGAGGAAAGAATTTATTAGGTTGATGCAAATGTTATTGCAGTTTTTGCCATTGAAAGCAATGCCAATTGAAAGTAATATCAGCCTCCTATTCTGGAAGCCTTTCAGATACGACAATGCATAGACTGACAGAATCCAAAAAGGTTGCAGAAACTGAGAACTCTTTGTTTATATTATGGGTTTAAAAAAGTGGTGCCAGAGTTATTGTTCTGGATAATTTGAATAGCCGGCTCCTGTTACTCTGCACTGCCTACCGTGTTACACTGCTGCAGTGTTTTTGTTCGGGGTCAGAGAGAACAGGGCCACTCATGCTCAGATTTTCTCTTACTCCTCAGAATAATTACTCTTAGGTATATTTCCTCAACTCTAGAAGATCTTCAAATATCTTTCTTTGCTTACCAGTCCAGGCTTTTGCTATTGATAAGAGTAAGACTATCACTCTGGGTAGGGCAAAATTAACCAGAATATACCCCAACGGTAGTAGAAAAGTTCTAAGGTGACCTCCATGACCCTTACCTCCTTGTGTTCCTTGGATGGACCCCTCCCCTTGATTGTAGGCAGCACCTGTGACTTATTTCTGGCAAAATGAATATGGCAAGTGTAACAGCGTGTCACCTCCATGATTATGTTATGTAGGATTCTAACACTTGTCCTGTTTGAACTGTCTCTCTCTCCCATGCTGGCTTTTAAGAAGCAAGCTGTCATGTTGTGGGCTGTCTATGGAGAGGACTACAGAGTGAGTAACTGAAAGTGATGTCTGCTTAACATCTAGCAAAAATCTGAGGTCCTCATCCTGCAGCCTGCAAGGAATTGAATCCTGCCAATGACTTCATGAATTTGGAAGCAGATCCTTTGGTCACGATAAGACTTTAGTCCTGGCTAACATCTTGATTGCAGCTTTACAGGAGACCCAGCTGTGCTTGGACTACTGATATACAGAAACTGTCACATAATTAGTGCATGTTGCTTTAAGCAGCTAAGTTGGTGGTAATATTATTACACAGCAATAGATAACTAATGCACCAGGTTTGTGTATTGGGAGGCTGAGATGATGCTAGTGATATTCCCTGAGAAGGAGAACTCAAGAGGGAACAAAAGTGTGAGGATTCAAAAACCAAGATGAGTTCAGTTTGAGCATGTTGGGCTTCAGATTGCCAACGATGCCCAAATGGAAGATGTCCAATAGATTTCTGTAAATATATGGTTCTGGAGCGTCTCAAAGAAGGCAGCTGGAAATAGAGACTTTAGAATCACTGGTTCTCGCAGGCTGGGTTTCCCGGAAGCAGACTCAGATGGAAATTTATATGCAGGAGGCGTATTAGAAATGTTCTGAAATTAACACTAGTGTGAGAATAGAAGGCCACAGGGTGGCCTAGAGGGAAGGTATGTGTGTAATGCAGACTCAACATCAGCTACTGCTGACCCCAAGGGAAACTCAAGCTAGAATGGCCCAGTGAGGAGAGTCAGCCTTTACATCCTCTGTTGCCAGTTTTTGGATGCTGACTGCCCCTGGGAAGGTGTGGCCTTGGGTAAAATAGCTCTCTTCAGTTGAGGGTAATTCCTAGAGGAGGCTGAGAGCTGAGGTTTATTATCTGTCAGCACTCCCAGCAGCTGGAGGAATAAATCCTTCAGTGGTAAAGGAAAGCTAGGAATCCATGACAGTGTCACTAAATTGGCAGCCACAGTTATGGGTGTAGCTATGAGTCCCCTCAGGGAGTTGGAAGGCTAAGAGGTAAAGAGAGACAAGGACAGGGATGGAATCATCGGGAACACTGAGGTCACCCTGAAGTGAAGAATGGGAAGATATTGTTGAAGAGTTAAATGAATGGGAGCCTTATGAATGGGAGCAACACTCTAAAGTTTCAGAGGCATCAAATATGAGGTGCATATTCTATATCACAAAACATATTTCTTTATTTTTATGAGATCTAATAGATTAGATATGCAGACTTTAAAAGATACATGAAGTCAAAATTATTTTTGCTTTCACATTGTATTTGCGATCTTATTTTTTGAAAATTTTGTTTACTGAACATTTAGTAAGTGCTAATCCCTGTGTTACTGCTGGGACACAGTAGTAATCCATACAGTCTGGTGAGGGTTATGGCAGGAAATAGAAACCTATGTGTCCTGTAGCAAGTCCTAGGCTTGGTGTGGCACAGAGAAGGTACCCTCAAACCACAGTCTTCAGGGATTTTTCTACTCTGTGGCATCATTCATAAAAATCAGAACAGGCATGGTGCAGCTTTTGAATCTAGGAGACCTGGACTTCATTTCTCCTGTCATTCACCACTGTGCTGCCTTGAATGAGTTATTTAACATCCATCAACCTCAGCTCTCACATTGGTTAAATGGGGAAATAACCATTGTCCTGCAGAAATGCTCTGAGGACTATTTCTGATTCATTAATTCAACAAATATTTATTGAGTGCCCAACTCCATATGAACTTTTTTTGAAAGTTCTATCATTGCATTCAACAGGAAAGTGATGATAGAACTTTCAAAATGCAACCATACTGTCAGATATGAAAATGTACTATAGCAGAAAGCAATTCATGACAGCATCACAGCTATTAATGAACCAACTAGATGAGTCACATAATTCTTTATAAACAAGTAAGAATAAGAAATTGAGGTGACTTTTTTTTATAAAGTTGGGATTTTGATAACTTGTCTTCTGGCAGAGGGGGAGGAGATTACACTATTAACCTTAGGGATAGCATTTTACATAGTGAATTTTGTTGGCGCTAGTGATTTCAGAGAGTACCAATATTTGAAGGATTTTCCTTTAGACCCATTCTTTCATTTGGAGGCAATTGCTTTCTATTGTAGTCATTCTTTTGTCAAATATGTACACTGTGACCATGTGAAACAACAGGCTAGGTAGAAAAGAGAAATTTTAAACTGCTAGAAAGAGAGAACAGCAACTTAGATGAGATATTTTAGTGGAAAGGTGTAGTTGGAAGACATTTAATCTCTAAGACCACAGCGGTACTTAGAACCAATGCACATTTGTCATTAATGTGCTTCCATCAATTGCTTAAAAGGTCTTTTAAAGGAAAATTCCATCGTTATCAAAAAGGTTATTGGAGAGTGAAAGAGGAATTAATCAACAAATGCTTGCTGAATTCATCATTAAGAGAGAGTTCTGCTTTTTTACCTTTATCTTACCTTTAAGCAACTTCTTCATGTGCTATGCAGATTTTATCTTCTGTTATTTCTACTAATGATAAAACTTGTCATGTCCTGAATGCTACTTTGTGTCAGAAACTGCTAGTTATGTACATCTACGTGTGTACTTTATGTACATCCACTCATTTAACTCCACTTATGAGGTGCATACTGTGATTAGGATAAATGCAGAGTTGAGGATGATGATACACAGAGAGATTAAGTAACTCACCAAAAGTCACAAGCTGGTAAGTGGTAGAGGCAGGATTAACTAATCCATAAAGTCTGAACCGAGCTCTAGTTCTTAACCATTGGACTAAATAGCCTCTCAAAATTATTAGACAACTGTCTTCTCATTTACCTCCCAATGCACCAATAAAGAGTACTCACGCTAGTGCATGCCACTCTGCACAGGCTACACTTCTCCCCAGCAATCATACTTCAGTTTTCTCCAAATGGTCTGACATCCGCTTATGGCTCCATACTCATTGCACAAATCTGTTTTCTTCTCTTAGTCCTACCGGCTTCATGCAACCCTTCCAACACACAGCAATCTCTCCCGCTTGCCCCCAGGAAACATGCTATTTTCTCATCCTTGGGTCACTCGTGTCCTTTTCTTCCTCCAGCTCATGCCTACACCCTCTTCCGGTTGTAGCTTAAAGCTTCCTTCTTCCAGACATGCCTCCTGGACCCTCCCCTATTTCAGGCTCCTCTTTGCAGTATGTCTCACAGGGGTGATTAATTGTTAAATAATGTGTTTATATACAATCCCTTATTGGATGCCTGTCTTCCCCCCATCTCCTGTGGTCCATGAGGACAGGGCCATGTCTTCCTTTATCTGCAGTGCCTTGCACAATGCCCTGCACAGAGTAAGTACTCAATTAATTTTTGTCCTGTGTTTGGGTTGAATTGTGTCCTCCAAAATTCATATGTTGAAATCCTAAGACCCAGTACCTCAGAAAATGACTATTTGGAGATAGGGCCTTTAAAGAGGAGATTAAGGTAAAATGAGGTTATGTGGTGAGCCCTAATCCAATATCACTTGTGTCCTTATAAGAAGTTTAGGACACAGGTGAAACAGAGACAGAGTGAGGACATAGTGAAAAGCTGGCCATCCAAAAGCCAAAGTGAGAGGCCTCAGAAGAAATCAAACTTGCTGACACCTTGATCTCAGACTTCTAGCTTCCAGAACTGTGAGAAAGTAAATTTCTGTTCTTTAAGCCACCCAGTCTGTGGTGGTTTGTTATGTCAGCTCCAGCAAACTAATGTGTTGGATAATTGACTCGCATTCTCTACGTCAAACTGGCCTTTCTTTGACTCTATTTCCATTGCTTTCCTTGTGTCAAACTATGCTTTCCTCTTTACTACATTCCATCCACCAGCTTCTGTTTTTGTCTCTTCCTGACTTAAAGTAATGGATAGACTACAATATATATGCAAATATTTTTATTGTCTTTACTAGCATTATTTATTACCTCCAGCAGGCTGATTACAATTATGTAAGCCTCCCTGCCAAGGTGCCTACTTTTTAACCTCTAAGTCTGTGCCTATCCCAAGTATCTATATAATCCTTTTGAATATTTGGTGTGGAAGCTGTTGATGAGCAAATGAGAAAACTTCTCCAGCTGCCGCGGGGTCCATAAATTCAAGTGAGCTCATTATTTTCTTTTCTGATGCATAATGTCGCTCTAGAAAATTATCATTTAATCAGCAGTAATGACTGTCATATTTCTGCTGCACTGCTTGTTAATCTCCCTACCTAGTAAAAAGTCTTTAGCAATGCAAATACAATCTCAGATTAGAAACAGAGCTATGAAAAAGAAGGGATCATACACCATTCTATTGTCGTAACTATAGCCTTTAATAGTCACAGAAGCAAAACAATAATTGTACTTTATCTGATGTACTAAGTATAATTTTTCATGGAAGGTGGTCAAATATAGGAAATGATTCATTTGAATTTGATAATCTTATAAAATACCCAAATGCTTGCACTTTTTGTCTCATTTAGAGTGTTATGCATTTATTTAAAATCTGTAGCTCCAATCCTGCCAGGCCCTACCTCTCCATCCTCATCACGCACCCCTGTCCCTCTCGTTCACTATGCTTCAGCCACTGCAGTATTCTTCTAACTCCTTGAAATCATCAAACTCCTTCTCACCTCAGTACCTCAGTGCATTTGTCCATGTCATTGCCTATGCCTATGGCCACTTACCCCATGTTCTGATTACTTCAGATCATAGGGCTTGTTTCCCTGCCACCTTCTGGAGGAAGCTTTCCCTGAATTTCCCAGGATACAATAGGTCCCATATTTGTTCCCAAAGAGTGATTTTTTTCTTCAGAGTACTGGTGACAATGACATTAAATATTGATATTCATAATCAATAACTTGTTAGCTCCCTAATATTTGTCCCTAATATTTGGAAGGACAAAAACATAGGCTATTTTCTTTTCAGACTGTCAGTCATACACATGTATCCAGAGGATGCTGAAAAGCATTTCCGTCTCTTCTTTGAGTGATTTATGAGTCACACCCAATCCTCCTTTCTGGGTCCTTCATTTTTTCCTTCCTCCCTAGGGTGCCTTGGCCCTGCATCCCCATCATCACCATCTATGGGGTTTCCTTTCTTCCTCTCAACCTCTGGCTCTGACAATCCATCATTTGGTTACATCGGAGTTTCCCTCAGTATTTAAGGGCAGGTGGTAGCGGGTGGTGAACTGGAGGGTTGGGCGTGCTTAAGACCCGAAAAGCAGGATACAGAAAAGCATTTGCTCCCAGTCCAGCCAGAGAGGAACATCTGAAAGACCAAGAAATTGCTCTTTTGGTAATACTGGCCACTTCTTATAGTAGAACCCCTAGGAAAATAATTCGAGATAGTCCTTGCTGATACTTTTTCAGTTCATTCCCTACCAGAGTGACTTTTTCTAAAATATAATTATGTGCCCGAACTCTGCTTTAAATCTTTCAGTGGTTTCCCTTGCCCTTTAGGATAATGTAGGATATTGTCCATATTTTCCAGCATGGCGATCAAGATCCCTGCTCTCCGATGAGCTAATTTTGGTTTGCCTCTCTGGCCCCACCTGCTGCTACTCTGTATTTGTCCCACGCACTCTGTGCCCATGAAACATGGGCCTGTTCAAACTCTCCAGAAGGTGCTGATTCCCTCAGGCCTCAGGTCCCTACTGAGAAGCTTTCCATTTGTGAGGTCTTCACAGATTCTTAGCCCATAACGAGTAAGCGAAAAATTTATAGAATATTAAAATATATGTCTATATTACAATGGAATATAAGATTTTATTAGAAAAATTGATATCATCTATCAATGGTCTAAAATTATAGAGTACTAACATTATTAATATATAATAAACACATTTGAACTAGTAACTAAAACATGTATATATATTTAAATCTAATTGTCTCAATAACCCTTTTTGTAGATGGGAAACCAAGGCTTCTAAACTGAAGTTACATATCCAAGGTCCCACTGTTTCATAAGGGTAGAATGGGGATTTGAATCTCACCAATCTCTCTAGAGCCCATGATATTTACCACCACCCAATTTACCTCTGCAGCGCTGTGTGTTATATGAACACCTATTAACTCTGTGTGCGGGCATCACACCATTTTACAAGATTTTATTTGTGTTCCTTACAAGATTGAGTGCTCCGAGACCAGAGATGATTCTGCTTCATTTTTGTAGCCTGATGCATTACCACAGTCCTTATCATATGGTTATATTTGCTGAGTTTACCTTTGGTTTAATTTATACAAATTTTGGAGGCTGGCTTCCTTGCCTGATCAAGTCCCATGACGTCTATCTTATCTTTCAGCTAAGTATTGAAATGTTAATCTTCTCAGTATAATCAAATTTAATTATTGCAGCTGTTTCTGTGCTCAGAGGTGGAGTGTGTGTTCTCAGTAAGTCAAACTAATAAATGAATGTAGTACAGTTCTAAGGTAGATTGTTTGCTGCTCCAGAAATAAAAAAAAAATATGTTGCCATCCAATATGTCTCCATCCCATACTACCAGATTCCAAGACTTCCACACCAAATGGGTGGACAATCCACAGAGAAGAAAGCCACCAGAGAGATTTAATGCAATCAGAGAAGTAATCTGCAGGGAGTTTATTTGGTATGGAATAAGCCCTGCTATTCACATTTGAAGAGACTTTCAAACAGACTGATAAAATGCTTCAATAACTCACAGAATTGGTGAAATCTGACACCTCAGAGAGATAGTTATGGGATTCTGTAAGTTTTAGAGATATGTCTTGCGGATGAATTGGATGTTGGCAGGTAAGGGAGATGCCAGGTTTCTGGATTTGACTGTTTGGATGGAGGTGTCAATAATCAAGAGAAGCCACAGAGGAGGAAGAGTAAATCACAACCACTTTCCAAAACCAGGAAGGAGGGCAAAACAGTGGAAGAAAAAAGTAATGCTTCTCCTGCTTTTAATACACACCTCTTCATTTAGGAATGACAGTAACTTAACTAGAATTAATTTACACATAAAAGATAATGTGTTAGATTTGATTACCAAATCTTAATAAAGATAGGTATAGGGCCAAGTATGGGGGCTCACCTATAATCCCAGTACTTTGGGAGGCTGAGGTAGGAGGATCACTTGAGCCTAGGAGTTTGAAACCAGCCTAGGCAACATAGTGAGACCTCATCTCTACAAAGTTTTTCCCAGCATGGTAATACATGCCTGTGGTGCCAGCTACTTAGGTGGCTGAGGTGGAAGAATCGCTTGAGCCCAGGAGGTCAAGGCTGCAATGAGCTACTGCACTCCAGCCTGGGTGACAGGGTGTGACCCCAACTCAAAAAAAATATATATAAGTGTAGAATTTGCCTTAGGGACATGATATGGTTTGGCTCTGTGTCCCCAGCCAAATCTCGTCTCTAATGATAATCCCCATAATCTTCACCTGTCTAGGGAGAGACCTGGTGGGAGGTGATTGGATCATTTACCCCATGACGTTCTTGTGATAGTGAGTGAGTTCTGATGAGATCTGATGGTTTTATAAGGGGCTCTTTCCCGTTTGCTCCTCACTCTTCTCTCTCCTGCTGCCATGTGAAGAAGATCCTTGCTTCCCCTTTGCCTTCCTCCATGATTGTAAGTTTCCTGAGGCCTCCCCCAGCCATGGGGAACTGGCTTAATTAAACCTCTTTCCTTTATAAATTATTCAGTCTTGGGTATTTCTTTATAGCAGTGTGAAAATGAACTAATACAGGGCAATTCAAAGTGGGAACTCACACACAATCATGATTTTAGACATTATTTACATGTAGTGACATGTAAGGATATTAATTTTACAGTTCTACATAACACATTCCTATTAAGTAATAGGACATTATTATCATCCTAGAAATTTCTGTAGAATCCTTCTTTATAACAAGGTATGCCCCTAGAAAACAGTTTACAAGAAAATATTAATTTATTTAAATATTTAGAGCAGCTTTAATCATAATAGGTAAGAAATATATTTATAGCAGCTTTAATCATAATAGTTAAAAGTGTTATTCTGATTCTAGAACCGCACATTTGTTTTGCTCTTTTGAGAACATTGTATAAATAAGATTACACACTATGCACTCTTTTATGGCTGGCTGCTTTCACTCAGCATGTTTTTGAGGTTTATCCATGCTGTTATACTTATGTAAAAAGTGTTCCTTTTTATTCCTGAGTAATATTCCATTGTATGAATATGGGACAAGTTACATATCCATTCTTTCATTGATGCACACCTGAATGCTTCTAGTTTTGAGCTGCTATACAATGAATATTTTTGTAAGTGTATTTTAGGGTCACATATTTTCAATGATCTGGGATAAATACAAGAGTAATTGCTGTTTAAAATGTAGATACATGTTTACTTTTTAAAGAAGCCGCTGAAGAGTTTTTTTTAAAGTGGTGGCTGTATAATTTTACCAGTTCCTCCCAACAATGTATGACAGATGTGGTTGCTCCACATCCTTATCAACATTTAATGTTGATAAGTCTTTTAATAGTAATCATTCTAGCCTGTGTGCAATTGTATCTTATTGTGCTTTTAATTTGCATTTTAATAATCTCAAGCATATATTTATGTGCTCATAAGCCATTTATGTCTTCTTTTAGTATCTGTTCAAGTGTTGTATATACTTAATTATAGTATATATATGTATGTATGTATGTGTGTGTATACATATATATATACATATATATGTATATATATAAAATTGAATTTCTCAGTCTATAAAAGTGGCATATCTTTCTATTTATTTAGGCTCTTAATTTCTATCAATGCTGTTTTAGTTCTTAGCATGGAGGTTTTGCCCACTTTTGTTAAATTAATTATATATATACAAACTATATATATATAGTTTGTATAGTTTGGCTCGTCTTCTCTTCTTAATGGTGTCTTTTGTTTACCAGAAGTTTTAAAGTTTGGTAGATTCTATGAAAAATTTTTTATTGTGATCATTGATTTCTGCTTCCTCTTTAAAAAATTTTGCCCACCTCAAGGGCACAAAGGTTAATTATTCTGTATTTTCTTCTAGAAGCTTTATAGTTTTAGCTTTTGTATTTTGTCTATGATTTATTTTGAATTAATTGGGTTATGGGGTATGGTAAGGGTTGTTTGTTTTTCCTATATGGATAGCCAGTTGTCCAGTATCTTTAGTTGGAAAGACTTTTATTTCACAATTACATTACTTTGGTAGCCTTGTCAAAAATCATTTGGCCATATGTCTTAATTGATTTCTGGAAGATTTATTGTTTCAATGATCTATTTGCTTAACTTTCTGCCAATACTGCATGAACATACTAATTGTAGTTTTGCAGTAAATCTCCGCATGTCTTATTTTAAAGAATTCTTTGGACTACTATAGTTTTTTGCATTTTCACATGAATTCTACAGTCAGCTTGTAATATCTATAAAAAATTGTCAGGATTTTGATTGGGATTGTATGAATGTATAGATTAATTTGGAGAGTATTAGCATCTTAATAAAATTGAATTTCTCAGTCTATAAAAGTGGCATATCTTTCTATTTATTTAGGCTCTTAATTTCTATCAATGCTGTTTTAGTTCTTAGCATGGAGGTTTTGCCCACTTTTGTTAAATTAATTTAAGTCACATTTATGTTTTTGGATAATATCACAAACAATACTGTTTTAAATTTTATTTTCCAATTTCTTATTTTCAATATAAAGAAATAAATTGATTTTTATAATGACTTTATATTCTATGATCTTCAATTTACTCATTGACCTAGTAATATTTTTTGAGATTTCTTAGTATTTTCTACATACACAATTATGTTATCTACAAATATAGATAGTTATTTTCCTTTTATTTCAACCTTTATACTTTTAATTTAGTTTTCTTCTTTGTCTGGTTAGGACCTCTTATATAATGCTGAATATAAATTTAGCTGTTGATACTTAATGGCAGAGTGACATCAGCAAGAAAGCTGACTAGAGGCACCTGGCATTCATCCCCCTCCTCCACAAGAAAGAAGAAATTCAAGGCAATGAATAAACAACTAAGATTCTACTACAGTGTTAAAGAGAGAGTACTGGAGTTCAGAGGAGGAGTGGGGAGGTACCTGTGGTGCGTGGAAGCCCAGGAAGGCGGCATGGAGGATGAACTCATTTTCAACAAAGGTGCTAAAAACACACAGTGAGGAAAGGACGGTCTCTTCAATAAATGGTGCTGGGAAAAGTAGATATCCACATGAAGAAGAATGAAACTAGAGCCCATATCTTTTGCCATATAGAAAAATAAAAGCAAATAGATTTAGGAGTTAAATCTAGGACTTCAAACTCTTAAATGACTAAAAGAAAACCCTCCAGAAATTCTCCAGGACATTGGACTGGGCAAAGATTTCTTGAGTAATACTCTACAAGTACAGGCAACCAAAGAACAAATGGACAAATGGGATCACATCGAGTTAAAAGGCTTCTGCACAGCAAAGGAAACTATCAACAAAGTAAAGAGACAACCTACAGAATGGGAGACAATATTTTCAAACTGTCCATCTGACAAGGGATTAATAACCAGAATGTATAAGAATTATCTATAAAAATATTATCTGATTTAAAAATAGACAAAATATATGAATAGATATTTCTCAAAAAAAGACATACAAATGGTAAACAGTTATATTAAAATGTGCTTAACGTCACTGATCATCAGAAAATGTAAATCAAAACTCCAATAATATCACCTTACCCTAGTTAAAATTAGTTTTATCCAAAAGACAAGTAATAACAAATGTGGTGAGGTTGTGCAGAAAAAGCAACCTTTGTACACTGTTAGTAGGAATGTACATTAGCACGACCACTATGGAGAGCAGTTTGAAAGTTTCCCAAAACATAAAATTAGAGCTACCGTATGATCCAGCAATCCTCTGCTAGGTATATACCTAAAAGAAATGAAATCAGTACATCAAAGACATATCTGCACTACTGCATTTATTGCAGCACTGTTCACAATAGCCAAGATTTGGAAGCAACCTAAGTGTCTACACAGAGGAATGTATAAAGAAAATGTTGTGCTTATACACAATGGAGTACTTACTATTCAGCCATTAAAAAGAATGAGAGTCTGTCATTTGCAACAATATGAAAGAAACTGGAGGTCATTGTGTTAAGTGAAATAAGCCAAGCACAGTGTGATGGTTAATACTGAGTGTCAACTTGATGGGATTGAAGGATGCAAAGTATTGATCCTGAGTGTGTCTGTGAAGGTGTTGCCAGAGGAGATTAACATTTGGGTCAGTGGGCTGGGAAAGGCAGAACCACTCTTAATCTGGGTGGGCACCATCTAATCAGCTGCCAACATGGCCAAGATATAAAGCAGGTAGAGAAATGTGAAAAGGTTAGACTGCCCTATCCTCCTAGCCTACATCTTTCTCCTGTGCTGAATGCTTCCTGTCCTCGAACATCAGACTCCAAGTTCTTCAGTTTTGGGACTTGAATTGGCTTTCTTTGCTCCTCGGCTTGCAGATGGCCTATTGTGGGACCTTGTGATTGTGTGAGTTAATACTTAATAAACTCCTTTTTCCCCAAGTCCCCAAAGTCCATTGTATCATTCTTATGCCTTTGCATCTCATAGCTTAGCTCCTACTTGTGAGAACATACAATGTTTGGTTTTCCATTACCGAGTTACTTAACTTAGAATAATGGCCTTCAATTCCATCCATGTTGCTGCAAATACCATTATTTTGTTCCTTTGTTGGCTGAGTAGTATTCCATGGTGTGGAATTTTATTTATCCACTCATTGATTGATGGGCATTTGGGCTGGTTCCATATATTTGCAATTGTAAATTGTGCTGCTATAAACACATGTGTGCAAGTATCTTTTTCATATAATGACTTATTTTCCTCTGAGTAGATACCCAGGAGTGGACTTGCTGGATCAAATGTTAGAGCAACTTTTAGTTCTTTAAGGAATCTTTATACTGTTTTCCATAGTGGTTGTATGAGTTTACATTCCCACTAACAGTGTAAAAGTGTTCTCTTTTCACCACATCTCCACCAACATCTATTATTTTTGGATTTTTTGATTATGACCACTCTTGTAGGAGTAAGGTGGTATCACATGGTGGTTTTGATTTGCATTTCCCTGATCATTAGTGATGTTGAGCATTTTTTCACATGTTTGTTGGTCATTTGTATATCTTCTTTGAGAATTGTCTATTCATGTCCTTAGCCCTTTTTTTTTTTTGCTTTTTGTCTTTCTCTTTATTTTTAATCTTTTCCATTTTACAAGAGATGCTCATTTAAACAACCCAGAGGGTGGATTTGAAGGGGAAATTTTTAAGGATTATCCCCCTCCTCATTTCTTGTAAGAACAGATTTCCCCTACACAGCTAAGTAGCAGTAGCTTCCCCAACATCCCCTGGAAAGAAAAAAAAATGTTAAAATAGGCCAGGAGTTTGAGACCATGATGGGATTTTATTTTTTTTCTTGCTGATTTGTTTGGGTTTCTTGTAGATTCTGGATGTTAGTCCTTTGTTGGCAGTATAGATTGTGGAGATTTTCTCCCACTCTGTGGGTTGTCTGTTTACTCTGCTGATTATTTCTTTTGTTGTGCAGAAGCTTTTTAGTTTAAGTCCCGTCTATTGTCTATTTATCTTTGTTTTTGTTGCATTTGCTTTTGGGTTATTGCCCATGAAGTCTTTGCCTAAATCAATGTCTAGAAGGGATTTTGCAATGTTATCTTCTAGAATTTTTATGGTTTCAGGTCTTAGATTTAAGTCCTTGATCTATCTTGTGTTGATTTTTGTATAATGTGAGAGATGATAATCCAGTTTCATTCTTCTACATGTGGCTTGCCAATTATCCCAGCACCATTTGTTGAATAGGGTGTCTTTTCACCACTTTATGTTTTTGCTTGCTTAGTCAAAGATAAGTTGACTGTAGCTTTATTTCTGGGTTCTCTGTTCTGTTTCATTGGTCTATATGCCTATTTTTATACCAATACCATGCTCTTTTGGTGACTATGGACTTACAGTATAGTTTGAATCCAGGTAATGTGATGTCTCCAGTTTTGTTCTTTTTGCTTAGTCTTGCTTTGGCTGTGCAGGCTCTTTTTTGGTTCCATATGAATTTTATGATTGTTTTTTCTAGTTGTGTGAAGAAGGATGGTGGTATTTTGATGGTAATTGCACTGAATTTGTGGATTGTTTTTGGCAGTATGGTCATTTTCACAATGTTAATTCTACCCATGTGTGAGCATGAGATGGGTTTGTATTTGTTTGTGTCATCTATGATTTCTTTCAGCAGTGTTTTGGAGTTTTCCTTGTAGAGGTCTTTCACCTCCTTGGTTAGGTATGTTCCTAAGTATTTTATTTTATTTTATTTTATTTTTTGCAGCTATGGTAAAAGGTGATGAGTTGTTGATTTGATTCTCAGCTTAGTAGCTGCTGATGTATAGCAGAGCTACTGACTTTTATACATTAATTTTGTATCTTGAAATTTTGCTGAGTTAATTTACCAGTTCTAGGAGCTTTTTGAATGAGTCTTTAGAGTTTTCTAAATATACAATCATGTCATCAGCAAATAGCCACAGTTTCACTTACTCTTTACCTTTTTTTTTTTTTTTTTTTTTTTTTAGAGTTGCACTCTTGTTGCCCAGGTTGGAGTGCAATGGCATGATCTTGACTCACTGCAACCTCTGCCTCCTGGGTTAGAACAATTCTCCTGCCTCAGTCTCCTGAGTAGCTGGGATCATAGCCGCCCACCACCATGCCTGACTAATTTTTGTAATTTTAGTAGACATGGTGTTTCACCATGTTGGCTAAGCTGGTCTTGAACTCCTGACCTCAGATGATCCACCCACCTCGGCCTCCCAAATTGCAGGGATTACAGGCATGAGCCACCGTGCCTGGCTCTGTTTACCAATTTTTATATCCTTTATTTCTCTCTCTTGTCTGATAGTTCTGGCTAGGAATTCCAGTATTATGTTGAATAGAAGTGGTGAAGGTGGGCATCCTTGTCCTGTCGAAGTTCTCTGGGGGGTTGCTTTCAACTTTTCCCTGTTCAGTATAATTTTGGCTGTGGGTTTGTCATAGTTGGCTTTTATTACGTTAAGATTTGTGCTTTTTATGCCTATTTTGTGGAGGGTTTGAGTCATAAAGGGATGCTGGATTTTTTCAAATACTTTTTCTTCATCTATTGTGATGGTCATGTGATTTTTGTTTTTAATTCTGTGTATGTGGTGTATTACATTTATTGACTTGTGTATATTAAACCATCCCTACATCCCTGGTATGAAACCTACTTGATCATGGTAGATTATCGTTTTGATTTGCTGTTGAATTCAGTTAGTTTGTTGAGGATTTTTGCATCTATGTTTATCAGGGATATTGGTCTGTAGTTTTGTTTTTTTTGTTATGTCCTTTACTGGTTTTGGTATTAGGGTGATACTGGCTTATAAAATGATTTGGGGAGGATTCCCTCTTTCCCTATCTTTTAGAATAGCATTGATAGGATTCATGCCAATACTTCTTTGAATATCTGATAGAGTTCAGCTGTGAGGCTGGGCGCCCCTGTAATCTCAACTATTCAGGAAGCTTAGATGGGAGAATTGCTTGAACCTGGGAGGTGGAGGTTGTAGTGAACAGAGATCATGCTACTGCACTCCAGGCTGGGTGACAGAGAGACTCCATCTCAAAAACAAAGAATTCAGCTGTGAATCTGTCTGGTCCTGGACTTTTTTTTTTTTTTTGGTAACTTTTTAATTACCATTTCTATCCTGCTGCTTGTTATTAGTCTGTTCAGATTTTCTATTGTTTCCTGACTTAATCTAGAACGGTTGTATCTTTCCAGGAATTGGTCTTCTCTAGGTTTTCTAGTTTATGCATGTAAAGGTGTTCATAGTAGCCTTGAATCTTGAATAATCTTTTGTATTTCTATGGTATTGGTTGTAATATCTCTCATTTTATTTCTAATGGAGCTTCTTTGGATCCTCCCTCTTCTTTTCTTGGTTAATTTTGCTAATGGTCTATCAATTTTTTTTATCTTTTCAAAGAACCAGCTTTTTGTTTCATTTATCTTTTAATTTTTTTGTTTCAATTTAATTTAATTCTGCTTTGCAATTTTTTTTGTTTTAATTTATTTTCTTAAATTTGTTGAGACTTGTTTTATGACCTAGCGTATGGTCTATCTTGGAGCCTGTTCCATGTGCTGATGAAAATAAGATACATTCTGCAGTTATTGGGTAGAATGTTCTGTAAGTATCTGTTAAGTCCATTTTTTCCAGGGTATGGTATTAAATTTCTTTTATACCATGTTGACTGTGTTGATGCCTTATCTGGTTCTGTTGGTGGAGTGTTTAAGTCCCCCACTATTATTGTGTTGCTATCTATCTCATTTCTTAGGTCTGGAAGTAATTGTTTTATAAATTTTGAAGCTTTAGTGTTAGATGTATGTATATTTTGGATTGTAATATTTTCCTGTTGGGTGAGTTTTTTTATTTTTACATAATGTCCCTCTTTGTCTTTTTTAACTGCTGTTAAAGTTGGTTTTTGTCTGATATAAAAATAGCTATTCCTGCTCTGTTTTGGTTTCTATGAGCATGCAATATTGTTTTCCACCCCTTATCCTTAAGTTTATGAGAGTCCCTATATGTCAGGTGAGTCTCTTGAAGACACCAGATACTTGGTTAGTGGTTTTTATGCATTATGCCATTCTGTATCTTTTAAGTGAGCATTTATGCCATTTATATTCAATGTTCGTATTGAGATGTGAGGTACTATTCTTTTCATTGTGTCATTTGTTGCCTGAATACTTTGTGTTTTTTTTTCATTGTGTTATTCTTTCATAGATCCTGTGAGATTTATCCTTTAAGAGATTTTATTTTGGTGTAATTTGGGATTTGTTTCAAGATTTAAGCTTCTTTTAGCAGTTCTTGTAATGCTGGCTTGGTGGTGGCAAATTCCCTCAGCATATGTCTGTCTGGAAAAGGCTGTCTCTTTCCTTCATTTATAAAGCTTTGTTTCAGTCAATATATAATTCTTGGCTGATAGTTGTTTTATTTAAGGAGGCAAAAGATAGGACCCCAATCCCTTCTAGCTTGTAGGGTTTCTGCTAAGAAATCTGCTATTAATCTGATAGGTTTTCTTTTATAGGTTACCTGATGCTTTTGCTTCACAGCTCTTAAATATTTTTTTTCTTCATTTTTTCTTTAGATAACCTGATGACTATGTGCTGAGGCAATGATCTTTTTGTGATTAATTTCCCAGCTGTTCTTTGAGCTTCTTGTATTTGGATGTCTAGCTCTCTAGGAAGTTTTCCTCAATTATTCCCTCAAATATGTTTTCCAAACTTAGATTTCTCTTCTTTTTTAGAACACCAATTATTCTTAGATTTGTTCATTTAACATAATCCCAAATTTCTTAGAGGCTTTGTTCATTTTCTAAAATTCTTTTTTCTCTGTCTTTATTGGATTGGGTTAATTCCAAAGCCTTGTCTTTGAGCTCTGCCAAGTTCTTTCTTCTACTTGTTTGATTCTATTGCTGAGACTTTCCAGTGCATTTTGCATTTGTCTAAGTGTGTCCTTCATTCTGGATGTAGTGATTGTTTTCTTATCTATGCTGTCTATTTCACTGGAGATTTTTCCATTCATAGTCTGTAACTTTTTATTTATTTATTTATTTACGTTGAACTTCACCTTCCTCTAATGCTTCCTTGATTAGCTTAATAATGGACTTTCTGAATTATTTTTCTGGCAATTCAGAGATTTCATTTTGGTTTGGATCCATTGCTGGTGAGCTAGTGTGATCTTTTGGGGGTGTTAAAAACCTTGTTGTCATAGTACCAGAATTGTTTGTCTCCTTCCTTCTCATTTGGGTAGACTATGTCAGAGGGAAGATCAGGGGCTCAAGGGCTTCTGTTCAGATTCTTTTGTCCCACAGGGTACTCCCTTGATTTGGTGCTCTCCCTTTTCCTTTAAGGACGGGAATTCCTGAGAGCTGAACTGCAGTGATTGTTATTTTTCCTCTGGATCTAGCTACCCAGTGGAGCTACTAGGCTGTGGGCTGGTACTGGGGAGTGTCTTGTGATGTGACTGCAGAGAGTCCTGTGATGTGATCTGTCTTCAGGTCTCTCAGCCATGGATACCAGCACTTGCTTCAGTGGAGGTAGTGGGGGAATGAAGTGGATTCTGTGAGGGTCCTTGGTTGTACTTTTGTTGTGCACTGGTTTTGTGTTGGTTGGCCTCCAGCCAGGAGTTGTCACTTTCAAGAGCAGATTAGCTGTAGTAACATAGGGAGGATACAAGCTTGCCCTAGGGTCAGGCTCTGGTCAGGGCCACAGAGCTCCCAAGAGATTGTGTCCTTTGTCTTTGACTACCAAGAGAAAGACCATCAGGTAGGGGCAGGATTAGGTGTGTCTGAGCTCAGACTCTCCTTGGGCATGAGTTGCTGCAGCTGCTGTGGGGGATGGGAGTGTGGTTCTCAGGCCAATGAAATTACGTTCCTGGGTGGATTATAGCTGCCTCTGCTGCATCATATAGGTCACCAGGGAAGTTGGGGAAAGCTGGCAGCCACAGGCCTCACCTAGCTCCCATGCAGCCCACAGCCCACAAGGCATCTCACTCCCACCATGCCCCCACTCAATAGCACCAAATTTATTTCCAGGCAGCCAGTGAGCAGGGCTGAGAACTTGCCCCAGGCTACAAGCCACCCAGCTGAGAAAGCAAGCCTACTCACAGTTCCTCAGCTGTCCCATGGAGCCTGCAGCAGCAATCCACCTCCTTCAAAGAGTCTGTAGATTCTCTTGGCATTCCTGGTATGTTCCTGCAGTAATTCTTTGAGCAAAAGTTCATGGTGTGAGTTCCACATGCTGCTTTGTCCATCCAAGTGGGAGCTGCAAGTTAGTCCTGCCTCCTATCTACCATTTTTTCTGCCCTTTTCTCTGATGTGATTATTACACATTGCATGCCTGTATTAAAATATCTCATGTAGTTCATAAATACACACACCTACTATGTATCCACAAACATTAAACATAAAAAATTTTTTAGAAAATCCTCAAAACAAAAAATAGTGTTCCACATGTATCTGAAAATTTCTACTTGGCTGTTATTGGGTACATTCTTATTCTATAAATTTCAATTATGTAAGTCGACTGACAATGCTGTTTAAGTCTTCTGATATGTTCACTCAGTTTTCCCTATTTATTATGTCCCTGTGAAAGGAGTTGAAGTCTTCAACTTTGTAGATTTTTTTTTCTGTCTTTAGTTTCGTTGATTTCTGCTTCATGTGTTTGGATGCCTTTTTACTGGGTAAATATGCTGAATTGATCCTTTCTCACATTACTTTAAAGAAATACCTGGGACTGGGTTGTTTATAAAGAAAAGAGGTTTAATTGGCTCATGCTTCTGCAGGCTGTGCAGGAAACAAAGCAGCATCTGCTTCTGGAAAGGTGTCAGGAAACTTCTAATCATGGTGGAAGACAAAGGGGTAGCAAGCATCTTACATGGCAGGAGCAGGAACAGGAGCAAGAAAGAGAGTGCGAGGGGAGGTGTTACACACTTTTAAACGACCAGATCTCACAAGAATTCACTATCATAAGAACAGCACTAACGGGATGGTGCTAAAACCATTCATGAGAAATCCCTCCCATGATCCAATCCTTTCCCACCAGACCTCACATCCAACATTGGGGATTATAATTCAACATGAGATTTGGGCAGTGACACAGATCCAAACCATATCATTCTACTCCTTTCCCCTCCCAAATCTCATGTTCTTCTCACATTACAAAATGCAATCATGCCTTCCCCATAATCCTCCAAATTCCTAAATAATTCTAGCATTAACTCAAAAGTCTGAAGTCGAGAGTCTCATCTGAGACAAGGCTAGTCCCTTCTGCCTATGAGCCTGTAAAAGCAAAAACAAGTTAGTTACTACCAAGATACAATGGGGGAACAGGCACTGGGTAGATATTCTCATTCCAAAAGTGAAAAAAATAGGCAAAAGAAAGGGGCTACATGTTCCATGCAAGTCGAAAACTGACTTAGACTTAACTGAATGCAGAGCAGTCATTAAATCTTAAAGCGCCAAAATAATCTCCTTTGGCATCATATCCCACATCCAGAGAATGCTGGTGCAAAGGGTGGGTTTCCAAAGCCTTGTGCAGCTCTGCCCCTATGGCTTTGTAGGGTTCAGCCCCTGGTGCTAATTTTAAGGCCTGATCTAGAGTGCCTGTGGCTTTTCCAGGTGCAGGAATGCAAACTGTCAGTGAATCTACCACTTTGTGGTCTGCAGGACAGTGCCTTCTTCTCATAGCTCCACTAGGCAGTGCCCCAGTGGGAACTCTGTGTAGGGGCTCAAATCCCATATTTCCCCTCTTCACTGCTCTAGTAGAGGTTCTCCATGAGGGCTCTGCTCCTGCAGCAGGCTTCTGCCTGGGCACCCAGTATTTTTCATACATCCTCTAAAATCTAGGTGAAGGCTCCCAAACCTCATCTCTTGTATTCTATGCACCCACAAGCTTAATACCACGTGGAAGCTGCCAAGGCTTATGTCTTGCACTTTCTGAAGCAGTGGCCTGAGAGGCACCTGGACCCCTTTGAGCCTGGACTGGAGCTGGAGTGACTGGGATGCAAGAAGCAATGTCCTGAGACTGCACAGGGTGGCAGGGCCCTGGGCCTGGTACAAGAAACCATTCAGTCCTCTTAGCACTCTGGGCCTGTGATAGGAGGGGCTGGCCTGAAGGTCTCTGAAATGTCTTCAAAGCCTCTTCTCCATTGTCTTGGCTCTTAGCTCCTTTTTACTTATGCAAATTTCTACAGTCTGCTTGAATTCCTCCCCTGAAAATGGGCTTTTCTTTTCTACCACACAGCCAGGCTGCAAATTTTCCAATATTTCATACTCTGTATCTCTTTTAAATATAAGTTTCAACTTTAGGTATTTTCTTTGCTCTTGCATATGAACAAACACTGTTAGAAGCACCCAGGTGACATCTTGAATGCTTTACTGCTTCGAAATTTGTTCTACAGATACCCTAAATTATGACTCTTGAGGTAAAAGTTCCACCTATCCCTTGGGCAGAGGCACAATGCAGCCAAGTTGTTTGCTAAGGCATGATAAAAGTGACATCTGCTCCTGTTCCCAATAAGTTTCTCATTTCCGTGTGATACCTCCTCTGCCTGAACATAACTGTCCATATCACTATCAGCATTTTAGTCACAACCACTTAACCAGTCTCTAAGATGTTCCAAATTTTCCCTCATCTTCCTTTCTTCTTCTGAACCCACCAAACTCTTCTAACCTCTGCCTGTTACCCAGTTCCAAAGTTGCTTTCACATTTTCAGGTATCTTTATAGCAATGCCCACTCCTCAGTGCCAATTTTCTGTATTAATCTGTTCTCACATTGCTGTAAAGAAATACCTGAGACTGGGTAATTTACAAAGAAAAGCTGTTTAATTGGCTCATGGTTCTGCAGGCTGTACAGAAAGCATAGCAGCATCTGCTTCTCAGGAGGCTTCAGGAAGCTTCTAATTATGGAAGGCAAAGAAAGAAAAGTTGCCTTACATGGCAGGAGCAGGAAAAAGAGAAAGAGAGAGTGAAGGGGGATGTGCTGCATACTTTTAGACAACCAGATCTCATGAGAACTTACTGTCACGACAGCAGTACCAAGAGAATGATGCTAAACCATGCATGAGAAATCCCCCACCATGGTCCAATCACCTCCCGCCAGGCCCCACCTCCAACACTGGGGATTACAATTTGACTTGAGATTTGGGTGGGAACACGTATGAAAACCATATTATATGCACTTGAGATTGGTTTGTATTCTTGTCTAATTGACCCATTTATCGTTATGAAATGCCCTTTCTTTGTCTCTGATAATAAACTTCATCTTGAAGTCTACTTCTAATATTAACAAAACAATGCCAGTTTTCTTATGCTTAATATTTGCATGTTATACCAGTTATCTTCTTTTACTCTCAAACATTCTATATTCTTAAACATTCTTATGAACATCATTAGTTGTGTCTTGTGGTTTTATATTGTCTGGCAATCTCCGACTTATAATTTGAGTCTTTATTGCTTTCATGAAATTATTTGTTTATATGTGGATTCTATAAGTCCTACCTACTTTTTGTTTTTCTGTTTTCTCTTTCATGCCTGCTTTTTGCATAAATTATTTTAAAATATTCATTTTTATCTTCTCTTTTGATTTTAATTATACCCTCCTCTGTTAATTGTTTTCAGTAGTGACTCTAAAAATTACAGTAAGCATATTTAATTTCTCCTCATCTACTTTCATAAAATATTCTACTTCACAATCAATATAATAATGTTAAAAATGTATTATATAGTTACTGCTCTGCTGACTCATGTACTCTTTTTGTTAAATAGTTAAATTTTACACACACTCTAAACCACACATTACACTGTTAAATTATTTCTCCTTAAAGAGTCAATAGCCTTTTAAATAGGCTTAAAAATTATATAGTACATTAAGAATAATTTTTAAAATGCATTTATATTTACTGAAATATTCATGCTTTATAGAATTTTTTTCTTTCTTTCTGCATCACCAGTTTCCTATGTGATTATTTTCCTTCAGCCAAAGAAACTTTTTAAAAACACTTCATGTAGTACAAGCCTATTGAAGATATCTTCTTAAGTTGCTTTTTCTAAAAAAAAAATTATCTTCATTTTTGAACAATATTTTCACTGAATATAAAATTCAATTCTAGTTTGTCTGTTTTTCTTTCAGCACTCTAAATATACGTTTACATTGTCTTTTAGCCTCAACTACTTTTCTGATTAAAAGTATGCTGACATTCTTCTTTTTTCCACACATGTAATGTATGTTTTCCCTTCTGGCTACTTTAAAGAATTTTTAAAAATCTTAGTAGTTCAGTGTTTTTATAATTATCTGCTTAGGTATGGTTTTCTTTGTGTTTTTCCTGTCTGGGATTTGCTGAGATTTATGGATTTATGAACACACATCAGTGGTAGGCAGAATAATGTCCCCTCCCACAAAGAGATGTCTATGCCCTAATTCCTGGGATTTGTATATATGTTAGATTATATGGAAAAGGGCAACTAAGGTTGCAGATAAAATTAAGGTTATTAATTGGCAGACTTTAAAATAAGGATATGATTCTGGATCAACTGGGTGAACCCAATGTAATCACAACAGAAAATAATCAATAGAAACAGACATAGAAATGACTTAGAGGTCAAACAGACATAGAAGTGACTCAGATGACAAAAATGTCAAATGACAAAGATTTAAAAAAAATAATAAATATGCTAATAAATCTAAATGTTTAACAGGGAAGCAGAAGAGTCAGTGTTACTGAGATAAGATGTGAGAGAGATTCAGTCGTTACTGGATTTGAAGATGGAAGGAGGAAATAAGTCAAAAGAATGGGAACATTATCTAGAAGCTGATACGGCAAGAAAATTGATTCTTTTTTATGGCCTGCAGAAAATAACACTATCTTGGTGACACCTTGATTTTAGCCCAGTGAGACCTGTTTTGCCTTGACTTCCATGATTGTCGGGTAAGTTGTGTTGTTTTAGCTACTAAGTTTGTTATAATTTTCTACAGCAGCAACAAAAAACTAATGTAATGTCTCTTACCAAGTTTGGAAAATTGTTGGCCGTTATCTCTATTTCTTTTTTCCCCATTCTCTCTCTCTCTTTCTTTATGTATTCTGGGACTCCAGTTTTATGTATATTTTACAATTTGATATTTTCTCACAGATCTTGGATGTTCTATTATTTTTACTCTCTCTGTGTTTAAGTTTTAATAACATATATATATAGTTTTTGAGACAGAGTCTTGCTCTGTCATCCAGGCTGGAGTGCAGTTTTGCAATCATGGCTTACTACAGATTCAATTTCCCAGGCTCAAGAGATCCTTCCACCTTGGCCTCCCAAGTAGCTGGGACTATAGGTACACACCACCATGCCTTGCCAGTTTCTTTTTTCTTTTTTTTTTAATAGAGACAAGTTCTCACTATGTTGCTCAGTCTGGTTCAAACTACTAGGCTCAAGCAATTCTCTCACCTCTGCCTCCCAAAGCATTGGGATTACAGATGTGAGCCACTGCACCGAGCCAATAATTTCTTTTCACTGTATTCCAGTTCTCTGATCATTTCCCCTCTGTTATCATTTAAAAAATATTTTCAGTATTTCCACTTGATATGTTTTTACTATAGTTTTTATTTCTTTTTAGTATAGTTTTATTTCTTTTTACTATAGTTTTTATTCCATTTATCCTTTCTGTGTATTTTTTTTCCACTGGATTTGTTAACACATTCATCACAGTTATTTTAAAGTCTCATAATTCTAACATCTGAGTCATCTTTATGTTTGTCTCTATTAATTATTTCCTCCCTTAACAGTAGGCCATATTCTCTTGCATCTTTGAATGTTTCATAATTTTTAATTGAATGCCAAATATTACATATAAAAGAATAGCAGAGACTAAAGTAAATAATATTTATACCCAGAAAATGACATTGTTCTTCTTTTATCAAACTGTTAGTGTGTGAGGGGTGGCAGGGTGTGTTGGAGCAATTTAGTTGTAGTCTATAGGTGAGCTGGCTCTGAGATTTGCTGTTGCTTTAGTTAAATTCAGCTTTTTAGAAGCATCAAATTAATTGTGGGTGGAGTCATTTTTTTTTTTTTTTAATTCAGAGTTTGGGTTCTGACTACCTAGGAGGAATGTCTCATTTCTCGTATTTGGCCATCAGACTTTAACAAGACCTATGCACCTGAAAATCAGTGTAAATCTTTCTCATTTCTCTTGCCCATCTCTCAGTCATAGATGATTAGTTCTTAATTATATGTAAGGTTCAAAATGCCTGCCGGGTTTTTGAAATTCTCTTTCTCTACCCTTATACCTCAGTAAGTTTTGCAAATCTGTATCACAGTGTGGTTTTGTTTAGCTCTCCTGAATCTTCCCTAGGTTCAGAATGTCACTTCTTCAAGCTCAGTGTAAGGCCCCCATGACCTGTAGGGTTTCTCTCAGTTCTCTTGCTTTGCCCTCAGAATTAAACAGGTACATGAGCCTGTGCCTTCAGAGTCACCACTTTCTCTTCATTGCTCTTCTATCTTCTCTCTGACTTGGTATCTTTTCCATGAGGCAGGAGATCTGGCTGCCAGCAGATTGGGGCTCACATACTTGTAGTGTTTTGAACAGAGAGCAAAATAATCATCACTGGCAGCTTTAGTTTAGTTTTGTTTTTTTAAATCCCTCAGAGTAGTAATAACAAATAATAATTCGAAAAACAGAGGTTAATATTTATTGGATATACAATGTGTGCAAGGCAATTGTTAAGCATCTGTCTCTATATGTTTAACATGGATATTTACATAATAGGCATGTCATAGTAGAAATAAAATGATATGTATGAATAAATATAGTCAATCCTCATTATTCATGAATTTTGTATTTGAAAGTTCACTGAAATTTTGTGGTCATTCATCGGCACACATAACAGAACAGCAAAAGATTTAATTCACCTCATGCACAAGTTCTCAGCCGAGGAATAAGGTGACACTGCCTTCTTGTCGTTATGTGTGTGTGTATGTGTGTGTGTGTGAATCCTTACAATAATCATATGAGATACCTCCTATTATTATCTTTTTGTCTTCTTTTTTAGGAAATTAAGGCTCAGAGACATTTCTCTAAGATCATACAAACACTAAATAAAAGTGACAAAAGTTGCATTCAAAGGAAGACTGGATTTTTTTTTTGTTTTTTTTGTTTTTTTTAGATCTCACTCTCTTAGCAACTATACTTTACCACTTTAGTTGGCTTGGCTTATGTTTCATGATTGTCTCTGGAGGAATAACTGCGTTCAAATGATGGAAGACCAAACTGGCTTAGTTTGGGACATATGCCTACCTCTCTAACAGTTCAGCTACCCAGTTTGTTGAATGGCTTCTACAAGGAGAGGCAAAGAGGGAGATTTAGAATCTGACAGAGGCACCACAGAGATGGCTGACAGATTGCATCCTGAAGCCATGACTTGCAGGGATTCTTATGAGAGTTTTGTATTTCCATATGGGAAGCTCTGATGAATGCAAAGGAGAAAAAGCATGGATGTCAGATGGATCTCCTCCTAAAGCCTGACTTTGCTTTTTACGATTACTATGGGTATGGCCTCTAGGAATATCACCTAGTCTTTCTCAGATTGTTTCATCTATAAAATAGGTCTGATACTTACCCTTACATGGGGACTATGAAAATCAAATAAGATAATATTGTAACAGGTCTTGCCCAGCATAAGTATTCCATGATAACTTCTTCCACTCTATGGTAGCACCTTTTAAGTAAATAGTCAACCACAGGTTCTACCTCAATAGAATATCCTAAATTTTTGCTTTTAGTTTATCATCTCTCTGGGAATCCTACAATTCCTTTACTAGCATTCCAGCCAGAAAATGAGATTTGGACTGGTATTACATAGGAAATACTAAGTTGGTTGCCAACTTGATATTTTCCTTTAAATCCAGAAGAAATTTAGTGCAACACAAAGCTTCAGCAATACCAATCATTTTTCTCTCTTTCTGTTGCTTCCTAATAATTTCTATCAATCTTAAGATGCTTCCTTCAATGATTGTCCTTAGAGTTATTCCTCAAAAAATGTTTTTTAAAATATAGTAAAATTTACCTAACATAAAATGTATCATTTTAACCATTCTTTTTGATGCATGTATTTATTTATTTTTACTGGGTGAAATATACATAAAATATATGACTTTAGATGTACAGTTCAGTGGCATTAAGTGTGTTCACATGGTTGTACAACCATTATCACTATACATTTTGAGAACTTTTACGTCTTTCTAAACTGAAGCTCTGTACCTTTTAAACAATAACTCCCAATTCCTCTCTCCTCCTTGGGTTATTTCTTTGATCTAAGGTATTGTCATCAGAAACTGTCACCAAAAATGCACATATGTTTCCTGGGTATGGAGAAAGGCTAGCACATTAACACCTTACAGTTGATAAACATTAATACAATACAAAGACAAACATTTATTAGTGCTTCCTTTGTACTAGGAATTATGTTAAGCACTTCAAAGGCATTATCTAATTTAATCCTCTCAATAAACCTAGGATGAAGAATTTTTAATTTGAAAAATGAGAAAATCAAACCACAGAGAAATTAAATAGCTTTGTCCAAGATTGCACAGATGGCTTGAGGCAGAGCTGGCATTTGAGCTCAAGCCCTATAAATCTGATATGGGAAGGCATTACCTGGAATATTTGTTATTTATGCAGATTTTCGTTTAAGACAGGGCCAGAGAATCTACATTTTTAGCAAGCATAATAGACGATGTTTTTTGGACTTTAACATAAGAATCAACAGGAAGGCTTGTTAAAACAGAGATTCCCATCCATCACCTCTAGAGAGGTTGATTCAGGATGTTTAGAGTGGAACCTGAGAGTCAGCATATGTAACAAGCTCCCAGGTGATGCCAATGTTTCTGGCCAGATTTTGAGTAACAAACCTCTAGGCGTTTCTGATTCTGGTGGTGTGGATCACTCTGAAAAACATCACTATTTCAAATTATCTGCATAGTTAATTGGTTAGCTGAGAGTTATCTACAGAGAAAAGGAAGGAGCTTCTGGGTTTGGGTCAAACACCAGAAAAGTTGAGACAAGAGGGAAAGGGTAGGAAATTATTCAGACATGGACCCCTGACAGATGAGGTCAATAGAGATCCACTGAGAGCTTGGCTAGACTGTCTAGGCAGAGGCCAGGCTCCCAGGCCAAGGGTTGGTTGACTACCAGGTAAAAGTATCACTCAATGAGGCAAGCTGGGGAAGAGGCAAGGTTGTCAATGAAAACTGTGGGCATCAAACAAGGTGCAATGTCCATAACCAAAACTAGGACCTAGAGACAGAAAATGCAGAAAAGGGGCCCAACTATTTTGTCGAGGGTATCCAGGGCTCAAATAATCTACAAAAGACTATGGGGAGTATTGATCCCATATAGAGATGTTACAGCTGTGCTTGACTACCCATCACCAGCTGAGGTGGTTGGGATGATGAAGGCCACAAGGCTAGTCTCCTCTTCTACAATATTTGTAGTGCCTGCAAATTATTTTAGTTAGAAATCATTACACTGAGATCAAGACCCCTGAGAGCTTCCAACTCATGGAGCGCAGTTACAGAAGGCAAGAGTCTGGTGATATATTCTAACAGCAACTTGGGCTCATGGCCCACTTAAAAAGTTTGCTTGGGCAGCAGGGTCAGTATGATGCTATTGTGTATTCTGTAAATGCAAAATAATTGAGGTCACAAGTGGGAAAATAATTTACTATGCTCAGCAATAGTATTATCCATATGATCCTAGCCTGGAGTATGCCTCCCATTGCCCTCTGCTGCTGATCTGAAGGAGCCTTGCCTATAATGTCTTCAAGATAAGAAACTACTGGGGTCATCAAGAAAATCTTCTTGATTTCTCCCTTATACTTCCTCTTTTATCTAGATGTACATCTGACTAGGGGAAGTTATCTAGCAACTATGGATAGTTATGACATCTATTCTTCATCATTCCTTGTAATTACCTCATTTCAAAAACAAGTATGTTTTAAAATAACTTTTATTTTTCTGATTGCAAAGGCACTGTGTGTCATTGTAGAAACTGGATGTAAAATGAAAGTAAGTACCCACTAAATATTGTTTTCTGTGCTCTTCCAGGCACTGCAGATATAAGGGTGAACTGTTATTATAGTATCCACAACCTAACCTCCCAAAAGTGATTGCCATTAACATTCGTTTGTTTGTTTTATTTTTGTTTGGCTTTATCAAGATCCTGCTCCACATACTGTTTTATATCCCACTTTAAAACTTAACAGTGTTTCATGGAAAATATCCCAATGTCATTACCTAATTGCTGCATAGTGTTTGTATTCCATCTCAAAAGTCTGAACACCTTTATTCCACTTATTAACCACTACCTCTTGCCACTTCTTATCTAGACCATCTATCTAAGTCTCTTGGTACCCTCAGAACAACCCAACATCCCATGGTCTACAACTTCAAGTTCTTTTTCATCAATATTCTTAACTTCCTAGTCTTCATATCAATGATTTGATCGCAAGTTGGTCAGTCAGCAGCTTCTTTTTAGCCATGTTTTATACTACACTGATTCCCTCTGAAGCTGTTGGCTTGGTTCAAACACTTGCATTTTGAATGAAGTCAGAAACTCTGAATTCTAGCACCATTGGCACAGAATAAGCTTCTTACAAATATGTTTAATGTATTGCTGACTATAAAATACTCATCAACTCAGATATATTAGGTGAAAGTCCTTTGAGCAAAATACTGCATATTGCAAACCTGATTCTTGCCCCCACATAATTCATGCTGACGAAGGTTGTCTGTGTGTATTTGAGAATATCTTTCAACATTGATCATTGTAATTCTAAAGAGTAATGGTTTCTCCCCTGAAAGAACACAAAACCTTATCCAATAATATTGCCTTCCCAAACTGTATGTTACAAAAGCAACATCGTTGAAAAATTCTAGATCTATAAAGAAAAGAAAATTTAGGTTTTGGATATTCAGTTAAATGTCTTCATCTAAATTGTGTGCAGATTGCAATTGGCTATGCATCAAAAGGAGAGAGAGAGAGAGAGAGAGAGAGAGACAGAGAGAGAGAGAGAGAGGGAGAGGCATGGAAACTATACTGACAAAGAATGGAACCCTCCCACTCCCCTATTGCCCCTCCCTCCACCAGGTTCTATCACCTCACTCTTCATTCAGCCAAAGCACAAGGATTTAAAATTATGTCTTTTTTCTGTAAAGAATCATAATATCCCTTTAGGCATTACAAAACAGAGAACTGAGCTTAATACTAGAGAATAAAACCAAGAACCTGTCTTCTCTGCTGGCTGAAATATAGTATTTTCCCTTTAAAATAATGTTGAAGGAAGGTGAACCTTTAAACCTACAGATTTGCAGCCTAACACTGTAATTTATTTCTCCTGGCAACCGTTGCAATATTCCTAGATTTATGTAGAGAAGAAAAAATATAATTCTATTTGGAATGGACAAAACTCTAGAAAGAAAAAAACAAGTATTTTGGCTTTCATTGGTAAAAGGGGAAAATAGACTATGGGAATGTAACAGTCCATTGTCCAATCCTCTGAGGATTTTAGAAGGTAATTATAGGACAGTATTATATATTCAAAATATTCAAAATTGAGTATAAGGATCAGACTGCCCAAATACTACCAAATTAATCTTATCAACTAATAATAATGGATGAATGAAAAGGTTTAAAATTTGCAGAAGCATAGAAAAAATGACAGCAAAATAGTTATTGACTAACAAGAGCTTGTGTGCCGGGAAGGGGCATGTTAAATAATCAGCTTCATCTCTTTTGGGCTTGTTGCAAAAGCAAAGACATGAGAATTCTAAGTTTCTCTATTCTTCAGCAAATAGCTAATTTGTGGCTTTGTAATTTGTTTAAAAATGAGGGTCATATTTCATATAAAATGTGATGCTTATTAATGTGCAGAAAATATGCTGGTAGCAATAGGATGAAAAAAGCTTCTAAATCTGAACGAACATCAGCATAATATTTATTGAGGTTATATAAGTGAAACACGTGATAGCCTCAAATAATAGGCTGGCACTGAAAATTTTTACTGTAGTCCCTGAGACATTTCCTTCTGAAATTTAGTTGTTGGCACCTGATTATTGCTTCAGTGAGTTTGGCTCCCTAGGGATTAAGATGAGGAGACAATGCCAGAGTGCAGAAAAACTTACGTGATTTTTTTCTTTTTTGAGATAGAATCTCGCTCTGTTGCTAGGCTGGAGTACAGTGGTGAGATCTCGGTTCACTGCAACCTGCACCCCCTGGGTTCAAGTGATTTTCCTGCCTCAGCCTCCCAAGTAGCTGGGACTACAGGTGTGCACCACCATGCCCAGCTAATTTTTGTATTTTTATTAGAGATGGGGTTTCACCATGTTGGCCAGGATGTTCTCGATCGATCTCTTGACCTTTTGATCTGCCTGCCTTGGCCTCCCAAAGTGCTGGGATTATAGGTGTGAGCCACTGCACCTGGCCAACTTATATGATTTTACAAAGAATGGCCAAGAATAAACTTAGAGCAGCAATATTTTTGACTCCCAGATTCTCTTCTGACATCAACTCAGAGCTGGCTTCTCATTCTATTGAAATATGTTTTACATTTTTATAATCATAATTTTAAGTTAATATTTTTAAATTATAAAATAAAACCAACCTATGGTACAAAATTTGAAAAACTACACTTAAGCAAAGAGAACAACATAAGCATGTTTGTATCTTTATTCCGTTTTACCAAGGGCCTCTTTCCCCCATACATATACGAGGGTTAAGAAGGGGGGGGAACGAAGGAATGAAAATATAGGAATTTTGCATTTGTACTTACTGTTACATCCTGAGCAGTTCTACCTTTATGATTTTGTTGAAGTATCATTATTAATAGCTATTTTATATTTTATTATTATCTATCAAACTACTTCCCTACTGTTGGACACATTTAAATATTTCACAAGGTATATTAGTTATGATTTTCTTCAGGGACGCCTGTGACTCTAGCTACTCTCCAAATGTTGATAATCCCTGACTTCATATTGAAGTGTTTGGCCCTTTTTTAGGCAGGTAACAGGGAACCACTAGCAAGTTTTGGCCTCAGATTAGCTGAGGCCAGTATAATAAAGAGACATGATAAAAACGTACTGAGTGACTAATCTGAACTAGAATGTAGGATGTCTCAGAGACAGGAGGTACATCAGAACACTTGTCTGGTCCATGTCAGATTTTCTTGGCCTTTCTTCTAATTCTAGCTCCTGTTTGGGGGACAGCTTTATCTGTGTGCAAATGGCAGTACCTTGTTTGGGAACCATTCTCTATACTTCTTGCTTTGCCCAGGGACTTCTCTGCTGCAGGCCTGGGCATGCCTGATTGGCATTCAATACTAGCCACTCATGTATGTGCAACCCAGGATTTGGGGAAGTTAGCATATACAGAGCAACCTTTGAGTAATGTAGGACAGAAGACCATAGAAAAATCCTTTTCTGTTCTTTTTTCAGAAGATGGTTCAAAGAGGCATTTCCTAAGACTTCTCACCTGGCACTGTGGCCTAAGCAGCCACTTGTCTTGTAACCACCCAGTGGGTTCACCTTGCCTGCTGCCTAGACAGAGCCAATTTGTCAAAACAGGGGAATTGTCATGGAAAAGAGTAATTCACAGAGTTGACTGTGTGGGAGACCGGAGTTTTATTATTACTCAAATCAGTCTCCAGCATCTGGGGATCAGGTTTTTAAAGATAATTTGGTGAGTAGGGGCTCGGGAATTGAGGAGTGATGATTGGTCACGTTGCAGATGGAATCAAACGGGGTCAAAGTGAAGTTTTCTTGCTGTCTTCTGTTCCTGGGTGGGATCACAGAACTGGTTGAGTCAGATTATAAGTCTGGGTGTGGTGTCAGCTGATTCACTGAGTGAAGAGTCTGCAAAATATCTCAAGCACTGATCTGAAGTTTTACAATAGTGATATTATCCACAGGAGCAATTTGGGAGGTTCAGACTCTTGCAGCCAGAGGCTGCATAACCCCTAAACCATAATTTCTCATCTTGTAGCTAATTTGTTAGTCCTGCAAAGGCAGACTGGTCCCCAGGAAAGAAGAGGGTCTTTTCCGGAAAGGGCCATTATCAATTTTGTTTCAGAGTCAAACCATACACTAAATTTCTTCCCTAGGTTAGTTTGGCCTACACCCAGGAATGAACAAGGACAGATTAAAGGTTAGAAGCAAGATGGAGTTGGTTAGGTTTCATCTTTTTCACTGTCATAATTTCCTTAGTTATCATTTTTGCAAAGGCAGTTTCCGTCTCGTAGAGCAGTGGCAAATTTGATAATGTAAACTTGTACTGGCTCTCTTTCTCTTACCATGTCTCTCATACCTGCTCCTTAATAAACTATTCATGCATAGGCTTTTATCACAAGATTAGCCTTGGGAGAGCCCATGCCAAGGAAGGAAGGAAGGAAGGAAGGAAAGAATATAATTGCCTTTCCCCAGAGAGGCTTTCTCAATCTAAACTAGAATACCTATTAATATACCACACTTTTATCTTAGAGTGGTTACAGTATCTTTACATTTTTTTATTTGTACAACTACATATTTATCACTCTCTTCCCCCATTTGAATGTAAGAGCCTTGAAGCAAAGGCCATGTCATTTTGATTCACTATTATATCCCCGGTACTTAATAAAAATGTATCAGATAAACAAAATAGTGAATGTGATTTTAAAACTTTCCTCTAAACCCCACGCTTCTGCAGTCTAGGCTGTCAGAAGCTATACTCTCTATTACATCTTTTTTGGCGGTAGGGGTTATTGTCTCTGATTTTCTTAGAAAGACACGTGACATTAATTAGGATAAAACAGAATTTCATTGATCCTCCCATTTACCAGGTTTATTGTTGTTAATCGAATTTCTTCACTTCGATTTTGTGTATTCTAAGTAAAATCTCGTTTCCTCAGTTCAAGGTCCTTGTAAGTGCAGTTGATCTGTTTCATTGTGTCCCAAATTAAGACAATTTGGGAGTTTCCTGACCTCCCCTGTCCTCTTTCCAGAGGATTCTTAGAAGATTAGCTGAAGGCAGTATAATTAAAAAAAAACAAAAACAAAAATAAAAATGTGTTGAGTGCCACGGTGCTTTTTACATTGACATGCACAGTCTAGTGAGAGGAAGAATCATCCTCTGTATTTTACGCTGAAGAGAATGAGGCTCAGAGAGATTATGTGAAATACCCAAATTCACACAACTAATACGGGGTCTCATTCCAAAACCTGTGCTGTTAACTATTACATTTAAGAGCTGCTTGAATCCACTGAACTTCCGTTTCTTTTGAATCAACAGGAAGGATTTTTCCTGCCTTCTGCAGTCATCCTTAGTCCTTCAGGGCAGCGGAGAAGAATCTAATCAGGACCCCTGACCTTGTCATTCATTCTTTTTCTCACTCTTAAGTTAACTGCAGGCACCCTAGGGAATGGAATTGTAACTGCTTTGGACTTCAGAGGAGCAGGCCTAGCCAGAAAAACCACGTCAAAGTTCTCACAGCAAAACCAAGTGTAATGTTTTTTGGATATTAATGTGCTCTCTCTCTCTCTCTCTCTCTCTTTCTCTTTCTTTTCTACCCGCTCACTTTCTCTTTCCGTGTCTGCCTTACTTTGGGTGGAAGTGAGGGTAACAGAAGGAATAGAAGGATATCTTCATTGCACTTTATTTTTTTCTGAAATACAAATTTATTTAAAATTGGTCTCTGAGGATTTGCAAGTTTTTACTATTGGGCACTGTGACAGTTTAAACTGTAGCTTCTTGGCATTGAATCTAAATCTATGAAAATAAATCCTATTGGGAAGCTCATTTCTTAATTACAGGACATATTAGTATCTAGCTTTAAGAGTTTTGTAGTGGGTTAAAGAAATATTTTAGTTAGAAGAAAGCTTTCTCTTAATCTTTTTGCTATAGTGACGTCAATGAAGTATCATAACCATTAGTTTAAAATAAAAATAACATAAAGAGAAAAATGTGCCGGAACAAAAAGAGATGCTTTGAATACTTTGGAAATGAGTCAGAGAAGAAATATAAATTTTAAAAATAACAACTCTGTTTTCTTTTATGTGGAGTAAATCCTGAGGAAGACTCATATACTGCAGTGCTGATTTTATTCTAGGTAGAACTGTGGATAGGCAAAATTTTTTTGCATGTAAAAGAAAATTAGGGTGAAATTAACTCTGATCTGAATTGGACTTCAGTAAGTAACAGCAATTCCCAAAGTTAATGGTTAGATATTAAATTTTACATATTTGAGTAACATATTTAAATATATTATCTAAATTCATTTAAGACCTTCCCTGCTATGAAGAAATTTTACTTACTATGAGTTGAAATTGGGGAATAATGCAAATGAAGAGTCTCCCTGTAGAAAATACTTGAGTCCCTGGGTCTGTGTGCCGTGAAACTGTAGTGAGTCTTCACCATTATTCTACTCCAGGGAATATGGTCTCATAACAGCCTTTCCCTCCTGTTCATTCCCCCAAGGCTGTGTCACTGCATCTTTTTGTACCTTCAATTCAGGCCACCATGCCAAACATTCTTCACTTTGTAGATGTTCGAGGAGCACCTGCCACCCGCCAGGCACTTTGCTAAATACTTGGAATAGGGTAGCAGACAGGGAGTACAAGTGGTCTGTGTCCTCAAAAAGCTGTCAGTTTCGAGGAAAGTAGAGGACTGGGCAAGTATATTAAGAGTGAAATGCATGTTACAAAAAAGTTGGGGCCAGCCGTGGTGGCTCAGGCCTATAATCCCAGCACTTTGGGAGGCTAAGGTGGGTGGATCACTTGAAGTCAGGAGTTCAAGACCAGCCTGGCCAACATACTGAAACCCCGTCTCTACTGAAAATACAAAAAATTATCTGGGCAGGGTAGTTTGTGCCTGTAGTCCCAGCTACTCGAAAGCCTGAGGCAGGAGAATTGCTTGAGACTGGGGAGGCAAATGTTACAGTGAGCTGAGATTGTGCCACTGCATTCCAGCCTAGGCAACAGAGCAAGACTGACTCCATCTCAAAAAACAAACAAACAAATAAACAAACAAACAAGAAACTTGGAAGTAAAAGTTGCTGAGGAAGTAAATATGACAGAGGGAACTAGCAAAGACTTTCATGATTCTAGAAAAATGTATGATCTTCTTTTTGATCCCCTAGGGAAATGGAACATTTATAAAATAATAATGCTGATAATAATAGTAATGATGGTTAACTTTTGTTGAATATTTATTGTTGGCAAGACATTCAAGCAATTCTGTAAACCTTAATTGTATATTACCAAGTGAAATAAGCCAATTTTAAAAGGCTATATATACTATATGATTTCACCAGGCCCTTGGCACTCAATGAATAGGAAATATTTTTAAGAGAATAATGATGAGGATGATGATGGTGATGATGACACTGAGAAAGATGATGTAACCAAACATAGCTTTCATAGCCTTCTTTAACCTTACCTGCCAAAACATCAAAACAAAATTGAGGTGCTAATTGTAATACATAAAATGGACTTTACTATTTCAATGTTTTGCTCTCCTTTTCCTTTTCTTTTTTTTTAATATGAAAAGAAAGATTTACCTAGTTTTATCATTCCCTTTTCATTCTGTTAACCCTGACTATACCTTCATAAATAGCACTTTTATTAAAGTGTCTTCATTTGAGTCTTCTGGGGTGAAATCTGTTTTCTGCTGGCACGCTTACTGATAGAGAATATTCTAAGCACATTTGGCAAACCGATGTAGGACAGAAAGGCATTTCCAACTCTTTTGTGGTTTTGTTGTTGTGTTTGTTCAATTGAGCATAAAAATTACACAGTGAAACAGGTTGAAATGTCTTTTAGTTCTTACTCTGAGTTCCTACTTTGTATTTTCTTTGGACTGTTCTTAATACATTTTCAAGAAAGTATAATTTTCTGTTAAATGCACAATTATTTACAATTTTGTTATATTTGTGTGATTTTATAAAAAGGTCTCTTAGCCACTCTTCTCTTTCTAAAGAATTATACTTCAAATAGAATAATGAAAATAAATGGGAAATGGTATTTAAATATGTATATAAATATTTGTTATATAGCTGTCTCTCAAGAACACATATGGTGGTTAAATCATACCACTAAAAGCTATAAATCACTTTATTAGCCTAGACATTTGTTTTATTTACTGTTTCCTGAAACAAGTATGCTTTTAGGGTGGGGAATGATAAACATTTTACATTTCTGGCATTTGCACTGGAATTATCGGATTAGGGTTTAACCTACTGCCCACAGGTTATTTAGTTGTTCTTTTCTATGATGCAAGCTGGGATTAGGTCAAATGCATCCTATTGGTTACCTTTTTCTCTCATAGACACATCTGTAACTGTTACATTGATTAACTTGATTGTAGCTGTCACTTTGAACATTTTTAGAAAATTCATATGTGAAAACTGAAGTCTGCAGATTACTTAGTGGAGGATTACTTGGATTGCCTTGTAGCACTATCCGGATAACCTTGGACAGACCCTTTAATATCTCTGAATTACAGTATCCCCTCCTGTGGGATGGGAATGATAATACCTTCCTACACAGAAAACTCATTGTGGAGCATGATGCAAATGTAAGGGGAGAGCCATTTAACTCTATATTTAGAAAGATTCATTTGATAGTGTTATTTAATGTCTTATGGTCCCTGGAGACTCAAAACACTCTGAAAAATATTCCAGCTAGTTTCAGTTGGAAGTTCTAACCTTAGAAAGTAAACCATGTGGAAAGTGTTTCATGGTTTATATTTGAATAAATTTTTTGCTTGAAAGCTCATAAAATTTCATATATGTATATATATATTCACACACACATATAAAATCATTTTTGGTATCCTTCTACTTTTCCCTTCCTTTGGTAACAAATAATATTTTTTGCAAAATGAACAATGCTTCAAATTGAGCATTTTTCTTTCATGTCTAGGATCTTCAAGGGGAAAACTTGGGAAATATATTCCTGTTTGGTATGACTTTCCTGTAGACATTTCAGAACTGCAGAACCATTATGGGGAACTTTTTTTTTTATGCAATAGCATTTCTTTTGAATAGTTCTCTTTTTCCCAAAGAATGTTTCCTCCTGGATTTTCTCAGCTGGTACTTTGGTATTTATGGCCTAAGTGATTTAGTAAATGTAAGAAAACGATGTTCACTGGTCAGTGTAAGAGGGAATATGAGGAATCTGTGTCTGTAAGCTGAATAAATACATTTAGCTGTATTGAAATTAACCTCTGTAGCCTGGAGCCAGAATGTGGAATATAAAGAAACAAAGATGTGGGATAATATACATTCTAGATAGATAAATGACCCATGGACTCATATATTATCAAGGTGTAGATTTTCTACAGTGGATTTCAAGTCCTGAACTTTTTACGCCTCTCCATTCTTCATATTTTGAAATAAAATTCTCTCTTTTTAAAAAACAGATAATATGTGATAAAGGAATAACAATAGGCAATTCTATTAGTCAAGAAAGGCTGAGTGCTATGACAAGAGCAACGAAACATGTAAAATGCAATGCGATATACATTTATTTCTCATTGGTGAATGATGGTTGCATGTGGTTGGTGGTGGTGGAGCTCTCTTCCATAGTCATTTATACATCCAGGCTCCTTTTATCTTGTGATTCCACCTGCTCTAGGTCCTTTGGGTGATCTCTATTCTGCTGGTTGACAAGGAAATGAATGAGAATCGTGTCTTCAAGGTATTTATGAGCCAGACCAGTAAATGACACACATCAATTTATCTTACAGTCTAGTCTCATAGATGTATCTAATTGCAAGAAAGGCTGAAAAATTAATTTAGTTGTGTTCCTAGAAACAAGAGAACAAGTAGCATTTATTGAATGCTTACCTGTGCCAGGTACTGTTCTGTGTCCACTTTATGGGTCAAATCACTTAATTCTGAGAACAACCCTAAGAGATTGATACTTTAATTATATCATATTCCAGATGAGGACGCTGAAGCCCACCCAAGGAAGCTCTTTAACCTGTTTGAGTCATAGAGCTAGTGAACAGCTGAGCCAGCATAGGAGATCAAATAATCTGGCTTGAGAAACCAGCTTCGAAATCATTACACATTCTGCTTTTATACACATAAACAAGGTTTATGGAATCACTATAATATTCACTAAATGTAGGAAACAAACATGTTAATTTTTTTATATGTCATCTAAGCTTATAAGATCATAACACCTAGGATTGACACAGTGGTGGTATAAAGCAGTTATAGTATGAAATTCAGTCATAAGCAACAGGAGCCTTTAAAATGGGATTTGCCCTTTGGCCCAGCAATTCTACCGGTTTTTAAAGAAACCCTCAAATAAATACAAGAAGTTGTACGTAGAAAGACATTTATTATAATGTTGTTTAAAATAGCAAAAATGTGGAAACAACCCAGCTGCCTGATAATAAGTATAGTTTCAATAAATGTTGAGATATACACAATGGATTATTTTGTAACTACTAAAGATGAGGATGCACATGGATACTTATAAAGTATGTTTATTTACTATTTATAAATATGTAAATTACAAAATATTGTATATATCAGAAAAAAATATTTTTGTTTAAAAAGTGTATATTTGTATAGGAAAACCTTGGAAAAGACAGAAACAAAATGTTAATATTGGTTAATGCTAGGTGGTGAAATCTTTGGTTTTAAAAACTTTGCTTATTTTTATTTTCTAATACTTCTATAAAAGCATGCTTTCCCTGTCTGATGAAAAAAAGAAAGCAATAAAGCAGAAAGTGAAAATTAAAAAGAAAATACATTTGCTCAATGTAGAGAGTGCCAGTGAGATGTACCCATTTATAAATGCCATAAAACGTCAGACCATTATGAGGAACCATCTATTAAATTCATTTTCATGCATTCAATTATCATATGCTCATTCATCCTATTATCAACAAGAAAGACGCAACCTTGTTGTCAAAGAACTTATTTAGGAGGGAGAAAAGAGGCAAAAGATGTACCAAATTCTGAGAAAACAGCATTCAACGATATGCTTTGCTGGGGGCCATATTTTTATATGAAATAATTTAGCACAAATTGTGGCTGCTATCAATCACATTTAGTTGTCATTATCATCCTTAAGTTATTCAGTGGCAGAAAAACCATTCTCATTTTGCCAGGACCTTACCTCAAATGTCTGAGAATATTCTAAAGAAGCTTCTATAAGGGTCCATTCATCAGATGAGAGGGCCACTTGAGTAGGGCAGAAGCTTATAGAATTTCTTAAGGACTCTTATGGGTTAAAAATCTTCTGAAATATCTCCATGGATAACTTACTAGGAGGCCTTGAATTTCTTTTTAAATAATGGCATTTCCATTTTTCATGGTGTATATTTGAGCTTCTGGAGAGCGAGGCATCAATTTGATTTAATTCAATTCAACAGACATTTATTGTAATTGCATTATATTTATTATAATTGCATTATAGCATTTACCATCACTTCAGGAGGAATCTCAGTAATTAGAGACCTCAGCAGTCAGTCATTTTTGCCTTTTGTCTAAGTGTAGGATACCTCTGGGCCTCTGCTGACCCAGAATACTGTGCTGTAATTGTCTGTTTATCCCAGGAGACAATATCCTTGAGACCAGAGACTATGTCCTCTCATCACTCCAAGTGATTCCTGGAACATGGTAGGCACTCATAATTACCTTCTGGGAAAATCCACTCCTCATTCTTTTGCCCCTTTTTAACATTTAATTGCTCATTAGTATTTCTTTCAAAGGAATTGCTAGAGAATAGCTAGACAAGAGGAGGAATCATTGGTCAGTCATAAACATTTAATGAGATAGCTGAAGAAATTACAGTTCGGATTAGAAGATTATAGCACAATTTTAAAATTAGTACTTGCCCTCGTAGAGCTCATACTCTTACTGAGACAGTGCACATAGTCCCAGAAAAAATGCTTCAGATGTTTAACTGTATGTCACTGAAAAATTCACATTAATGTGTGTGTGTTAGATAGATAGATAGACAGATAGATAGATAGATAGATAGAGACAGATAGATACCCACACATTATTTAATATAAACTAGTATTAGGAAATTAGCTCAATAAAGCAGGTAAATAAGTGATGATTTAGATAATTGATGATTCAGATAATTACGTGACTTCTTTATTGAAGGAAAGTAGTTTTGTGTAGGCTTTCATTTGCATATGAAGTGTCCTAAGTAATTTTAATCACTTCATTCTTAGAAATGTATGGATTGTGGTAATATGAGGTTCATTTATAGGATAGTGGGGACATAACAGGGGAGACCTTTCACAAGGTGGGAATATAAAGTAACAGAGTAGTCAGATGTGGGTGTAGCTATTCTGGGTATGTGAATTTTGAAAAGGGTTTGAAAAAAGTCAAGAAAAAAACATTTCATTCATTTAGTCATTTATTTATTCAACAGATGCTTAGTACATATCTGGCATAGGAGAAAAAGGCATGGAAAAGTAGCAATAGGAAATGTGTAAATAAATGCATTTAGGTTTTACATAGACAAATTTTCTCCACTGAGGTTGACATATTCTGTGGGGGAGTCATAGAACGTCCTGAAATCGAGGAGTGCTGAATGAAATTAAGAGCTAGAAGTGTTGAATAATGGAAGAAACATCCGCATTGATGTCAGCAAGTCCTGGTTTTGAATCTTGGCTCTATTTGTTGAGCAAACTACTGTCATCTGTGAAATGGGGATAACAATTACCTTATATGGATAAGTGAAGCATTTAGCCTCCTAGAATAGCACCCTAGCACATAGAAATGTATAGCAAAAATTGCTTCTCTTCTGTCCTCTTTCTCTTCTGTAATGTGGCCCTTTTCATAGCAAGCTAATAGGGAGGCTTGGGGAACCAAACTTGTTACAGTGAACTCTAGGTGGCGCTCTAGCAATGTAAGAGAGGTTGTTGGAGGGTAGGTCTTTGTGAGAAGGAATGTGGCATATGCCAGGTGCCTGATTACCACATGAAATATGCCCCGTTCCAGCCTAACCTCGAGTAAGCTAGTAGGATTGGAGGGTTGGGGTTCTGTGAAAATACCCATACTCATTTCAGCCATGTGAAGAGCTGTATGTATTTTGTGTAAGACTGGTTAGAGGATCAGTAACACTGACCACTTCTTTCCAGAAGCACAGGAAGGAATGATCAGATGGGGAAGCACATGGACAGGTCATCCAAGGAGAAAAAATAAGTATTTATGCTGATCCTTTATTATCAGTGGTAGAAAAAGTCCAGCCTCATTTGCCATCACACTCTCTGCTGCTGCAACCAGAGGTGTGAGAGTCCTGTGAGAGGGAATGAATCTTTAGAAGGAACCAGGAAAGATGATGGATACAGGGGAAAACACAATATTTCTTTCTTTGAAAGGCTACAAGGGTGGGAGAAGTCGGCTTTAGACCAGCAAACGTGTCATCTGTGTCACCACCTCTCAATTTCATGCTCGTGGCAGACATTAATAATTGATTATGCCAATTTTCCCTGTTGAGATTAGAAATGACTACACAAACATTCTTGTCATAGCGCTCCAGACAACCATTAAAAAAATCATAGGAATTGACACATGTATGAAAGCTCAGCCATAGGCATATATAGCTATCCCACCCTGAGGTTTTTGTTTGTTTTGTTTTGCTTGTTATTTTTCTGTTTGGCTGGCAATGAAATCTAAAGAGCTGTCTTAGAAGATATGTTATGCAGATTTGCTGCAGTAACAAATAACCACACTGTCTTGGTGACTTAGAATAACAGTGTATTTCTGGCTTACATTATGTGTTGGGACTGTGAGTCAACTGCTGTGGCTCTGCTCTGCAATTCCTCATTGCTGCATGGCAGGACACAGGCTCAAGGAGCAGACCCAATTTGGGACATGCAGTTTTTATGGTAGAGGACAGAAGAACAAGAGGGTTGGCAGAAACAAGTGATGCCTCCTAATACTTTTGCTCTGATGTGTATGTCAAGTTCCTCACATTCTTCTGGTGAAAGCACATCTCAAGGCCAAATCCAACATCAACGCAGTGGGGATTGATAACCAAAATGAGTGACTGACACAGGTCTCAATTATGGAGGTTTACTAAGCCAGCTTTAGAATGCATCTGAGGAAAATAAGTGCCACAGACATAACTGTGGCTATTTTTCCAAAGAGGTTGTCAGGAAGTTTAGTATTTATACATTTCCTTAAAGGTGTGGAAGGCATGTAGGAAGAGGGGCAGGTGGGCAGTAAGGTGAATAGTTACATTCCTGTGAGACTTTGGTCAGTGCCCAGTAAATCTACATTTTCCATGAGATAAGGTAAATTTCTGAAGAGAAAAAAGGAAGTAAAAAGAGTCAACTATGCAGACATCTCTGGGTAGGTTGAAGAAATGAGTCTTGAATTTGTTCTGCACTTGGGAAAATAAGCTTGTGATGAACATTATCAATGTGGGTTTTAGGAGCTAGACTTAGATCGTAGACCTAAAGTTACAGTTGGCATGTCCTTGTTTATGGGAGGCCAGCAATTTATTTACTTGTGAATGATCTGTGGGGGCAGCCCTTTGCAGATGTCTGAGGCTTTTACCTTTTCATGAGGATCTTGCTGATGCACAGCGTTAGTAACAGCTATTTCTTTGGAAGAGGGTGTTGCAATGACTCAGCTTCCTCTGGGTTTAAGCATCCTTTTGCATAAGAAGTTTGGGAGGTCCTGAGATTTAAAATTTTCCTTTACAGGATGTATACTCCTTTTAGGGCAGGGATACTGCAAGAGACACAGCTGTGGTTGAGGATATATCATCCTCTTACAGGATGGAGAGGAAATGATCATGCAATCTACCACTGAAGATCCCTTCCTTGTAATCTTATTAAGGCAGCATAAACCATTTATGCACCATAGTTGGTAACTAAGCACCTTTCAGGATTCTTCCTCAATGCCAATGAAGACAGAACCTATGGAAATCTGAGGTCGAGCATCTTCTAGCAACTCATTCAAGTTCTCAGATTGTGGGCTAGCACCTTCTCTTTAGGAAACTTCTCACTACACTCTAAATAGCATGATCTAATTAGACCAGCTAACTTAAGCCAAAATTCTTTACATGACCTGTGCACTGGCTCCTGTTTAGTTTCTAAACACTTTTGACATTCTTCACCAGGACCTTTATTATAGGACAAAAATATTGCTTGAAGTTAGGAACATACTATGTTTTCTTTGCATATGCTCTTCCCTTTGCCTGGGATATGTTTCCTGCTAGGAAACATTTGCAAAGCTTACCGTCTTATCCTATGTACACACATAAGTGTGGCATTTGTCATTCAGCAGGCTCTAGGATGGCAAATCTGCCACTTTTTTCCCTAATAAGAAAATCTTTGTAAGCAAAAAAAAATAATCTTGGGTGTCAATTGAAACAGAAGTGAACCAATGTTTCAGCAAAAGAGCACAGACACATTGTTCTCATTAATCCTAATTTGCCATCCCCACCAGGGACGATTTGAGTGCCAATTCTTGTTGCAAGGAAAGCACCCAATTCTCTATTTCCCTGAGACCTTCCAGCCAGGGCAGTAGCTGACTTCAGCACTCCCTCTGGGCTTGACAGCAACTGAAGGAGCAAATGTACTTAATGCTTGGGTTGACCAATGAGTAAGTTACACCATTTTGAGTGACAGCTATATAATTCTCCAACAACTGTACACCTTACTCAAATAAAAGAACATGCTACAATCACAGGATTGAGGGGCTCTGTCACCTTACCATAAGAATATCGGCCTGTGACCCTCTTTCCTTTCTATACTCTGAAGAGCTGAGTGTTTGACCCTCAGTTACTTGTGTATATATATATATGCTTTTATATACATATTTATGCAGCAATAACAAGAAAGAGAATGGCTCAGTGAAATGCTGATAGTCTGCTAAGGTCACTGAAAGTTGTGCATCTATCTTCACTTCCTGCATCATAATATTATGGTCCTGTTACATTTCCCTTTGATACAAAATATTACATTTCTTTTTACTTAACTGATAGGTGGTTGGAATTGTTGTTTTAATTTTGCAAAATCCACGAAGAGGACCAGTCTCAATATTCTGGAGGAAGAAGAGGACATACTGAGGCCACAGCTCATATAAATACACATTGCCTTGGAAAATACCCTCATCATCCTCAGGTCTCAGCTGTGATAACACTTCCCCTGGGTCATTCTGAGCCAGGTGTCCAGCTATGCGCTTCTATGTGTAGTTTGTGCACTGAATGGGTAGACTCTATTTCTTGAGGCAACGTTTCTTCAGTGTTTAGTCTACTGGTTTGGATGTAGACTAGGTCTTCAGTAAGTATTCATGGAATAGATGGCATAAATGAATTCTTACTGCAGTTGCTTGTTCTTGTCTTGTAGACCAAGGAAAGATCTTGGGTTGGACTAGGCCACCAAGAAAATGGAAATGGGAGTTGGAACGCTTTTTAGGAAATACTCTGACCAAAGCAGACATGTTTAGAATGCAACATTTTTTACCGCTCTGGGCTTCTCCTTTCTTTATAAGGAAGTACTCTAGTGTGGTAGTTAAGGGCAGAGACTAATGACTGACATACCTGGTATTAAGTATTTACTCTACCTTTGGTTAAGAGTAAGGACTTTTTAAGCAAGTTGGTTTAAAACCTCTAAGCCTCAGTTTTCTCAACTGTAAAATAGAATAAATAATAATACCTATCTCATGGAGCTGTTGTGTTGAGTGAGATTGTGAGTGTTTGGGCCAGAGTAAGCACTCAGTAGTTATTAGTTGTTAAAGTTGATATTGCTAAGAATTAGTATATTTCTGATTTGATTATCAGAATAAGAAGAGTCAGGAAAATGAAGTAAAGCTACTAAGTATCTATGAGCAGATTTCAGAAGGCCATATGATTAAAAATTATTGGTAACTTATATTCTCTTGCATATAACCTTCCACTACTGACAACAAATTAAGAATACTCCATGTAAATATAATCAGTATTCAAATAAGGGTGTCTATTTTCCACTCGCTTTGTAGAAAAGTAGCATAAACGTAAATGCAAAGACTCTGAAAGCAGTGTGGTTGGTAAACATTACACTTCCCCTACCCCTGTCCTATTCAGATCCCAAGGTTGGTTATGTTTTAAAAACACACTTGCTTTATTAATCTGATTTAAGATAAAGGAGGAGTTATTAATTATACATAATGCTTAGGCTAGCTTGTAAGAAACTGACATTGTGGCCTTTGTTAATAGAATTGCTTTCTTAGTGATTACTCAGTAGGGGGTGATACTAGGTGCCCTTTGTTGCAATAGAAACGATGTTTACTGCCACAGAAGACAGGTAGCTGTGGCCTGAATGGACTTTCTCCTTTCCATAACTGTCCTGAGAGATGCTGGGTCAGCATTTCCGACCTTTTTAAGAGGCAAGTCTGCTCTATCTTCTCAGCTGTAGGTCAATGAGAGTAGATTACCTTTTCTAGTTTTGATTTTAGATTCCTCACATCAGTGAGGAATTCTAATGTCCAACAGGGTTGTGGTGACTGCCTTCTCCAAGTCCGTCTTCTTTGAAATGACAGCATGGCAGTATCAATAGCCTCATGAAAAAGGTGGAATTTCTCCTCTGAAAACAATGTTCTACCTCAGGATAGGATGTAAGGGCATGCCTGTGGAATGAGAGACAAGCAGAATTCCTACCTGGAATACTATGTATGTGTGGTGAAAATCTGAACTTCACATTTTGAGAGGAGCAGACAAAGAGAACCTGGTTCAGATTATGTTCTTCATTTTAGTGGAAATAGCACTGGATTTAGAATCACATAGATTTAAGTTTATGTTCTGCCTCTTGCACATTCTAGCAGTATGATCATGGGTAAATTGGCAGACCCCTCTGAGCCTCAGAGTGCCATTGTTAAAATTAGTAATATATAAGAATCACCTTCTAAAATGCTTGCAAGATATTAAATACATAACAAATGGTAGTTATTTCAAATAGCAGGGGTAGTAGTATAAATATCTATATATGTATATATATATCTCCACACACACACACGTATATATATATATACATACATACATATATATTTTATTTTGGACCAATGGAAACTTGTAGAATAATATTAATGATAAATTACACTGAGTGCCTACTATGTGATAGATTGTTATTTTTAATATGTATATTATCTCATTTAGTTTTATACTCATGAATGTTTAGGAGGTGGGTACTATTATTTGGTAGATTAAGAAATTCAGAAATAAAGAATAAATTACTGAACATGAAGAGGTGATATAGTCTTCTGAGACTTCTGAGTCACATGAATTTTTTTCTATTACAGAGGTAATTTATCCAGAATTTTCTATTTACCCAGGAGGGAATAGATAGTCCCATGAGACAAGATTTATTCATTAAGTTGCCAGTCTAGTTGAGACACAAAAATATATGTCCAAATAACGAGTGATCAAGCCTTATAATTGGTGGCCATGATACTGTTTAGAGAGAAAGACTCAACAAGACCTTACTCTTCTTTTCCTTCTTCATCCATTCGCTCCTCTACTAAGTAATCATCTGGGGCACTCATTCTAAGGTCAGTGCTAGGTACCAGTGTGGAATCTGGCCTCAGATTTCCTGGGTTGGAAGCCCTACTTCCCCACTTATTTGCTGGCTGACCTCAGGCAAGCCACTGAATTTCAAGGTTCAGTTTCTTCATTTGTCAAGTGGGCATAACAATAATATTATTCACCTCTCAGTGTTGTGAGAAATGAATAAGAGAATGTATGTTAAGCTGCTAATACAACTTCTGGAATATAATATACACTTTATTATCATCATCAACAACATCATTATTACTTTTGAAAAGATACTTTCTGTACTCTGGGAATGCTAGACATCTCACTAAGGCGTCACTCAGCATAACCAAGGATATATTATGGTTCCATTAACCTCTACACGAGACACTAGTGTCCTAAAAGTTTCAATGTGTTTTTAAAAAATCTGATACATTAGCTAGGGTGGTGTATGCATGAGTGAGCGTGTGTGCAAGACACAGAGAGAGAGGTTTCTAAATTACTCCCTGAATACAGCATTCTGGGAGCAACATCCAAGCAGAGTAAGCCACAAAAACAGTGGACAGAGAAGAATATTCATTTTGGGGCTGATGTCTCCTCCATTGCTCCATAGAGGAATATTTAGCAGAGTTTGACTTAAATATCCTGACTCATAGGAACAAGAAGACACCTTCTCTCTTCAGTTTTCCATCCAGGGAATAGTTTAGCAACTCTAGTTCCACTCTCCCACCAAGACATCAATACACTGATTTCAGCTTAGCAGAGAGAAGAAGATGGTAAAGTTGAACGTGCTCAGATAAGTGTGGGGGATTCAGAGGTTGACTGTCCAATGTTAGCATATCCTGTGAAGCACTTCAGACTCAATTCTAGTGGGCGGTCAAACTGTCCATGAGAGGTGCAACTGTTTAATCCTATTATTTATTTATACAAACTGTCCTGAAATTGCCAGTGCAGATTTTAAATCACTTTATAAAGCCTTAAAAATAACCATAGTGTCTTGCATTGTCCCTTGTTTCCTGACTCTCTCCCTCAGTGTAGGCCACTGTTACTGGCATGCATGGGATCAGCATTATATTCAGTTTAGAGTGGGTAATCTTTTGGGTTCAGTGTTTACTGCACAGGTGATGGGTGCAGCAAAATCTCACAAACCACCACTAAAGAACTTATGTAACCAAATACCACCTGTTCCCCCAAAACCTGTGGAATTAAAAAATAATAATATAATGTCAAAAGTCATGACAAAAAATAAAAAAAAAAAGAGTGGATCATCTTTAGGACCTGCCCTGGTTTGTAATGCAGGCATTGCAGAATATAGCAAAAGCCTGGAATAGACCCTGTGGTGGTTTTTAAAATATGTCAACACAATGTTAATCTTCCCTTTGAAAGATGGGCTCTGATTTCCCTCTTCTTAACTGTGGGTTGTATTTAGTGACGTGCTTCTGATGAACTGAATATGGTTGAGGTGAAAGTGTGTAATGTTTGACATAAGGGTATATAAGGCTTTCTCCTTGTTATCTCTCTCCAGAAAGAAGCCAGCTACATTGTCATGAAGACACTCAAGCTGACCTATGAAGAGGTCCATGTGTTAAGAAACTGCGGCCTGCCACCAACAGCCATGTGAGTGAGCCATCATGGAAATGGATTTTACAGCTCAATTCAAGCTTTCAGATGGTGGCAACCTGGGCTGACATCTTGAGCACAGCCTCTTGAAAAATCTCTGAGCCAAAACCAACCATTTAAGCAGCTCCTGAATTTCAGACCCACAGATATGCTGACATAAATGTTTATTGTATTAACCCATGATTTTTCTTTTTAATCACACAGTACTAGCCTATTTTGGCAAATCTTTTTCAAGAGACTCTTCATTTTTTTCTTTTCTTTTTTTTATTTTTTTGAGACAGAGTCTCGCTCTGTTGCCCAGGCTGGAGTGCCGTGGCTTAATCTCAGCTCACTGCAACCTCCACCTCCCAGATTCAAGCAATTCTCCTGTCTCAGCCTCCTGAGTAGCTGGGATTACAGGCGTGCACCACCATACCCAGCTAATTTTTGTATTTTGTATTTTTAGTAGAGACAGGGTTTTACCATGTTGGTCAGGCTGGTCTCAAACTCCTGGCCTCATGATCCACCCACGTCAGCCTCCCAAAGTGCTGGGATTACAGGTGTGAGCCACTGTGCCCTGCCTTTTTTTCTTTTAATTGTCATTTTATAGCTCTCCACCGCAGCTTCCCCACACCCTTCCCTTCCATGATGATGTTTACAGGCTTTGGGGGGACCACGGAACAAAGCTGGGGCCTGGCAGCCCCACTAGGTTGCCAGCTGGGGAGAACAAGGCACAATTACAAATTATCACAACAATTAGCACCTGTACTTGGGGGATCTGCAAATTGAGGAGGCCCCAGCTCCTCATGGTACAGGGGTCTATCTGGCAGTGAACTTACTCTGGAGACAATGGTATTCCTTCAGTCTGAGGGAGTTGATGTTGATGAACCCGGTGTCATCAATCGGCTCATAATCACCCTGCACGTTCACGCTCATCAGCTCCTCATTGTAGAGAGACAGTGGGGACTCCCAGCCAAGGATGTACACCTGGCCCTTGAGGACCGGCACCTGCACTTTCCCTTCTGCCGGCTCCTGGGACTTGGCGATGCAGGGGCGGACAAATTCACACTCAGGGCTATGTCAGAAACTGGTGTATATCAGCTCAGCAAATTTCAAGCCCAGGCCTTGATTGGTTTTGTGCACTTCCCGGTCTGTGGTGAAGACCTTGATGTCTAAATGAGCATGGTAAAGGATGGTGCCTACTGGGGTCTGGTAGATACCTTGGGCCTTTGTCTGGTGAAGATGTTCTCCACGATGGCAATAAGCCCACACCGTGCTTGCCTGCAACTTCGTTCAGGTACATGAAGAGCTCCAAGGAGGTCTGGTGGGTGGTGCCATCCTTGACGCTGGTCACCCTCACGGGGACTCCTTTTTTGAATTGGATCTTGAGAATGTCAGGGGTGTTGGGGGCTTTGGCTGGGTCCTGGATCTTTGTGTAGAGACCTGGAGGCACTTGGTTCTTGGGGTTCTCCAGGATTCCAGCCTTGTAGCTGATGTGCATGAGGTTCTTGTCGATGCTCCACAGGTTCTTGGGAGTGACCAGGATGGGAATCCCGTGTTGCTTTGCATATTCCATCAGGTCACTGCGGCCCTTGAACCAGTTGTAGAACTCGGGCATCCTCCAGGGAGCCCTCCAGGGACCTTCATCTGGGGGGCCAGCGAGTAGCAGATGAGCTCAAACTGGACCTGATCGTTCCCCTTTCTTGTGGGGCTGTGGGACACACACTTGGCCCCCACCCGCTGGACGGTTTCCACTTTTTTGTGGGCGATGCAGGGCCTGGTGAGAGAAGTACCCAGGAGGTAGTGGTCCTCATACAGTGCGCTGGACTGGATGGCCGCCCAGATGAACTCCTCCACAAACTCCCTGCTGACATCCTCAATGAACACCTTTTTGGCTCCAAGCTTCAGTGCCTTCTTCCTGGCTTCCTCGAAGTCTTCCTTCTGGCCAGTATTGGCCAGGTAGGCAGTGACATCATAGCCTTGTTCCTTCAGCCACACGAGGATGCAGGAGGTGTTCAGGCCACCACTGTAGGCCAGAACCATGGAGCCTTTGCTGGACATAGCGTCTGGGATTGGAGGCGTGAGTTCCCGGTGTCTGGAATCTGTCTTCACGGTGCAGTGAACCACTCGGGCCCGAGCAGCGGTGGCAGGCGACAGAGCAGGTGACTCTTCATTTTTTTTTTTTTAAGAAAATAGACTCACACAAAGAAATTGATGAGTTGCTGAAGTCAGGGATTATATGTCCCCTTGCTAGCACCTCCAACTTCTAATTGTTCCTGGGCTGGCTGTGAGGTCAGGGACTGAGTACAGAATCACACCGTGGCATGTATGGAGGAGGGAATACTTAGGAAGCCCAGCTAGTCTTATGAACACCATGTGAGGACTTATCTTTAGCTGATGGGCATAGTATCCTTGCTCTAACAAGAATCCCTCAGGTTTAACAACATACATCTTGCTTGCATGGTTGATATATAGACATTATTTTTGGTTTCAATAAATCCATAAAAGTCAACCTCTATGGTTTTAAGGGTAAGAAATGTGTCAAGTACTGAGATTGATGCCTAATTCTTAGTACTCAGGAAAGATTTAGGAGAGGAGGATGTTTTGAGAACTCCTTATGGACTCAGAAGGGACATTATGAGTGAAGACTAATTGGATAGAGAAATTAGTTCCTAGACATGTGCAGTAGCTGTGGCTTCCGTGTTCTCTGAAACATTCCATACAACATTCTCATTTTCTGGGTGGTATTGTGGACAGAACCTTAATCTTATAGTGAAGAGGCTTGGCTTACAGTCCTATTTCCCACCAGAGATACATTTAAAATTGCAAAATAGGCCAGTAGTGGTGGCTGTGAGCCTGTAATCTCAGCACTTTAGGAGGCCAAGGCAGGCAGATTGCTTGAGCCCAGGAGTTTGAGATCAGCCTGAGCAACATGGTGAAACCTTGACTCTACTAAAAGTAAAAGAAAAAATTAGCTGGACTTGATGGCGCCCACCTGTAATCTCAGCTACTTGGAAAGCTGAGGTGGGACGATTGCTTGAACCTGGGCTGCCAGGCTGCAGTTAGCTGAGCCTGCACTTCAGCCTGGGTAGCAGAGTGAGACCCTGTCTCAAAAATAATAATAATAAATGAAATAAAATTATGAAATATTTTTTTCTCCAAAGACATTTTTCTTTTTGCCTTTTAATGCAGTTAAGGGATAGGGTTATAATTGGAAAACACATTTTTTAAAGAAACTGTACCAAAAAATGGATTCTCATCATGACAATGACTTAAATGCATTTTTTAATCTCAAGGATGATGCTTTTGTTCCAGGAAGTTATGTTACAATCAAATTAATTCGCCTTTGCAATGAGACCAATGGATGAAAAGGTCTGTAAAGTGCTAATTGTTGTTATTAATTTATAAGATAAAGCATTTGTTGTTTCGGGAACCAGTCCCAGAGCTGACTGTTTTCACATAATCTTATATTGTGAGTAATTATACACAGACATTAACGTGATAAAGATAATTACAAGAATCTATCATTGCTGGGGTTTTGGTTTATTTGATTGTGAACTTTTGGGAACTTTGGATTAGATGATTAACTTACACTGGGTATTTATTTGTTGGCGAATGCCTGAAATAGTTACTGAAATTAATACAGAGCATGTTTTTACCTTTTCACAATGAATTTGTTTGATTAACAGCATGGTATTTATTCAGTTGGAGATCTTAAATACCAGATGCAAATTTCAAATAATCACTTCAACAATTGAGTTCAAATATTTAACAGATCAGTACAGAAAAGATTAAGTGGGAAATTTACTTTAAAGGACAAGTGTGTGTGTTAGAGACAGAGATAGAATGAAACGCCAGTAAATTTTAACCATTTCAGACCTTATGGTGTGGCAGACACATGGATCATGCAATGGTGATGTTTTTAATTTTTGGAAATTTTCTATTCCTTACGAGTTGTATGTAACTTTTCCTGATATGTTAGGGAATGGCATCCCACCTTAGCCTTGTGTAAGCATCACCAAGAGATCTTGTTAAAAATACAGATTCCTACTATGCAGCCATAAAAAAAGAATGCGATCATGTCCTTTGGAGCAACATAGATGCAGCTGGAGGCCATCATCCTAAGTGAATTAACAGGAACAGAAAGCTAAACACTGCATGTTCACTTATAAGTGACAGCTAAACACTGAGTACGCATGGACATAAAGATGACAACAGTAGACACTGGGGATTACTAGAGGGGAGAGGGAGGAGGCAAGGGTTTACAAACTAACTACTGGGTACTATGCTTACTACTTGGGTCACTAGATAATTTGTACCCCAAACCTCAGCATCAGACAATATACCCAAGTAATAAACCTGCACATGTAGCCCCTGAATTTAAAATAAAAGTTGAAGAAATAAAATAAAATAACAGAAAATACAGATTCCCAGGCCCCTTGGGATTCTGAATTGTAGATCTGGTCTGGTGCCTGCACACCTTCACTTTTAATCAGCTCCCCAGGCGAGTCTGATGCACAGCTTGCTTTAAGAAGCATTAAATTAGGGCATTCCTGTGGAAGTCTGCTCCCAGCTTAAAACATGGTATTTTATTAATTTGCTCTTAAAATCATAAACAAGAAAGCATAAGAAAAGAAACATTGTTCTCTCTCTTTTCCCCTACCCATCAAGCCTGGTTCCAAACTTTGCATATCTTTTTTCTTTATTGTGAGAGACACTATCACCTTCAAGCTATGTCTTCCCCCAATTTTTTACCTAAGAAAAGAATCATTTACCCATATCTAGCCTAATCCTTCCTAGGATTTAGATTCAACTCATGCTTGAGGCTAGCTCTAATGATAACTGGGCCTTTTTCTTGCTCTCTGGATTCTGCTGCCTCATTGTACTCAGTTTATATTACTGGGTTTCTGGATTGTTCCTAAGTCTTAGTCCTGAAAATCCATCTAGTAGTTTAGTCCCTCTAGGATTAGAGCTCTGTATTGGTTTCCCTCTAATCTCTTCCCAAGAATGTAAATTTGCTTCAGAACCTGGTCCAGAGGCCAGAACAGTCACAGGTTATTAGATTTCTCCATGCAGTCTGGCATTCTTGACTTCCTGAAACCTATGTCTACTCTGATACCACATTCCACTCACTCAACTGGCCAGATACTCTGTGTTGGACTTCCTAATGACTCCTGACTGGGGACAGTCCCTCCTGAGAGAATAGGTCTTGTTCCAAGTTCTCATTCTATGTTCTGGTTAGCTTCATTTTATGTTCTGGTTAGCTTCATTCTGTGTTTCGGTTAGCTGATTCCAGACAGGTGATGTCCCTGAGACCTGACCCCACAGTAGAGCATCCATGAACCACGGTAGATTGTATAAGCAGATTAATGGGAAAAAAGCATGCTTTTCCTATTTAGGTTTTCTTTTCCTTTGTCTTTCTCACTGTCTGTATCATGAGACATAAATTTATGGCTCTATGGAGTGGGATGTGAGTGAACCCGAGAGAATATACTTGAAGGCTCAGAAGAGGATGATAGGCCAGCCTGGTACAAGACAACATGATGAATGATGACTGTCCTGATTATATGCTCACTTGGTATAATTCAGACTTTTGTCTATTCTGAGACAATGGCACTAAGGCCACTTGATCTACCATGCTGGTAACAACTGTATTCTGAAAAGGTGGCACATCTTGTGACCCCCTAGGGAGTTAAGGCTGGTACTTGATGGTCCAAGAAATGTAGTTTTGAAACAACTTCTCAAAAGATGTTTAATTATGGAATAAGTTTTATTGAACCTTTACTATTTGCTAGAAACTGGACACGGTTGTTTAAAGTTCAGGATTATCTGAGAGGCTTAATGCTTTCTTATGCAAAAAATAACCCTGGAGTAAGATGAAACCTTTGTGTTCCAATGGAGATTGACCTTCCCCAGACCAACACCAGTGTCTGGGAAGGCACCAGGGTCTAAGAAGGAGGTTGAAGGAAGATTTCAAGACTTACCCTTGGCTGTCCACATGCATGGGCCAGTTCTTTGGGCTAGACTACAGCAGAACTTATCTTTCAGTCAAGGCTGATGGCAGAATGCTAGCTATTGATGCCTTATTTTGTTTCTTAAGATAGGAATTCATATAAATGAGTATGAATTTAGGGTGCAGTGAAGCTGAACAGACTTCTGCATTAACATTCTTGTCAGCATCCCATCAGGGTCAGATGGACAATGGAAGGGTGAGTCCCATCTGTCCCCTTTATTCTGCATCTGGAAACTGCCAGCTGAGTTGACCCTCCTCTGTGATCAACCCTGCATCTGTTTTCAGATTATGTCAAGGCTCCAGAGCTCTGTTTAAGTAGAGTGTTGCTCTAAGCCTCCATTTGTCTGACTCAGTCACCTAACACAGAAAAAAGTAACTGAAATAAAAACCTCATACAAGATTCTATAAAAATATTCACTAAGTCAGTTCTAATAAACATGAATGGTTCTGTAAACTGCAGATCAAATACTTCCCCCCCCACTCTCTTTTTGGCTCCTGAGTAATTATCATGGCAAGGGGATTGAAGACTGCTTAGGTGACTCAGATATCTGTTAATGAAAGCCATCAACGGTCACAGAACTCCGATTTTCCATATTAATATTTTCCCATATTAATAATTTTTCATATTAATTTTCCAATAATTTTTCCATATTAATATCTATTAATATTCATAGAATCCTTGAAAATGTACCCCTATTTTCATCTGTTTCATCTTTGTGGGTTTGTGCGACTTGGTGGTAAAGTAAGAGTGGGAAGACAACACCTCTTGGCTTACCCCAAGTGACGGTCAACAGTTAGTCTCGTTTCTTCTCAAAAAGGGAATTAAAGAAGTACAGGTACTCAGAAGTGTTACTACTTGAGGAAATATAAGGAGAAGCTCTTGGTTCGCAGGCCCACTTTTCTTGGGTAGAATTATGTTAATAACTAGAACTAAAACATATTTCAATCACTACTACTTTAACATACTTCTGTAGCATTTTTCATAATTGAAAAGAGAAATGTGAGGGATTGCATTCACAGTATTCAATACCATAAATGCTTATTTCTGAACTGTGATTGTATATTGTTTCATGGCTTATGCTGACACGTGCTTAATTCCTGTCACAGCCAGAATGGTGTGCTCTGGGCTGATTACATTTTGACCAAACACTCTATGGAGATTCTAGGAATGGCCAACATATAATAATAAAGTGTGTGTGTGTGTGTGTGTGTATGTGTGTGTGTTAACCATGTTTAGACTTCCATTAGATATTTAAGATGACATGCGACATTTTCCTAATGTTTAAAACCATATTTGCCAGTTTAGACTCAAGTTTGTTAAAATAAAGAAGACATTCACCAAGCAAACAGGCTTTTCTCTTTTGACTGAAAACAGACATGTTTTCAGACTAAAGAGTCCCAATTTTATTGCTAGTGGTATAATAGAGAAAGGACCACAGAAATTGGGATGGAAGAGGGTAAAGACCTGAATCCATACAGAGATTGGAGGTGTTTCTCTGGATAGCAACATTTAAAAAATAAAACCAAAAGGAAGAGCAGGCAACATGCAGGTAATAAGAATGTAGAGAAATGATAGATACAAAAATAGAAAGGGAAAGACAGAGAGAGAACCACAAGGAGTTTGTAGTTCCTACTCTTTTCCCTTCCAATAAGGCTATCAAAAGTAAGTTGCTTATTTCAAAATAGCAAGGAGCTATGAAGGAGCTGCGATGTCCCCTAGGCAGAGAAATTTCCTAAAATATCTTAAATCTTTTACTGTTTCTTCCCCATTGTCTTTAAGAAAAAGTCCAGACTCCCTCAAGTGGCTGTAAGGTCTGATATAATCCAGTCCCCACCTACCTCTTCAGCCACATTTGTGCTTTTACTTTTTTCATTCTGCTCCTGTCAAATTGACATTCTTTCAGATCCTTGATCTGCCATATCCTCTATGGAATCTGAATCTTCACACAACCTGATGTTCCCTACTTGATTATTCTTCCTTTCTCCCTACCCAACCCTTTCATATGTCTAAATGCTTCTTGTCTTTCAGGTCTCAGCTTGGTTGTCACTTCCTCAAGGAAGCCTTCCCTGATTTCTCCTCTGCCTGATGAACCTAGATCTTCCACTCCATATTCCTATAACACATTCAACTTTTTTTCATAGCACTCATCACTGTTTAATTCACCTGTTTAATGCTTGCCTTTTTCATTACACTGTAAACTCCATGTGTTTACTGCTATATGCAAGAATTAGCCTGATAACTTACACTGGGTTTGTGACTAAATTTTCTGATAGTACTAGAAGTAAGACTATTGAGGCCCCAGGGTAAGTGAACACTTGTCTGAAAAACGTGAGGAATAATAAACACTCATGGGTTGTTGTGAAATAAGGCATGTAAAACATACACTGAAGTTTCTGGTACATAGGACTCATCAATTTGTACCTTGTAAGTAGCTTTGTGTCCTTTATTTAGAGTTAAGCAGTATAGAAATTGATAATTATATATCTCTTCTTAGACATATCAAAGTCTTTAAACTCAGCAGATTCAAAATCAAACTTGGGATCTTTTTCCCCAAACCTGTATCGATCCGTTATTCCCACCCTCAGTGGACAGAAGCACCACACCAGCCTGGATAGCTATCCTCAACACCCCAAACTCTGTCTTCCTCCCTAGCGGCCAATTCTTAACAAGTCCTGACCACTTTATATTTATTCACCCCATTCAATCCTCTTCATATTCAGTTCTTCCACCCTAGCCCATACTACCACCATCTAATTCCTAGACAATAGAGTGTCTTCATAAATGATCCTCTTTTTACTTGCATGCCTGCCTCCAATCCACTCTTCTCAATGTAGTTGGAGTGACTGTTTGAAAACTTAAATCAAACCAAGTCACACACATCCAACTTTATATTATTATCCAAAACAACAGAAACAACCACCACCACAACAACAGGTAACATGTTAAATGGCATCTTATACTACTCATTATATGCCAGGCACTATTTTAAGTGCTTTATGTATACTGATTTTTTAAATCCCCACAAGAAGTCAGACTGTTGTACGCGTTTAGTCCATCATGGAGAAACAAGCACAGAGAGGTTGAGTGATAAACAGCAGCCCACAGACACTACTCTTCAGTAGTTTTCTAAGTTGGAGAAGCCCTTATGGAGTACTGATGAAGAGAGTTGACTGTGAAAAGAGATTTCCTGGCTTCAAAGCCTGGCTCTACCATTTCCTAGCTGAAGCTTTATCTCTGTGGGCTCTGTTTCCTTATCAGCTAACTGTGGAAAATAATAGTGCCTCCTTTATAAGGTTTTGTCTCAAGTGAGTAATACAAGTAAAATGTTTAGAATGGTACATAGTTCAGAAAAAGATTTCAGTAAAAGTTGATATTGCCATGTATGTATAAAAATATAGGCCCTATATATCCTTCCAACCTCATCCTTCACAGTTCTTTCCCCTTTCTCTTTATTCTTTTTATTCTGGTATTCTTGTCTCTCAGAGAATCATTCCTCATGCTATAAGAAACACATGTCCCCTTATCTTTTCCAACAATCTTGCTCTTCCCTATTTTACTTTTACACATTGTACAGTTCTCAGCTCGGATGTCACTTACACAAGGAAGTCAATCATTACTCGCCTGCAGTCTAGTATAGCTCTCACTGTTATATATGCTCAGTATCTCCTTGTAACTTTCCCGTGAAGCATTTATCACAATGGCAGGCAATTTTATATTTATTTGTCTAATTTTTTGGTTGTCTATCTTATTAGATTACAAGGCCCATGAAAAAAGGGACCAAGTCTTTTTGTGTTCATCATTGTACAGTGAGCCTGGTATATATTTGTGTTGCTGAGTGAATACACATATTTCTCCATTATCTGGTAGTTGTAGTATAAAGGGTATGTTTTTGTTTTAGTAACACAAACTTGACTCAAATTTCTGCAGTGTGGTTGCTATGCAATGTGGTAAATCAACAGATATAGATATATGTGTGTGTATATATGTATATAACAGATATTATATATACATGTATGTATTGATATGTGTAGAGACATCTCTCAGTATACTCAGGGGATATGTTCACAGCAGAATTGCCTGTACAGGTATTGCCTACGGTGGAGACTTTTACAATTCTAGTGCTCATATTCTGCATCACCTTCTTGGCAAACTTCTCTGCCCCCCATTCCCCTGGAAACAAGTTCTGCAAGTCTTTCTCGTGCAGTCACATGCTACCTACTCACATACTCTTACGGTTCTTTTGTTCGTTCATAACATGCCTAACTTTTCTTTTAATCTTGGGTATAGTTTGTCTTTTATCTTTAAAAAATACCCATTCTTATACTACAACTGGTGAAATTTAGTCAGTCCTATGTCTCTGTTACAACTTCAGTCCCGGGAAATCATTAGTGCTACTCCTTACCCCCAAACACCATCGAATTTTTGTGTGTGCCTTTTACAGCTTTTTTTCTATTACTGTGGCTTTTCATTTCACCTATAATAAGTCTAAATTCCTTACCATGAGCTATAAGTTCCTGAAGAGTCTGGTCTCTATGTACCTCTCCTGATGCATTTCTTGTCTCTCTCTCCTTTCCCATTGTACTCTAACTATGCTGGCCCTTTGTTTTAAAAGTATAGCAGTCTTTTTCTTTTTTTTTTGTCCTGCCTCAGCACCTTTGGACTTGATAATCCATCTGGAACACCATTACCCCCAGCCTTCACATGTGAGGCACCTGAATACCATTTAATATTCTCAGGAATGCTTTTTCTGGCTATCCCACCTAAAGTAGGCTTACTTTTTAGAGCACTTAAAATGATAACATGTAATTAATTAATTTGTTTATTCACTTTTTTGGGAGTCTGAATCCCCTAATATAATGCAAGCCCCATAAAGCAGGGCCTATAAAAGCTTGACCATTTTCACTTCTCAGCATCTATAATGTCTTGTACTAACAGGCGAATATGGGAACATTAGGAATAAGTCCTTAGATAAGATAAAGTATTCTTTATTACAAGAAAATTTATTTAGCCAAATCAAATTTACAAAATGATAGAGTGCCTAATGAAATCAACTTCTTCATCTATGAGTACATGACATGTACTGCATACAGACACAGCCTGCAAACTGCACCGTTGCATGTTAATTGTATTATACGTCACAATTGGAGCATAGGAGGAAGGCAACTCATCCTGGAAACTGGGGACAAAATGACACCAAAGTTGGCCCATTGCATGAGACACAAGTCCCTCCGGTGAGGCGTGAACTTGCAGCTAGAAAAGCGCTATAAGGTATGACATATAGTCTTAGTGTCTGTCTGTTGAATCCACAGTCCCTGACATGAGGCCTGGAACATGGTAGGCTCTCAAATATCTGTTGAATGAACAAATGAATCTATATAACATGCCACAACCTGGTAATCTTTATTTATACTGAAGCTATTTTTGTTACTCAAGTTTGTCATTTTTTTCTTGCTAAAACAACATATTGCTGATTTTATATCAAAAATCTGTAGGGAAACATGACTCACTTTATAGCCAATTTTGCTGAAATGTATTGGCCCTGCAAAGCAAGAGAAATTTACGCTTTGAAATATGCATTGTCATTTACTCTTCAAAAACATAGTAGTTTTCCTTAGCTGTTTCTTGGTTTAATCAGTCCCCAAAGCTGAATAAATGAAAGAAATGGAATGTGTATAAATATTAAACTGCATTCTGGCAAGGTGACTTACACTTAGTTCATGGTAAGGTAATTATTAATGAACAACTGTTTTGTCTGGGTAATTGTTTTCCTCATAAGTTGTTATTGTTTTATGAAATATAGTAATTCCAGGAGAGAGAAAAATGTTCTCAGTGTGCCTAGCTCAAAGTCTAATCCCCAACATTATTAAGTAAATTAAAAAGTGCCATTAAGACGTCATTTTCATCTGTTAAATTTCTACAATTAAAAACAAAATATAATACAAAATAATATTAAGGCTGCCAGAGGTATAGTGTTCTTAAAAACATTGCTGTGGGACTAGAAATTTGTGTAATGATTTTGAAAGCAATTTAGTTACATTTACCTCTAAGATGTCACTGTATTTTGAACTAGTAATGTGCCTGTTAGAAGTTAATAGTACAGATGTAGAGTTTTACACAAAGGTTCGTGTATAACAATGTTCATCACAGCATTAGTAAGAATAACAGAAAGGAAACAATATAATCTCCAAATATTAGGGATGTGTTAGTATAAATAATGGCATATGCCTGTTATATAATCCTGAATTTCCATAAAAGTTATTGTTTACAATTACAAAGACTGTTTAATGATGTGGGAAATGCTCAGTTGGTAAAATGAAGTGAAAAAGGTAGGAAAGGAAGGCATAAATGTAGAAGTGGTAGATGAACTCCTTGGTGGAATCTCGTCTGTAGATTTGTTTAGTTTGCCACACATGGTGTTAATTATTTAAATTCATTTCCAATATTTAAAAGTTAGGATATTTTACTTTTAAACAACTGTATGTTCAGGTCCTTTCTAAAATCCTAGATATTGGGTAGCATTCATGGCATACCACCTGGGAGCAGCAATCAGCTGGAGTTGGGAAGGCTGGGACCCTAGACCTGGCAGGTGTTCTCCAGCTGGCCACACTCCGCAGCACTCCTGACCATTACCCCTGACCTGTTGCACTCGTGGATGTCACCTTCCTGGCATTTGAATTCTTGGCTGCTATGCAGCATGATCCTTGTGTGGCAAAGTACACATACATATGCATGAAATGCTACAAAAACTCCTCAGGGTGATAGGATAACAGGCGATTTTCATTTTCTTCTTAATAGTTTTTGCATTTTCCAAATTGTGTAACAAAAATATGTATTGCTTTTCTGATTAGAAAAGAGTAACTGTTGTTTTTTTGAAGTCAAATCATTAAAAATCATAGAGCACCATGCTAAAAGACTATAAATGGCAGATGTTAACAGCAATCTTGGGGAAAAATTACATTTTGAATTCCCTTAACCAAAATAGTGGACGAGGTTATTGATGCCTTTTCATTCACAGTGTTTTTTTCCCCCATTATTTAATAAAAATACATTATTGAAATCTAAATGAGATGGAACAGTCTTTTTTTTTTTTTTTTTTTGAGACGGAGTCTCGCTCTGTCGCCCAGGCTGGAGTGCAGTGGCGGGATCTCGGCTCACTGCAAGCTCCGCCTCCCGGGTTCATGCCATTCTCCTGCGTCAGCCTCCCAAGTAGCTGGGACTACAGGCGCCCGCCACTACGCCCGGCTAATTTTTTGTATTTTTAGTAGAGACGGGGTTTCACCGTTTTAGCCGGGATGGTCTCGATCTCCTGACCTCGTGATCCGCCCGCCTCGGCCTCCCAAAGTGCTGGGATTACAGGCGTGAGCCACCGCGCCCGGCCTGGAACAGTCTTACTAAATTGCTTTTTTTGCCTACAAAGTATTGTATCTTCACCTCAATTCTAAATGAATAATAGCCTCAACCTTATAGTAAACCATTTTGCTCACTGTTCGAGTAGTAAATACTTCTGATAATATGAAGCAAATAAATAAAATTATTCTCTTTCAGACCTTTGATTTTGTGGAGAATGAGTTAATCTTAAATTGTAATTAATACTAGTGCATTAAACTAAGTGAAATGTAAGGAACATGCATATCCCTGAATTGATGACATAGACATATAATTAAAAGGATTTTGTTTTCTGATTGTAAGTAAGAGATTTATAGGAGTGAATTCTTTTTTAAATAAATTTTTATTTTATGAAAGTGATAGTCAACCATGCATAATATACTTATTTTCACTTCTACCAGAAGACATGATTATAGGTCAGAGATTTTTGTTTTGTTTTCCTTTCTAGTTTTACAAGAATTGGAGGGCCAAAATAAAAAAGCTTGTGAGTCTGTAATTTTTGCACCTGGCCAGTTGCAGCAATGAGATTCTTATACATTTACTAGTAGATAAAATAACCAACAAGTATTTATTGAGCACCTAATATAAAGTCCTAGGGAAAATCCGTATAAAACCTATTCTCTGATTTCTGAGAAATTTTCATTGTATATTAAGCTCTGGCAGTATTAATATAAACAATGATATGCTATTAGAGGTTCCATGAGAGTATAATAAAATGTACTTTCCTCTCTTTATTAATACAACATAAAGTTTTTAAGTAGGACTATGACCTAATCTTCCTTTTAGAGATAGTACTCAGAATCTGGGTATTACAATCATGCAAGTGGATTTAACCCAGAAGAGTAGATGGAATCATATAAGAAAGTATGTAAAATTACAGAGAAGCAGTCAGTCATGGTGGCAAGGAATTGGAGAGTTCAAATTATTTACTTATAATGCAATTATTATATAGTTAGGTTTAAACTCATTATCTTGCTCTTTTAAAATCTTTTTTTTTTTCTTCTTTCCTGTTCTCTTCACATTAATTGGCCAGTTTTTCATATTACAATTTATTTTCACCACTGGATGTTTTAGCTTTTATGAAATATTTTTTATTTTTAAAATTAATATATTCTTTTAGCGAGTTTTAGATTGAAATAAAAATTGAGCATATATAGGCCGGGTGCGGTGGCTCACGCCTGTAATCTCAGCACTTTGGGAGGCTGAGGCTGGTGGATCACCTGAGGTTAGGAGTTCGAGACCAGCCTGGCCAACTTGGCAAAACCCCATCTCTACTAAAAATACAAAAATTATCTGGGTGTGGTGGTGCATGCCTGCAGTCCCAGCTACTTGGGAGGCTGAGGCAGGAGAATTGCTTGAACCTGGGAAGCAGAGGTTGCAGTGAGCCAAGATCACCATACCACACTCCAGCCTGGGCAACAAAGTGAGACTCTGTCTCAAAAAATACAAATAAAAATGAAAATAAATAAATAAAAATTGAGCATATAGTATACGAAGTTCCAATATCATTCTATCCCCTCACCCCCACTTCATAATTTAACCTGTTATTAACATCTTACATTACTGTGGTACATTTGCTAAAATTAATGAGCAAATATTGATACATTATTTTTTCTTTGGAATAAATTATAAATATTTTACAGTGTACACTGTACTCAATGTGTACTCTTGTATTTCTCACCTCACTCCCATTCTTCCCCCAACTCCCCAAAGTCCATTCTATCATTCTTATGCCTTTGCCACCTTATAGCTTAGCTCCCGCTTATGAGTGAGAACATACGATGTTTAGTTTACCATTCCTGAACTACTTCACTTAGAATAATGGTCTTCAACTCCATTCAGGTTGCTGCAAGTGCCATTATTTTGTTTCCTGGTATGGCTGAGTAGTATTCCACAGTATATATGTACCACATTCTATTTATTCACTCGTTGGTTGATGGGCATTTAGGTTGGTGTCATGTTTTTGCAGTTGTGAATTGTGCTGCTATAAACATGCCTGTGCAAGAGTCTTTTTCATATGATGATTTATTTTCCTCTGGGTAGATACCCAGTAGTGGGATTGCTGGATACAATGGTAGTTCTACTTTTAGTTCTTTAAGGAATCTCCACACTGTTTTTCACAGTGGCTGTGCTAATTTACATTCCCACCAACATGGTAAAAATGTTCCATTTTCACCACATCCACATCAACACCTGTTGTTTTTTTTTTAATTTTTAAATTATGGTCACTCTTGCAGGAGTAAGGTGATATCTCATTGTGGTTTTGATTTGCATTTATCTGATAGTGATTTTGAGGATTTTTTCATATGTTTGTTGGCCGTTTGTATATCTTCTTTTGAGAATTGCCTGTTCATGTCCTTTGCCCACTTTTTGATGAGATTATTTTTTTTTCTTGCTGATTGGTTTGAGTTTCTTGTAGATACTGGATATTAGTTTTTTGTAGGATGCATAGTTTAAAATATTTTCTCCCACTTTGTGGGTTGTCCATTTTACTCTGATGATTCTATCTTTTGCTGTGCAAAAGCTCTTTAGTTTAATTAGGTCCTGTCTGTTTATCTTTGTTTTTGTTGCATTTGCTTTTGGATTCTTGGTCATAAACTCTTTACCTAAGCCAATATCTAGAAGAGTTTTTCCAATCTTATCTTATAGAATTTTTGTGGTTTCAGGTCTTAGATTTAAAAATGTCTCTGATCCGTCTTGAGTTGATTTTTGTACAAGGTAAGAGATGAGGATCCAGCTTCATTCATCTACCTGTGGCTTGCCAGTTACTCCAGCACCATTTGTTGAATAGGGTGTCCTTTCCCCACTTTATATTTTTGTTTGCTTTGTCAAGGATCTGTTGGCTGTATTTAGCTTTATTTCTGGGTTCTCTATTCCGGGTTTTCAAATATTTGGCTTTATTTCTGGGTTCTCTATTCTGCTGCATTGGTCTATGTGCCTATTTTTATACCAGTACCATGCTGTTTTGGTAACTATAGCCTTGTAGTATAAAGTCAGGCAATGTGATGCTTCCAGATTTCTTTTTACACCATTGATTCTATCCAACCACAAGCATGGAAGGTGTTTTCATTTGTTTGTGTCATCTGTGATTTCTTTCATCAGTGTTTTGTTGATTTCCTTGTAGAGATTTTTTACCTCCTTGGTTAGGTATATTCCTAAGTATTTTATTTTTTTGTTTCAGCTGTTGTAAAAGGGGTTGAGTTCTTGATTTGATTCTCAGCTTGGTCACTGTTGGTGTATATCAATGCTATTGATTTGTGTACATTAATTTTGTATCCAGAAACTTTACTGAATTTATTTATCAGGTCTATGAGCTTTTTGTATGATTCTTTAAGGCTTTCGAGGTATAAGATCATATCATAAGCAAACAGCGATAGTTTGACTTCCTCTTTACCAATTTAGATGCCCTTTTTTTTCTTTCTCTTGTCTGATTGCTCTGGCTAGGGCTTCCAGTACTGTGTTCATTAGAAGTGGTGAAAATGGGAATCCTTGTCTTGTTCCAGTTCTCAGGGGGAATGCTTTCAACTTTTTCCCATTCAGTATAATATTGGCAGTGGGTTTGTCCTAGATGGTTTTTATTACCTTGAGGTATGTCTCTTCTATGCAGATTTTGCTGAGGGTTTTAATCTTAAAGAGATGCTGAATTCTGTCAAATGATTTTTCTGCATTTATTGAGATAATCTACAATTTTTGTCTTTAATTCTGTTTATGTGATGTATCATATTAATTGACTTGTGTAAGTTAAACCATCTGTTCATCTCTGGTATGAAACCCACTTGATCATGATGTATTATATTTTTGATATACTGTTGGATTCAGTTAGCTAATATTTTCCCTCTTTACTTTTTGGGATAGTATCAGTAAGATTAGTATCAATTACTCTTTGAATGCCTGATAGAAATCAGCTGTGAATCCATCTTATCTTGGACTTTTTTTGTTGTTGGCAAATTTTTTTTTGTTTGTTTTTTTGAGACAGAGTCTTGATCTGTCGCCCAGGCTGGAGTGCAGTGGCTTAGTCTTGGCTCATTGTAAGCTCCATCTCCTGGGTTCACACCATTCTCCTGCCTCAGCCTCCCGAGTAGCTGGGACTACAGGCACCCGCTATCACACCCAGCTAATTTTCTGTATTTTTAGTAGAGACAGGGTTTCACCATGTTAGCCAGGATGGTCTTGATCTTCTGTCCTCGTGATCCACCTGCCTGGGCCTCCCAAAGTGCTGGGATTACAGGCGTGAGCCACTGCACCCAGCCCAGCAATTTTTAAATTACCGTTTCAATCTTGCTACTTATTATTGGTCTGCTTAGAGTTTCTATTTCTTTCTTATTTAGTCTACGAGAGTTGTATATTTCAAAGAATTTATCCCTCTCCTCTAGATTTTCTAGTTTGTGTGTGTAAAAGTGTTCATAGTAGCCTTAAATCATCTTTTGTATTTCTGTGGTTTTGGTTGTAATATCTCCCATTTCATTTCTAATTGATCTTATTTGCATCTTCTTCTTTTCTTGGTTAATCTTCTTAATGGTTTATCAATTTTGGTTATTTTGTCAAAGAACCAGCCAGCTTTTTATCTTTTGTTTGTTTGTTTGTTTTAATTTCATTTAGTTCTGTTCTGGTCTTTGTTTTTTTTTTTTTTTTTTTTGTACTGGCTTTAGGTTTGGTTTATTCTTGTTTTCTAGTTCCTTGAGGTGTGACCTTAGATTGTCTATTTGTAGTCTTTCAGTCTTTTTTGATGTAGGCGTTTAAGGCTATGCACTTTCCTCTTAGCGGCACTTTTGGTGTGTCACAGAGGTTTTGATAAGTTGTATCTCTATCATTCAGTTCAAATACTTTTTAAATTTCCATCTTGATTTTATTGTTGACCCAAAGATCATTCAGGAGCAGATTATTTAATTTCCATGTATTTGTATAGTTTTGAGGGTGCTTTTTGAAGTTATTTTCCAATTTTATATTCCATGTGGTCTGAGATGGTACTTGATATAATTTTGATTTTCTTAAATTTATTGAGACTTGTTTTGTGACCTATCATATGGTCTGTCTTGGAGAATGTTCCATATGCTGATGAGTAGAATGTATATTCTGCAGTTGTTGGGTAAAATGTTCTGTAAATACCTGTTAAGGTCATTTGTTCTAGGGTATAGTTTAAGTCCATTGTTTCTTTGTTGACTTTCTGTCTTCATGGCCTGTCTAGTGCTGTCAGTAGAGTATTGAAGTCCCCCACTATTATTGTGTTGGTGTCTATCTGATATCTTAGGTCTAGTAATAATTGCTTTATAAATTCAGGAGCTCCAGTGTTAGGTGCATATATATTTAGAATCGTGATATTTTTCCCTTTTGAACTAGTCCTTTAATCACTATATAAGTCCATTTTTGTCTTTTTCAACCATTGTGGGTTTAAAGTCTGTTTTGTCTGATATAAGAATAGCTACTTCTGCTCACTTTTGGTGTCCATTTTCATGGAATATTTTTTTCCACTTCTTTTGCCTTGAGTTTATGTGAGTCCTTATGTGTTAAGTGAGCCTCTTGAACACAGCAGACACTTGGTTGGTGGATTTTTATCTATTCTGCATTTCTGTATCTTTTAAATGGAGCATTTAGGCCATTTACATTCAATGTTAGTGTTGCTACTTGAGGTACCGTTTTATTCATTGTGCTAGTTGTTGCCTGAATACCTTGTTATTTTGTCCTTATGTTATTGTTTTACAGATGTGTGAGATTTATACTTTAAGGCAGCCCTAATTTGGTGTGTTTTGAGGGTTTGTTTCAAGATTTAGATCTCTTTTTAGCATTTCTTGTAGTGCTGGCTTAGTAGTAGTGAATTCTCTCAGCATGTGTTTGTCTGAAAAAGACTTTATCTCTCCTTCATTTATGAAGCTTAATAGCTTAATTTTGCTGGATACAAAATTCTTGACTGCAAATTATTTTGTTTGAAGAGGCTAAAGATAGAACCCCAATCCCTTCTAGCCTGTAGGGTTTCTGCTGAGAAATCTGCTGTTAATCTGATAGGTTTTCTTTTACAAGTTACCTGCTGCTTTTGTCTCATGGCTCTTAAGATTCTTTTCTTCATCTTGACTTTAGATAACCTGGTAACTATGTGCCTAGGTGATTTTTTTTTTTTTTTTGCCATGAATTTCCTGGGTGTCTGTTAGCTTCTTGTATTTGGATGTCTAGATATCTAGCAAGACCAAGGAAGTTTTCCTTGATTATTCTCTCAAATATGTTTTTCAAATTCTTAGATTTCTCTTCTTCCTCAGGTATATCAATTATTCTTACATTTGGCTATTTAACATAACCTCACATTTTTTGGAGGCTTTGTTCATATTTTTAAATTCTTTTTTCTTTGTATGTGTCTGATTGGGTTAATGTGAAAGGCTTGTCTTTCATTTGAAAGCCTTTGAAATCCTTGTCTTTAGCTCTGAAGTTCTTTCTTCTATTTGTTCAATCCTATTGTTGAACTTTCCAGCGCATTTTTCTTTCTTTAAGTGTGTGTTTTATTTCCAGAAGTTGTGATTGTTTTTTAGTTTGATATCTATTTCCCTGAAGCATTTTTCATCCATATCATATATATTTTTTAAATTTCTTTACATTGGTTTCACCTTTCTCTAGTATATACTTGAGTAGCTTAATAATCAACCTTCTGAATTCTTTATCTGACAATCAGAGATTTCTTCTTGGTTTGGATCCATTGCTAGGGAGCTAGTGTAGTCTTTTCAGGGTGTTATAGAACTTTGTTTTGTCATATCATCAGAATTACTTTTCTGATTCCTTCTCATTTGGGTAGACTATTTCAGTGAAAATATCTGGAACTCAAGGGCTGCTGTTCAGATTCTTTTGTCCCATGGGGTGGTTCCTTGATGTGGTGCACTCCCCCTTCACCTAGGGATGGGGCTTCCTGTGAGCCAGAATGCAGGGATTGTTACTGTCCTTGTGGTCTAGCCACCCAGCCAGGCTACCAGGCTCTGGGTTAGTACTGGGAAATGTCTGCCAAGAGTCCTGTGATGCAATTTGTCTTCAGGTCCCCCAGCCATGGATACCAGCACCTGCTCTGGTGGAGATGTCAGGGGAGTGAAGTAGACTGTGTGGGGAGTCCTTGGTTGTATATATGTTTAGTGTGCTGGCTTTCTCAAACGCTCGTTATGCTAGCAGTGAAGTTGTCACGTGGACAGACTCAGGACCAATGGTTAGCCAGAATGTGGAATTAGCTTAGCTCTTGTTTTCTCCTTCCTTGAAGCACAGTTACTGTGTCATGAGTTGCTGAAATGTCCTGAGTTGGTTGGCCTCCAGCCAGGAGGTGGTGCTTTCAAGACAGCAGCAGAGTTTTTCACCTGTCTTGTGGAATTTGCAGTGGCCTGCTGCTTCTTTCAAAGATCTGTTAATTCTTTTGGATTTTTCTGGTGTGTTTCTGTGGTGGTTCCTGGAGCCACAGTCTACAGTGTGAGTCTCCACATGCTGTTCAGTCCATCCAGGTGGGAGCTGAACATCAGCCCTGTCTCCTATCTGCCATCTTTCCTAGTATTACCTCACCATTGGATTTTTATCCATACTTTTAAGATGGCTTTTAAGGTTTCTATAGGATTTATAATATGCATCTCTACATTATTATACTACCTCCAAATAATATTCTACGTATTCTACTTTTCAGTAATATAACTACTATGTAAAGATCTTTCAATGATATATTTCCATTTCTCCTTTTCTATCATTTGTGCTATTGGTGTCATATATCATATTTCTACCAATAATATAAATGCCAAACTCATTAGAATTATTTTTGACTTAAATAACTAATTAAAAATATATTTTAACTTAAAAATACAAAATAATATATATATATATTGGAGCTCTTCAGTCATTTATGTAGATGAAAGTTTTCATCTGGTATCATTTTCACTTGACTCCACAAACTTTCTTTACCATGATAGTACAGGTAAGAATATGAGATATTGTTTCTACTTTTGTTCCTGAAAACTTATTTTATTTTGCCTTTATTTTTGAAGGACATTATTGATAGATCTAAAATTCTAAGATGACAGGTTTTTTTTTTCTTTTCATGATTTTACAGTGTTTTTCTGTTGTCTTCTGGCTTATGTACTTTTTGATAAGAAGCCTGTCATTTTCTTATCTTCATTATTCTGCAGGCAGTCCCTTTTTGTTCCTCTGGCTAATTTCAAATTTTTTGATTCCTCACCTGTTTTAGGAAAATTGATTATGAAGTTTTCTGGTATAGTTTTATTTGTATCATGCCTGAAATTTGTTGACCTTCTTGAGTTTGTAACATTCTCAAGGAGACCACCACACAGATTTCTGTAGCCATTTTCTCTATAACTTTGACAAACAATTCTAGCCACATTGGTTTCCCTGAATTTTCATCTATATATTTTTTCTTCTTTTTCTTTTCTTTTCTTTCTTTCTTTCTTTCTTTCTTTCTTTCTTTCTTTCTTTCTTTCTTTCTTTCTCTCTCTCTCTCTCTTTCTTTCTTTCTTTTTCTTTCTTTCTTTCTTCCTTTCTGTCTGTCTGTCTGTCTTTCTTTCCTTCCTTCCTTCCTTCTTTCTTTCTCTTTCTCTCTCTCTCTTTTTTTTTTTTTTTTGTTTGAGATGGAGTTTCTCTCTTGTTGCCCAGGCTGGAGCGCAATGGTGCGATCTCGGCTCACAGCAACCTCTGCCTCCCAGGTTCAAGAGATTCTCCTGCCTCAGCTTCCCTAGTAGCTGGGATTACAGGCATGCCCCACCACCCCTGGCTAATTTTGTATTTTTAGTAGAGACGAGGTTTCTCCATGTTGTTCAAGGTGGTCTTGAACTCCCAACCTCAGGTGATCAGCCCACCTTGGCCTCCCAAAGTGCTTGGGATTACAGGTGTGAGCCACCATGCCTGGCTTTTCTGTCTTCTTTACTTATCAAAACTGCTGGGCTTTGCTTGTAATTTCTCTTTCTATACCAAGGTATGGCAAGGATCTTCAAAGAAGAAGCTGAAATGATTAAGGTATCATCTCATGGATTTTACCTCTCTCAGGGATTGGAGTCCTTATTGGTTGTTGTCCAGTATCGAAAAATAATTGTTTTTTTTTTTTTTCATTTTTCTAGTTATTTATGAAGGGAGGGCAAGCATAGTCCCAGTTGCTCTATTATTACCTAAAGATGACATCTTAATAAATTTCAGAAGATTAAAATCTTGCAGAGTATGTTTTCATGATATTTCAAAAGCAATCAGGACATAGTACACTTAAACCTTGGTTTCTAAATATACTTCTCCATTAAAATGAACTAAGGAACCTGGCAAAAAAGGCTGATTCTAGAGGTAGGGCAGAGTAAGTGCAAGATGAGCCTACAGTATATTGTCTGCTAGCAGGTAAGGACACGGTAAAATTATGATGGACCAGAAAAACACAGAAGCCAGCTGAAGGGAGTCCCATTGATTAAATGTGGGATGATTTGAACATCAAAATAAATAATGATAGTAATGGAATATAGCCTATTGAATACAAATGAAGGAGTGAATAAACAAATGCGCATATATATATACACACATACATACATAAAGGGGAAGAAGGCGAGGTTCTCACAGTTAAATGCCAACTAATAAATATAGATGGACAGATAGAGTTAGACAATTAATGCACACTACAGCTAGTGGCAGAAATTTGTCAGGGAGCATGATATTTACTTAATACCATAATATTTCACCACAGTGCAGAAATTCAACAAATACTACCAGAAGCACATGTTCAGAGCTTATGCCAATGTTAGAAAACCAATATCATGTAACTTTTGATGCGATGCATTAAGAAGGACACAACATCACTTTGATGGCATTCCTAATGAAAATGGATAACTTGCATCTAATTGTGAGAAAATGTCAGACAAACTCAAATTGAGAGACAGTCTGCAAGATAACTTTTATATTCTCTTCAAAAATACCAAGGCCAAGGAACACTGAGAAAGGCTAAGAAACTCTTCTAGATGAAAAAGACATGACAACTAAATGCAATGTGTGATCCTAAATTTGATCCTGGGCCAGCAGAAAAATAGCTTTAAAGGTCACTGTTAGAACAACTGAAAACTATTAGATATGGCCTACGAACTAGAAAATGGTATTTTGTTAGTATACAATTTCCTGATTTTATAACTGTACTCTGGTTATGTAAGAGGATGTCATCTTACATCCTCTTACATAACCAGCAAAGGTGTAAAGGAAGATTGTGTTTCCAACTTACTCTTAAATGGTTCAGAAAAAACAATAATTTGCAAATAAATATATGGATACACATATATATGTATGTCTATCTATCTTCTATAGTTTGAATCTGTGCCTTCCAAAATTTATGTATTGGAAACTTAATCCCCAATGCAACTGTGTTGGGAGGTAGATCCTTTTGGGAGGTGTTTAGGTCAGAAGAGACTAAGGGTGATGAAAATTCTATCTTGACAAGCACTTCCATGATTGCATATCAGAGAGAAAGGAACACAGGAAATCATAAACTGGCACTTAAGACTCCTTGCCAGAAATAACTTAAATCACTTTTGCTCATTTTTCCTTGGTTAAAGCGAGTCATATGGACACATCTATTTTCTCAGGGGGTGGGAAGTGCAATCTGCCTGGAAGGAAACCGTGAACAGCTCGAAGGATGCCCACACACAGGGTTTATTACATCACACAAAAGTTATCATGTTTATCAGTTTTCTCCAGGGAATTATGATTGCAGTTTCTCTGTCCCATTCATTCTTCCATTCAACTCCGCAAGACCAATGTTTAGCACAAAGAAGATACTTAATGCTTACTCCCTGAATGAATGGACATCCAGAGACTTTTCTGAGATCATAGAACCTGCGGGATTTGCATTCATGTTTCTGAATTTTTAATTTTGTGCATGTTTCATGGCATCATGCAATAAGAATCTATAGCATTCCTTGACATGGTCCCATTCTTATTAAGTTGTGATCTGCTAATAGAAACTATTCCAACTTTGCTGTACAAAATAATATTTTATAGACCTCAAACTATATGCAAATAACCCATTTCAAAATTTGCTTGCAGCCAAAGAATGCCAAAGAAATGCATTGCTTAAAACTCCGCAAATGAAAACACATTTCATTTTTTTCAGCCTGCCATGTTGTTTCAATTTTGCATTTGAGAGTCTTTCTCTCATCATTTCCCTTTCATGGCTCTCTTCATTACAAACTGGACCTCAACATCTTTTAGAATTGTATGCCTTTAATAACAAAAACTAAAAAAAACTTTAAATGACTTCAAAACGTACAGAAGATATCAAAGTCTAGACAAGACTTCAAAACAAATTTCACCAAGATGTCATATAATCTTGGTTAACTTATGAAATTAAAATATCTGATTGTGGTAAAATATTTTAGATGCTCATCTATATTTATTAATGTTATTATGGCTCATTTCTCAAGTCCCAGTGGAACAATAAACTATTAATGGTCATATTCATCTCTCTTTGGGAATGAGAAGAGTGGAATTGACTGCTGCTACGGTGCAGAGACGTAAGATCCTCTGAGAGAGGGTTTGCCTGTTAAGTATATTGAATCGTTATCACTTCAGTGAAAGGCAACAAAATAGCCAATCTTGTGCAGATCAGCATGGTTTCCAGTGCGATTTCCAGTGCAAATTAGAATTTCATGTGAGGCAGAGAATGAATAGAGATGATAAATTCAGGAGACGATGTTCAGGAATAATTCAAATGAAGAGCATCTGTTGTTGCTTGGATCCCGGGAAGCTGAGTTTGCTTCTTATTCTGCTGTATGCCTGCCATATTGAGGAGCCAAGTCAGTGACTGGATAAGTGTTGTGGCTAGTTTTACCATCAATTAGTGAAGTATGTCAAACCTGGAATTGCCTTCCTTACTCAGACTTCCAAGTGCAAAATAGAACCACTTTCTGTATCTTTGATTGGGGATTAAGTTTTGATATTTCCCTGCAAGGGTGAGCAATCTTTAAGCAACAGATCATTTTATGAAGCTTCTGAGATGAGCAAGCCTGTTTTGATAACATAAAATTGGCAGGAACTTGAGCTTGAAATTTGAATAGAGACCAAACTGAGTATCTGTACAAGTTTGAAGAGGCACAGATGATTTTATGCAAATTGTTTGTTTATGGAATATTTCTCCTGGGCACATCTGCTGGATCACATGGGCTGAAAGTGGAAGGAGAGATAGAAGCTCTTAAGTTAAAGGGACTATTGAGTTGCTTTTTTTGGTTTGTTTGTTTTTTTCCAGTAGTTAGAAATAAAAAGAGTAATATCTAACATTTATGGAACACTGTTGTTGCAGGACTTTTCCTTAGTTCAGCTAAAGATGGGGTCCTTGTCCCATGGCCACAAAAGTTTAGGCTTGTGGATGGTTTAAAGGGTGAGTAAAGCAGGGTTTTATTGAGTGAAAAGAGAAAAAAAGGTAAACGGGGACTCTCCACAAAGCCAGAATCCCTGCTAGAGAGCTTCCCACCTTGCAGTTTGAATCCCAGTTTCCACACAGCCAGGCTCCTCCTGGCTGAAAATGGCACGGACTTCTGTGTCTCCACCCCAGTGTGCATTCCCAGTGCACAGGCTGGTTGGAGTTTTGCCAGGCCACCTGGCTGTCTCACTGTTGTAGGACCTAGGCTAAATGCCTTGAAATTACTTAATGGTACTACTATTATCCTTATTTTACTAATGAGGAAAGTGAAACTCAGGTAGGTAAGGGGCTTACCATTGCCTCACAGCAGTAAGTGGCAGAGACAGATTTTGAACCTAGGCAGTCTGTCTCCAGAATCATTTTCTCAGTTACACCGTGGGACGTGGACATTCTTAGATAATATGGAATAACTCTAGAGGATTGAGTTAGTACTTAACACACAAATACAACAGTTTGTTTAAAAGAATTTCAGAAAACTTCAAATTTTCGCTCTTAAACTTGATAGAACATTCTTTTTGGGACAGGATGGCTCCATTCACTCCCTCGAAATTGAACAGAAAACCTGATTAAATAACAGGCCTCTAGGCTTGTGACCATCAAATCAGAGCCCTTATTAACATCATCAGTGAGAAAAGTGGAAATTCTTCTCTCTCTCAAACTAGTACCTCAAATTGAACTATTATTATGGAGGCTTGACATAGATTATGTGAAGGAGTCTGATTATGTAATGGGAATTGTGCTGCGATATCACATAAGTTAAAATTGATAGAAGGCAGAACTTGAGTTCTTTAAAATTATATAAAAGTAACTTAAGTGTGATGACAACATATTGGTAATTATATGGAGCTTTGCTTCATGTGTGACATTCTGCCAAACAGAAAATAAAGCCAAATGAAATATATTTTTGTTGATCCATGAAACATCACCCAGTCCTCTGCATTTGTTACGCAGGTTCTCTGTTATGTTGTTTTTAAGCCATTTTTTTGTGGTCTGGTGCTCCTTTTGACTCAATCCATTTTCTCAGAAATTCTGCCAGGAGATCTGATAGCATATCATGCCTATTGTTGAAGAAAGTGGTGCTTTTGTTGAGTGTTTGATCACTTTTCTGTTGGGGACTGAGTTGTCAGCTGCTTATGATATCAGGATAAGATGTATGCCAAGGAAAATGAAAAAGACATATTTGCTAAGCCTGCCAGAGGATATATTGACAATTGTGTCAAAACCCGAAAGCATGGCTTCAATGGTTAAAATATATATGAGTATTTTTATTTTGTCAAATAATTCCAAGATTTGAAGTCCATGTATTTACCATAATCATATGAAGACAAGCAATCCACACAAACAGCAACCCCATCTTCTGAAAACATCCACCTAACATAGGAAGGATTAAGATTACTTCATTTATTCAACATGAATTATTGAATACCCACTGTGTCATTCACTGTGGTATGCATTGGGGGTAAATCAGACACATTCCTTTAGTTAAGGTGATTCCAGTCTAGAGGGTGACAAAGATATGCAACTAGATGCATGAAGCTGTATAATGAATAAGAATGTTATTCTTTACTTATCTACCCCATAGACTCATTCTTTACCCTTCCTTTCCGTGCTTTGTGCCCTGGGAGGGTGACATTAATGAATTTCCCACTTACCATCTGGATTCAAGTTGGGTTTAGCCAATGAGTCACTGGCAAGAGATTAGAGGGGCCAGAGTTTTTCTTCCTTCCTCTCTTCCTGTTCCAGCATCTACTTTCTGGCAGTGACTGTGCATCTCCATGATTACTCTCCTGGTGTCCTCTCTGTTTCTCTGCAGCGTCAACTCCCACATGGTTCTGGGCAACAGGACTTCCTCATCCCTTGTTCCTTCAACTCTTTTAGTTATAGTGACTTCCATCGTTGCTTTTCTCTGGGTGCTTGAACATCTCATGTTTATTCCCTTTGTCATGCAATAACCTAGAAATAGATCCTTTATTTAAACTGTCTTCACTTGAATGGCTAAATTGAAGTTTGTTTCCTCCCCAAACTCTTGACAGTTGCAAGAATTATATTAGAGATACTAATTGATTCTATTCATTAATCGTTTATTCAACAATCATAGACATATTACTGAGTGCCTACTATGTGACAGTTTGGTAGGCACAAGGTATAGACCAGTGCTTTCTGATAGAACTTGAAAATATTCTGCACTGTCCAATATGGTAGCCACTAGCTACATGTGATTGCTGAACACTTGAAATGTGGCTATTGTGACCCGGCAATTGAATTTTAAATTTTATTCACTGTTAATTAATTTCAATTTATATAGCTCCATATGCCTGTGGCTACAGTATTAGACAGCACAAGTATGGATTAATATTAATAGAGTCCTGAATAACTCTTCTGGAAAGAGGTAAGTAAGGAGAAAGCGGGGTTTGTGCTGAGATCTGGCTAGACAGAAGACATTTGACCTGCTCTGTAGATGAGGAGGTCTCTTTATCAGGCAGAGAAATGTGGAGTGTGAATTCTGGGGAAAAGAGCATCTTCTGTAAATGCTAAGAGGCTTTCACATATAGAAGGGCATGGTAGTATCAGAGCACTACATAGTATTCAGAGTGGTTAGGTCTTAATGATTAAGGGGGATGTGGTGAAAAACTAATTGAGAACATTGGGTTTGAGCTGTATGTTGATGAGCCATATTTTATGTCTGTATTGCACTACTCTTTTATACTCCATTATAAAACCATTAGGTAGGTCATTTTAAAACATAAATACTAAACAAATAGTAATAATATGTACATATTTTTTTAAAAAATATTCCATTGAATTTTCAATTGAAAATAAAACATGATTATTTACAGTATGCTCAATTTTGTTGCCCCTCATTGTTTAGAGTTTAGCTAGGAAAGTGAACTCAATATTATCATATGATAGATATGTCAGTGATCTAGCTTTATTCAGAGATGCCCAAAGTGCCACAGGGCACAGATGAAGTTTCCTGTTGCCAAATCTTAAAGGGACCAGAGAAGAGTTTCTGGATAAATTGTGAGGTTTGGACTCAAAGAATGGATATGTGTTGTCTCGATGAATTTGTGTAACTGTATGGGGTAGGTGTAGAAGAGGAGGGGTGATGGGAGTGGATCAGAGTGTGTTCCCATTAGAAAACAATAACTGTGACATAGTGAGGGGGAGAGGAAGCTGGAGTAATCTAAAGAAACAGACCTAAACAGACCTGAGTTAGAAAGGATCACTCTGCTTGAGTGCCTCTGTAGAGTGGCTTAGGGAGAGGTAAGACTGCAATATCAGTTATAACGCCATAGTAGTAACACAAGGAAAACATAATGGTGTTTGAACACAGGTAATCTGTGTCTCAGGTTCTGAAAAATATTATGTCTCATATATGATTTTTCTTACTGCCAAAAACTTATTTATATTTCTCCAAACAATAAAACAACTCTACTTTTGTTTTGGGCCATAATAATAATAGCTGTTATTTAGCAAGCAATTACTATGTGCCAGTCACTCTTCTCAGCTTTTACATGCTGAGGATTAACTTACTAAATCCTTACAACAACTCTATGGGGCAGGCACCATTATTATCTCCTTGTTTTACAGATGAAGAAATGGAGTCTCAGTGAAATTAAGTAAGTTTCCCAAGATTGCCCTTAGTAAGTTCCAGAGCAGGATTTCAATACTGGCCATCTGCTTCTAGAGCCAGCTCATTAAGTTCTACCCTTTTCTTTAAAATTCTCATAACTACCTTTTACTGATGCTTAGTTAGTATTTGTTGGTGAAGTATTATTTCTTTCTACCTTGAATATTGAATTGGCTAGGAAATAAGATTATCTAATGTAGAATTAACTTTGAAAAATTTAAACCTGTCTTGTAGACTTTGAACAGAAAAGGATGGTCATTTTTTAAGAAGGATGAAAAAAAAATGCCAAGGTAGCCAACATTATATCCTATTAAGGCATCTAAGATTATTAAATTTACTGTACTGCAGTTGTCTACATAATAGTCCCATTAATCAAAATGCTTTTCAGTTTACACACTTCAATGTGAATAGTTTTAAATGCTGAATATGATTATTTTAAAGAGGTTTTAAGGGGACGTAGTTGACAGATTTGCAAAGTATCTTTTCTTTAATAGACTAGATCACTGCAAATCAAAACTAAAATATGTATGTTTCCGGATGCTTGATGAATATTTGTAGCTTATTGGGAATCTGTATTTATAAGATTTACCTTAAGATCACTCGTTGCAGCACAGTGTCATAAACTCTCATTTGTTTATGTTATAATTACTCTTAAGATAGGTTCCAGTAGATTAAATTTAGAGATGTCCTTGATGCAGACTGTCCTGCAATTACACTATTCTAAGAGAATGTATTGTTCTTAGAAGTATTGTCAAAAGCACTTGCTATAGGATCTAAATTTCTCCCCACTTCAGATGTGTTGTACAAAAAAAGCGCAATTTGGTTAGAGGTTTTGGTTAGAGGTGGGAAGTTTTCTGGGTGTCCCCAAAACCCAACACTCATTTAGTTCACAGCTTAGATATCTAATAACTCTTACTACTGTGGCCTTCACTTACATATCCTGGATGCTAATCAGTCTTACAAAATTCTATCGGAGTCACATTAGGCAGCACAATTTGAAACAGAATATGCCAACCAGTTCAACCTGGTAAATTTCCCATTTTGCCACTGAATCTGACCTCACATTGATTTCCTTTCACAATAACCTGCCTTTCTTATAAATAGCATTATATTTGTTTGCATTAAAACAGGTACATGGCAATTAAATAAAAATGAGGTGGGAGAGGAGATGAGCTTATGACATTTGGTATCTATTGATATTCTTCCTAAATAAATGCTTTGGATCTCATTCTTTCATTGAAGATTGCATAGAAAGAAGCCATAGCATGTACAAGTAATAATAATAATAATAATAATAATAATAATAATAATAGAAAGACAATGTTTACAGGCATAACCAGTTTAGATGGAGAAATGTGAGACACCAGAACATGTCTGAGGATGCAGGATCATAGAAATTTTGGTTGTTGTGAACCATAGCAAATGTGGGGAAGATTAATGAAAAATGAGGCTCTGAAAGAGTGTGAAGTCCAGGTCATGAAAATCTTAGATCTATGCTAAGGAAGTTAGATTTTCTCCATTTGCAGTAGGGATCTGCTGAAGGGCATTAAGCAGAGAAGCATTCTGTTTTTGTCTTTGTTTTTTGTATCTTTTTAGGGACACAGTCTTTCTCTGTTACCCAGGTTGGAGTGCAGTGGCACAATCATGGTTCACTGCAGCCTCAGCCTCCTGGGCTTAAGCAGTCCTCCTGCCTCAGACTCCAGAGGTAGCTAGGACTACAGGCATGCACCACCATGCCCAGCTAATTGTTTAATTTTTTATAGAGATTGGGGGTCTCACTACATAGATCAGGTTGGTCTTGAACTCCTGACCTCAAGTAATCCCCCGCCGTGGCCTCCCAAAGTGCTGGGAGTACAGGCATGAACCACTGTGACCAGCCAGAAAAAATGGTATAAATGCTAGAAAGTTCACCTACATTTGCATGGTAAAACTATAAACCAGAACTTCCTTATCATTAGATCTATAGCAGTATGAGATTTGGAAACTCATCACTCCTTTCAACAACACATTAAAGGGATCATCCAACTTTTAATATGTTAATCAAGTATTGGGTATTATTTGTTGAAGAACTAGGGGGCCTTCACATCTAAAGCAGTCTGCAGGCAGCATTGACACCAGGCTTGGCACATGGAGATGGTTGGTTTGGTTGAAGCTGAGAATGTTTGGCTGAATTGGAGTCTCTCAATGGAGTTCTGCTCCTTTCTCCAGGGATCTTAAAGCTAATATAATTCAACTGAAATTGGGTCAAGTTATCAACAGTGAGCTAAAAATCACAAGAATGGCTAATCAACTGCTGTTTAGAGAAAATCCCAAGTCAAACATATGGAAAATGAGGCTTATGAATCATAGCTCCAGCTTGGCTTTAGCCCTGAGGCGAATGAAACTAAATCAGTAAAAATATATTCAGTAGAACCATAACTTATTCTAATTCTGTCTAAGGCATCTCAGTTCTAAAAGCAGAGACCCCTCCACAGACCTAAAGAGAACAATTCTTCCTCTATCCCTAGAATCAGACTGAGAATTCAATGCTGGCATCACCCTCTCCAACTGTTGTGATTTTGGACAAGTCACTTAAGTGCTCTAGCCCTCATTTTCTTCATCTTAAAAATAAAGAAAATAAAAAAGAAAACTGGCCAAATCTGTATCAGAGGGCCTGTATGCTCCAGGAGGGCAGAGACTATCTGTATTATTTCCATAACTGAATCCTCCCTCAGTGAATAGCATAGAATCAGGCATATGGCAGGCATCTAACAGATGTTTGTGAAAAGCATAAGTAAGTGAATGAAGAGACAGAAATGTTATAATACATCATGAAAGTGCTTTGTGAGCCACAGATTGCTGTATATATGGTGACATCATGATGCTTCAGATTCTGTAGGTTTACATCATACATAAAATATCTCCAACCATTTTCCTCTCACTTCGAAAAAGCAACAGCTAAGCTATTTGTCGCTTATTATTTGTTAGACCATCATGTTCATTTCCTCATGCATTTCTTATGACAATTTTAAGAAGCTGGAACTGTCATTAACCCAGTTTTTAGATGAAGAAATCCAGCCTGAGGTAGGCTAAGTTAAATTCCTCAAAACAAAACAACAGTAAGTGGTGGCACAAGGGCTCAAGCTCAGTCTTTCTGCCTCCAAAGTCTATAATCTATTCTATTATTCAAATGAAAACCTCAGACTTGCTTTTTATTCTAAAACATATTGTAGTTAAAAAAATAGACTTCAAGCTGTCAGGTTGTATTGAATGATTCTAGTTTGCATAAAAGGATTTACAGAATTAGACAGGGCATTATATTTGATTCAGTAATGTTTTTCAACCCCCAACTCTGTAATTCTATTAATATGGTTTCTTTCTAAGGACATCTACACAACCTAAAAGAAATGGGTGAATTCCTAGATGCATAAAACCTATCAAGACTGAATCATGAAGAAACAGAAAATCTGAACAGACCAATAAAGAGTAAGAAGTTTGAGTCAGTGATAAAAATCTCCCATTAAAGGAAAGCCAAGGATCTGATGGCTTCACAGCTGAATTTTGCCAAACATTGGAAGAGCCAAAATACCAATCCTCCTCAAATTGTTATTAGGTTGGGGCAAAATTAATTGTGGTTTTTGCCATTGAAAGTAATGACAAAAACTGCAATTACTTTTGCACCAACCTAATACAAAAAGTTGAAGAGGAAATATTACTATCTAACTCATTTTACAAGGCCAGAGTTACCCTGATATAAAAACCAGATAGTAAAATTATAAAAAAAGAAAATTACAGGTCAATTTCCCGATGAATATAGATGCAATCTTTCTCAACAAAATACTAGCAAATAGAATTAAACAACACATTAAATGGATTATCCTCCTTTTAATGTGTTAATCAAGTAGGGAATAGTAAGTGGGATTTACCCCATCTTCTTTTAATTCTACCCTCCCCTTCCCTCTCCTTTCCCAACTCATCTCTTTACTCATGGCCAACTGTGGCTGCTTAAAAGGGGCAGCCTCAGCTCCTGAACCTATCTTTTCAAAACAACTTACTCGGTATTGTAGGTATTACTTTAAAAACATGGGACAGATAATGTAGTCAAGGGCCACTCTGTTCTAATCACCTGTGTCCAGAGAGATTGGGTTCACGTATCATATTACATGGGATATTTAATGGCACATATAGTACCAAGGCTACATGGTACTGGAGAAAGTGATTGGTAACTCTAATATAAGAGGATAGCTCTTCTGAAAATACAATACACATGAAAACATTACTAAAAGAATGGTTAGCAATTCTATGAAAGGAAAGTCTGAGGAAGTCATAGCCATATATGCTTCAAAGGGGATTGAATCTAAATTATCAACTTCAAAAGCAAAAATCATTTCTCTATTATGTTCATGTATAAATCTGAGGAAGAACCAATACACATTATCCTTTTAATGCATTTTTAAAATTATAGGTTGAGGTACATTGACCTAAAACAGTTCTCCAAATAATGAGAAAACCAGTGACTAAATTAACTTGTGTTATTTGATTGCTTTACAAAAACTCTGAAGGCAATATTGTCTGAAAATACAAGTGCTATAAATATTTTCAATTTATTATTGATGTGGCCTTTTAGCATATACCCTTACTTGTAGTTCACTGGATCAGAGTGATTCAATTAAATCTTTTATAAGCTATTGAAGTCTGAATATCTCTTAGCATTGAAGCAAGTTGTCGAGAGAAATGGGAACTCATCTAACTGTTGCCATTACATATTTCTGTCTTCTTCCATCCTGCATCCCTGTGCTTCATTTATTATTTTGATTACCTACTAGGTACAAAGTGGAACACTAGTTACTAAGGTGTGCACATGGCTTGAGCATTTCTTAAGAGATTTCTTGAGAGTCAAAGGAGCTAAAATGTGAACCAACTTTGAAAAGAATAAATTTTAATACACACAAAAGGTATTCTTATTTTTATTTCCCTGGATCTTGTAGAGTATCCAAAGAAATATGTGTCTTTTGGTCTACCAGGCAACCGAAAGTGGAAAGTTTCCACAGGAAGAATCAACTGCACAAACAGTGATTAATATGAAATAACTAATTGGACTGAGCCCCTGGAGAAACTACAGAAAGCTGAGAGATGGAGATGTGCATATTGCTCTGTTTATTCTGGCAAAATGGAAGTCTTTTCCCATTTACATTTCCTCTTATTAATATGCGACATGGACTATCATCATAGCCCATTCTATTCTGTTTGCAGGGCTTTAAGAAGGTGACTCAGGGGCACTTAATGAAGAATGACAAGCAACTAATATCAGTCAAATGTTTCATTATTTCTTTGACATTAATCTCCTCTTCTGCAAAGATTAGTCAAAGTGCTTAACTGAAAAAACTAGGAGAAAATATGGACAGCATAGAGATCAAATTAATCCCTGACTTTTGAACACAAGTAAAGAATTTGGCTGAATGTTGAAAAAAGTAGTAAAAACAGATTACACGTGAACAAGAGCAATCTAATCACTGCACAAAGCAGAATAGTCTGTACATTTGGGCATCCATGGCTTTAATTGAACTCATGAAAACTGGGTGTTTTGTAGGTTGTTTGATTTTTAGCTCAAGTCTGAATTGGCAAAGAAGAAGTCCTGTACCTTCAGGCTGTATTATAAACTCAGGGTTTTTTCTTTCTTTTTTTCCTCATATAAGTTTGTTTTCTACCCCTCCCCTCCCCTCCCCCTCCCCCTCCCTCCCTCCCTCTCTCTCTGTCTCTCTCTCTCTCTCTCTCTCTCTCTCTCTCTCTCTCTCGATGGAGTCTCACTCTGTCGTGCAGGCTGGAGTGCAGTGGCACAATCTTGGCTCACTGCAACCTCCGCCTACTGGGTTCAAGCAATTCTCCTGCCTCAGCCTCCTGAGTAGCTGGGGCTACCGGTGTGCACCACCACGCCCAGCTAATTTTTTGTATTTTTAGTAGAGACGGGGTTTCACCATGCTGGCCAGGCTGGTCTCGAACTCCTGACCTCAAGTGATCTGCCTGCCTTGGCCTCCCAAAGTGCTGGGATTACAGGCATGAGCCACCACACCCGGCCCATTTTTGTTATTTCTAAAACCATCTCTCAAGCACAGGGAGTAAATTTTCAGCCATTATACATGCTGACTGGACTAAAAAGTCCTCTGCTGCTCTTCTGAGTCATTCTATCAGAGAAGTCCAGAGAGTGCTTCCAAGTTTGGACCATGAGACCAGCTTCTTGAGAGTTGGAAGATCCTTGGGAAGGTAGGTGGGTGTAGAGTAGACTCAGTTTACCATCTGAACTAGAAGAGCCCAGTTTTTTTTTTTTCTTCTTTAAGCTTGATCCTATTTCTTTTGCACAAGCCATCTGATGGTTATCACCTGTCTTCTGCCTATTTTAAAACAATGAGAGTATAACTGGATTGTTTGTAACACAAAGGATAAATACTTGAGGGGATGGATACCCCATTCTTCATGATGCGATTATTATGTATTGCATGCCTGTATTAAAACATCTCATGTACCCCATGCCTACTAAACACCCACAAAAATTAAAATTACTTTTTTAATTGATAAGGAATGCTACATAGAATATTATTATAACAAGTCATTTATTGAGTTCTTGTTATATGCTAGACAGTGAAGTAAATGCTTTACATTAACAATGATTAAGCTTTTAAATCACATCAAAATATTTTTATTTTGTCTATAAGGAAATTCAGTCTTTATTCATATAAAGATCAGTTATTTTGCATTCCCACCAACAGTGTAAAAGCATTCCTGTATTGCCACAACCTTGCCAGCATTTGTTGTTTTTTGACTTCTTAATAATTGCCATTCTGACTAGGGTTAGATGGTATCTCATTGTGGTTTTGATTTACATCTCGCTAACGATCAGTGTTGTTGAGCTTTTTTTTCATATATTTCTTGGCCACGTGAATTGCTTAATACCTAGGTGATTGGTTGATAGGTGCAGCAAACCACTATGGTGCATGTTTACCTATGTAACAAACCTGCACATCCTGCACATGTACCCCAGAACTTATAGAAGTAAAAATAAGGATCAGTTATTTTAGAACAGAAGAAAATTCCAGGAGCAAGACTTACCTTCAGAACAGCTTGCCTTTGCCTCCCCAAACCTATTCTGTAAATTACATTTAGATAGTTATGGTGATGTGCTGGGAAAAAAGCTGTAATTGGTGGGGGAGATTGGAAATTATAATTTTGAAGCAATAAAATCTTTTCAAAGTTGTTTTTGAACATTATAAAGTCAGCCATGTCTATCCTAACAGAGCATCATAACTTGAAATCCAAATCCTGGGTGATACTATGCAAACACCAAAATGTCTGTTTCCTTCCAGTGGCCAAATGACCCCTTTTAATTGTTGTTAGCCAGAGCCAAAGGGCCAACATTACAAAGAGAGACGTATATTGGTATTCTTAACGCAGGTTTCACATTCAGACAGTCTGACTTTAAAATGGATTCTTTAAATCGTTGCCGCCCAAACTGTGGTCCAGGGGGCAGCAACATTAACATCATCTATGAGCCTGCTACAAATGCAGAATCTCAGGTTCTACCACAAACTGAAGCATAATCTGCCTTTTCAACAAGATCCTCGTGTGATCGGTGTCCACACGAGGTGTCAATGTCACTTGCCAAGTTCATGGCAGACCTTTGCTATGGTTTTGGGCATCCACAGGTTTGCTAAACCCCACAGGGATTTTGATATTAAGCCAAAGTTAATTTTTCCTTCAGCTTCTGAGTATTTTTAGGAAGTGACAAGATCAGGTCCAAGATGGGAAACATCTCTTAATATTTGAGGAAGACTCTCTAGGTAGTGTTTAAAGTGGCAATGATAGAACATCTTATGTTCTTTCTTGAGCCTCTAATTTTTCCTCTAGATTTTAAGGATGTCTAAACGTTTCCAAAATCATTCTCTTGCTTCCTTTCTCATATGTCCTCTCTTCTTCCTCGCTCTAACCGTACACCCTTCAATCATCATAAAAAAGAGAAAGAAACAAGGCCGAGTGTAGATACCAATAGGAAGTTCCTCTTATTTTTTTTGTCCTCCCTCAAGTTCTGCTTCTAGGGAAGGAATGGAACTATGAAAGATCCTACATGCCTCCTGTACAATCCTCTTTCATGCTTCTGTGAAGCTACTTCATATTTGTTTTGTTTTGTTTTGTTTTCACAACCATCAAAGGTCTAAACCCTTTGTTTTTTATGTGTCCTTCCTCATCTTTATCAATAAAGATATCAATAAATCAAATCTTTATCAGTAAAGATGAGGAAGGACATGTAAAAAGAGATGTTCATTTTCCAAAGCTACGTTCTGGGTCGTGATCCAGGTTTCTACCTAAATGAACATCTCAAAAACGGTTTGTTGGCAATTGAGCCCTTCTACTCTCCACCTGACAATATAGCTAAAATGTCTGTTGACATAACTGTGGGATGCATTAATTCATAATTTCACACCTGAAATGATAAGCTCCCACAGTTGCAATAAGTTATGCATTTGTATTTGTGCCTCTAGCCATTTGTGAGCACTTGATGTGAAATATCCTTTCCCAGAACTATCTTATAAGACTCTCCTAACTTTGCTCTCCTAAAGAACAGAGAAGAGGGACTTAAAGGAAGTAGTAAGGATGTTGTGTCTTTGGCAACCATACCCTAGTCAACATTTGGCTTTTCTTTCACCCTTACAAATTATTCCTTGGCAATGTTTACATTAATAGCTGTCATTTTAATAATGTTTATTTTTTGGCACAGTGTGTTTCAGGGCCTCTGGGCAACTGAACAAAATTTACTAAACAAAATGATAAAATTAACCAAATAAGACAATAAGTCCAAATAAAAGTATATAAAATCCTGTAGGAAAACTTAGGACTGACTTTCCCCTAACAAGATTGAACTGAAGCAGTCATATTTTGGGGATACAACTATTCATTTCAGCACGGCCACTTGTGGCCTGCCGGGTAGAGAGAACATCATCCTGACCTTTTTCTGGGGATTGTTTTATTCCATTCTCAGGGTGGTTTGTTCTTTAGAGGACAGACTTTTTCAGTAAGCCCAAGGCTACTGGTATAGATATATTTAGGACTGAGATGGACTTAAGAGTATGTCAGACCTGGGTTCCAATTCCAATCCTGTCATCTCCGGTTATGTCACTTGATAATCAATATCTTCACTGGTAGAATGATACCTATATTACAGATTTGTTGTGAGGAATTAATGACATTATTCAGGAAAAAATACTTATTATCAGCGTTATTATTATTTTTGTTACTATCATTTGAGGTAGTAGAATTGGTAGCAGAATTTCAAGGTTGGATGTCAGGAACCCATTTGGGAGCCACAGTGGAACTGATGGAGGAGCAAAGGATAGTGTGAGTGGAGAAGTGAAGTGCTGAGTCAAGATTCTAAGAGTTGAGTGGCTTAGCTGGGATATTTATGAAAGGCGGCTGATTGACACAAACCCAGCTACAGTGAATATTTACATCGTAGTTGAGAAAGCAGGCAAACTACTCAGTGGTAAAAAGATTTTTAATAATGGAAAGAAAAGGATGTGAGATGTCTAATATTCTGTTTTAATTTATTTTTCTGCACTAGGATGTACCACTTTCCATTGCATCTGAAGTCTAATGAAATTCTAATATTCAATGATGTTTTAAGAGGTGAAGGAATTGGGGCCATGAAGATTATAGCAAAGTGGAGAGACAGTTTATAGAAGAAGTAAATTCCAGATGAGCAATAGAATATTCAGTAGAGTTATATATATTTAATATTTATATAAATTATAAATTTATATTTGTAATATATTTAATATATTTTATATATTAATATATTTCAAATATTCAGTAGAAATATTTCAAGGACCTCTCAGGTATCCCCTTCCACGTCACTCAGAACTACCTTTCCAGTCTTAATGGCCTAAGAGTGTTTTGACTCACAAAGCTGACCTAGAACCTATGTCAGTCCTCAATTCAGTTAATATTACTGGGCACTCTTTCTTTGAAACAGATCTACTGGCTACTTTAAAAGAATTTTTCCACTCTCAGGTGAAGTCAAGTTGCTTCTGTATATATTTCTAGTTTCTAGCCTCTTCTTAGGCCTCTATTCTCAACTGTTGGAATAATTTGCTCGTAATCCTTAAATTCTTTTTAGGAAATGTTTACTAAACACTTATAATGAAGCGGGCATTGTCCTAGATTCTGGGGATGCAGGGATGAGCTGGTTCAACATGGTCCTTGTCTTGAAGGTGAGCAACACATACAGGATGATGGCTGCAACAATAATACCAATTATTCCTTAGATGCCTCCAGTACCTCACAAAGGGAATGGTGTTACAGCATTAGAGCCATCACTCTTTGTCAATAGCAAAGTATCCTCACATTTTCCTAGCAATAACAGATATTTCAGTCTGCCTAATAGCACTGATTGAGTGTAGCATACAGAATGATAGCTACCACATGTCCACCAATGCGGCCCTGACTGAAGAATATAATGTTTTCTTTTTCTATTGGTGTGCTTTATGCCACAGTGCAGTGAAGAAGAGCTAGGAGTCAGAATTTCTAGGCACTGTTTTGCCCCTTATCAACTGTGTGGCCTTAGTTGAGTTATCTCTGATCTCATTTCTACATTAGTTGAAGGAGGAAAATAATACCCAAAGACATACTTCCAAAGGCTAGTACAAAAAACAAGTAAGTGTGTAACTGTGATGAATCTTTGTTCATAAACCGAGAGCTAAAAAATAATCAGTTTTATTTAAAGTGCATCTAGTTCAATCTCAATCTCAAACTCAATCTGTATGCTCATCCCAGTTGGCTGGCAGAAAAGTAATTCTCTATCATTTTTGGGATCTCCCCTCCCTATCATGGTACCAAGATATTTGTCAGCACCAAAGCAGCAGAGAGACTCCTCAGACAACCTAGTCTGTGTCCACTCTGGTTAATAGTGAGAGGTGTCTGTTGTATTTACCCATATGTTCCTTGTTTCCATCCTCACTAGGGAAATTGAAACACTTGCCAACACCCAGACCGCTATGCCTAGGTTCCAGCCTTTCTTGGTTCGTATATTAACATCCTATCCCCAAGTACCTGCCACTTCTCAGTGATTGTGGTATTCTCCTGTCATCCTTCCTTCTCTAAAACACCAAACATATATATTTTTAAATGTCCTGAGGCCCTTGACAAATAAGGAAGACCTATTGACCTCAAATGGCTTTTGCTTTGCATTCCACTGTAAAAACTGGCCTAATGCAAGAAGGCTAGAAAATACAAGGGGCCAGGTCATTTGCTCAAAAGATGAGAAGGCAAAAATATGAACTCCTCTATATTTTTGATAGAAGCAACAGGAATTTTTATATTAGTTATCCGGTAAAAGGGCATTTAAGACACATAAACTCTAATACACATATCAGGATGTGTTGTTAGAATTCACCCCTGAGTCACAGGCACCTCTGCAGAGCAGTGGGTAACTAACGAGAAAAGAGGTACGTCATCCTGCATTCACAGATGCTGCTCTTTTCTGGTTATGGTTCATGCCACGGTCATTACATGTTGGATTTCAGCTTTGAAGAGGCCTCCAGAGCCAGTATAGATCATTGAGTCTTTGATTAAGCTCTGCTAAGGCCTAATAGTCTGGAATTTTTCATTATTTTCTTGGCAAGACTCATAGGTTATCTTGTAACAGGCAACAGAAAGCAGAAGTTGGGAAAAAGTATGTGCCACTGTTTGGGGTCCCACAAAGGAGAGGCCCATTACAGTGCCTTTAGAAAGAGCACATTCACTTTAATAGGTTCAGCTACTTTCTATGTTAGAGTCTGGATCCCATTTTCGTATCTCCCCCACTCACCACCAAATGTCCAAAATAATGATCAATTAATAACAATAGAATATTTAATAGTAAGAGCAGTCACTACTAATTCAGTGCTCACTCTGTACTAGACTTTGTGCCTAGAACTTAGAATACCTTCTGCCTTTGTATTGGGTTGAATTGTGCCTTCCTCCAGAAATTGTGTCTCTCAAAAAAATATGACCAAATCTAATCCCTAGTACCTGTGAATGTGATGGGTTGTGGGTTCAATAACATCCCTATGAAATTTCATGTCCACCTGAATCCTCAGAATGTCACTTATTTGAAAATCAGGTCTTTGAACATATAATTAGTTAAAAAATGAGCTTAAATCCAATGACTGGTTTATTAGTCCATTCTTGGATTGCTATGAAGAAATACCTGATACTGGTACCAAAACAGATACATAGACCAATGGAACAGAGCAGAGGCCTCAGAAATAACACCACACACACCACACATCTACGACCATCTGATCTTTGACAACCCTGACAAAAATAAGCAATGGGGAAAGGATTCCCTATTTAATAAATCTTGTTGGGGAAACTGGCTAGCCATATCCAGAAAACTGAAACTGGACCCCTTCCTTACACCTTATACAAAAATCAACTCAAGGTGGATTAAAGACTTAAATGTAAGACCTAAAATCATAAAAACCCTAGAAGAAAACCTAGGCAATACCATTCAGGACATAGGCGTGGGCAAAGACTTTGTAACTAAAAAACACCAAAAGCAATTGCAACAAAAGCCAAAGTTGACAAATGAGATCTAATTAAAGAGCTTCTGCACAGCAAAAGAAACTACCATCAGAGTGAACAGGCAACCTACAGAATGGGAGAAAATTTTTGCAATCTATCCATCTGACAAAGGGCTAATATCCAGAATCTACAAGGAAGTTAAACAGATTTACAAGAAAAAAAAACCCCATCAAAAAGTAGGTGAAGGATATGAACAGACACTTCACAAAAGAAGACATTTTTGTGGTCAACAAACATATGAGAAAAAGCTCATCATCACTTGTCATTAGGGAAACGCAACTCAAAACCACTATGAGATACCATCCCACACCAGTTAGAATGGCAATCATTACAAAGTCAGGAAACAACAGATACTGGAGAGGATGTGGAGAAATAGGAATACTTTAACACTGCTGGTGGGAGTGTAAATTAGTTCAACCATTGTGTAAGACAGTGCAACAATTATGCCTCAACGATCTAGAACCAGAAATACCATTTGACCCAGGAATCCCATTACTGGGTATATACCAAAAGGATTATAAATCATTCTACCATAAAGGCACATGTACACGTATGTTTATTTCAGTACTATTCACAATAGCAAAGACTTGGAACCAGCCCAAATGCCCATCAATGATAGACTGGATAAAGAAAGCGTGGCACATATACACCATGGAATACTATGCAGCCATAAAAAAGAATGAGTTCACGTCCTTTGCAGGGACACAGATGAAGTTGGAAACCATAATTCTCAGCAAACTAACACAGGAACAGGAAACCAACACCGCATGTTCTCACTCATAAGTGGGAGTTGAATAATGAGAACATATGGGCACAGGGAGGGGAACATTGCACACCGGGGCCTGTTGGAGGGGGTAGGCAGGGGGAGGGATAGCATTAGGAGAAATACCTAATGTAGATGACGGGTTGATGGGTGCAGCAATCCACCATGGCACATGTATACCTATGTAACAAACCTGCACGTTCTGCACATGTATCCCAGAACTTAAAGCATAATAAAAAATGAAAAATAATAGAAATACCTGAGACTGAGTAATTTATAAAGAAAAGAGCTTTAATCAGCTCATGGTTCCGCAGCCTGTACAGGAAGCATGGAGACAACTGCTCAGCTTCTGGGGAGGCCTCCGAAAGCTTGAAATCATGGCAGAAGGTGAACAAAGAGCCAGGCATCTTACATGGTGGAGCAGGAGCAAGACAGGATGGAGGTTCTACACACTTTTAAAATGACCAGATCTCCTGATAACTCACTCACTCACTATCCTCAGAACAGCACCAAGGGGATGGTGCTGCAGCATTCATAAGAACTCCGCCTCCGTGATCCAATCACTTCCCATCAGGCTCTACCTCCAACATCAGGGATTACAATTCAACATGAGACTTGAGTGGGGACATGGATCTGAACCATATCACTGGTGTCCTTAGAAAAAGTGACACAAACACACAGAGAAAGTAGCTTATTTGAAGACAGAGATGTGGCAGGAGTCAATCCCTATTCTACTGAAAAAATGAAAGAGAATGATGATTAAGTAGCTTGTCAGCATCACACTAATTTCAAGTGTACAGCTAGAATTCAAACACAGGGTTTAATACTAAATTTTCTCAATTCTGAAGCCTGCACACTTAGCCATTTCACCAAATCACTTCCTACTATTTGCTAGGAAAATATGTATATATATTTACCCAGAAGAGCTACTAGAAATAAATGAAACAGTTCATTTTGCTTGAGGCACATTTAAGGAAAGTTAAAAAAAAAATCTACTTCCCATTTTAACATTCCTTCAACCAACATGATTTTGTGTCTATTTTGTTCCAGACACTGTGCTGGAGAGACAAAGGGGCATAAGATACAGTTCCTGTCTCTAAGGCATTAGCTGTTGACTACATGAAAAAACAAAACAAAACAAAACAAAAAACAAAACCCAGGGTTCTCTGAAAGCACCAAGAGGCACATGTAGCAGCATTCTGGGCAGTGGTGGACAAGTGGTACTTCCCAGAGATAGAGATGTCTTGCAAACTGAAAAAGAACTTAGAGTAAAATGGAAAATTGGTAGGGTTGAAGAGGGCAGGGCAAAGGGCATTTTAAACTAAAGGAGCAGCATATATGAAGCTCAAAGGTAAGAAAGATCATGGCACGTTTATAGCGTGTATTTCCTGGGTGGCCAGAAAAGAGGCTGGGAACAGAGAGAGGCGCCAGGTCTATGAAGAAGCCTGGATGCCAAGATCAAGTTTATTTCAAGAGAGGAAAAGCGTAAAAAGAAACAAGAAAATGCAATATTTTTGTGAGACATCATCTTCTAATAATTGCTTGTCAGTCTTCAGATGCAGTGAGCTAAAAGTATAAGGTTGTGATGAAATATTAAAATACTCCTTTTTTTGAAACCTGAATTTTATTACTATCTGTCGAAGAAAAATTGCACTAAAAGTAAACAGGCAAGGAAGACTTTAATCAAGACTATTGCAATAGAAGAGAGACTGAACTCAACTCCACTGAAACAAAAGGCAGGAGGTGTTTTAAGCACTGGGGTGAGTTAGTGGAAAAACAATGAAGACATTAGGGTGGAGATTGGTCCATATGATGAGGCCATGTGTAATTGTTCATTGTCACTTATGGAAGTTAAGCTTTTCTTATGACCTAAATGTTTGTGTCCCCCCAAATTCACATATTGAAACTCTATCCCCCAGTGTGATAATATTAAGAGATGGGGCCTTTGGAAAGGATTTAGAAATCATGCAAATAAAGTTTTTGATAAATAATAGCTTTTGTAATTTTTATCACATGAATATTTGACAATTTCGGTGTCTGGTTCTCTGAGGTTTTTTAGTCTGCAACAAATTACACAGACTATGAGGTATTGTATTTGTCAAATGAGGGTGATGTTTGTATTTCCATCCTGTGATATTTGGGATACTAAGACATTTAAAGCACAGTGCAAAGTGAGACACAGAGCATGGAGAAAGCATTTGTTCACTTGGGATAATGTGTTCTGTTTATCAGAGTCAGTTTAAGGTTCACTTCAGCCATGCCATAGGCAGAATGTTGTCTAAGGGCATAATGAGAGTAGCTTGAAGAGATGTTCATTCAGTCAAGTGTAAAGGCCATGCAATGACAAAATAGAGGAGATTTAAAAACAGCTAGAAGGTTCATTGAGCCCCGGCTCCACTTCCAACTTACATCTGTATTGTTTTCATACCCAAAACAGAGCCATTGAAATTAGTCATGGTAGCACATCCATTTGAAATCATGTATTTCAGTTGCATCACAACAAATTTCCAATGCATTTTTTCCCCTAAGAATTTGCAAAGCATAAGCCAAAAAAAAAAAAAAAAGCGATTAGGGATTCAGAAAACAATCCTCATGCTGCCCTCAATAGCATTCATGTCCCCCAGGGCCACATTTTTCATTTCAATCTTTAAACTTAAGTTCCTTTGACTCCTGTGCCTTCAACTCTTCTCAGTTTAATGGACTTTTTTACCACATCGTAAAATATACATCTTTTGAACACACAACTGTCTGTCTGCTTCAAATATTTTCATTATATTTTATCACAAGCTTGGTTCAAGAGAAGTTTTACACCTAATTTGGAGGACCTGCCCTGTCAGTTTCATTTTCCTCTAGGACTTTTATGGGGCTAATTTGATTCAACCATGAGTTCTTCTTTGTAAGCCCTAAGGTCTCTGTTATTTCTCTTACTTTTTAAAAAAATTATTCTTTCCAAAGCATGCTGGCTGTACGCTAGCCTTCCTTTCTTATTCCTACACAATCTCATTTACCTCAAGTTAGGCAATGGCTAATCTATTCAATAAATATTGAGCACCTCTAACGTGTTAGTAATATGAAGATGAGTAAGAAAACATCCCTGACCTCAAGAAGATCACAGATTAATGGTGAAGACTACCAGTTAAACAGATAAGTGCAATGCATCAATGTGAAAGCAATAATGGAGCTATGTTCTACGTCCTCTGGGAGCACTACCATGTAGGAGAGAAACCAGGAGTTTTATAAACTGAGTACTGTTAAACTGCACTAAGAAAGAGCACTTTAAAGATTTCAAAATTCACTCTATGAATCTTTTAAAATTAATTGGCATTTATTTTATTTATTATTTATTTATTTATTTTGAGATGGAATTTGGCTCTTGTCACCCAGGCTGGAGTGCAATGGTGCGATCTCAGCTCACTGCAACCTCCGCCTACCGGGTTCAAGTGATGCTCCTGCCTCAGCCTCCTGAGTAGCTGAGATTACAGATGCCCCCCACCATGCCCAGCTAATTTTTTGTATTTTTAGTAGAGACGGGGTTTTACCATGTTGGCCGGGCTGGTCTCAAAATCCTGACCTCAGGTGATCTGCCCACTTTGGCCTCACAAAATGCTGGGATTGCAGGTATGAGCCACCGTGCCTGGCCTAATTTTTATTTATTTTAATTGATAAAAGTTTATATGTTTCTAGTGTACCTCATGATGTTTTGAAATATGTATACATCGTGGAATGGCTACATTGAGTTAATTAATGTAAGAATACCTCAGATACTAATAATTTGTGTGTGTGTGTGGTGAGAACGCTTAATATCTACTCTGGAAGTGATTTTCAAGACTATAATACATTGTTATTTACTATAGTCACCATGTTATACAATAGATCTGTTAAACTTATTCCTTGTTTTTTTTTTTTTTTTTTTTTTTTGGAGCTGGGCAATTCTCTTGCCTCAGCCTCCCAAAGTGCTGGGATTACAGGCCTGAGCCATTGCGCCCGGCCTTATTCCCTGCATTTAACTGAAATCTTTTAATGAATGGCTAATGAATTTTAAATTTATATATAAATATATAACATATAACATGAAGATATGTATATATAAATATATAACATATAACATGAAGATATGTATATATAAATATATAACATATAACATGAAGATATGTATATATAAATATATAACATATAACATGAAGATATGTATATAGAAATATATAACATATAACATGAAGATATGTATATAGAAATATATAACATATAACATGAAGATATGTATATAGAAATATATAACATATAACATGAAGATATGTATATAGAAATATATAACATATAACATGAAGATATGTATATAGAAATATATAACATATAACATGAAGATATGTATATAGAAATATATAACATATAACATGAAGATATGTATATAGAAATATATAACATATAACATGAAGATATGTATATAGAAATATATAACATATAACATGAAGATATGTATATAGAAATATATAACATATAACATGAAGATATGTATATAGAAATATATAACATATAACATGAAGATATGTATATAGAAATATATAACATATAACATGAAGATATGTATATAGAAATATATAACATATAACATGAAGATATGTATATAGAAATATATAACATATAACATGAAGATATGTATATAGAAATATATAACATATAACATGAAGATATGTATATAGAAATATATAACATATAACATGAAGATATGTATATAGAAATATATAACATATAACATGAAGATATGTATATAGAAATATATAACATATAACATGAAGATATGTATATAGAAATATATAACATATAACATGAAGATATGTATATAGAAATATATAACATATAACATGAAGATATGTATATAGAAATATATAACATATAACATGAAGATATGTATATAGAAATATATAACATATAACATGAAGATATGTATATAGAAATATATAACATATAACATGAAGATATGTATATAGAAATATATAACATATAACATGAAGATATGTATATAGAAATATATAACATAACATGAATATATATGTTATATATAAATATATAACATATAACATGAATATATATGTTATATCCATTAAAATAAATTCTAAAAGATTCACTAGGTAAATTTTCAATTCTTTAAAGTGCCCTGTTTCTTAGTGTAGTTTAATAACATCCAATTTATAAAACTCTTGGTTTCTCTCCTACATGATAGTGCTCCCAGAGAACTTTGAACATAGCTCCATTATTGCTTTCTATCCAAGCATTGTACTTGTCTGTTTAGCTAGCAGTCTTCACCATTAAACTGTGATCTTCTTGAGGTCATGTTTTCTTACTCACCTTCATACAAATTTACATGTAAATATATAACATATATATGAATATGAATATATGAATAATTAAAAATTCACTTAGTGTATCTTTTAAAATTAATTTTTTTCATATGTATAACATATAGATGTATAAATTTAAAATTGATTAGTTCATTTGTTAAAAGATTTCTGTCAAATACAAGGAATAATTTCAACAGATCTATTGTATAACATAGTGACTACAGTTAAAACAATGTATTCTATGAATATATGTTATATATGTTTATATATAAATTCAGATATATATGACTGTTTATATATATATATCTTCAGATTTTGATATGTTTGCTTAAGCTTGAATATCAATCTTCTCCAAGGTGTATTTCTTTAAATGTTTAGAGCAAAAATGAGTTTCATAATCTAGTAAGGTTCAGATATAAAGCATATCCTATTGTCTGCATGTAATGCATAGTGCACATTAGTAGAGATTCTTAAAAATCCTCATGTGTTTAACTTTGGTAACTCTGTTTCCTAACTTACTTGACCACTGAAACATCTTCTTTCTGTAACAATTATTAACATCCCAAGAACTTGTATTCCAAGATATACACTTTTTTTTTTTTGGAGATGAAGTCTTGCTCTGTCCCCCAGGCTGGAATGCAGTGGTGCAATCTCAGCTCACTGCAGCCTCAGCCTTCTGGGCTCAAGCGATTTTCCTGCCTCAGCTTCCCAAGTAACTGGGACTACAGGCACGCACCAGCATGCCAGGCTAATTTTTATATTTTTTGGTTGAATTGGGATTTCGTCATGTTGGCCAGGCTAGTCTCAAACTCCTGACCTCAAGCGATCCTCCTGCTTTGGCATCCCAAAGTGCTGGGATTACAGGTGTGAGCCACTGTGTGCGTGGCCTCCAAGGACTACACTTTGAAAGATGTTCTTTTCTAAAATTACATGACTTGAAAGTCAGTGGAAATTGCCAGACAAGTTTAGGCAATTAAACACAGTGAGTTGCAATGCCTTAATAAGGGCTCTCCCAATAACAGTTAACAACATAAAAGTTGCCTTTTTTTAACCATTATAAAAGTGAAATTTTTGGAAAACACATAAAGGAAGAAGAAACCACCAGTTGGCAGTTGCCTTGCCACCCAGAAATAGCTACTATTAATATTTTGTATACTAAATGTTTTGTTGACATTTTGAAACCTAAGTATAATTAAATATACACTTACATGTATAAGCTAATTTTCAAGTTTATTTCGCTAATTATAAAAACAACTTCTGTTTATTGTAAGGCTACAGAGAAGTCTAGAAAAAAGAAAAACTCATGTGGAAGCTCTTCATCTACCTTTGCATAATTAATACATCTTTTTGTTTTCTTTTTCTGAGACGGAGTCTCGCTCTTTCACCCAGGCCGGACTGCAGTGGCGGGATCTCAGCTCACTGCAAGCTCCGCCTCCCGGGTTCATGCCATTCTCCAGCCTCAGCCTCCCGAGTAGCTGGGACTACAGGCGCCTGCCACCGCTCCCGGCTAATTTTTTTTTTTTGTTCTTTTTGTATTTTTAGTAGAGAGGGCGTTTCACTGCGTTAGCCAGGATGGTCTCTATCTCCTGACCTCGTGATCCGCCCGTCTCGGCCTCCCAAAGTGCTGGGATTACAGGCATGAGCCACCACGCCCGGCCAATTAATACATCTTTTAAAAACATCTCTCATTGAGATACAGTAAAAATATGGATTCAAAATATGATTTAGGAAGAGACAAGAGCGTAATCACCACCATAAACTGATTCGATATATGCTAAAGAGAACTAACTAGTGGAAGAACATCGTGAAAATCATTAGTGCCTTATGTTTCCCTATGGAGCGAGGGGCATCAGAGACATCTCACAGTTAAAAGGTTTCTGACAGCGAGTACACTCCTTACGGGATGGTCTAAGACTCTGTATCTGGACATTTGGACTGTAAAATCTTAAAGTTTTCTCTGTCTACATGGTCTGGAAACACGCCATTTAACAGCCAGTTCCTGCTTGGATTTTGTCTTCTCTCCTACGCTTGGTAATCTGTACTCATCTGCGTGTGGCTATTATTTAGCCTGGCAACTTAATTGTATTGCTTTTCTGAAATTAACACCACTGTACCATGACAATTCCTGGGCAGCACTTCCATTTGCTACCGTAGCTAGATTTCTCTCCCTGGCCACATTTCACATTCTTACCTGATCTGTTTTGGTTTTTCAATTTGCTCAGTGGGTTGGAAGGCGTAATTTATGGGGCCACTGGCTAGCTGGGCTTTAAAGCTACTTCAAACTCTAAGCTTTCCAGCATGATGCCTTCCCTACACCGTAAGTTCCCCAGTGCCCTTCTCCATTTCCAAATTTTCCCATTTGTGTAAACAAAACCAAAGTTAACTGAGTTCAATGCTAATCCTTTGTTGTTCTGTGGGGAGTAGAATTAAGCTTGTAACAATTTGGGGAAAAAGAAAGAAAGAAAAAAAAAAAACACTGTTTGGAAAGAAATGAAGCCAGAGGGACTTAAACTCAGCAGAGTGATTTGAATGACCAAACATTCAGGCCACTTTTATTTGGATTTTAACTTTTGGGGGAGCATAAGAGTGTCACGCAGCGAACATGTCAAATGAGAAGGCAACTAGATAATATGACAGGGGTACTGGGGCAGTCAAAATGAGAGAAGGATGGGGAAGGCTGGATGATCTATGGGGACCAGAAATAAGAACATTGCTTCTGAATATTGCACTCAGTTGTCCTGATGAGGGGAAAATGCCACATCCCTTTCCTCTTTTAATTAAGATAGCTGAGCTGCTTTTATCAGAGATTTGATATATACTCAGGGTCTTGTAAGTCCAAAAACTCTACTGGATGTTTTGTTACAGGTTATTTGCACTATTACAACAGTTTTGTAAAGTTTGTATTATTCCATTTTCACAGGTGAAAAAAAAAGACTCTCAAAGAGAATAATATAAATGGAAGTTTTCATCTTTGATAACTAGTACACTGAAACTCAAGAGTGTTTATGACTCTGAACTCTATATTATTACCATGAAAGCAGGTATTTTTGTTTTTGTTTTGGTTTGGTTTGGTTTTGGTTTTTGGTGGAGGGTGAGAGGGCATAAGGGGTGTCGCAGACTTCTTGTGGACCTTCTGAAAAGTTTTGAATCTTGAGTATAGAAAAATATATATGCACAATTTTTTGTGGGGGGTTTATGGCCTTCATGTTTAAGAAACTGTTCATTTTGCATTTATTCTTTCTGCCAAGAGAAAGTAGGACTTTATGCAAAAGAATATAAACTGTGATATTTTGGGATATATGTGCTCTTTTCCTAACAAAAGTAACTCCTGATTAGGAATGAGTTGGGGAGGGAGTTGTGGGAGCTGTGGATAGCCTCTCTGCATTGTCTTTTAGCATTCCTGAAATATTTTCCCCAAGCCTTTCTGGAAATTGGTGCTGTCAGCACCTTTGCCATTTGTCAGAATGGCACTGTGTCTCATTCTTTTAGTGTGTTGGTGCTGAAAGACAAAAAAATGTTACAAATTACTGTCATGGCAATAAAATACCTAGCTAAGTAAAAATTATCTGTCTGTCAGCATTATTTGCCGTCATGAACATCACATGGATGCAGTTTTTTGGTTATCACCTACTTCAGGCGAAATTGGCTTTATACAGTCATTTCTCTCCTTGAAATTTCTGCATCTATCATCTTTTTCTTCCTACTTAAAAGACCATAAAATGTGTTTGTTGCCAGTCTTTTCACATCCTAAATGAAAAAATGAAAAGAAGTTTTTTTTCCCTTATGTCATGATTCATGTTCCAGCTCTGTCCTCACGGCATTGTTAGGGGGAAGACTTGTTATGGTAACTGAGACCAGCAGGTAACAAACACTCAGTTGTCTTCTGAAGGGGATATTCATCACCTGAGTGCAGTGCAGACATACAGGTGATTTCTGGGAAAGTTGGTTGTGCAACTGCAAACTTTGCTCCACAGGAAGTCAAGAGAACTCCTCCCAACCCAGAACATAAGTTATTCATGAGCTTGGGGATGAAAGGCATGTGATGGGCTTCAGAAATATAAAATGCCTAATGTTGTCTCCATGTCAAGGAGAAGCACTTTTATCTTTATGAAAGAGAGAACAGAGAGAGAGTATTTTTTTCCAAAAAAACAACTTTTGTATCTTTCATGACATGTTTAGTACAAAATTAGTTTTCTTCTTTTTCCCTCCCCCTAACCTCCACCTTCACCTCGAAACATCTGGAATTTTAATATTGTGGAGTTAGATTAGAAAAAAATGAATTAAATGGGAGATAAACAATTTAACATTTATATAAGGATACTGTATGATACTTATATACTTGTGTTAGCAAAATGTTTGCTTTTCACTTTGTTTTCTTCTGTCCCTACCATCATGATGTTATAGAATTATTTTCTTTTAAAGAAAAATGATAAGTTTTCATATTTATTGATGTTTACTGTGTCCCAGGCACTGTGCTCTAAGTACATTATTTAATTTACTGCTTGGAATAATACTAAGAAGTAGGAACTGATCTCTTTTCCCCATTTTATAGATAAAGAAACTGAGCTCAGAGAGATAAAGTAGAAAATGTCAGACTAGTTTAGGCAACCAACCATGGTAAGATGTCATACGGTAGTAGTAACTTATTTAGTTTATACAAATTACACTTGAAGAGACAGAATCAGAATTTATTCCTAGACTTGCTTAACTCTGGAGCCTCTCTAAACCCTTCATAGTGTGGTACGGGAACAAGCAGCATCCACACACCTGGGAGCTTGTTAGCAATGCAGACTCTCAGGCCTCATGTCCAGTAGGGCACTGGCAAGTGTTCTGCAATCAGCTTTTTTGGGAGATGTGTGTGTCGAGGAGGTACTTTGTAGTGTTTGCAGATTTCTACGGTTTGAATGCTCTCACCGTGGCCGATTACAAGCTACCACCGTCATCACTGACCACAGGTTCAGGAAGAGATGTGAACCATGGATTAGCTCCCTGGAGGAGAGGCACACTGAAGCAGAATCTTTACTTCTACTAATTCTCCAGGCAATTCACATGTTTGAGAAGCACCAGTCTAAGCTACTGCTTTATATTGCCTCACTTTTTGGATTCCTAGGAGGTCTGTGGTCCTGGTCTGGTATTTTGTTGCCCCTTCATCTCCCACCATAGTGCAGGTAACAGGACAAGACTTTCTGGCTGACAAACCTGGGATGGAGCAGCAGATGCAGTCGGACTTCTAATCTCTGGGACTCGTGGTGGGGGGCTCAGTGTAAAGAAAGTTGCATTCAGGGAAATGGCCTGCTGTAACTCAGCAGAGACTTAGCCATGCACTCTGAGGGAGGCTCAGGAAAGCTGAAAAACCATCTCTACATGCCTTTATACAAGGCTTTTCCTGACTGAGAAGAGAATTTGCACTGCAAGACATTTGGGGATCAGAAAGTTAGAATCTTTTGCTTTCCTCTCCTATTGATTAGCCATCTTCTCATGTCTGGCTGCATTTATCCCACGAGTATAATAGAGAGAAAACATGATAATAGGGAGGCTTATATTTTACTCTTCATGCCTTTTATCTGGAACCCAACTAAAATCAAGTCTATTTTTCTTGTTTTGCAAGTAGAAACAGAGACTTACTTAAAAAGTGTTTTGTAGGGTATGAATTGAGAATAAGACGTAGTTTGACCAATCTTCTACATTCCCTCTAACAATAGACTGAAATATAATAGCTAATAAATGAAAAAATACTAGAGAGGAGAGAAAACTTGAAAATTATTTAAACAAAAACTCTGACAGATGGGAAAACAAGGGCCCAGGAGGTTGGAGAAATGAGCTCATTGGCACACTCTCATGGGGCTAGGGAGCGATGAGGCCACCAACTATTCTAACTGCTACTTAGACTTCACCGAAACTTACTCAGCTTACTCTTACAATGTCCTCCTACCTCCCTAACCAGGACTATCTCCTATATTTTCTTCCCCCTCACCCATTCTGATAACTTCAAATACTGCCTATAAACTAATGAAACTCAAACCAATTTTCTAGCCCAAATCTCATGAACCTATAAGACTTCCTCATTTGAACACTTTATTGATGCCTCCAATTCAACTTGTCTTCCTACTTTTTTCCTAAGGAAATTCTCTTTCTGTGTTTCCATAGCACTCACGTCTCCCCATCACAGTACTTAAAATACTATATTTAATTGTCACTTTGTTTCTCATGCATGACAATTTTAAGCCCACAAGAGCAGTGGCTATGTTTGGTTTACTGTCTTATCCCTAGCACCTAGCACAATACTTTGCACATTATAGAATGATCACAATTTCCTCAGTTTAACACAGGTGAGTTATTTTGAGTTCCCCAGAAGGCAGAGACTGAGGCAAAGGATTACTGCTGCTAATTTGATAGGGAATATAGTCCCATGGATCAGGAGTAAGGATCAAAGGTAAAGCAGAAAAGGAGAGAAAGCCAATATAAGGATGCAATAGCAAGTTGGCCACCCAAGAAGTTGTATAAACTGGGTCTCAGGGGCTGGGTGTGGTGACTCATGCCTGTAATCCCAGCACTTTGGGTGGCTGAGGTGTGCAGATCACGAGGTCAGGAATACGAGATCAGCCTGATCAATGTGGTGAAACCCCATCTTTACTAAAAATACAAAAATTAGCTGGGCGTGGTGGCACCTGCCTATAATCCCAGCTACTTAGGTGGCTGAGGCAGGAGAATTGCTTGAACCCGGGAGGCAGAGATTGCAGTGACCTGAGATCGCACCACTGCACTCCAGCCTGGTGACAGAGTAAGACTCCGTCTCAAAAAACAAACAGACAAAAAGCAGGTCTCAGGACCATTCATCAGGGAGAGAAAGGGGAAATCCAAAGCCAAGGATTATAGATTTGCCCCATGTGGCATTAATACCACTTAACTTCCAGGTTATACATGGGTGGGTGTCAGGTGGCTTCCCAAACCTCAGAGTCAACAGGGGAGCCCTGGGACAAAAGGCAAGAAGTATATAGAATGGTATATGAGGTGATGCTCCAAATAGGGCCTGGAGCTTATCCCTGACCCTTCCTCTCTTTTAGTCCCCCATCTCCCATGAATTAGCATATCTTTACCAAAATACCTCTAAAGTATGCCCTTTTATTTCTTTCCCCACTTTTTTTTTTAATATTAGGATCTTTCTGTCTCAACTTATGTTTATGCCATAATCTCTTCCTTCATCTTCCTGCTTTCGGTCTTGCCCCATCCATCTCTGATTCTAACCCTTCAGTGATGATCCATTTCTTTCAAGATACAATTTAATCTCGTCAAGATGACTCAAGAATTTTCATGATCTGCTCCATTGCATTTGGCCAGCTGCATCTTTCTAGTCCCTGCATACTAGCTTCTTAAACTTTGGCCATACTGAGTTTGCAATCCTTGCTGTGTTTTGCTCCCTCATACTCCTGGGGTTGGCAGTATTGCTCCCTTTGCTTGGAACACTGGTCTTTTTCAAGATAGTTTCCCTTCATCCATTAAAACTCTGACAAGTGGCTCGTAAACTTTAGTGTATTAGAATCTCCTGGAGGAATTGTGAACACAGATGGTAGGGTCTCACCCCTAGAGTTTCTGATTCAGTAGGTCTAGGATGGGGCTCAGTGCTTTGAATTCTGAACAAGTTCCCAGGTGAAGATAAGGCTGCTAGTTCAGGACAATACTTGGATAACCACAGCTCTGGAGATAATAGCTGTGCTTTCCTCTAGCATAGCATTTTACCCAGTTTATGTAGTAGTTTTACTTATTTCTCCTCCTCCAATCAGTGTGTATTCATCAGAGGGTAGGGGCATTCATCAGAAGTAGGTCTTATTCATCTCTATGATATGGCCCTTGGCACTGTGTCTGGCACATAGTAGATATTATGTTAATGGAAGGAAGGGGAAACAAAAAACAAAAAAGAAGAAAGACATTTTGAACAAAGACTGAAAAATACAGAGAACTAGATGTAGAGGTCTTTAGAATATTTTCCCAGGCCAATGTTCTATATTTTGACATAAACTATTATTACACTATTATTATTAAACTATTATTACTAAACTATTATTACACTACATTCTACTAAATGTAGTGAAACCTGTGTGATGTAGTGGCTACAAATGTGGCTGTTGGGATCATATAGTCTGCTTTTAACTCCTAGTTCCACTATGTGATGTTAGATCTATTACTTATGCCTCTCTAAATTTCAGTTTTTATACTCATATAATGAGAATAATAAAAATGCTACCTAATGGAGTTGTCCTAATGTTTAACTGAAGTTATACACATAAAGTGTTTTTTACAGTCTCTAACATATATATCATAAAACACTCTGTAAATGTTAACTACCATTTTATTATCTGTTCCTTTAAATAGCTTATTTACAAAATTGTGTGATTTTAGCAATTTAATAGACATTACCAAAAAATGAACATAAAGATAAGTTGCTTATATCTTAGGCGTTTTGGTACCACAGAGCATTTTGTTTATTTTGAACTCTAAACGTATTTCTAATTCAGATGATTGTTACCAAGGTAGAACAATAAATTCAGGAAGAAACCAATGTTTTTGGAAAAGTTGTGTATTTTCTATTCAAAATTCTTTTTAAAAATATTCACAACATAAAGGGAAAAAATTGTCCAAAATACCAATCTGCTAAAATAATATTTCCATTAAAATAACTTTTGGTCAGAGAATTTTATTCAAAGATCTAGTGATCTGTACAGTTATGAACAAAACATCCCTCCAAAATATTGTTAACATATGCTATGACAATTTCATGCTTAGGGAATGCCCATCAGATAAAAAGTACAGAAGTAGGACTCTGGTGCTTCTGTTAACAGGCCAGAAGGTAAAATGCAACTGAGAGAGTATGAACCTGACAAGAAAGAATTTCTAGACGACTGGACTAAGGAGTGATTTATGGGCCTTACATTATGATTATCTCTCAAAGACCAAAAGTGTAGAGGAAATAATTTTTAATCATTTTAATAGTGTTTCTTCTTCTCTTTCATTTCATTCTTTCAGTCATTTGTTAATTTGTTTGTTCAATAAATATTTAAAATCAAATATGTTCTAGTCTGTGCTAATCATTTCACCTGTATTATCTCATTGAATTTTCATACTTATGAAGTAAATATGTTAATTACCTCCGCTTACAGAATAGAAGTTTGTAAATGTCAAGAAACTTGCCAAAATCACGTAGTAGCTGGAGATCTGACTGTTTCTAACAGTAGATGCTGAGGTGAGAGAGGGGATAGAGTTTCTAACTATGATGCTATGCCATGCTATTTCATCATGTGACCTTCACCCAGCTGAAGATGCATGGCAGCCAGAAGCCTTTGAAATAACCACCTGAATGTGAATATATAAACTATTATGTGTGAAAACTATAAAAGTTTACTTTTGACATATAATTGATAATTACCTGTGCATTTTAAATAATGTATTATGAAAAAGAATATGTTATATTGTAATATAACTTTTTCCAGTATAAAAAAAGCAAGTAAAATGAGCAAGTGCCCCGAAGGCCTATTATAACATATATATAACATAACTTACATATATGTTATATATATGTAAGTTTCCTGGGTGCATATATATATATGTACATAAAACATTAAATATATATGTAACATATAATATATGTAACATGTAAGTATATATTATATATATATACACATATATATCATAGCTTTCTGATAACTTGCTGATTTTATCAAAACAACTAGTGAAAAGCAAATAGTTCTGGTTACACATTTGTCATCATGTTGACTAAGTAGAATTGCTATATTGAATTTTTAATTTTTTCTGCCTCAATTTTTCCAAAATGACAGTAAGTGATGGTAGATAATGATGCTTTAATATGTATCTATACATACATCTAAAAGATGATATATACAATGTAAGTTACTATATTGTTCTTCAAAATGTGATTGCAAAAGTCCTTCTCGCAATGATGTCCAACACCTGCAATTATAAAATCACAATTCCCGAGAATAATTACTGAATACATGTAAAATTTTTTTCTTGTTTTTTTTTTTTAACCAAATCTGTCAAGTAACTTTTATGTACACCTCAAAATGAATAATGATTAATTCTCAGGCCAATCTGTCTTCTTCAATAGAATTAATTTTTTCAAAATGAATTATTTAAGAAAATATTCTGTAATATGAAAGACTTTCTAGGTTGCTAACAAAAGCCAATTTTCTCTTTTCTGACCGGTGTATTTCTTTTGAGTAGCTGAATAGGAACCTTATTGCCTTATATTTAAGCATGTTCACTAAGCATGGTGTTCAAAGGTAGAAGTTTTATACAAGAGTTTGAAAAGTGACTCAAAAGGGTAAACCCTATTTTCATTCTTTTCATCTCTCTGTTTCCTATGGTATCAGTTTGATCCTAAGGCTGGTTCAGCTTCAGTAATAAGATGACTGTCAAAGGTGCACTGAATAAGCTGAGAGAGAGAGGGAGACAGAGCAACACAGAGAGAGACAGCATTGTACTTCCACCATCTAACAGAAGTATTTTCTTTGTTGTCTCTGACATGGCCAACTTAAATGAGAAACCTGTTAATCTAACTAATGGTGATTCAATTTAGATTATATGTTGACCCTTGAGTCAATCCCTGTGGTCATAGAAATGTCAAGTACCAATTGACTTGGGTCAACTAGGCCTCATCTCTGGAGCTTGGGATGGATAAATTCTCTCCAAACTGCATCCTACTATACAATGAGAAAAGGGCAAAATAGATGCTGGGGTGCCCACTACATATTTCAGTGAGGCAATGGGAATTTCCATATTGTTTAAAATTCCAGAGCACTCTCATGCCCATATTCTCATTTGATTCTGAGTTCAGCTCTTGTGTTATGCAGTATAAGTTAAATCATTTCCACTTGATGGATGAGGACACTGGGACTCAATGTGGTTAAGTTACTTTGAACCCAGATCTTTTTCGTTGCTATTGTTAATCCCAGGTTAAAAGCTTTCTGAGCACTTGCTTATTTTAGGGAAATGGCCTGCTGCAACTCATCAGAGACTTAGCCGTGCACTCTGAGGGAGGCTCAGGAAAGTTGAAAAACTAGCTCTTCATGCCAGTATACAAGGCTTTTCCTGACTTAGAAGTTACCAAGTTACTCGTTTTACCAAAACAATTAGTGAAAAGTAAGTAGTTCAAATTACACATTTGTCATGTTGACTAAACGGAATTGCTATATTGAATTTTTACTTTTTTTCATCCCCAATTTTTCCAAAATGGCAGTAAGTGATGGTGGACAATGATGCTTGCAGGGATAGAGGGGGAGTCATAAGTCAAATCTGCCTTGGTTAGTAGCTTTGTTAGCTTGAAATAGTTTCCCAACAGCCTCTGTTTTAAAAAGGATCACAGATCGACAATCTACATTTTATTTTTGTCTTAGAAAGTTTTGCCATCACCTTTCTACTATGGTAATTGAGAGTCATAGTGATTTTTTGTATTCTCCTGATACATTGATATGGGAGAAAGCTTAGATATCAATGGGCCAGGAGAGTCAGAACCATCCAGAAACTTTGCAATACTCCTGGGAAGGGCTCTATGTAACAATTTGCCAAGAGCCTATGAGAAAAGATTCTTAAATGAAAACTTAAAGAGAAAAATTTCTAGATTGAAGTAAAACCCTCATTGGCAGACTTGCTCATCCTGCCTCTCCTGATAATGTACCCACGCTTTAATATGGATATTGATGATCATGATAATAAATGGCTGGACTGAGAGAGAATTGTGAAAATACCACAATAGGGGAATATAATATTTAGTAAAAATTAACTCTTAATGCTGGTCTTAATATATTCATTATTTGTTTTTATAATGGCATTGGATGCCATGATGTTAAAAAATGTTTCCTGAAAACAATAGACACTGTGGTCTACTAGAGGGTATAGGGAGGGAGGTGGGTTAAAAGGCTACCTACCAGGTACTATCTATGCTAACTACCAGAGGGTCAGGATCCATATTCCAAACTGTGGCATCATGTAATATTCCAATGTAACAAATCTACACACATACCTCCACTATCTAAAATAAAAGTTGTGGCTGGGCGTGGTGGCTCACACCTATAATCCCAGCACTTTGGAAGGCCGAGGTGGGTGGACCGCCCGAGGTCAGGAGTTTGAGATCTGTCTGGCCAACATGGTGAAACCCCGTCTCTACTAAAAATACAAAAAAAAAAAAAAATGCTGGGCATGGTGGTGCATGCCTGTAATCCCAGCTATTTGAGATGCTGAGGCAGGAGAATCACCTGAGCCCAGAAGGTGGGAGATTGCAGTGAATTGAGATTGTGCCACCGTACTCCAGCCTGGGCAACAGAGTGAGATTCTGTCTCAAATAAAGTAAAATGAAAAATAAAATAAATAAAATGTTGTAATTTTTAAATGTTTCCTAAAATTCTTATAGCGATGTATGCTTTTATTTTCTGTATATTATCCCAGTGCCCTACAGAAGTGACAACTTTACTTGACATGGATGTTGTAAGGGAGTTCTAGTGTGACAACAGACAAACCCCAGTAGAACATGCATGTAATATATTCTACAGACAGATGGCCACAGACAGATAGTCCGATTGTAAAATGGAAAGAAACACTCATTTTTGCAAAAAAGGCCACGTACTATAACCACTTGGGCAGAGCCTTTTGCTGAATTCTAGGAATAGAGTAATGGATCAGTCCTACTCATTCCTTTTTAACAAATCAAGTATAGCAGGAAAACAGATACATGGACAAATAATAAAACATATTGCAATATATGTAATGATAAGAGTTTGTACAAGGTCCAGATTCAGTAGAGAGAAAGGCCCATTGAACAACAACAAAAATAGCTGACAAACAACTGAGGAAAGATAAATATCAAATGATAGATGTTGTTAATAGATAATAGAAAAAAAATGAGATAACAGAGGCCCTCAAATGAATGTTCTCCGAGAATATAGGAGTTGTATAAAACGTTGATGAATAAGAAAGCTCCAGACAGGCAATTAATGGGTCAGACATTAGTGTCCTCATGGTGGGATGAATGAGGTTTGTTTCAGAAATCGTGTTGCTCAAGTCTAAAAGCAGTTAAAAAAAAAAAAAGGAAGTATGGTTTAAGTTCAAATTGCAATATATTTTTGATTAAAGACTGAGCTTCATCAATCTTTTGCAAGACTTGCTGTTTGATATTCATTAGAACTCTTACTTCTTAGAAGCCTGGAGTTCAAGAATTCATGCTTACTTAACAGTTTTTCCAAGGCCTTCTGCATCACACAGCACCAAACCCCCACCCTCCGCCGCCCCACACACACACACACACACACACACACAAACACACACACAGACACACACACACACATATATTGTTCCCTGGGCTATATCTTCTATTCTTTTTTTCTTGGTGAAGATGCATCTCTTCAGCTACGCAGACAATTTGGAATTCCCCACTAGTAATTCTCGGTTTCAGATACAGTATTTTCCTCAGCTGGTAACTTCCATGATTTTTTTGCTGAAGATAGAACTTTTTATTTTTTTCTTCCTAGTCTACTCTTTCCGTGTTTCCATGCTATTACTGTAGAATTTAAATTAGTGATGCATTTGTGTAGATAGTTTCTATGAAAAACACAAATCAAAATATAGTCATGGTATATCTAATTTGCTGTGCACAGTCGGTATTTGATAAAGGGCTGTAATGAGAATAACTCAAATACTTTTTTATGCACTCTTATCATAGCAATTATCATGGAGATTAAGAGAAGCAAAACAAAACAAAACAAAGCATTCATTTTTTTAAAAAAGAAAAGTAAATAATCATTACTAAAAGAGACAAGACATGCATGAGATGGCGCTTATATTTTGAAACAGGTTGTGTACAAATATAGGTCAATATTTTGATCAAAATCTAATATATTAATAGAATATACTATATTTTGTTTTAAGAATACATAAAACACAAAGGCAAAGATGGAGACAGTAGAAAAATTGCATACTTATTTACCTTAGAACAGGACATTCTGGCGTTATATTATTCCATGAAATGCAGATTCCCTTCAAGAAGGTGAGCTATATAAGAACTGCATGGACCCATTTCAAGCTGCTCCATCAGCATGTGATCTCATCCAGGGAGGCATCAGAGTGATGCTGAGGCTTCTTCAGCTCCTTTTCACATTCACCTCCAAATATCAAGAAACCATTCTAAAACACCTCAGTTTCCAAAATGACCCCCTTATCAACAAAACTCAAGATAGCAGCAATTGCCTAAACTCCAAAGAGGAATAGTTAATAGTAGCCGATAGAATTTTCTTTTAATTTCAAAATTTGCTTATAATGTAGGTAATACACAATTGTTGAAAATCTATAAATTGCAGAAATATAAAGAATTAAAGTATAAAATCACTTGTGATCCCCCCAATTCTGTTGTTAACATTTTAAGATCTTTTCTTTCTTTTAACAATTGATATGCACATAATATTTATGTATTCATGTAGTCTTTATTTTATAATTGTTATGGAAGGAAGGACGGATGGATGGATGGACGGAAGGATGGATGGGAGGGAGGGAGAGAGGGAAAGAGAAAGAATAAACTTTGTTTTAGTCACTTTCCTAAATACTAGAGACTTAATGATAGATCAACTATAGTCCACACCGTGACAAAATATGATACTCTAACTGTGATAAATGCTTTTTTTACAGAATAAGATACTACAAAAATTATTGACCCTAAGACATTTAAAAGTAGAATGCCATTGCATTCTGTGAATATCATATTAATATTTTGTGTATACATTTCTTGTTTCCAATTTGTGACTCATACATAGCAATAAAGAACTATCCTTGCTAACACACCTGGTCTGATTATTTCCCTAGGCAAGATTTCTACAAGATTACGGGGCTAAACTTTTTAAAGTTTCTTGGTACCTATTACCAATATCCTTGGGATGGGAAAATTCAGAACTCATATTCTCAGGAAGCTGTAATTCAACCTCCATCTGTCCATGCTCTGAAGGAGGGAATGAAGGGCAGTTTTTATCCTGGTTTGTAAGGATACTAGGTATGAAAGTTGTTTTTTTTCTCATAATATTGTTGTTTATTAGTGAAACCAATTTTCTGCTTGAAGGAATCAGTGGGGAAGGTTGCAGAATCGGTAGCCTTCAGCTCTTTCTCTAACTCAATTATATAATAAACAAGAACTAATTAATTTTTTAAGTTTTATTTATTTATTTATTTATTTTCGAGATGGAGTCTTGCTCTGTCATCCAGGCTGGAGTGTAATGATGCAATCTTGGCTCACTGCTACCTCTGCCTCCTGGGTTCCAGCGATTCTCCTGCCTCAGCCTCCCGGGTAGCTGGGATTACAGGCGTCCGCCACCACGCCTGGCTAATTTTTGTATTTTTAGTAGAGATGGTGTTTCACCATGTTGGCCAGGCTGGTCTCAAACTCCTGACCTCAGGTGATCTGCCCACCTCAGCCTCCCAAAGTGCTGGGATTACAGGTGGGAGCCACCATGTCTGGCCGATTTTTTTCAGCTTTTAAATTTTTATGGATCCTGGTGTATATATGTATGGGGTACATGAGGTATTTTGATACAGGGATGCAGTACATAATAATCACATCAGGGTAAATGGGACATTCATCACCTCAAGCACTTATTCTTTCTTTGTGTTACAAACAATCCAATTATACTTAGTTATTTTTAAGTATACAAGAAAATATTGTTGACTATAGTCACCTGTTATGTTATCAAATACTAGATTTTATTTTATTTTTTGTCTAACTCTATTTTTGTACCCATTATCTATCCCCATTTCTCCCACTCACTCCTCACTACACCATCCAGCCTCTGGTAACCACTGTTCTACTCTCTATTTCTATGAGTTCAATTGCTTTAATTTTTAGCTCCCACAAATAAGTGAGAACATGAAAAATTTGTCTTTCTGTGCCTGGCTTATTTCACTTAACATAATGACCTCCAGTTCTACTCATGTTGTTATAAATGCCAAGATCTCATTCTTTTTTTATGACCAAATAGTACTTTATTGTGCAAATGTACCATATTTTCTTTATCCATTTGTCTGTTGATAGAGACTTAGACTGCTTTCTAATTTTGAGTGCTGCAAATAGTGCTGCAATAAACATGGTTGTGCATCGTAAATTTAGGGAAGTATAGGGAGACAGTCTTTGCTTCCTGTAAGTGAAGACCTTAAAACATCAATTGTGTTATGCCATAGGATACAGACACCTATTTAAGTCAAAGACTATTATGAAGGCGTTACATTGTTTTTAATAAGAAGAATCCAACTTCCCTTTGGTATTGCTTAAGCTGCAGAAATGGCAATATTTTGAGTGTTCAGTCTTTCAATGAGTAATGACGACAATAAAGTGCCTGTCACTCCAGTAAAGCTAAAATGAACCATTATGCATCCCTCTACAGGCAGAACCTCGGGTCTTGATGGACATCCTGCGGAGTTTTAGGTACACTTACCAGAAAATGCTCTTGTGTTATATGTAGACGTGCTTAATGAGGCAAAAGATAATGGATTCCTTTTAGGCACAGAAAAGCTGCTAAAGGAAATGTAATTGGGCTGGAAAGTTGGGATTTATTGGACTTTTCTCCTTCCCAAATCAGAACTATATCATCCTTATGAAAATATTAGCAATGTGGCTAAGAAAAATGAGACAAAGTAATTACTGCATTATTTAATAACCTTGCTCTATTTAGAGAAAATTCTCCTATGAAACCTGTAGAACTCTACACATGAATCTATCACAGCATCTGTAATCCTGGGACCTCAAAAGTACAATGGCTGAATTATGAGGCCTTGTCTTGTCTGTGAAATGAAAGGATGGTTTTATTGTATTTTATGTATCATAAATCCTAAAACTACTTTAAAAAAGTAATTGTATAGGGAAATCTGTCATTTCCTCCTCTCTGTTGTCTATTCCCCTTTATTCTGGTAATAAAATCTTGATATTCCAAGATATTCCTACTACCTCTTAGTCTATATAATTTCTAAGACAGTGGATGCAAATTCTACCTTCACAAGCTCTATGCCAGCAAGTAAGAATATTGTGTCCATAGACCACAATACAATCATCACATGGTTAGAACATTCTAAAATTGAAGCAAACACAGAGCAAAGCAGACCCAGAAGATAGGGATATAAGCTCTAGTGTTATAATTTGAGGGCCTGGACCCAATCAGACCTGAAGCCAGAGCACTCCTGGATTCCCTCATTGTCAAAACCGATAAATGTCCTTATTTCTTTATTTATATTTTTTGCTTAAGCCAGATTGAGTTGATTTCTATCACTTGAAACCAAAAGAGTCCTAGCTAATAGAGGAACGCAATTCTTATTCCTTAAAGTTAGATTGACCAGCATCTAATAAAAAAGTGTTTAGTTTTCTTCACTTAGAAACTTACTTGAAGATATACCCTGGTTTTTGGGTCAGTGTCACTGCCCATCAGAGAAGGGTGATGTTAATGAGCTAGTGATGATTAAGAACTAGAGATTTCAAGGAACTTAATCCTTTTATAGCCTGAGAAGGGCTGTAGGAAATACATTAGACCCAGAAAGAAGATAACTTGGAAGTTTTTTATTGCTAATAAAAGCCTGCCTAATTTCCATAGGCACAAGAAAAAAAAAAGAGAGAGAGAGAAACTCTTGACTGGCAGGAATAAAAACTGCATGGAGAAAAAAAAATGAAAAGATGACTTTTTTTTAATGGTACTTTTATGTTCCTCCCCTCCCCCCTTGCCGCTGCCCACAGTACTTACAGGAAGGCAGTAATTTACTGAGATCTAGTGCAGTATGTTTGATTAAAGGTCATGCAAACATTAAAATATTTCACCAAAAATCTGAGACAAAGAAATGGAGATAACCGGCTCTTCTCAGAACCACTCAAGTATACTTATAAGTTTATTAATGGCTGGTGACTCAAATTTTCCCTTAAGAATGTATGGAAAATATATAGCAAGGTGACAAAAGCCGAGAAGTATTATTTTTGGCATCCATCATTGCTTTATGGGCTGTCAAAAGGAGTCCTTGCAGCAAAAGCAAAACAACAGCACACCTCCCACTTTCAGCATTAGACAGAATGGAAAACAATCATGGTTCCCTAGCCTGTCTTGAGCTAGTACCTGCCTAACGCTCCATGTCCACTAGTCCAGGCTCTCGGGCACTTAACTCTCACCATACTGAATTGCATGGAGCTCCTCAAAGTTATCTTGCCACTTCTTAGCTCCAGATTTCTCCATTTTTCCAGAAAAGCCCCTTCCTATGACTCCTGCAGCCCCACCAAAGACACTCCTTCTTCACCTAGCTAACCTCTATATATACTTTTTTCCTCTGGGAAGCCTTTCTTGACTCTCCTGATTAGAGTGAGGACCACTGATTAGCTCTAAAAGCTTCTTGAATTCTGATTCCACATTCCCCAATGGCACTCATCACAATGCCATGTAACTACTACTACATTGTCTATCATCCAATGCTAAACTACACATTTCCTGGAGGTAAACATGTCTGTCTTTTTTCATTATTGTAGCCTCTGTCCCTAGACCACAATAGATGCTCAGTTCACGTATCTTACATATTCATTGTACGTCTGGATGCTTAACTCACTTCCAGGATTCTTCATTACTGTGGAATAATCCTTGGCCTCAGACCAAACCTGATCCACGTCCTAATTCAGCCACTTAACAGCTTGAGGACTTTGCTCAAGCTTTCTGAACTTATTTCCTTATCTTTAAATGGGGCATGTATTCTTACATCAGAGTACTGTGATGAAGATTAAATTAAATACATCTAAAACTTCTGGCATTAGCAAATTTCAACAAATATCTGTCCTTTTTCCTTTCTGTCATCTTCTTTGTTCTCCCACCCTTAATGAGTTCCTGCCTCCTCTGCCTCCCTGCCTTCTCCATTATGGCTTTCCCACACCACCATTCTCCTTGTACCTTTATCTGTATCTAGTGCCTTTATCTGTATCCTTGTGACTTTATCTGTATCTTTATCTTGTGGTAACCTGTAAGGATCATGCACTTTGGCATTTCACTTCTAGTTTTCCAAAGTACTTCAGCAGACTATTGCTAACCAGAGAAAAAGTTTCCACTGTTCTAAACAATGTAAGAAAGAAAATATGAGTTTTTTCAGAAAGCTTGTTTTTTCCATTTAAAATACATGAATTACATCACAAAACACCGTCTCTATTAAAAATACAAAAATTAGCTGAGCTTGGTGGCAATCATGCCTGTAATCCTGGCTACTTGGGTGACTGAGGCACAAGAACTGCTTGAACCCCCGAGGTGAAGGTTGCAGAGAGCTAACATCTCACCGCTGCACTCCAGCCTGGGTGACAGAGCAAGACCCTGTCTCAAAAAATACAATACAATACAGTACAATACAATACAATACAATACAATACAATACAATACAATACAATACAATACAATACAATACAAGAATTGTTTCTAAAAGAAATAAATGAGCTGATTATTGTTTATTGTTCATTTTTCCTAAAAGAAAGAAATGAACAGATTATTCCTCATTATGAGTTTAGGTTCCCCTACATTTTAGTATTAAATCTCCTTTTGTTTACTAAATGATAATAGATTATATATATTTTAATATTTTTACTTGCAAAATTCAAAAGTGATAACCCAATGTAAGGATGCAATATTTTTAGTTTCGTTATGTGAAATTTAAAATCTGAGAAACACTATCACAGATTCCCCAAAACATGGTATGGATTGGGAAAATTGGAGTCATGTAGTTGTAAGAAACAAAACTGAAGTTCCAAAGGAATTTACTGATGTGTTAGATAGTCTCCAAAGACACCTGAAAGAACCACATTGCCAACTACTCATGTTCTTGTGAAGTTATCTCCCCTTTAACCTGGACTCATTCTGTGACTCACTTGTAACTAATGCAGTTCAACAAAATAAAGGCTATTTGACTGCTGAGGCATACTTAGAAGAGATTTTGCACCTTGGACTTTTGGTACACCTGCTTGAATGAAAGTCAACCATTATGTAAGAAGTTGGACTATTCTGTGAATTGATGTGCTGTGGGGAAGGCAAACTCATCATGTGAGGGGGCATATGGAGAAAAAGAGATGGCCAGACAGCCCCAGCTATTCCAGCCAACCCTGCCAAGATGCCAGTTATGTGAATTAAGAAACCATCTTATATATTCTAGACCCAATAGATGTGATGTGGAGAGGAAGTGAGGAATCCAGCTAATAGCCAGAACTTAAACTCATCAAGCCATCCAGTAAGACCTGCCATCCCCTCTGTGCTGTGTCCCAATTTCTGACTTATAGAACCATAAGTTTAATAAAATCATTGCCACTAAACTCAGAAGTGTTATGTTATGTATCAACAGATAATTAAAAGAATTTTAAGAACATAGAATAGCTCATACAATTGAAAGAGAGGCTTAAGAAGTAGGTCTCTGAAAGCACATGAAACTGGGGCCTCTGGGAGCTTTAGTAACAAAAACAAATGGACAATCTCTTTTGGACTCACCATCACATATTACTGTTTCAGCCTTTGAGTTACTCCAAGCAAGATGAAAATTCCAGAGAGAGACAATCTGATAGATGCAGCTTATGAATTGTTTCCATTCTTGTACCCAGGGTGGATTTATCCCAGCTAAATCACTTGGACTAAGAGTTTTGGAAGAATTATTTGCCAAAGCAAAATCAAGATGTTCTAGCAGATGAAGAAAAAAATGCATTGGGTCAAGATAACAACAACCAAAAAGTAATTCCGAACACAAAGACTATTCTTAATTGCTATTTTTTGACTCAACCTCTTTGGCTTAGAGGCAGAGCATGCTTAGTTAGCTCTCTCTCAAAATGCAAAGTGGTTAAATATAAACCTTCAAAGAGAGTCATATTTAAGCAAATCTTAAAATATGAGCTCTAGAAAAAAAAGTAGCATTTTATTGTTTGAGAGAATTTGAACTTAATTTGTGTCTAACACTTAAACAAAGAGAATTACCCTCTTTGTAGCCTTTGGAGGAAGCCACTTGTGTTTTCTTTGTCTGACTGTTGAAAGTGCAATCACATTTCTACCACAGGATGCTTTTCAAGCTAACAGCAGATGAGGAGTTACACAGCAGAGGAGGGCATGAAGCAGTTCATCATCATTTGTTTTTGTAATTGTTTGGAGCTGAGCGCCTTTCATTATGTTCAATGGACCCTCCATAGCCATGCTGGGAGGGCCGCCATGAGCACAGTGGGTTGGGCCATGAATCAGGAAAACAGCTGTCTTTTGTCTGAGAAGAGAAAGCCGTGAGTTAGGAAATACTCTCTGATCAGACAAAATCAGCATGGATGGTGTCAATGTGAGTTTAAAAGATTCTTCTATGTGGAACTTTCAGGAACAAAGGCAACACCCCACACACAAATTGACCCTTTTCTTTTTCCAGATCAATTATACCTTCCAGAAGAATGATACCTATATCCATAATAATTCCATTTTGCAAAGAAGGAAATGTTCAAACAACTTACTAATATCTGATTTAAATGCAACAGATATTTATGAGGTCTTTGTTAAGTGCCAAGGTGTGTAGCTAGGCATTGAGGTACAAAGCAGACCAAGGCAGATGAAGTTGCTAACTCCAGGGAGCTTACATTCTATTAGGAGAAGCAGGAAATTAACAAATAAATCATTTTAATAGTGATACACGCTATGAGGGAAATACAAATAGCTTTGTGGATGAGACAAATGAGGTAGGGGGTGTCTAGAGAAGTCAGGGGCTGCCTCTCTCATGTGGTAACAATTTAACTGTGATCTAGAGGAACAGAAGGAGTGATTCAAAAGGAAAACCTTGTAGGCAGATGACTGTGAGCACAACAGCCCCGGGCAGGGGGAAAGCTCAACCTACACACTCCCAGAAAGCTGATGTGTCTGGAGCTAGGCAGGATGTAGCCAGGTGTGAACTTGCAGAGCATGATAAGAAGTGTGAATTTTATTCCATTTGCAATAAAAGGCCATTAGAGTGTTTCAAGTGAGACGTGATGAATACATTTTAAAAATCACTGGCTGCTCTGTGGAAGATCAATTGGCGAGGTCAAATCAGAAGCAGCGAGAAGACTACTTCAGAAATTCAGGTGAGATTTGGTGTTGGCTTGAACTAAGATGATGGTAGCGGCAATGGAGAAAAGAAAGAAAAAAACAAAATAAAAGAAAAAAAGATATTTTGGAGGTAGAACAAAAGGGTTTTGCTAATAGATTAGAAGTTAGAGGAAGGGATGGAAAGTAGGAAAGCGAAAGTATGAGCAGGAAGAGAGTAGACAAGAATGACGCCCTGATTTACTATTTTAATAACCAAGTGGTTGGCAATGCTATTTATTGGAATGGGGAACATGTGAAGGAGGAAAACATTCAGGGGAAAAAATAAAACGTTCTATATTTGGCTGTTAAATATAAGATAACTAGGAGATAGCCAAGTAGAGAAAGAAGGTAAGAAGGAATATGGGTACATCAGCCTTGAATTTAAACTTAGGAATGTAAGAATTTTTGGGAGGACTTTGACAACACCATGGAAATGTTTTCAGAACAACTGTCTCTTCTGCTGTTACCTTCCAGAGAGTCTCTGGGACAGCTTTTCTTTAACCTTATCTAGTTGCATGAGAATCACCTTCAAAGCATAATAAAAATTCATGTGGCTGAGCCCCACATTGAATCAGTCTCCATGAGAGGGACTGTGAACATGGGCTTAACAACTCCTCATGCGAGTCTAACACCTTCCCAAGTTTGAAAACCTCTGCTATGAGGTATATTTATCAGGAAATTTTACTTCTTGACTCACCTTTCCTCCAAGCTAAAAATACTTCCTTGAAATCTTTACAAGTAATGCAGTAATGCCTATTAGTTCCTGGTTCAGTTCTCTGCTCTTCAGAGATATAAGAAGAAACCAGGTGTAGTGGGTGGTCCTGAGATCCTAAGGATTTGTGCCACTGCCACCGCCTATGTAGACAGAAGTGAATGGAGGAGACCAGGGAATAAATTGTGAATTTTGTTTTTGGTTAAAAACCCCTCAGGCAAAACAAAAGTTAAAGTAATTTAAAGAAAACTGGCAATTTATTGCCTCAAAGATTTGCAGGTTTGAATCATAGATTGTTAGAGGTAAAGAGGATCTGGGAAGCAGCAGAATGCATAAACCAGCAGGATCTGACATCTCCCACTGGAGTTCACCCCTTGCCTTCAGCACTTAACCGTGTACCCTTGGGCAAGTAAGTGACTTCACATCAGTGTACCTCAGTGGATGCCTCTGTAAATGGGAGAAATAATAATACCTAGCTCATAGGGTTGGAGTGAGTGTTACGCAAAATAATAGAAAAAAGGTGGGTCCGAAACTACCCATAATCGTAAAGGTAAATAATTTCAAGCCAGAAAAGACTACAAATACCGTGCAATACACTCATATTGTACATAAGGAAACTAAGTCAGCTACACTGGGGGCAAATGAGAAATCAACGCAATGTTTAAAGGATTGCACTACTATAGTTTGCTCTATAAAAAATTTGAATTCATTCAGCATCCATTTCTTTGTATAAACCATATATCATTTAGAAAAAGGGCCATTTGCTGATATTTATTTATAAGTTTTAAAAAATAAGTGCCTTCCCACACTGCTAAAAGGCAGAAATGCTTTCAGAGGATTTCCTGGCTCATTGCACTGAGATCTTTTTGCAAATGAAACATCTGCCCACTGTGTGGTCTGGCCAAGTCCTCTTTCAAGTCAGTTGTCCGGAAGCATTTTAGGACAGGCAAGGTAAACAGACAGATAAGCATATGGTGATCAATTCAGAAAACCAATGTCGGTTTCCACTGTGTTAGGACCATCAACCAAACAGCTTTGATACCCATTCACTTTGTGAAATCGCAGGAAAACACAAGAACAGCAAGTCTCCTGAAACTGTGTAAACAACACCCAGGCTCAGCTAACAAAAAGAAAAGCAACTGACGACTTGACTCCTTTAGTTCTGCTTTAAGTGTTCAGGGCTGGTTTTGTGCTTTGGTTATCTTACGGCCTTTTTTTTTTTTTTTCCTTTTTCTTTTCTTTGCTCAGAATTTTGATCAGGCTTGCTTATGAATCCTGGAGAACTCCTGTTTTGGGGACAGAATCTGTAAGAATGGAAATTGGTTTCTAAGCAGCCTGTGAACAATGGCCATGTAATAAATGTCACTGGTGTTGCTGTTCTCATCTGATGGACCTCTAGTGCCTTATATGTGACAGCTAATGAGCTCCACTAATCAAACTGAGGAGCAAATACTACTTCCCACCCTCCCCTCCTACCTGAGGAGGTGAGGAGTGCTAACCCCTTGCCCTGGCAGACTGACAGTGCTGAATGGGAGCAGAATGAGAAGAAACCTGGAAGGTTAATTGAGGTAGTACCCAAAAGTTGTTTTTAAATCAATTTAATTAACCTGTGATCCCTTAAAATTAGAATATGTTGCAACCAGAATGAAGGAGGATTTATTCTATTTTTTTTAACCTCATCTAAGAAAACAGAAACTGAGCAAGTCTGGGTAAAGAAGTAGTGGGGAGAGTGTTAATTACCACCTGGACTCTTCACATCTATCTTTATTCCCTGTGTATCTCAGAATAGATAGTTTCCATTCTTGGAAGAAGAATCCATAGCATTAACATCTGGTGCTATTGTCAATCATCCAAGTTTCTTGTAACACATTCCTTCACCAAATGGATGTGCTATTCACTCCTTATCAGGATTAGACATGAGTAATACTGAAAAAGGAGACTATAGTAGTATGGTTAACAGAGTTGGTCAAACTACTAGAGCCCAAAATTAGCCTGTATAACTTTCTAGTAGTTTGAACTTCAGCAAATTACTGAACCTGTCTTTATCTCTTCTTTTTCTCTTTCTATAAAATAGTGTTAACAATAGCACATACCACATAAGATTGTGAAAAGAATTAAAAGACATAATGCACATGAGTTATCAGGCAAAGGATCCAGAACACAGTAAGCCCTTAATAAATGCCAATTATTAGCAGGATTTTTTATATTTTTGTTGTTGTTGTTTTGTGTAAGCCTCTTGCAAGTATGTGCTAATATATGTGCTACATGTACTGAGAAAGTACAGTTTTCAAGAGCTTCCTAAAAGAGGTCTGGGACCCCAATAATGGTAAAGAAGTACTCTTATAAGGTATCAATTTCAAAGGTCCCATCTAACCAGTTTGAGCACTGGGGCCAATACAATGAAGCCACAATTAGCCTATTACTGATTCTTGGGCATTAAATGCTTCTGCCTGCCATTCTGCCTGGTCCCTTTAAGCATTCTTCTCTCTGCCCCAGACTAACACAAATAACAAGAAAACAATCTGCAACACTCTGAAAATCCCCAGGTCCTTAGGATATTGTTTTAATAGGTAACCTTGGTGGTAGAGGATATAATTTTAGGTTAAGACACAGATGATCAGTATAAAAAAAGTTACATGTTTATTTTAATGTATATTAAAAATATATGTGGAATATTGGATACGATATGATCTTATAAATGTTATTGCCTAGCATATGGCTCTAGTAGGCATTTAAGTTTTATCAGTTTTATTTAAGTGAGGCAAATAGTCTAACATATAAGTAGACATATGTTAAATAACAATATGTGTATAATCCAGATATGGCATAGTTATGAAAGTTGAATGTGCATGGCTGAAGTTTGAAAAATATAGGAGCATAGGAGCTTGGGCATTCCTAGAAAGAGAACTTTGCCCCCAACTCATAGAGGCAAGAACACATTTGAAAGATTCCAGGGAAGGTGAAATGAATCATTTCCCTAAACTAAAGAAACGATCATTTCACATGGCCCACTGAAATACCTTGGAGATGTCAGTGCTAAGAGGAAAGTAGTTTATCAATGTTTTTAAGCAATGCCACCACATGTGTGAAGTTTATAAAGATCCAGATTGGCATTCCTTAAATTCTTCAATTTTTCAAGTAAAGTAATAGAGGTCTCATTGCTCATCAACACTTGCCCTAGCTGCAGAAGGAAAGATGGTGCACACAGGTACCAGCCTGGCCTTTAAAGTACTCACCAGCTTTTGAGAAAGGTGGACTGATAGACTCATGATGCCAGGGCCTTGTCCTTTCTAGTTCTGCAAAAACACCGTTATTTTTCAGGTAATATTTTTTCACATTCTTTGACCTCAGCCTGGGGTGTGCTTCATCTACACTGTCTAGCTCCTCTCATGGTTTAGGTTTCAGCACTTTACCTCCTCAAGAAAGTCTTTCTAATCACCACACTTAAATAGAAACACTCCTTTATTCATATCTTATCACCTCGTTTGGTTTTTTTATACAACTTACCACTAATTATAATGATTTAACTTGCTAGTGTCTTTGGGATTTTTCTTATCCCCCACTGAATATTGGTCTTATAAGGTGAAAGATTGTGAGTCTTAATCAAAATTATATTTCTAGGGTCTAATACAACACATAGACCACGGTGGGATGTCCTTTAAAATATACTGAATGAATGAATGAAGTGAATGGGTAAATAAGTGAATGAGTGAAGAGCTATTCAATCCTTACCTAAAAAGCACTTAGGAAAAAAGAAGTGAAGTAGAAAGAAAGTAACTGTAGTAGAAATCCTCTTTGAGAAAGTTCTATTTATGCATATAGCAGTTTTGGTCACAAGAGTAAAGGAAGCAAGACTTACTTTAATGTACACACTAAAATTCAATTCATTTAATCAAATCTCAAACACTATGTGAGCTGGTTTCAATGAAACCACAAATTTCCCATCTCTATAGAAAAAAATAATTAAAAACAAAACAAAACAAAACAAAAACAACATTAGCCGGGCCTGGTAGTGCATGCCTGCAGTCCTAGCTACTTAGGAAGCTGAGGCAGAAAGATCCCTTGAGTCCAGGAGTTTGATGTTATAATAATCTGTGATTGTGCCACTGCACTCCAGCCTGGACAACAGAGTGAGACCCTATCTCTAAAATAATAATTATTATCATAAAGCCACAAATTAAGACTAGAGAGAACAATGATGAACTAATATGACGTTGCTAATTCAAGGAGGCAAACAAAGATATCATAGATCAGAAAACAAGGACACTAGAATTTTTCACATGTATCTTCAGCAGCAGAGATTAGTGTGTTCCCAATTCAGAAAGTGGATTACAGAAACACATTCCAAAATCACACTCAGTGCATTCTGTCAGCACCCAGATGGCAGCAGGCTGAGGATGGCTTACCTAAGTGTATTAGGCAGGGTTCTCTAGAGAGGCAGAACTAATAGGATATATGTATACATGAGAGGGAGTTTGCTAAAGAGAATCGACTCACACGATCACAAGGTGAAGTCCCACAATAGGCCATCTCCAAGCTGAGGAGCAAGGAAGACAGTACTGGCTCAGTCCAAATCCCAAAACCTCAAAAGTAGGGAAGCTAACAGTGCAGCCTTCAGTCTGTGGCTGAAGGCCTGACATCCCCTTGCAAATCACTGGTGTAAGTTCAAGAGCCCAAAATATGAAGAACTTGGAATCTGATGTTTGAGAGGAGGAAGCATCCAGCATGTGAGAAAGATGAAGGCTGGAAGACTAAGCAAGTCAGTTTCTTTCTTCCACCTTCTTCTGCCTGCTTTTTCTAGCTACACTGGCAGCCAACTGAATGGTGCCCATCCACCATGTGGCTGGGTCTTCCTGAGGGTGGGTCTTCCTCTCCCAGTCTGCTGACTCAAATGTTAGTCTCTTCTGGCAACACCCAGAAACACCCAGATACACCCAGAAATAATACTTTGCATCCTTCAGTCCAATCAAGTTGACACTTAATATTAACCATCACACTAGTCATGTATGTGGGGGCCCTAACCAGTGTATTTTGATCCTGTTACAGTTTCCCTCTGTGAAGTGTTAGGCAGGTTGAGTGTTTAAGTTGAAGCCTCCCAACAAAGGCAAGATCACACACAGCAGGAGTTATTTCAGTTATTCCGAGCGGATGTAAATCAGAGTAGAAAAACAGCAAAATTGTCCCCTCCAAAGTTACACATGCAAAGGTATTTGTGGGTTTTTCATTTTAATTGTAGCACCGAATACCCCTTAAAATGTAAAAATTAATTAGTTCTTACACAATAAAAGTCATATATGACAGACCCACAGCTAGTATCATACTGAATGGGAAAAAAACTGAAAGCCTTTCCTCTAAGATCTGGAACATGACAAGGATGACCACTTTCACCAGTGCCATTCAACAAGTACTGCAAGTCTCAACTAGAGCAATCAGACAAGAGAAAGAAATAAAGGACATCCACTGTACAGGAAGAAGTCAAATTATTCTTGTTTGCAGATGATATAATCTTATTTTTGGAAAAACCTAATGACTCCACAAAAAAACTATTACAACTGATAAAACAAATTTGGTAAAGTTGCAGGATACAAAATCAACATACAAAAATCAGTAGCATTTTTATATGCCAACAGGAAACCGTCTGAAAAAGAAACCAAGAAAATAATGTTCTTTACAACAGCAGCAAGTAAAATAAAATACCTAGGAATTAACTTAACCAAAGAAGTGAAAGATCTCTACGATGAAAATTATAAAACATTGAAAAAAGACATTATAGAGGACATTAAAAAATGGAAAGATATTCCATGTTCACAGATTGGGAGAATCAATAGTGTTAAAACATCCATATTACTGAAAGCAATCTACAGTTTCAATGCAATTCTTATCAAAATGTCAATAACATTCTTCACATAAATAGAAAAAACAATCCTAAAATATATATGGAACCACAAAAGACCCAGAATAGTCACAGCTATCCTGAGCAAAAGAACAAAACTAGAGGAATTATGTTACCTGACTTCAAATTATAATACAGAGCCATAGTAAACAAAATAGCATAGTACTGCCATAAAAACAGACTCATAGGCCAACACAACAGCATAGAGAACCCAGAAGCCAATCCATATACCTGCAGTGAACTCGTTTTTGACAAAGTCCCAAGAATACACATTAGGGAGAGGATAGTCTCTTCAATAAATGGTTCTAGGAAAACTGGATTTCCATATGCAGAAGAATGAAACTAGGCCCCTATCTCTCACCACATACAAAAATCAAATCAAAATGTATCAAAGACTTAAGCCTAAGACCTCAAACTATGAAACTACCAAAAGGAAATATTGGGGAATCTCTCCAGGACATTAAATTTGGCAAAAATTTTCTGAGTAATACTCCACAAGCATAAGCAAACAAAGCAAATATGGATAAATGGGATCACATCTAGTTAAAAAGGTTTTTCACAACAAAGAAATTAACAAAGTGTACAAACAACCCATAGAATGACAGAAAATATTTGTAAACTATCCATTTGACAAAGGGCTAATAGCCATAATAGAGAAGGAGCTCAAACAACTCTATGGGAAAAAAATCTAATAATCCAATTAATAAATAAACAGAAATTTCTCAAAATAAAGCATACAAATGACAAACAGATATATGAAAAGGTGCTCAACATGTTTTTTTTTTTTTTTATTATAAGTTTTAGGGTACATGTGCACATTGTGCAGGTTAGTTACATATGTATACATGTGCCATGCTGGTGCGCTGCACCCACTAACTCGTCATCTAGCATTAGGTATATCTCCCAATGCTATCCCTCCCCCCTCCCCCCACCCCACCACAGTCCCCAGAGTGTGACATTCCCCTTCCTGTGTCCATGTGATCTCATTGTTCAATTCCCACCTATGAGTGAGAATATGCGGTGTTTGGTTTTTTGTTCTTGCGATAGTTTACTGAGAATGATGATTTCCAATTTCATCCATGTCCCTACAAAGGACATGAACTCATCATTTTTATGGCTGCATAGTATTCCATGGTGTATATGTGCCACATTTTCTTAATTCAGTCTATCATTGTTGGACATTTGGGTTGGTTCCAAGTCTTTGCTATTGTGAATAATGCCACAATAAACATACGTGTGCATGTGTCTTTATAGTAGCATGATTTATAGTCATTTGGGTATATACCCAGTAATGGGATGGCTGGGTCAAATGGTATTTCTAGTTCTAGATCCCTGAGGAATCGCCACACTGACTTCCACAATGGTTGAACTAGTTTACAGTCCCACCAACAGTGTAAAAGTGTTCCTATTTCTCCACATCCTCTCCAGCACCTGTTGTTTCCTGACTTTTTAATGATTGCCATTCTAACTGGTGTGAGATGATATCTCATAGTGGTTTTGATTTGCATTTCTCTGATGGCCAGTGATGATGAGCATTTTTTCATGTGTTTTTTGGCTGCATAAATGTCTTCTTTTGAAAACTGTCTGTTCATGTCCTTCGCCCACTTTTTGATGGGGTTGTTTGTTTTTTTCTTGTAAATTTGTTTGAGTTCATTGTAGATTCTGGATATTAGCCCTTTGTCAGATGAGTAGGTTGCGAAAATTTTCTCCCACGTTGTAGGTTGCCTGTTCACTCTGATGGTAGTTTCTTTTGCTGTGCAGAAGCTCTTCAGTTTAATTAGATCCCATTTGTCAATTTTGGCTTTTGTTGCCATTGCTTTTGGTGTTTTGGACATGAAGTCCTTGCCCACGCCTATGTCCTGAATGGTAATGCCTAGGTTTTCTTCTAGGGTTTTTATGGTTTTAGGTCTAACGTTTAAATCTTTAATCCATCTTGAATTGATTTTTGTATAAGGTGTAAGGAAGGGATCCAGTTTCAGCTTTCTACATATGGCTAGCCAGTTTTCCCAGCACCATTTATTAAATAGGGAATCCTTTCCCCATTGCTTGTTTTTCTCACGTTTGTCAAAGATCAGATAGTTGTAGATATGGGGTGTTATTTCTGAGGGCTCTGTTCTGTTCCATTGATCTATATCTCTGTTTTGGTACCAGTACCATGCTGTTTTGGTTACTGTAGCCTTGTAGTATAGTTTGAAGTCAGGTAGTGTGATGCCTCCAGTTTTGTTCTTTTGGCTTAGGATTGACTTGGCGATGCGGGCTCTTTTTTGGTTCCATATGAACTTTAAAGTAGTTTTTTCCAATTCTGTGAAGAAAGTCATTGGTAGCTTGATGGGGATGGCATTGAATCTGTAAATTACCTTGGGCAGTATGGCCATTTTCACGATATTGATTCTTCCTACCCATGAGCATGGAATGTTCTTCCATTTGTTTGTATCCTCTTTTATTTCCTTGAGCAGTGGTTTGTAGTTCTCCTTGAAGAGGTCCTTCACATCCCTTGTAAGTTGGATTCCTAGGTATTTTATTCTCTTTGAAGCAATTGTGACTGGGAGTTCACTCATGATTTGGCTCTCTGTTTGTCTGTTGTTGGTGTATAAGAATGCTTGTGATTTTTGTACATTGATTTTATATCCTGAGACTTTGCTGAAGTTGCTTATCAGCTTAAGGAGATTTTGGGCTGAGACGATGGGGTTTTCTAGATAAACAATCATGTCGTCTGCAAACAGGGACAATTTGACTTCCTCTTTTCCTAATTGAATACCCTTTATTTCCTTCTCCCGCCTGATTGCCCTGGCCAGAACTTCCAACACTATGTTGAATAGGAGCGGTGAGAGAGGGCATCCCTGTCTTGTGCCAGTTTTCAAAGGGAATGCTTCCAGTTTTTGCCCATTCAGTATGATATTGGCTGTGGGTTTGTCATAGATAGCTCTTATTATTTTGAAATATGTCCCATCAATACCTAATTTATTGAGAGTTTTTAGCATGAAGTGTTGTTGAATTTTGTCAAAGGCTTTTTCTGCATCTATTGAGATAATCATGTGCTTTTGTCTTTGGCTCTGTTTATATGCTGGATTACATTTATTGATTTGCGTATATTGAACCAGCCTTGCATCCCAGGGATGAAGCCCACTTGATCATGGGGGATAAGCTTTTTGATGTGCTGCTGGATTCGGTTTGCCAGTATTTTATTGAGGATTTTTGCATCAATGTTCATCAAGGATATTGGTCTAAAATTCTCTTTTTTGGTTGTGTCTCTGCCCGGCTTTGGTGTCAGAATGATGCTGGCCTCATAAAATGAGTTAGGGAGGATTCCCTCTTTTTCTATTGATTGGAATAGTTTCAGAAGGAATGGTACCAGTTCCTCCTTGTACCTCTGGTAGAATTCGGCTGTGAATCCATCTGGTCCTGGACTCTTTTTGGTTGGTAAACTATTGATTATTGCCACAATTTCAGCTCCTGTTATTGGTCTATTCAGAGATTCAACTTCTTCCTGGTTTAGTCTTGGGAGAGTGTATGTGTCGAGGAATGTATCCATTTCTTCTAGATTTTCTAGTTTATTTGCGTAGAGGTGTTTGTAGTATTCTCTGATGGTAGTTTGTATTTCTGTGGGATTGGTGGTGATATCCCCTTTATCATTTTTTATTGTGTCTATTTGATTCTTCTCTCTTTTTTTCTTTATTAGTCTTGCTAGCGGTCTATCAATTTTGTTGATCCTTTCAAAAAACCAGCTCCTGGATTCATTGATTTTTTGAAGGGTTTTTTGTGTCTCTATTTCCTTCAGTTCTGCTCTGATTTTAGTTATTTCTTGCCTTCTGCTAGCTTTTGAATGTGTTTGCTCTTGCTTTTCTAGTTCTTTTAATTGTGATGTTAGGGTGTCAATTTTGGATCTTTCCTGCTTTCTCTTGTGGGCATTTAGTGCTATAAATTTCCCTCTACACACTGCTTTGAATGCGTCCCAGAGATTCTGGTATGTTGTGTCTTTGTTCTCGTTGGTTTCAAAGAACATCTTTATTTCTGCCTTCATTTCGTTATGTACCCAGTAGTCATTCAGGAGCAGGTTGTTCAGTTTCCATGTAGTTGAGCGGCTTTGAGTGAGATTCTTGATCCTGAGTTCTAGTTTGATTGCACTGTGGTCTGAGAGACAGTTTGTTATAATTTCTGTTCTATTACATTTGCTGAGGAGAGCTTTACTTCCAACTATGTGGTCAATTTTGGAATAGGTGTGATGTGGTGCTGAAAAAAATGTATATTCTGTTGATTTGGGGTGGAGAGTTCTGTAGATGTCTATTAGGTCCGCTTGGTGCATTTGCCTTGGCCCATTTTCTACCTTAACATTTGCTTGAGTTCTTGCTTCTTTGCAGCAAGCCCTTGAATGCTTGTCTCACTTTTTCCTTAATCAAACTTGCTTTTGAAGACATGATTTTAGTTTCCTGACTGAATGCCTTTGGTCCTGTTCTTTTTAGGTAAAGTGAAAATAGCTAATTAGCATCTCTTTTCTTCGTAATCTTAGAGTTTTCCATATGGGTTATGGAGAGGATTCAGAATTATTATTATTTTTGAGGTAATTATCCAAGTTGATTAGGGAAGTCTTTTTTTATTTTTAATAACCTCTCCCTGTTTGTTACCAATGAGTGTTCAGATGCCATCTGGAGCTGTTGACAGAGATGAATTGAGTGTGATTCCATGATATGATTAGGTCATATGATTGGCCACCAGAACTGATAATCACATCATTAACAGCACATGGACAGAGGAAATTACCTGCAGTGAGAGGAGTGAATGGTGAATATAGAGTATGACCTTTTTCCACTCTGACCTTTAGCATGCAATGTCTCAAGCACAAAGTGAGAAAGTACAGATGCAAAAAGAAGACCTCAACGTTGTGTCACACACTATAAATGGATCCATAGCTCCAGGGTTGGCTTCTCACTGTGGCTAAACAAATACACATAATACCTGACCATTGGGGAAAATACAGGAACAACTACCATCTGCTGTGAGTTTACTCAATCAAAGGTGTTATGCAATATATATGTATATTTTAAAATTCTCACAACCACTGTATCAGGCATTACTATTCTGCCCATTGTATAGATGACAAACTGAGTCTAAAAGATGTTAAGTACCTTGAAGTTCACACAACTGATGAATGGTAGAACCAAGCTTCGAATCCAAGCCCACTCAGTGTCCATCAGATTTGCTAATTCCAAGTTGCAACTGGTAGATGGAACCATGAGAAGGGCAGAGAGAAAACTTGAAATTTGTGGGGTTTTGGTCCACTTATTTTTCCTTCATCAGAAACAGAGCTGGCTTTCTCAGGGACTATCAGCTGAGTAAACAAATAATAATAAAACTACCAAACCGAGTATTTATAGTTTACCTCCACATGTAAGATGTCATCATTTGATCCTCCCACTTACCCTTTTAGGAAAAAAGAGTTTTATTAAGTAATTCAGGAAGGGCTACCTTTGGCCTAATTCTGTCTTACCCATTGAGCACAAAGCAGAATGGAAAGAAGCTACAAATGTGGATGGGGCAGAGTCAGATGTCAATGGTATAGTGATAATAATAATTACTACAGCAGAAACAATAAGAAGGATAATATTCCTTTGATATTTCACTTTGAGCCAAGCTCAGAGCTCAGCACTTTACTTATTTTATTATTTTAAGTCAACTTGGCTGAAGTATAATTCACTTCAAATGTTTTGCATACATCTGTAGTGTACCATTCATTGAGTCGTGACAGATATACACACTTGTGAAACCACTACCTTGATCAAAACACAACATTTCCATCATCCCCAAAGGATCCTCATATACACCTTTGCAGTCCACTCCATCCTGCATTCTTCTCAGGCAACCATCAATCTGCTTTTTGTCACTGTAGTTAGTTTGCATATTTAATAATTTTATGTAAATGGAATAATACACTATGTGCTCTTTTGTACATGGTTTTTTTTTAACTCAATAATGATTTTGAGTTCACCCATTTCGTTAGGTGTATCGATAAATTTTTCTGTTTTTATAGATGAGTAGTATTTCATTTTACGGGTATGCCACATTTCGTCTCTCCATTTTTCACCTACTGATGAACATTTGAGTTGTTTCCAGTATTTGGCTATTCTGAATAAAGCTTCAGTGAACCTTCACGTACATGTCCTTGTGTGCTTTTATTTTTCTTGGGATAGATAGCTAGAAGTGGAATGGCTGACACTTATAGTAGGATTATATTTAACTTTTTAAGAAACTGATAAGTTTTTTTCAGAGCTGTTATATTTTATAATCCCATAAGCAGTGTATAAGAGTTTCAGTTGCTCCACATCCTCATCAACACTTTTTATTTTCTGTCCTTATTATAGACATTCTAGTGAGTGTAAAGTTGTATCTCATTGTGGTGTTAACTAGATGACTAGTGCAAAATAAGTTCCAGACATCATGTTCACATGCAATATATTGATGGCTAATGATGCTGAGCACTTTTTTAGGTGATTTTTGGCAATGCATATATTGTCTTTTGTGAAGTATACTAAAATCTTTTGCTAATTTTTATTAGATTATTTTTATTATCATTGATTTGTAAGAGCACTTTATATATTCTGAATAAAACTGTGTTGTCAGGTAATGTATTTCAATTATTTTTACCATTCCGTATCTTGTCTTTTCATTCTTAATAATGTCTTTGAAAGAGAAAAATGTCAAATTTTGATAAGATCTAATTGATTCATTTTTTCTTTTATGGTTTGTATCATTTTATTTACTTTAGCATATTTAACACTCTCATAGCCTAATATGGAACTATAATTGTCTGTATTCCTCAAAGGATTAGACCTAAATCTCCCAGGGACTATGTCCCAGGAACTAGGAATAGGAATTAGACCTATTCCTCCCAGAGGAATGCAGTCAGAGGTTAGAGCGGGGGAACTGAATTTAAGATCCATAAAAGTTTGTGTGGGCAAATGTAAAAGACAGAAAATAGGACAATATTTTGGATTCTGTCACAGAGGTGATGATTCATTTTCTAAAAGGAGTTTTGATATTAAGATAAATTCAGCATCTCTTCTTGGGTAAAACTTTTCCAAGATGAAGGAATCAGTGTTCTATGTCTGGTGCCTGATGCCCGGTTTATAATCACAAAAACCAAGATAAAATCAGTATGATTTATTTTGAGTCCAGTGCTCTGTCTACCCCTCTGAGGCAAAATCCTTGTCACAGAAATAAAAATAAACAGAATTAACATGATTTTGAATTTTAAAAAAATCTATAATTAGCTTATGTAGTAGGATAGAGGGACAAGTCTATATTTTATTCTTAGAGAAAATACAAATAGGACACGATTTTTCTTTTGAAATATAAATGGCAAAATAGTTTTTCTGACTTCATAAGAATAAAAAAGGATTGAATAGTCACTGTTAAGCTTCATCCTCCCACAACTCTTCTCAGAGAAAAGAAAATACAAAATCTTCTTTTCCTCTCCGTTTCCTATTATGCAGGCAGGCACCATTAATTGCAATTGATTACTTCTTCAGACTGCATCCTGCTATTTCTCCTCCCACATTTCTCTGGCCAACTCACTGCTCAGATCTATTTTGGCAGATGTGAGTTTTATATTTCTCTTGCCCCTGGCTACCTTTGAATTACCACAGCTCTGCAGCATTGCAGGTCCATCACCTGAAGGTATGACAAAAGAATATTGTACAACTACCACTGATATCAACTTTAAATGGAAATTAGATTTCTTTCCTTCTTATTTTTGTGTTCCACTTTAATTTGGACAAACCTAAGTTCCAGACATCATGTTCACTGCAACCATCTTTCTTTTAGAGAGTGCAGTAGTAGTCCTGCTTGCTTAAGTACCTTTCATTTTTTATGTCTCTCTCTCTCTCTCCTCTCTTTAGTAGCATACCTCTGCCACAGGGAAGGGCATAATGTGTCTACATGAATCTGGCTGCCCATTCAAGCAATAGGAAACAGGAGAGTCACTTACCAAGCTGATGAAATGTGCTGCAGTGGTCTAGGGGCCTTTAACTCTTAAGTTCTATTTCCAAAGCAAAATGCATTTTCAGGAGCAATGTCTGGGAGCCCAGATGGATCTTTGGAAGGCTGAATTGCAATCCTTATAATATCATTTGAAAATGTGAGAGAGTAACAGTATCTACAGGAACACCAAAAAGGTACCAGTAAACAACCAGTAAATCCCTTGAAATCAGGTAGCCAATTACCTTTTTGAATAAACCAAATGCTCAATTCCACTAAAGTGGTACATATAACCCAGTGTGAACATCTCAGTCTGTCTTCACTTAACAGACATGTTTTTGATTTATTGGGGGAACAAGATCTTTTGGTCAATCTAATTTTTGCAGAGCTTATAGACAAAATGAATGGTTGGTGGCTTTGCAGGTTATTCTTGGTTTGTCTCTACCAAATATATCTTGCCCTTCCCTCTCCTGCTTTTTGGCCCAGGAAGGCTGACCTCTATGGACTGTGTATCAAGTACTTTTTTTTCTCAGATCTTTAGTTGAGTTGAACCAATGAGAGATACTGGTAGGGGATTGGAGAGTGGGAGGAGAAAGAGGGTGGGGTATTTCTTCTTCCCTGGATAGCCTTTCTGCTTTGCTCTGCTACTGGCAGGAACTATGCTCATTGCATCCCGTGCCTCCACAGTCAGCCACCCATCCATGGCCCCAGCTCTTCTGGGCCTGGTAACACTTTTTCCACTTACTTCCCTTTCTAGCTTAAGGGTGAACACATCGTTGCCACCCTCAGAATGACTTACATCTCTGTTTTTCTCAACGCAGTCTATACTCACATAGAAGAGACCATTCATGAAATTATTTTAAATTAGACTTTTTTTTGGCATCTGTTTCCTGAAATAATTTGACCTGATATGAGTTTTCTTATTAGGAATTTTTTTATTTTTTAACAGGTTGGTTTTTATCTCATTGTGATTACTTAGCAAGCTACAAATGTTTATAGTTAATGGTATTTTAAGTATGTGCTGAGTGAAAGTACATATATATTAATAATAGGCACAAATTGAATAATCATATATATATATATATATATATATATATATATATATATTTTTTTTTTTTTTTTTTTGAGACTGAGTCTTGCTGTAGCCCAGACTGGAGTGCAGTGGCGTGATGATCTCGGCTCACTGCAAGCTCAGCCTCCTGGGTTCACGCCAGTCTCCTGCCTCAGCTTCCCGAATAGCTGTGACTACAGGCACCCGCCACAATGCCCGGTTAATTTTTTTGTATTTTTAGTAGAGACGGGGTTTCACCGTGTTAGCCAGGATGGTCTCAATCTCCTGACCTCGTGATCCGCCCACCTCGGCCTCCCAAAGTGCTGGGATTACAGGCGTGAGCCACCGCGCCCGGCCATAAATTATTTTTATTTATACCAAACTGCTTATCTGCCGAGCCTTTTTAAGTATTTGAGTTTGTAACCTGATGTGTTGCATCCCTCTTTGAAATTTCCCAGAAAAGACACAGATGAGACAGTTAACAAAATGCTTGAAAGAAATTTCATTTCCCTTTAGGAAGTCTTGTGCTGCAGGTGAGCTAGTATTCAAAGAACCTTCCCTCTGGTGCCTGGCAGGCATGATGCAAATTACTTCTCCCTGTCTCTCTTCCCAGAAAGTCATTCTAAGGCCTAGACAATTAGACCACCATAGAGATTGCCTCTAAAACTCACTTACTGTTTAAGGGCTAAATCTGTACATTAACATATACTTTTTTCCACCCCCAAGGATTAGGGCCAGCACTTCAGCCCATTAAAAAGTTAAAAAAGGCAGGGGAAGACCTTAAACTGTAATGAACTTTTGGAAAACTGACCCAATTTGCTGTTTTTACATTTTACTTTGTTTTAGGTGAAATAAAGCTAACCAGGTTTGCTTTTCCATTTTCCAATTCTGCTGTAACACATTTTTTTTTCCTAGTAAAGAAGATCTTGCTTGCAGTAAATTAATACTTGGAAACTACACCAATTCCTTGAGGATGATTATTGCTACCTTTGCTAATTTTTCTCTATTTTTTTTTCTTTTTTCTCTCTTGTTTTCAAAGAAGCTCCTGATTCAGTGGAATCTTCCTTCTGAGTATATTTTGTATACTCTGGTAGACACACTCTCTAAACAAAAAATACTATCAACTACAAAAGTAGGTTTTAGAAATGCTAATAGTTATAATTGTATATATATTATATATACATATATAATTGCACATATATATATATACACACTATATACATAAAATTGCATATATACATCTGAGACTGGCTTAAAGAAGAAGTTGGCTAGGATCACAGTTAAATTCATAGCACAGAGGGAGGTAGAATAGGATGGCCGACTAGAGAAGCCTAAGGCCCATATCCCCCACAAAAAATGACCAAAACAATGAACAAACAACTATATTTAAACTAGAGTGTTTGAAGGAGAGCACTGGGGTACAGGAGGAAGAGAAGAAAAAAACCTGTGCAACTAAGGTTGACATATAGAAGAAAACAAAATAACCTGCTTCTACCACAATGTCTTCTCAGATGACATTAGCTCAGAACAAGAAGACACTTCACTCACTGGGGAAAAAGTAAGCTGAAGGCCCCAGCAGTTCTCGTTAATGCTGGGGACATTTGCAGTCTTTGCTACTGGAGAATCTTGCAGTCTCCAGAATCCCTGAGCCCAGTTTAAAAAAATTCCCTGTGCCCATGCAACTGGACTGCCCCAGTAAAGGAACCCACATTGTCCTCCCTTTCCCCCATGACCCAAGCTGCAACTGTACAGCACTATCTTGAAACTAGAGCCACAGCTAGAACACATCCTGCTCTGGGAGCCAGTAGCTACTGCATCTCATTCTAGATGCTATGCTGCCATTATAACATGTTCACACATGATAATGCATCATTCTTCTGCTAAACTGCTACAGCTTCCTACACCCTCAGAGCAAACTGCCTACAAGGTCCTCTGCCTTACATATCCTAGTGAATGCATCACCTTGATCCTAAGTCCTAAGTCCAGAGCCTAAGTCCAGCGCCCCAGCACTGGAGCCCATATGGCACCCTGTCACCAAAGGAACAGGTGATCCTGCTCCATAGAGAAGCCAAATCTGAACTAGCTGCAGACACAGTTGGTAGGTTCATCAGTGAAGTGCACTGCTCCCAGGGGAGTCGCAACCTGAGCCAGTGAATCAGTTGCTGTCACCACAGTATCATTCACCTGCTGGGTGAACCACTTCCAAGGAACCCCAAACTCTTTGTAGACCAGACCTAATGTACTTACACTCACCAGCCAGGTATGCCAATTCCAAAGGGGCCCCATCCTGAGCCTGTGGACTGGATCCCATGTGCCACCAGTGCACCCACCAGCCAGGCATGCTGCTTCCAGGTGGTCCCTGCCCAAAGCCATGGGACCAGCCACACTAACTCTTATAGTCTAGATCACTAAGGCACTCCCAGGTTTCACTGAGTTGACTACAGCTGAAAAAACTGCATGGAAATTACACTATTACATCCAGCTGGACCCAAAGCCAACATACCCTACCAAACTGATACCCTAGACACATCTGTAGGTAAAAGTCTTTTTCTTTGAAAGCCACTGTATGTAAAGAAAAGGTGACCAGTTAACCAGGTGCAAAGATATCAACACAGGGACACAAGAAACATTAAAAGGCAAAGAAATATGACACTACTTAACAAGCAAAATAATTCTCCAGTAACTGATCTCAGATAAAGGTTGTGAATTTCCTGAAAAAGAATTCAAAAATAATTATAATTATCTTAAGAAAACTCAGAAAGATGCCAGAGAATACAGACAGACAATTCAAAAATGCCAGAAAAAGAGTCAATGACCTAAAATAAATTCAAAAATGAGATAGATTTTAAAAATTGGAATGGAAGAAATCAACAAATGAAATATAATAGCTTCAACAGCAGACTAGATCAAATAGAAGAAATAATTTCTGAACCTGAAGACAGTTCTTTTAAAATAACTCACTCAAAGGAAAAGAGGAAAAAAAGGAATGAAAGAATAAATAAAGCTTAAGCAAATAAATGTTGGCAGTATAGGAGTTTCAGAGGGAGGAGAAGAAAAAGGAGAAAAGCATGGAAAGCTTATTTAACAAAATAAGCTAAAAGCTCCCCAACTACTGCGAGAGAGAGAGAGATATCTGGATCCATGAGTCTCAAAGGACCCATTATAGATTCAACCCAAAGAGGTTCTCTTTAGGCATATTATAATAAAACTGTCAAAAGTGAGAGACAAAGAGAATTCTAAAAGTAGTAACAGAAAACCATCAAGTCTCATGTAAGGGAATTTCCAGCAGACAATTAGCAGATCTCTCAGCAGAAACCTTGTAGGCTATGAGAGAGTATAATGTATTCAAAGAACTGAAACAAGAAGAAGAAAAAAACTTTCAGCCAAGAATACCATGGCAAGGAAAGCCATCCTTCAGTAACTAAGGAGAAATTAAGTCTTTCCCAAACATAAGCTGAGGAAATTTATCACCACAAAACTGCTCTTACAAGAAATGCCTAAGAGAGTATTTCAGTCTGAAGCAAAAGAATAGTAACTACTAACATGAAAACGTATGAAAGCATAATCCTCACTATTAGAGATAAACTCATAATCAAATTCAACACTAATTAATGAAATGGTGGCAAATCTTTTTAGTCTTCAGTTTGAAGTTTAAAAGTCAAAATGATCAACAATGATTATATCTACAATAAGTTGTTAAGGGACACACACAATATAAATCTAAATTAAGGCAACAAAATTATAGATTTGGGGAAAGGGAAAAATCTAATTGTATACAAACAAAATTAAGTTGTTATTAGTTTAGGATACTCATTATAAACTTAAGGTTTTTATTTAAGCCCCAGTGTATCTACAAAGAAAATAATCACAACACATATACAATGAAAAAAAGAAAAAAATAATCAAATCTTATTACCATAGGAAACCATCAAATCAAAAATAGAAATAATAAAAAGAGGAAGAATGAAATAAATGATCTACAAAACAACCAGGAAACAAATAGGAGTAAGTTGTTAATTATTAATAATAATGTTGAATGTTAGCAAATTAAATTCTCCAATTAAAAGATATTTAGAGAGTGGCCAAATGGATAAAAATCCAAGATCTAACTATATGCTACCTACAAAAACTCCCTTCACCTATAAGGACACACATACACTGAAAGTGAAGGAATGAAAAATAGCACTTTATGCAATTGGAAACCAAAAGACAGCAGGAGTAGCTACACTTACATCAGCTAAGTTTTAAGTTAAAAACTATAAAAGGAGAAAAAAGTAATTATATAAATATAAAGGGGTCAATCCAACAAGCAGTTATGATAATTGTAAACACACGCATTTAACACTGCAACACCCAAATATATAAGCAATTATTAGATATAAAAGAGAGATACACAATGCAATACATCCTATTCCATCTAGTGATTTGCATATGTTTAACCATCCTTCATTCCTGGGATGGATCTCACTTGATCATAGTGGATGATCTCTTCAATGTGCTGTTGAATTTAGTTTGCTACTATTTTGTTGAGTATTTTTGCATTTATGTTTATCAAGAATATTGGAGGGCTGGGTGCTGGGTGACTTCAATAATCCCTTCTCAGCAGGGATGGATCATTTAGACATTTAAATAAACGTCAGCTAATCACACAATAAACCAAATACACATGATAGACATTTACAGAACATTTAACCCAACAACTGCAGAATACGTATTCTTCTCGTCACCACAAGAAACATTATTCAGGAGCGATCATAAGTAAGGCCACAAAGCAAGTCTTAACAAATTTAAGAAAATCAAAATATTTTTAAGTCTATTTCTTGACCACAATAATATAAAACTAGAAATCAACAAAAGGAGGAAATTTCAAAAGTTACAAATACCTGGAAATTAAACAATATGCTTCTGAATAATTGATTGATCAATGAATAAATTTAAAGGAAAATTAAAAAATTTCTTGAGATAAATGAAGATAGAAATACAATGTACCAAAGCTTTTGCGATACATCAAAAGCAGTTTTAAAAAAAGTTTATAGCAATAAACACCTGCACCATAAAAGAATAAAGATCACAAATAAATAGCCTGATATGCACCTCAAGAAACTAGAAAAATAAGAACAAACTAACCACAAGATTAAGAAAGGAGAGAAAATACTAAGGATACGAGCAAAAATAATGAGACAAAAAATCAATGAAACAAAGAATTGTTTTTTTGAAAAATAAACAAAATTGACAACCCTTTAGCCAGGCCAACTAAGAAAAAAGAGAAAGACTGAAACACTCAGAGATGAAAAAAGAGACATTACCACTGAAATCACAGAAACACAAAGGATTATAAGACCATTTTGAATCTTTATATACCAACAAAATGGGTGACCTAGAAGAAACAGAAAAAATCTTGAACATGTATAACCTTTCTAAATTGGATAATGAAGAAATAGAAAATCTGAATAGACTAATAACAAGTAAGGACATTGAAATGTCTTCTGTTGGTGGAAAGTTTAGTGCTTGATGGCTTTACTGCCGAATTCTATTGCACATTTAAGGGAGAACCCATACCAATTCTCCTCAAACTACTTAAGAAAATTGATGAGGAGGGAACACTTCCAGACTCATTCTAAGAGGCCCCATTATCCTGATAACAAACCAGAAAAGGACAGAACAACCATTAAAATAAGAAAAACAGGCCAGGTGCAGTGGCTCACGCCTGTAATCCCAAAACTTTGGGAGGCCAAGGCAGACAGATCACGAGGTCAGGAGATCGAGACCATCCTGGCTAACACGTGAAACCCCATCTCTACTAAAAATACAAAAAATTAGCCGGGCGTGGTGGCAGGCACCTGTAGTCCCAGCTACTCGGGAGGCTGAGGCAGGAGAATGGCATGAACCCGGGATGCAGAGCTTGCAGTGAGCCGAGATCTTGCCACCGTACTCCAGCCCGGGTGACAGAGCGAGACTCCATCTCAAAAAACAAAACAAAACAAATAAAAACTACATGCCAATATTATTTTTTTATTTTATTTTATTCTATTTTTTGTAGAAGTAGAGGCCTTCCTATAAAATCATACTGGTCTTGAACTCCTGGGCTCAAGCAATCCTTGTGCCTCAGCCTCCTGGAGTGCTGGTATTACATGTGTGGGCCACAGCACCCAACCCTCCAATATTCTTGATGCACATAGATGCAAAAATACTCAACAAAATAATAGCAAACTAAATTCAACAGCACACGGAAAAGATCATCCACTGTGATCAAGTACGATTCATCTCAGGAATGCAGATGGTTAAACATATGCAAATCAGCAAACATGACACATGACATTAACAGAATGAAAGAAAAAATCATATGAACATTTCAATAAAGGCAGAAAAAGCGTTTGATAAAATGTAACATCTCTTTATGATAAAGATTCTCAACAAGTTAAGTATAGAAAGTATAACTCAACACAATAAAGGCCCTATATGACAAACCTACCGCTAATATCATACTGAGCAGAAAAAAATTGAAAGATTTTTTTTCTAAGGTCTGGAATAAGACAAAGAAGGTTCATTTCACCACTTCTATTGAACATACTACTGGAAATCCAAGCCTGAGCAATCAGGCTAAAAATTAGAAGAAAGAAATCAAAGGCATCCAAATTAGAAAGGAGAAAGTTAAATCATCCTTGTTTGCAAATGGCATGATCAGATATACATACAGAGAGAGAAAACCCTAAAGACTCTACAAAAACAAAACAACCAAAAAAAAAAAAACCTTGTTAGAACTAATAAACTAAGAAACTAAGTAAAGTTGAAGGATAAAAATCAACACACAAAAATCCATTGCATTTTTATATGCAAATAATGAACTATCTGAAAAAGTAATTGAGAAAACAATTCCATCTATAATTACTAGAAAATAATAAGACATCTAATGAGAAATTTAACCAATTATGTGAAAGATCTCTACATTAAAACCCATAAAATACTGAAGAAAAAAGTTGAAGAGAACACAAACAAATGGAAAGATTTCTGTTTTCATTAATTGGAAGAATTGATATTGTTAAAATGTCCTTAATATCCAAAGCATTCTTGAGATTCTATGCAATGTCCATCAAAATATCAAATATCAATGATATTCTTCACAGAAAGAAAAAAAATCCTGAAACTGGTGAGGAACTACAAAAGATCAGAATAGCCAAAGCAATCTTGAGCAAAACAAAACAAACAAAAAACCAAAGCTGGAGGCATCACAATACCTGATTTCAAAATATACAACAAAGCTAGAATAACCAAAATAACATGGTATTGGCACAAAAACAGACTCATAGATGAATGGAACAGAATTGATACCCCAGAAATAAATCTAGGCATTTACAGCCAACTGATTTTCTACGAAGGTGACAAGAACATGCATTGGGAAAAGAATAGTCTCATCAATAAATGGTGCTGGAAAAATTGAATATTCGCATGCAGGAGAATAAACCTGAACCCCTGTCTTTCACCATATACAAAAATCAACTTGGAATGAATTTGAGACTTAAATGTGAGACCACAAACTATGAAAGTACTAGAAGAAAACACAGAGGAAGGGCTTCACAACATTGGACTGGGAAAGGTTTTTTTTTTTTTTTTTTTTTAAGACTGAGTCTCACTCTGTGGCCCAGGCTGGAGTGCAGTGGCAAGATCTGGGCTCACTGCAAGCTCTGCATCCTGGGTTCACGCCATTCTCCTGCCTCAGCCTCCCGAGTAGCTGGGACTACAGGCGCCCGCCACCACGCCCTGCTATTTTTTTGTATTTTTAGTAGAGGCGGGGTTTCACCATGTTAGCCAGGATGGTCTCGGTCTCCTGGCCTCGTGATCTGCCCGCCTCAGCCTCCCAAAGTGCTGGAATTACAGTCATGAGCCACCGCACCCTGCCGGGCAAAGATCTTTAAATTAGCACTTTGAAAATGCAGGCAACAAAACTAAAAATAGACAAATGGGATTGCATTAAACTAGAAAGCTTTTGCACAGCAAAAAGAAACAATAAAGTGAAGAGACAACCTAGCAAATAGAGGAAAATATCTGCAAATGATACATCTGACAAGGAGTTAATATCTAAAATATATAAGAAACTCAAGTCAATAGCCAAAAAAAAAAAAAAAGGAAAGGAAAAGAAAAACAAATAATCCAATTACAAAATGTGCAAAGGAACTTAATGGACATTTCTCTAAGTAAGATACACAAATGGCCAACAGGTATAAGAAAAAATGCTCAACATCACTTATCACTAGGGAAATGCAAATCAAAACCACAATGAGACATAATCTTACTCCAGTTAGAATGTCTATTACCAAACAGACAAAAGATAACAAGTGTTGGCTAGGATGTGGAGAGAAGAGAACTCTTAAACACCATTGGTGGGAATGTAAATTAGTAAGTCATTATGGAAAATAGTGTAGTGATTCCTCAAAAAATTAAAAGTAGAACTACCATATGAACCAGCAATCTCACTATGGGGTATACATCCAAAGGAAGTTAAATCAGTAAGTCAAAGAGATATCTGCACCCCCATATTTATTGCAGCACTATGCACAATAGCCAAGATATGTAATCAACCTAAATGTCCACTAAGAGATGAATAAAGAAAATACGGTATAATGGAATACTAAGCAGTCTTACAATTCCATTATAGCATAATGGAATATTAAGCATTGTAAAAATGCTTAGTATTACAGTGCAACAGATGAATGAATAAAGAAAATATGGTAAAATGGAATACTAAACACTCTTCAGAATGAAATCAAACAACATAAATGAACCTGGAAGACATTATGTTAAGTGAAGCCAAACACAGAAAGACACATACTGCATAATCTCACTCAAAAGTGGAATATAAAAAGTTGATCACATAGAAGTAGAGAATACAACAGTGTATACCAGAGACTGGAGAGGGTAGAGGGAAGGAGGAAATGAAGAGAGATTGGTTAACAAGTACAAAGTTACAATTTGATAGAAGGAATAATTTCTAGTGTCCTATTGCACAGTAGGGACTATAGTTAACAATAATGTGTTGAATAATTCAAAATACCTAAAAGACGGAAATTCAAATGTTCTCACTACAAAGAAATAGTGATAGATGTGCTAATTATCCTGATTTCATCATTACACAATGTATACACACATTGAAACATTACACTGTATCCCACAAATATATACAACTATTTTACATCAATTAAAATGTGTAAAAAATCAAACAGCAATAATAGTAATTATAATAAAATAATAGCTATCTATATGACAGTTACTATATGCCAGAAAATATGCTACACAATTTGCATGATGTGTTTGATTTTATCCTTGCAAGTACCCTTTGATGTAGTTGCAGTACTTATTTCAATTACAGAGGTGACACAATTGGAAGTACAGAACTAGGCAGGAACCAAGCCCAGGTTTTTCTGAGTACACAGTTCCAGTTCTCAATAACTGCACTGTGCCTCTGAGTCTAAGGCATAGCAATGCCTTAAAATGTGGCAGCTAACTTGTAACAAGACCGCCCTTCCTTCTCACCCTAAGTGTGGTTTATTCTCTGAAGTTTCTGATGTGTGGTGCTAAGACACCATTTTACTGAAGAAAATGTTTCAGAGGCCATTTTTCCTTATTTTGCCAAGATTAAAGGACTTGGGGAAAAAAAAGGATTTGATTGATGGCAAAGGAATTATACAGACAGTGGATGATAGGAAGATGTATTCTGACTTTAGCTTTTTCAAATTAGTTTCATAAATTTTTAGGTATTGCCAATCAAGAGATTAGTAATGGTAATTAAAAAATATTTAAACAATAATGGTGACCAAATTCTTCAGCTGAAAAGCACAAAAAGCATATTTCTAATCCCTTTTGTTTTCGTTTTGGACCCCTCCCAAGTGGAATTTGTTCAAGAAACACTAAGCACTCACTATGAGCCAGTAATGATCATGGCTAGGTATGTAAATATAAAACATGCATGTTCTTTTGCCCCGAATGGGTTCATTTGCAGCCCATGTGGCCACATTATGAGAATAATTTGACAAGATCTACAAGACATCTTGACAAATTTAATATTTGTGGTTGCAACCATTCTGAAGCACTGAAGTTTCACAGACCAGGATAATTTATTATTTTGCATAAGCATGAATCGAATTGCTCAGGCTTTGGGGTTGATGTGAGAAAAGAAACAGATCATTAATCAGCAAAGCTGATATCTCGGTATCTATATCTCATCATGGCCCTAATGCCACATGAAGTGATAAAAACTTTATATTTGAAAAAAAATCCAGCTGTAGTGCTTATAAGGAGTGTGAGGAGCAAGTGAAGCAGTCTAAAAAAATGCTGGTTCTTTATAGAATATAGAAATGTTGGAATAATTTAAGAAGTAGCATGTCAAATCCCTTCATAAATTTGGATATACGACAGGATTGTGCCACAAGCTTTATATAAGTGGTTTTCAGTGTTTTTAAAAATCCATGGCCCATCTAAAAAAAATTGCTCCTTTTTACAATCTAATACACACACGCACGCACGCACGCACGCACATCCACCACTGAAACAAAACTTCCATAATCCAATACTTTCCTTTATGTCATATACTCTGATATTTTACTAATTTTTTGTTTTCTATTTCATTTGTAAATGCTGATTGTGACCTACTAAATTGACTTTATGATTCACTAATGGTTTGTAACTCCTAGCATGAAAAGCACTGCTCTATATTAATAATATGAATGAATAAGTGAGTGAGTAAGTCAGTTGATGAAGCTGCTTCAGATGGTGGTCCAGCTAGATTTATTTTAATAGTACTATAAATTACTTTAATCCTGTGTTTATAGAATCTTTAAAGGTCTTATAGGATAACTTAAATTTTTTCATTTATTCTCCAGTGCACTGAATGGGAAAAATTATATAATACAGTAATACTTGTGAATACAGGGGTTTGCAGAGCTCTCGGGTGGAAGTAAAGTATAAGCTCTATAAGTAATAAGCCTGAGGAGTAAAGATGAGTGAAGAACTGTGTGTGAGTGAGTGTTCTAGGAAAGTACATTTGATATGGCTGTGAAAGATGAGTAGTGTGTGACAGGTAGAGTTCAGAAAAGGGCAGTTCACACTGGAAGGGTGTGGTTTGCTTGGGAGACAAGTGAGAAGTAAGTTGTATCTAAGAGTCCTACAGGAAGATATAGTGGGGACTAGTTAGATGAGGTTAAAGTACACCAGACAGCAACATCAGATCCTAGTCATTTGTTTTACATGATGAAACTTGAAGTTCTCTTCCATTGAGTTAATAGACCATTTTCAAAGAAATTGATTATTTTATCACAACTTTAACAGAACAAGATTTCAGTATATCTTTGGGGTTTTGAGTGGAACTCAGGAAATAAATGGTAGAAGAAAATTTGTGAGATTATTTCTGTTCTAGGCAGCAAGCTCCATAAAGGTAGGGTCCTCAGTTTGATTTGTTCATATTTTCTAGCAGCTAGAACACTGCTTGGAGCATAATAGGTGCTTGAGATATTTTCTAAATGAATGAATCAATGAGTGAATGGGTAAAGAAGGGCACAGGTTACCTTGGTGATGACTCTTGAACTCTTCTTTCCTAAGGTCTTTTGTTCACTTATGTAGTTATTTAGAGAGATTGCATTGATTATAATCTTAGTACTATTCAAATTCAGTGCTCTCTTTCTATCTTCTTCCTGGGCTGATCTGTTCTCAGTCTCATAAACACTTATTACAATATTGTCTTTGTTGTTCCTGTTCTCTTGAAATATCGCCTTTCTCTACATGGTCTTTTATGTATCTTAGCCAGCATTCCTGGTGCTCCAAATGAAATTGGCTTTTCCATGAAGTCTTACTTGGGATACTTTAGCTTTTATATTATGCTTGATTCCTTTCTCACTTACTACTTATTAAATAATTAAATAAAAGTAATTTAATGAGTGTTGAATTGATAATTTAATAAATATATAGTTAAGATCTAAAGGATGAATAAAAGTAGACAATATTAACAAAACAATTATACAGAATCTTATTTCCTAAACACTGTTAACATTTTGTTGCATGAAGTTCCTGACATTTAATGTTTATATTGATGAATTTATACTACATACATATATATATATATGAATATATAAATATATATGAATATAAATTGGAATCAGAAGATACATCCATCTTATATAATGCTTTTTATTTAATAAAATGTGTTTCTCCTTATTTTCCTGAATATTTCTTAAGAACATCACTTTAATGTCTATAGAGTATTTCATTATATTTGAACATAGATTTAATTAACTTTTAAATTTTGAGTGGGACATTTGGGTTGTTTCCTATTTTTTGCTTTTAAAAAAATTCTTTAGTAGACATCCTTATACTCAAAACTTTATATTTGTTTTTTTTTTACTTAAGTAAATAGAAGTGAAATTAGTTGGAAAAAGGGTATAAGCATTTTGAATAGTATTGCTAAATGTAACAAAAGACAGGTTGCCCCCATCATCCCCACACATTATTGCAATTTACACTCTAAGCAGGTTATGAATGCTTATTACTCTCAGTGTTAGCATGCTTTAGAGCTTAGTAATGTGAGCGCTGAAAAAAATGTCATTAACATTGAGTATGAATTGTTTTTTAACAGGTGGGCTCTAACATTATTACATATATCTATTGTCCATTTTTCTTTCTTTTGAAACTGGTTGTTCATAGCTTGTTTATTTTTCAATTCAGATGTTAATTATTTGCTTTTAGCTTTAAAGAGCCATTAGTTTTTATGTGTCCTCTAATTTTCCATGGCACTTGTATACATGCTCATATAATGTGGGCTATATTGTTTATATTGTGTGTGTATATATATATATATATATATATACGCACATACACACACACATGCACACACACACACCAACTGCACCAACTAGACTGTGGGATTCTGGGCAAAAATAGTCTTATTTTTCTTTAACTCTTATTCTTTAAGGAGTACTGTGGGTAAATGAAAAAGTCATGCACTTTGGAATTCACTAGAGCTAAGATAAAAAAAATACCAGCATTTTACTTGAACAGTTTCCTCAATCTTAAACCTTAGTTTCTTCCTCCTGAATAAAGAGGGTAAATAATATTTTTTCTTCAGAAGGTGGTAAAGAGTAGATAAAATAATTTATGTAAGGCTCTAGCACAGCGAGCAGCACATGGTGGAAAGTCATGAATATTAACAACCATTATTCTTCTTATTTGGTTTTTGCTTAGCTTTTTTCACAATATTTTGGAAACACTCTGGGTGCTTAATAAACATAATACGTAAGAATAATAACAATAGCCAAATCTATTGGCTATTGTTAACAGAGCCAACAGTGAAATCGTGAAAACAGTGTTTATTCATTTGTTTTTCAATATAACACTTAGCAAACTTTAGATCAGTTTGGTTTCTCCCCTTTTAAATACACTTCATTTCCATTTCATTTAAGGTGTAAATAGTGGTAGACATAACAAATTTTCAATTCTCATGCCCAGGTTGCACGTGGGCATTTTACAAGTCACTTCTTCCCACTCTTGGTAAACCAAGAATAACTAAAAAAAAAGTACTTTTCTACATCTGAGCCCTTGCCCACACGAAATTCATGACATCTGCACTGGTGGATACTTGAATGGCTTTTCTAAGATAAGATGTGGAACGATCTAGTCCAAGCAATTCCATATCTCAATTTGGAATTCTGTTTCAAGGACTGAGTTAGTCAATAGATGTTTGTGACACTTGCCCTTTAATGAACTCTGCTATTTTGCTCTAACTTTCACCAAGCATGTAATGCTTAGAATCAATTTGATTGGGCTCTTTTTGCCACATCCTGTTTTGAAGCACTGTCACTTAAAGAGCCAGGGAAATTTGGAGACTGCTTTCCCGGGAAGCTAAACAATTTCTTACAACTGCAGGGAAAGTTTTCTCCTTTGATTGATAATGGCTTTGACGACATAAAATCAAACATTTTGCATTTATTTATTCCTTTATTTATCCTGCTGGACATGCACAACAGAAAGACCTTATGAAATCTATTTTTAATTATTTCCCAATCCCTGTTTACATTAGAGGGTATCACTCCCATTCAGCTGACATTCTTTCTCTTGATTCTTCTGCCTTCTCATTCGGTGTCACCTAATCTGGCCAGAAGCTACTATAAATCCATAAATAATGCCACTTTTTCTAGATCCTTATTGATCTAGACATAGTTGAAGCTTCACTATGTGTCCACTGGTCCCAAATCATTTTCTCATCAGTAGGGATCTTCCTCTGAATCCTCCACCGCTTCCTTCATATGTAAAGTTAAAGTGGAAGTTAAATGACCCTTGCCTAGCTATTTCTGTCTCTTCAATTTTCTGACTTAGTTTTCAGAGACAGACAGCTTTCTATTTTCTTTACCATTTTTCCTTCTTAGGAGGAAAATCAAAAAGAAATTCTGTCATCTGAGACGTTGCTGTTCATTTTCTTGCACTTATTTTCATCCATATTTCACTTGCATTAGGTTTTTTAGACTTTAATCTTCTAACATTAAGTTCTCTCACAGTGTCTTTTCTCACATCAGTTTTATTGGGGTATCATTTACCTATTGCAGAACTTACCCTCTTTCCTAATAATTTTGAGAGGAAGTTAAATGGAGGAATAAGAGAAAAATATCTTTTTCTTAATATATTTTCTATTCCCACTTTTTATTTGCTTCTTTGTTGAAAATGAAACTTAATTCTGATATTTGTGTTTTTTTTAAAGATTTTTTTTACATTGTTTCTTACCAACTTATTTTTGTTTTCTTTCACATTGGATCAATCCTTTTTTGGTCTAGGATATGCCTTTCTCTCTGGTAAACATGTACTTATTTATATTTTATTATTGTACCTCAGATTATTATTATTAATTATTGAAGCTCAGATTTTGGAAGCACAATAATTTTATAAACATCTAAGAATTTATCATTGAAATATTTGATATAGTATTAGCCATACCTAGCAAACTGACAGACTAAGACGCTGAGCATAGCCCAATAATAGACATAGGTCGAAATTAAATTATTGCACAATATACATTATAGTTAATTAAAATACGTACTAGGAATTGTTCTTATAGATAGAAGAAGGATGGTGACTAGAAAATATTGATTTTAAAGGATACTATATTAAAAATAATTCTAGGCTTAGTGAATATCTGGCTCCACGTATATGCCTACCAAATCATAGGAGGAAAGTCGAATGTATGCAGTAGGATTCATTATTTTCTTAAATAAGAAACTGTGTATAGAATACCTGCTAGTGCCAGAGTCCGATTTTAGGGACTAGCATTACAATTAATCAAGACTGACAAATTTTGCATACTAGATATGTACTGTCAAATATAAAAGACATTACTCACATGTAGCTATTAAAATTAATTAAAATTAAATAAAATTAAAAATTGAATCCCTTAGTTGCATTAGCCAAATTGCAAGTGCTCAGTAGTCACACATGACTAGTGTCTATTTTGTTTGACAGAAAAGATATACAGCATTTTCAACATAAGAAATGTTCTATTGAAAGAGGCTGCATTTAAGACCATGTTTTTTACTTTTGATAATAAATAATCTTAAACATATAGAAAAGAAAAGAATATTATAGACATCCATGTTAATTACTATGGACATAAAATACATGTTGCTATTTGCTATATGTTTTAGTGGACTCTTTTTTTAAAAAATAAGAAAACCTTACAAATATGAAAAATCCATATACCTCCCACTTCTCCCCCTTCACTCCCTAAAGGTAACCAATATCCTGAAGATGATGTGAATCACTCATAAGCGTATTTTTGAACTTTTATGACATAGAGATATACTGATAAACAATTATTTTGTACTTTGTTCATATAAATGGCATCAGCTGTTTCCAACTTACTGTTCTCTGGTTGTGGTTTCCATTTAACATTTTATTTTGAGATATAATTCTATATCTTCATTTTTTGCTCTATAGTGTTTTCTGTACAAGACATCCACTCACTGTGGTGTATCCATCTCCGTTTTTTTTTTTTTTTTTTTTTTTTTTTTGAGACAGAGTTTCACTCTTGTTGTCCAGGCTGGAGTGCAATGGCATGATCTTGGCTCACTGCAACCTCCGCCTCCTGGGCTCAAGAGATTCTCCTGCCTCAGCTTCCCAAGTAGCTGGGATTACAGGCGCCCACCACCATGCCTGGCTAATTTTTTTTTGTATTTTTAGTAGAGATGGGGTTCACCATGTTGGCCAGGCTGGTCTTGAACTCCTGACCTCAGGTGATCCGTCTGCCTCAGCCTCCCAAAGTGCTGGGATTACAGGCATGAGCCACCACACCTGGCCCCATATCCGTCCGTTTTCTAAACGAGAAACTATTTTAGGAGCTTTGCAACTGAAGTCTACAATCTAAACATTTTCTAGGCTCTGTTGGACAGTCTAACCTCTGTCCCAGGCATGATAAGAGTTAAACAGCCCACGGACTGTTAAACCTTTTAAGAAAGTTTACTGCAGAGGATGGAAAGGCAGCCTCCCTTCATGGTGCTATTTGATGTTCCACCTGGCCTTGCTTCAGTGGGGGACCCTTTGAGAGGTCTTCTATTTACACTCTGAAAACAGCACAGGGGCAGGTACCCAACGATATTGCAGACCCATATATCTGACTCAGTTGATGTTCTTCTCTGGTATTCTGTTTATTGACTCTTTCCTAAATAAATGGGTCTCTATGTAAATCAAGTCCTAAAAAATAGCTTGCAAAACACATGCACTCATTTCTTGAGGGGGAAAAATAAGTCACTAAATTTATGTCAAAATTTCCACTGTACTTGAATATATTTAGCTGCTATCTTTTGATGTTCTGATCTCATAAATTTAAAAGCTACACTTGGATCCTAGTTAGGAAACGGCAGCAGACATTAGGTTTATTTCTCCTTCCTTTTGCCTCCTTCTCTCAAAAGATTCTGTCCTTAATGGAATGTAAAATCAGTCTGGAGTTTTTTAATAATTTCATTGTAATGCTGAATCTATGTTCTCCATCCTGGATGTTTAAAGAGTTCCTTTCTTATACTTTCTTCAGGTTACAAACCAAACCTGTTTTTCATCTATAAGACATCACTGCTTTTGTACCATTTCAAAGACATGAAACTGAAAACATTGATGTATTTCATCGCTACATTTCAGGTATTTTCACATTTTAGGTTATTGGTTTAGAAAAGAACATTAGCAAACAGGACATTTCAAGAAAATGAGGAATCAAAGGGGTTTCCATAATTTATTTTTCAAAACAGGCCTGAAGGTCATTTTCACTAATTGTAAACTATAGGAAGCCCACAAAAAACATATAATGAAAGTAACTGCTCAATCTGACTCAGTTTAATAAGTGAGTATATACCATCTCAGCTTCCTCCATATTGCTGGGGCACTTTTTCCTTTTTCTCTTCCAGTACAACACCTCTCATCCCCAAGTAATGTCTACCGTAAAAGTGTAATGCAAGTAGTGGCACTGAAGTATCTCTTACTCAGCTACTCCTTTCTTTCCACATATTTACAGAAAGCAAGAATTGTCAGGAATTCAATGTTGGTAAGTTTTTGGAATACAAATGAAACACCTAGAGGACTATTTTTTTCTTTCCCTCTGCTTTTTTTTCTTTCCCTTAGTTTACAACTGAAAATAGCTAAAAATTCTGGTGAAAATCGCCACCATTGACATGGAAGGAAAACAAAGTATCTGCAATCTGCACACACACACACACACACACACACACACACCAAGAAAGGGAATTCTAGGAGGTAAGCTAATATTGAAGGCGAATTTCACCTTAAGAGTATAAGATGAACATTATTGACTTTAGGATTCGGTTTTAATGTTATGCCAGGCATAAGAGAATGGAAATAACGACTAGTGAGAATATATTAGGCAACCTAGATATCAAGCTTGGAACCTAAAGGACTATTCCTTCAAAGTACGGGTGAATGATAAATAAACTCTATGTAGAACAAGACAAACATACCTTTGTCATTGTCCTGGCACTGGTTGGTGGATAAATGAAACTTCCCTTGAGAATTAATAAACAACCAGTTGCCTTTACTTGGCTTCAAGTCCCAATTACTGTTATCGTATGCAACTTAAATAATTGTAAGCAGATCATTTTAAGTAGGTAATAATTTGAGGTAACAAAAAGAATAAAATTCAATGTTTTCTGCGGAAATCCAACTTTAGCCTGTGCTTCAAAAAATTCCTGCAAAGGCTTTTCCATAAAATATGATCTTACAACATAAAATTCTATATCATATAAGAAAACAAGACACTGTTAGAGCCAGAAAAAAAACAACAGAAAGCAGAATCCCACCAAAGTCTCCATTAATGAAATTATCAAATATAGAATATAAAATGAGTATGTTTTATATGTTTCGAGAAGCAACAGAAAGGATTGACAGAACAAATAAGGAAAAAAAGACTATAAAGCAGCCCAGGAGATGGGAAAAAGAACCAAATAGAGTTCCATATCTGGGAAATATAATAATTAAAATTTTAAAAGTAACCGGAGGGTTACAAGAGCAGATTAGATTCTGCTGAAAATATAAATAGTGATCTGGAGGAAAGCTTTGAAGAAATACAGCATACATTTCTGAGAGAAAAAGAGATCAATTTTTTTTTTAATCCAACAAACAAGTACCACCAGACTTTCAAAAAACTGGTCTCATTCAGACCATTTTGAACATAAGTCAATATAGTTAGAAAGTAAAAACAATATATTTATAAAAATTATAAGTAGTATCTAGGGCAAAGAGGAGAATCAAGATGGACTAAAATAAAACATTATGGAGATAGTAAATTGGAAGATCACATTTAATCTTCTAATTCTCATGCAAAAAAAAATCCTTGTAATCTCCAAAGACGACCCTCCAATGAGCCTCACCTCTTGGTGCTCACATCCTGTGTAAACCTACCTGCACTGACAATGAGAAAACTCTGCCTAACCAATAAGACAGGATGCTGTGTGACTTCCAAGGCTAGATTATAAGTTTTGCAGCTTCCACCTTAGTTAAGAGGAATGTTTTAGGGTAAGCCAGCTTTCATGTAAAAAGCCCAGTTACCTAAATACCACCATTGTGTGAGGAAGCTCAAGTTCATTAAGTGGGGTGAACACTGGGGGAGAGACAGATGTGCAAACATCCCAAGATGTTTCAGTTATTCCCAGATAAGTTATTCCTTATATCCAGAAATATGATTGCAAATGCTTTCTTGGATTTCCCTTTCTGAAGTCTTCAATACCAGCCCCTATCTCACTGAAAATGCATGTGAGGCTCCAATCTTTGGTCTAAGTCAATCTGTAAAATTGTGAGCATAAACATAAATTATTATTTTTAGCCACTACATTTTAGGACACTTTGTTATTCAGCAGGAGATAACTGAAATGACCCTACAATTATAGATGAATTAATCTTTACAGACAGCCCAAACAGCAAGTATCACCTCACTTTACAAGATTAGTGTCATTCAGACCATGTTTTATGAACATGTATATCAGCATAATTAGAAAATAATAACAAAAATGATACATTTAGGGAAAAACACTTCAAAACAATGTCTGAAGCAAAGAGGAAATCAAGATGGAACTTGAAAAATATTTATAACTTAGCTTATAAATAAATTACCATATATCAAACTTATGGGTAAATACAAGTGAAAGCAATTTCATTGCTTTAAATTTTCACGTTTTATAAAATAAAAAAGATAACAAATGAATTAAATGAATCTGGGTTTAATTAGGAGACAGAAACCATACCAGCAATTTGAAGAGAGAACATTTAATATAAAGAATTGTTACCCAAGAAAAGGGTGGTAAACTCGTTGGAAGGGCAAAAGACTCCAAGACACAACAGAGAGAGTAACTACAGAGAGCAGCTGCTGCCCTTAGTGTTGCCTTAAAAATGAACAAGGGTAAAACAGAAGCTTCAAAGAGAGGCTCTGTAAAGATAAGATTTAGCCCTCTGGGATATGGCAGAGATTTTCCACAGCCACATCAGCTGCCACAGAAGTTGCTGGGAGTCACTCACCAGAACCACAAGAACAATGTGCTCCCGTTGAAGAACACTGATGAAGAAATCAGCTGCCCATCAATCTGACCCGTCATTCCTGGGGCTGGGATCAGCCATGAACCCCACAACTTGCTACTGAAGAAAAACAAACAGAAAGAAGCAGGTAACTTCTCCCTCCAGTCTTGCAGTCTCCTTGAAGAGACCCTTATTGTCAAAGCATAACAGGGCCAGCTAGAAAAGAAGAAATTTGATTTGTAGAGTCTAGCTTCAGCATCCCAAAATAGGGCAAAAGAAGGGTGATTTGGGACTGAGAAGCAATAAATTAATAATGAAGATACTAAGGATTTAACATGGTGTAACTACAGGCATGGCACAAACTAAAAAATATATACCAAACAATTTTATGCGAATAAATTTTAAAATGCTGATGAAAGTTTCAAAAACACAACTGACCAGTAACTGATACAAGAAGAAACAGAAAACCTAAATTGTCCTACAATTAATAAAGAATTAATACTTGAAAATCTCCCTGTGAAGAAAATACCCAGACAAGTAAGTTCAATCAACATTTAAGAAATAAAAAACTCAAATCCTACAGAATTTTTTTTCAGATAATAATAATAGATTCATTACAAGACTGTTTATATTTTCAAATTAGTTGGAAAATGACAAACTGAAAATGAGATGAGGATAGTATGAGAAATAAAAATTACAGTTTTTTTCTCTCTTGAAAACATATGGGCAAATGTTCTAAACAAACTACAGTAGTCCTCCCCTTTTAGTTTCATTTTCTGCAGATTCGGTTACCTCCAGCACTGTAAAATAAGATGTTGAGAAACAATATATATACACAATGGAATACTACTCAGCCATGAAAAGGAATGAATTAATGGCATTCACAGTGACCTGCATGAGATTGGAGACTATTATTCTAAGTGAAATAACTTAGGAATGGAAAACCACACATCGTATGTTCTCACTCATAAGCTAATTGAGAGCTAAGCTATGAGGATGCAAAGGCATAAGAATGACACAATGGACTTTGGGGGCTCAGGGGGAAAGGATGGGAAGGGGGTGAGGGATAAAAGAATACAAATTGGGTACAGTGTATACTGCTCGGATAATGAGTGCGCCAAAATTTCACAAATCACCACTAAAGAACTTATGTAACCAAACACCACCTGTTCCCCAATAACCTATGGAAATAAAAAAAATAATAAAAAACTAAAAAATAATAAAGCTACAGTAATCAATAAAAATATTATAATTGTTCTGTTTTATTATTTGTAATTGTTAATATCTTGCTGTGCTTACTTTATAAACTAAACTTTATCATAAGTATGTATATATAGAAAAAACATAGTATATATAAGGTTAGGTACTATCTGTAGTTTCAGACATCTACTGGGTTCTTGGAATGTATTCCCCATGGATAAGGGAAGACTACTGCGTCAGAAAACTAAATCCATAATAGAAAAAATCTAGAATGAAGCCACGTATACATCAAAAATATAATTTAATAATTAAATGTGTTATATTATGAGCAATTTACTGTGCAGTAACTAAAATAAAGAAATTATAGTTACAACATACACCATGAGTAAATCTCAAAAACAATGGTGAGCAAAATATGTGCTATAAAAACATACACACTTTGATTTCTCTTACATAATGTTGAAAAATAGGCAGAAACAAATAATACATTGTTTAAGGATTTTTACATATGCAATGAGACTATTAAAAAGTACAAGAAAATGATTGACACAAATATTTACAATAAAAGAGGTAACTGTGATAAGGGGAATACATGGTTATTTCAGAGCCATCAATCTTAACTTGGGGGCAGGGCAGGATCATGGGTGTGTGTTTCATCAATGCTCTCTAAACCTGTGCAAATATGTTACATAAACTCTTTTGCATGTATAATGTATTTTGAAAGAAAGAAAAGGAATGAGAGAGAAACAGAGAGAAGAGATTTATAAATTGTGAGGGAGGGAGGGAAGGAGAGAGAGAGGGAAGAAGGGCAAGAAGGAGAGAGGAATCATGCAGTATAGCTATTATAATAAGGAAAAGACTAGATTTGGGGTTAAATCCTAACTCTGGCACTTACTAGCTGTGAGTCTAGGAAGTTTACTTAACCTTTCTGAGTTTAGGTTGTCTCATACATAAAATTACTATCGACTTTGGAGCACTCTTAGATGATTAAATAAGATGTTTTTAAGTGCTTAGCAGACAGTAAGTGCTCAATAAATGTGTTATAGTCTTTAATCTTTTCATTTATGAACACTGATGTAACACCATTATTTACCAGACTATGTACTAAGCTATACAAATAAATAAAACAGATACAATACTTGCCCTTGTGGCATTTATACTCTAGCAACGGAGGAGATGCTAAGCAATCACAGAGATGGCTATGAATAAACAAATTATAATAAATAATAAGAAAGTAAAATGAAAGAGGAAAAATTTATTTAGATTGAGGGAATCAAGGGAAGTCTTCTCTGAGCAACTGACAGTCAAGAGAGTCCTGAAAGATGCTTTTATATCTCCCTATGTTAAAGTGTCTTATAGGCCAGGAGCAGTGGCTCACACCTCTAATCCCAGCACTTTGGGAGGCTGAGGGAGGAGCAATCGTTTAAACCCAGGAGTTTGAAACTAGACTGGGCAATGTAGTGAGACACTGGTGGCTTGTACCTGTAGCTCAGCTACTCAGGATGCTGAAATGGGATAATCATTTGACCCCAGGATGTTGAGGCTGTAGTGAGCCATGATTGTGCCACTGCACTCCAGCCTGGGTGACACAGCAAGATCCTATCTTTTATAAAATTTAAAAATATATATTTAAAAAAATAAAGTATCTTACTCAGCTAGATCCCTTTCAGCCTTTAAATATCAGTTTAAATGACATTTCTGTAGCTTAGAATTCAATATCTACTCAAAAAATATATGTTTAATATTGCCATGTGACAAGCTCTGTAAATACTTATTAAAATTTTCAGATTTCTATGACCTATTATTGTGTTTTACACACAGTAGATGATCAGCATAACCTTCTCAACACTAGATAACAGCATTTAGAAAATATAGGCTAGGTTTCCTACCAATATATTCCTCAGCACTTACAGGTTTACTTAAAAAAAAAAAAAAAGAAAAACAGGAAAAGAAGTCGATTATGGACACTTAGAAAAGCGAATTCAGAAAATAGTAAGTAAGCTATTAAAAAATTAATGAAAGCTGCGAATAAGGCCTTCTTCCATAAATTGCCAGTTATGATCATTCAGTCCTTGGTTATATAATCCTGACTAGAATTACTTTTGCTTTTCAACCCAAATCCCTAGAGTCTTATGTTCTTGGCCGGAGCAGACAGAGTAAAATTATTGTGTGTGAACCTCCTAAATTCTGAATACAGCGTTTTCTCACTTGCTACTCCCACAGGTCTGCAAGGTAAAGGGAAAGAAAGAAAAAGAAGGCAGTTTGAACACTGGGTTCATTAAAAAGCAAAACATAAAGTGAAAGTTGCATCTTGAACTTTATCAGATATAACACTATTTTCCTTGAGCTATATAAAAGAAATTTCTCTAGATTTAGGCACTAGTATAAGCAGAGATGAAAAGGTGAAGCATTTACTTATAAACTTCTATTTGCCTTGTCACAGTAACCACACTGATAAGGAACCTAAAGCAAAAGGAGGTGTTTTAATACCTGCTTAATAAAAATCTCCTGCTTAGAACATAGGATTGTACATCAAAAAACTAAAGTCTCCCCAAGAGACTTGTACCATCTTGAGGATGTAGCTCCATACTGCTGCACTTTTTTTTTTTCATGCTAACACAATGCAGTGCTTTATTACAGGTTAGATGAAAGGAAAAAAACAGAAAATATGAAAGTAAGACATTAGAATTGGGCCAAAGATTTAAAACTTAAATAAAAGACAGAAACATTCTGGACCTTGTAGCTGCCTTCTGTCTCCTACCAAAAAACAAAAACCAAAGCAAACAAGCAAAATATTCCCAGATAAGTGAAAATAATATGCATTTGGGCTCATTAGTTGTATGCATGGAGGATTTGCCTATTAATTTAGATATGCTCTGAAAATTAAAGTTCTGTCTCTTTGTGGAGGCATTTAACATCAGTGGTTAGTTCTGTCTCTACTTGTGTATATACTGGGGCTGAAATAGAGCTTAGGAGAGTATTCCATGTCAATTACTGATTCTAGAACTCCTCAGATTCTACCATTTCCTTTAACTTCCCAATCATTATTGACCCTTAGCACAATACAGAATTCATTGATTTCAAGAATTGAGATGCTTCTTGTTATGATAGTCACTGAATAGACTTCAAGCTCCCATCACGGGAAGAGTAAATATGTAAGTGTGTGTTTCTGTGTGTGCATACAGGTACATGTGTGCAAATGTGTGTGTGAATCCAAACTTGTATTTTGGCTTAGGAAGAAAAACTTCTAAATTCCATGAAAAAACTAGGCACTTTTTTTTGCATATGCACACATAAAAACACACACATTTAACTTTCAACTTTGTCATTCTGGGCAAAGAAGAGACTTGTGAGCTAATAGTAGTGATGACAGCTCCCAACAACCATCGCTATTGCCCACCTTCAACCCTTTGCCAACAACATCATCATCATTAATCATAGTCACAACAGAAAATTATTAGCATGTCTTAAATCTCATCCCACAAAGCCAGAGGCATTTTAATTAGGACTTGTAATTGATATACATGAAACGACATACAGTGAGGTCCATGCTAAGGCAAGGAATCAGTGAGATACAACTGGAACTTTATGAATACTGCCAACCACACAAGACAACAGATTTTGTGGTAAAACATGCAGTTTCTTGCATTCTGTCATCACTGGTGCCCTTTGTCTTGGCACCCCCACTTCTTGCCATCCTCCCTATCCCTCTCCCAGAACCCTAAAAGCAACCTGAAGCTGGAAGGTTCTCCTGTGGTTGCTCTTTCATTCCCCATCTGCAGCTGAGAGACCTGCAAAAGTCACCGTCCCACTGTGAACTGTGTGTTTCAGAAAGCCACTGGAGCCCTGACTGCTCACAAAAGTCACACAGATGATTGAGGTAATACACATTGAAAAGGCTAGTTTCATGATCTTGTGTCTGTTTTCAAGCTGCATATAGAAGAAGGCCTGGGAGTTTATTCATTCAACAAATATTTATCATGTATCTACTATGATCAAGGCATTGGACTAGTTCCTGAAGACATAACCTCTATTCATTCTTCTTCGTTAAACATTCAGCTAGAGCCAATTACTGACATTAAATCGTATCGTTCATTGTCATTTTTTTCTGTTTTTCTCTGTGCTGTATTTCATGACTCTTACACATGAAAGTCCTCCTTTTGTTCTTCCTCTGCCTAAGCACAAGCCATTCTTTTTCTCCTCAGCTTTATTGAGGTATAATTGACAAATAAAAATTGCCCATATTTAAGGTTTGCAATTTGGCATTTTGGTATATATATGCATTATAAAATGAATTACCACAATCAAGCTAATTATTGTATTAATCATGTCACATAATTATAATATTTTGGGGTGTGATGAGAACACTTAAACTCTCTTAGCAAATTTCAAGTATACAATTTAGTATTACTAACCATAGTCACAATGCTATATGTTAGATCTCCAGAACCTATTCACCTCATATAAATGAACCTTTGTATTCTTTGACCAACACGTTCCTAATTTCCCCACCCCCAGCCCCTGGCAACTACCATTCTACTTTCTGCTTTTATAAGTTCAACAAAAAATAACAAGTATTGGCAAGGATATGAGAAAAAGGAACACGCTGTTGGCGGGAATGTAAATTGGTATAGACATTTATGGAAAACAGTATGGAGATTCCTCAAAAATTAAAAATAGAGCCACCATATGATCCAGCAATCTCACTTCTGTGTATATATCCAAAAAAAAGTCAGTATCTCAAAGAGATATTTGTGCCCCCCATGTTTATAACAATATTATTCACAATAGCCAAGATATGGAAACAACCCTAGTGTCTGTCAACAGATGAATGAATAAACTGTGGGAAATATGTGTATATATACATACACACACAATGGAATATCATTCAGCCTTAAAAAAAGAAGAATATCCTGCCATCTGGGACAACATGGATGAACCTGGAGGACATTATGCTAACCGAAATAAGCCAGACACAGAAAGACAAGAACTGCACGATCTCACTTATATGTGGAATCTAAAAAAGTCAAACTCACAAATGCAAGCCATTCTTAAAATTTCAGTTTCAATTCCAAGTCCATGAAGTCTTCTCAGATCACCCCAATGAGAAATAATCTTGCTTTGATCAAAAAAATTTAATGCCTTTATTGTTTGTTTCACTCATAATGAACATTACATAATTCTTTCCCCCTTAGTGTGGGACAGACCTAGTGATTTACTTCTAAGGAACAAAATTTGACAAAAGTGATACAATAGCACTTCTGAGATTAGATTCTAAAAAGGGTGGCTTGTATACCTCTCTCTCTCTCTCTCTTTTTCCCTTACTCTTATAAACGAAAGCTGCCATATTGTGAACTGCCTTATGAAGACATATCCATGTGGTAAGAAACAGAAGCCAGCCTCAGGCCATAACTAGTGAGGAACTGAATCCAGCCATCAACATTGTGAGTCAGCTCAGAAGTAGATTTATCTCATTTGAGTCTTGATATAACTACAGCCCCAACTAGCATCTTAATTGCAGCCACATGAAAGAGACCACTGGCCAGAGGACCTAGCACATTCATGCTTGGATTTCTGACCCACAGCATTTGTGAGATAATTGTTCTTTTAAACCACTAAATTTATAAATAATTTGTTGCCCAGAAATAGGGAATTGACTCAATCCTGCAATTGTAGATCTTTGTATAACATAGTATTTCATTCATTCATTAATTCATCAAATATTTAGTGGGTACCTACTATTCTTTCTTCCAGGTGCTGGGTTAGGCAAGGTGAGTCAGAGAGGAAAAGAGGAGGGAGAGCAAATATAATGATGTTATTATTAAGAAGCAGGGTAGAAGTCAGACAGGTCATGGTCTGAATCTTCAATTTGCCACTTAATAACTGTGTATCACTTGAATAAATTATTCACCTCCTTAAGTCTCTTTCATTATCTGTAAAATGGGGATAATGATACTATTTATCTCCGAAAGTTTTTGTAAGGATTCTATGACATCAATCAGCTGAGGCATTAAGCATAGTGGTTGGCAAATAATGATTTTGAAATGGAAACAGTCATTATTTTTAAAAGTATATTCTTAATCAGTCTTTAAAACCAAGTTCAAGTCAAACAACATTGGCAGACATTAAAATATAATGCCCTAAGGAGTAGACCAGCTATTCTTTAGGAAATACTTCCACTGGGAAATTATTCTTCCCACTGCCTGTGTTTTTGCTGCTCCTGTGACACACTTCTGCTCCGAGTCCTCCCTAGCAGGAAACCAAAAGGGCATGAGCTGAAGTTTCAGTTTCCAACCATGATCAAGACCTTAGTCTGAAAGGCTGAGATGAGACTTACTAGGAGTTGTACCTGCAGGCAACTGGATCTTCTCTCATTTAACGGTGGTAAGGGAGAGCTTAGGGTTGGACTTCAAAGAAAAATTCAGAGAAACTTCTGTTTTGCTTAACGGGAAATATACTTGCCCAGAATAGAAGACGTTTACATTGCAGCCCTAGCTAGATTGTTAGGACTGTACAAACTTGAGCAAGTCATTTCAATTTTTTCATGATACTCTTCTCATATCAAATGATTCTCTTCCTACTCATCTTGCAGAGGCTTTCTTATTATAAGAATTAACTTCTCATTGTAAACAAGTAGGAAAATTCAGAGAAGTATAAAGAAGAATTATAGCCACCCCAAACCCATCTCCCATTTTGTTGTAGGTAATTCGTTTGTTCAATAATTAATTTTTTGGGTTCCTACCATGTACCCAACACTGTGATTTCAACTTTATTATATATGTTGTTATGCTCACATATATAATTTAAAATATAAAATGGATATGAATGTGCATAGTTGCATGTCTTCTCTTCTTCATTTAAGCCCAAGCCTTGTAGGATTGGCCTTTGAAAATATCTTTTTTATGAGTTGCATATCAATGCATCAATTAAGAGGTAATATAATAATTAAATCTTTAAAATTATTATTCTTCTACTGATGGTATTTTGGTTTCTGGTCACATTTCTCTTCACATATATAATGTTAGTCTCTGGATATTTCCATAGGATAGCTTTCCAGGAGTGATCTTATTGGAAATGGACTTGGGGGCATTTTTAAAACTTTTAATAACTTTTTGAGTAGGATGTACCAGTTTATGTTTTCTGCAGTAATATATGAGTAAACATTCTCCCAAGTCTGTTTTTAACATTTACACGTGGAATCTTTGGTCAAAGTTAGAAATGACCATGCAGAGCAACCTAGAGTAGCAACTTTTAAGCTTTTCATTCTTGCAGTGTGTTTGGAAACACTGTTGGCTATGACAGACAAATGAGCTTGTAGAGCTCGAAGGGTTTTTCCTCAGGTGTTCTGAGATATTCTCATTGAACAGACATTGGGTTTGAAGGCTCTTGCTCAAAGTAGACACTTTTATAACTGTTGCTGTTAGATGAGTGACTGCACCAAACTGATGATGATAAAAGTGAACACTAAGAAAAGACACACACACACACACACACAGAGAGAGAGAGAGAGACAGAGAGAAACAGAGAGAGAGAGAGAGAGAGAGAGAGAGAGAGAGAGAGAGAGAGAGAAACAGGGCGTTCACTTACTTTAGCCAAATCTTCCCTGTGGTTGAATACATCTGCTGTATTTTCATTGAAAATAAAACGTTTTTGGTTGAATGTGAAAATCTATGTCATGAAATGCCCCCAAGAGAAAAAACATGTATCAGGTGATAATGGATGTTATTACTAGAAGCAACATTTTTTCCTTTTTTTTTTTCCTAGCTTTCACTCAACCATAGTAAATTTTAATATGTGTGTCAGGTTTCCTGCAATTTATATAAAATGAAACTCTTTGGGGAAGATAACATCCGAATGTCCATATGATTTCATGCTGCTGTCTCAGCTTAGATCTAAAGCTAATGCCAGTTTCTTGTACTTTCTCCTGGGGAGATGTCAACAGAATATGCTGGTTCAAAATAAATGTGTCCCTGTGACTGTTATTTTTGATGGACCTGGCTGCGTTTCTGATCTCAGCAATCACCCCCTTCTGTGATCACAAGAAAAATAGGCCCATCTTTTAGGACAGGAATAATTTTTGCTTCACTGAATACTGTTTCTAAAGTTGTTTTTAGTCTCAGAATCTATCGGTCAATCATTGTGTCATATCTTTTTATGCAGAGAAGTTTAGTGTACACTGGTTCCCAAAACAAGTCTTGAACTCTAATGGAATATGATTGGTTCTTGAAGATTTCAAATAACCAAATAGTTCTTGAAGAACCAAATGATTCTTTCTTTTATTTTTATAGTCTTCTGAATTTGCTTCTTCCAGCTATCGTACTTTTGCTCTTTTTACCACCTGAGGGTTGATACATATACTTGGAGGCATTGCGAGATATACCACCAATACATATTGACAGAGTGTATATTTGGACTAAAATAACAAGAATGGTAGAGGATGTCAGTCCACAGTCAACAGATGACCATTGAAATATCCATGACTTTGTTACTTGCATAAGTCCAAGTTAGGAAAGCAGATAAGAATGACACGGTTTGTCTTAAAAAAGCTGAAGTGTGGTCAGGTGGACATGTGAAACTACTTATGTTGCATAACACAGCAGAGGGAACTAGTATCAACAAGTAGGTTCTACCTCCCAAATATCTCTTAAATCTATTTCTCTTCATCTCAACTCTCCACTGCTCTAGTATATGCCATTTGCACCACTTGCCTGGACTACTACCACAGCTTCATAAGTGGCCTCCCCTGTTCACATTTGCTTCCCTCCAATTCATGTCTTTCCCTGTCGTATAACACTTCAATAACTTCACATCACTTTAAACAAAGAGTTCAGAGTCTTAGATGGCTTACATATTCCTGAATAATTCTATTCTTTCCCCTCTTCCAGTCCCATTGCCTTGCCCTTTAGTCTTTGCTTCTCCTGTAGTGGGGTCATTGAGGAAGTGAACACTTTCACTTCTATGTAATTTCATGCTACAGCCTTGGTAGCATACTCCGTTCCCTCTAGTTTTGGAAACTCCAGACATATTTCTCCTTTGGTTGGAACTGCCCTTTCTTCTTCTAGCACTTCCTTGGTGCTCCTACTTGTGCTATCTAATCCATACTTATCCTTTAGGCTTCATGCATGCTCCTCCCTTCCTGTCCAGGCTATGTCCCTCAGTTATCAGTTCTATTGGCACTCTCTACCCCTTTTCCAGTGCTTTTCCTGTAATTATGTACACAGTGTCTATCTTCCCAGCTGCCTTAACACTCTATAAAGGAAGAGGCTGCTTTTCTTACACACTGCTATATTGTAGTAACTACAATATAGTATTCATTTGCCAGGAGATGCTTACATAATAAGTAAATAAATATGTGTTGAATGAGAAACTAAATAAATGAAAAGAATAAAATGAAATTCATTTTTTCTATTTGCACCAACTCTAACACTGAAAGTTTTCAGCTGTAAACCGGACAAGTTTTTGGTGGGGGTGTTGTCCTTTACTAGAAGTATTCTCATAGACACTAGAAAACCTCTTGGTGGAAACAATGCAATGGCATATAAAAGACCAAGTAGTATAACTGCACTATAAACTTTAGTTGCTCTTCCAAGTCTAGTGATTCTATGATTTGTAAATTACTTTAAAGCTGTGTTTGGGGGGTGGAGGAGACATAATATGAATAAAAAGATTAGTAAGGAGGAGATTAAACTTTTAGCTAAAGATGAATGATTTGAATATCTGGTTCTCCAATTTGCATGAGAAGGTTTGTACATGTATGGATGTTATGTCCTTGAGCACGGATGAAGGTGATATTCACTCATTCATTCATTCATTCATTGAACGAAGGTTTCCCTGCTGGGAACATAGCAGAGAATAAGAAAATAATGTGCTTCTCCTTAAGAAGTATCTATTCCAATGGATAATAAACACAAAATTCATGAATCAATACATGAGAGAAAAGTAGTAAATAATAATGAATAAGGATGAGATGGGAGGATGGCTTCTTTAATCACAGAATACTTACCTAAGAAGATGATATTTGAGTTGAGATTTGAAAGACATGAAGGAGAAGTTGTGCACAGATCTGAAGGAAGAGAAAGAAGGGTAGGGTGGACCCCTCGATGAAGGCCCTAAGGCAGAAGTAAGCTTGACATGTTGAAAGGGGAGAAGGAAGGCCAGTGAATAAGGCGCAGTGTGAAGAAAAGGGTGGCACAGAATGAGGTTGCAGCAGTGGGTGAGACAGATCAGGTGGGGGTTTGTAGGCTGTGATGAGGAGACTGAATATCATACTAATGAACTGAACAGTCATGGAAGTTTTGAGTAGAGGACTTACCTACTCACAGTTTGAGTTTGCCTTCCTATCCTTACTGTAAAAAACTTTTAGACTCATCTACCCTGTGGCTCAAGGTGGGACTTTCTGACTTTGGTAACACATGTTCTACTCTGTTCCTAGTTAGAGGAGAGCTCTGCTTATACTACCCAAAACAATTCCAAATGAATATCTTCTGAAAGTATTGGCTTAAATAAAAGCATTTTTGGAAGCTGGAAACATTGTGCAAAAGTTCAAAGTTGAAAGCAAAGACAACAACAAAAAGCTATTTAACTGATGTGTCAACTTCTACAGTCTTAAATCCTCTACCCTCTTTTATGTATTTCTAGAGGAATCATGGTTTCTCCCTTAGGACCTTTTAAATAGCAGGTAAACCTCATACAAAATGAAAGAAGTCAACCTCATTCTGCGTGACTACAAAAAATCCAACCTCTCAGAATATATCTAAATATTTCCAAAAAGTGCTTGCCTGTCCTGGTTGACTTTTGTCATTCTTGCTCTGAATTGTAACTTCTAATTCCTCACCCTACCATTTTTGGATGTTTATCTCTACCTCTCCTTGTCATTTAAATTTCTTCTCTTTGTTTTGCTTAAAATGTTGACATAGCACCTTCCTTTATTTTCAAGATAGTGCTAACAAGAGACTGAAACCAAGTTGTATCAGGATAGTAAACTTTGCTCGAAAACTGAAGATATTATAAAGTCATGTTAATTGAGATGAGAGCAATTTGACTCAAAACTAGACATGAGTGTCCCCTGAACTAGTCATCTTTCCTCTGTCACAGGAAACTCCTTCCACACAGTGCTCACTGTGGCTCTAGATTGGTGTCCTGTTGATGAGGCCTTCTAGTTCTCTCATTTTTTCTCTTCAACCAATAAATGGAACCCCAGTTTTTGTTTCTTGACCTGTGTAGAAATATGCAGTGTTTGTTAGTGTCCTTGCTATGAGTTAAATTGTATCTTTGCCAAATTCCTGTATTGAAGTCCCAATCCCTAGTACTTCAATATGTGACTATATTTGGATATAGGATCTTTAAAGATGTAACTATGTTGAAATGAGGTCAATAATGTGCGCCATAACCCAATATGATGGGTGTCCTTGTAAGAAGAGGATTTTGGACCCAGACAGACATGGAAGGAGAATGCCATGTGAACATGAAGACAGCCATCTACAAGCCAAGGAAAGACACTTCAGAGGAAACCAACCCTCACATCTAGATATTAGACTTCTAGCACCAAGAACTGCGGGAAAATAAATTTCTGTTGTTTAAGCCATCCACTCGGTGGTATTTTTTGTTATGGCAGCCCAGTAGTCTAACACAACCCTCCAGCCTCTTTTCATACCTCTTCAGTTTTTTGTTTAGTTTTGTTTTGTTTTTTTCCCCAGAATTGTACTGTTCCTCTATAAAACACATGTTTCTGTTACTAATCCATGCACTTACCATTATTGTCTGTAGTGTTTCTATTCCATTACCTCTATCCATGGTAAAATTAACTAATATCAAATAGATATTTGAACTGCACTAGTATGATCAAGAAGGCTTTCTAAGTGATCACTTGCAGGAAAACAAAGAATCTGTCCTAGAGATTTGTTCATGTCTCTGGGAAAATTTTTGGCATTCTTATAGGAGCCAGATTACCTCATGTTTCTAGCCATCACTTCCTCAGAAGTATTGATGTTTGGTTTCAGAGTGCTCCATTATTTTCCTTTGTAAATCCAGGCTTGAGCATTTCCCAAGCTCTAAAAGCACTCATTTACAAATATTGATGCCTTCCTTTGGCGTGACAATCAGCCCAGACCTTTTCACACCTCTCTGTTAGTGTCCCCTAGACTACCAAAGTCAGCTCAAGCAAACTGGCTGGCCGAGCAGCATGCCAAAGCCAGGCACAGAGATGCACAGCTGTGTTCTCTACTTCATTAGCACATGTGCCAAGTGGAAGCTGCCCCTAGTGTCTTCCCCTTCCAGCCAGGTCAGTCTAAATTCCACATGCTTAATAAGGCCTTATAGAAATATTTGTGTGTCATGCCTTATGCTAAGGACTCGAAATTTTATCCCATTCGGTCCTTACCACAACCCTCAGATATAGAAGTTGTCACATTTTGCAGATGAAGAAATGGAGGTTTGGAGGATTTAAATGACTTACCAAAGTCACAGGCTGGTAGTACGGGGATCCTGTGCTAAGGTGTACGTGCTACAGAAGTCCTAGATTTTTATCCTTCTGTTAGAATCATTGTGAAGCTTTCCTGATTTCTTTAGGCTTAATCATCACTCCCTTCTATCACTTTTTATATCAAATGTTGCCATAACCATTCAGCACTTAGCTGTGGCCCACTTTGAATTGTTCTCTGTTTATTTAATGTGTGCTTGTCTGGTGACCCCAGCTATATTATCCTTCTTCTGTGACAGAAACAGTGCTAACAGCTATTCTATGTTTACTCCCATGCAGTTTTGTACTCAGTGCTGCTGATTTCCTAGGAACTCAAGGAAATCTTATGAAATTCTCCTTTGGAATGTCTTATAACAACAAATACCAAACAAGGGGTAATTTGGTGAAATTTTTTGAGAGGCAATGCAATATCAAGGTAAGAGCTGTAGCCTAATATTCAGAATATCACAATTCCAGTCTCAACTCAACTCTTGCCATCTCTTTTGTTCTAGAGAAGTTACTTTAACCCCTCTAAGTTTCAGTTTTCTTCTCTGTAAAGTGGGAATAAACCACATTTCAAGGACTTGCTATGAGAACTGGAGGTGAGATTGGGAATGAAGATGCTTTCTAGATTATAAAGTGCCATCATATACAAGGGACTATTTACTTCAGCATTTGTAGTTTTGTCATTAATCTTCACCTACAGTAAATGACATCTCTCAATTGTTTCATTTTCTCCATGAAAACAAAACAAAACAAAACAAAACACATAGGTGGTCTACAAAGTTTCTTCTTATTTTAACACAAGACTCCATGAATTTCTCCTTATGGTGATCGTGAGAATGTGTGGGATTGGCTGGGGTGGCTGTGTAAGCCAGACCTTCCAAAGTGAGAACTGATGCCTTATATTCAAAGGGCTTCTCACTCACATCCCACTTGCCAGCCAAAAGGATCACATCTCATGTGGGGGCTGTTTGTGTCTTCAGGGAAGGGGTGGTGTGGTTATATGAAACGCGTTATCACCAGCGCAGATTGAGAAATGCCATTCTCCATGAGTTTATGATTCCAATGACTTTCTTTCCTGCATGGCGTATATCAACTCACAACTGTATGCTGATGTCTTTGAACATTTGCCACAAAAATAAAAAAAATAAAATCTGAAGATAAACATTTTTTCACTTTCTTTCAAAGTGCAGTTGTTTTTAAGATTACTTCCCCCATACCCCCAAACAAAAATTCCTTACATTTTTCTCTTCTTTTGACAAAGAAAGTGGGAATGAGGGCATGTTTAACAGAGATGGAAATGGAACAAACATATATTCACAAACTAACTGCTAAAATGCAGTTTTATTTTCTATCGAACAAAAGCTCCAAGAGTGCTAAAAGGGTCTGGAAATGGCACTAGGTAAGAATGTGAATGTGTTTGTGACTCTACATTTCATGACCTTGCTGCAACTTCCTGTCTTGAGTATATTGAAGCAAAGTAGGCCATGAAATTGCAGAGGTTTGGCTTCTTCTCTAGGAAAGGTGGCAGTTGGAATTTTTACTACTAAAGTGCTCAACTACTGAGGACCTCTTTTCTTCAGAGAAAGTGGTTTTTAAATATTTAAAAATACTTAATTTCTTTCCAGATTTCCAGAAATATAAAAGCTAAATGGAAAGATGAAAAGAGTTGAACTGACTTTGGGGAGCACAGCATCCATGAGTACAAGCCGTTTTTCTCTGAGTTATCTTTTGAAACACAGATTATTTCACAAATTATTCAACTTCTTACCAGCAAACAGGCTCCAAAATATCTATAAAAAATAGTTGACCTTCTGTGCTCTGGATTTCATGATCCTCCATAGTTTTTCTCCAAGCAACTACCTTTCTGGTCATATTCCTTTCTCTAATCCTCTAGACATTCCGCGTTTGGCCATACAAGTCTCTCATCATTTTCTTCAACTACTAAGCAAGTTAACACATCCTAGACTTTTGTTCCTAGTGTTCCGTCAGTTTGGAACAGTCTTGTAGTTATTGAAATCTTTATTTGTTCTTTAATTCCCCATTGAAATGTCATTTCCCCCACAACATTGCTCTTGAGCTTCCAAATGGAATATTTATCCCATATTTCATATTATGAAAGTTTGTTATTTATACCATTATTTGGTATTTTATTCAAGCTTGCCTAGAAGTTATGAAGCATCTGTTTTCCCTCTTTGATCGTAAGCAAGTTGAAGACAAAAATGTTTTTCAGTGTTGATTTCCTTGGCCCCGTTTAAATGCCTAGTGCTTCATAAACAAGTTGTGAATGGATGAATAGAAGAATGGATGGATGGATGAATTAGGAAATAGCATAAACTGGTGTAATAAATTATGAATTCATAGTCTTTACCTTGTCTGAAAATGATTGCTTGACACCATTGCAGTGTATGTCCGTTAGTTAAATGTCTGTTAGTTTTATTTTTATGCATTTCACAGCCTTTCATTTGAGGAAGATTCTTTCACCAATTTCATAGTAATCTGCTTGGTACATGAGGCTCAGATGAAGCTTACTCATACTCAAATTTAGGCACACGATCCAGGCCTAATAGAGTATTCCTTTCACTGCAGGGCAGGGACTGGTTCGGGGGTGGAAAGAGGATCCAAGCTGGAACAATTCAATTTTTCTCCAAGACACTGAACAAAGTTAGTGGGGGAGACTCCTTTCTGGGAGATTTTGAGTATAAAGTTGATGTGAGCTGGAGCTACCGCAACCTTTGTTCCCACCAGCAAGGGAAAAAGTAGAGTCAAAGGAAGGAAAGAAAAATAATTCTGATGATGGTGTTTGAATCATTAGACCTAGCCAAGCCTATACCTCACTTCCCAGGATGTGAGTAGACACATCCCATTATTTATTTATTTTTTACGTTATTTTAAATTCAATTACGATTACTTCTAAAAGCGAAATAATTCTAACACAGGAATATTCAAATAAATTGTCCCAATAGTGTCACTTTTTTTCTAATAAACAATTGTATCTCTGAGGAAAATCATTGTAGTCAATGGGAAATCTAGCCAGTTATTAAAGAAAAACAATTGTCAAAAATAAGTTGTATAGCAATCTATAACTCTATGCCTTTGTCTTAACTCTGCAAGTCCTTATTGATTCAATCTTTTTTTTTCCCAAGCCTGCTACTTCTTTCTCCCTCTACTGCCACTCCTATGACACAATTCATCACCTTCCCTCACTCCACACCAAGAGCAGCCTCCAACTGGACTCTTGTCCTCTAATCCCTTCACAGTTGGTCCTCTGCTCAAGGCCAGGAGGGTCTTGCTTAAAGAGTCTCATGTCAATCCTTTATTTGAATCACATGTCATTGTCTCCTGTTATTCTCAGAAGAAAGTCCAAATTCCTCAGCTTAATTGACAAGTTTCTCCTTTCTGTCCGTTGTTGTCTCTTTCAACTCCCCCTTGCCTTCCTTGCTTCAACCATACTGACTTTAAAAATCAAATTTCTCAGTGCATCATAATCTTTCTTCATTATAGGATTTTGCATAGTCTGTTCTCAATTACTCTTTAAAATGGCTCCTTCTCCTTTGGAGTGAGTTGAATAACGCCTCCCAGAAATTCATGTCCATCTGGAACCTCAGAATATGGACTTATTTGGAAATAAGGTCTCTGCAGAAGTAATTAGAGTAGAGATAGAGATTATATTGGATGAAGATGGGCATTAAATCCAATGACACTGTCCTTATAGGGGACAGAAAGGGACATAGAGAGACACAGAGGAAAAGGTCATATGAAGATGGAGTCAGAGACTAGAGTGATGTATCTGCAAGCCAAACAACCCCAAGCAAAGACTGCCCACAACCCACAGAAGCTGGGAAAAAGGCATGGAACAGCCTTTCCTCAGAGGCTCCAGAAGAAACAATCTGTGTACACATTGATTTTGGATTTCTGGCATCTTGAACTCTCAGCATACTGTTGCTTTAAGCCACCCTATTTGTGTGACTTTGTTATGGCAACCATAGGAAACTAAAACAACTTTCTTCAGGTGTCACTGTCTATGGTGATACATTCTATACCACTAGATTAAATCAAGTGTCCCTTGATGTGTTGCCATAGAATCCTCTACTTTTTCCACCTCAGTATGTTTAATTTTCTGTTTGCTTGTCCTCTAGTAGGCTATACCACATGGGGCTCTCTCTTTCACTGTTTTGTGCCTAGGACCCATCGAGGTGCCCAGTAAGGACAGGTTTCCATAGCATGCTTTCATGGATTTTCTATATCATAGAAAATCTTTTGTTTTTTTGGCACCTAGTAAAGTGACTGAGATATAACAAATGCTCCGTAAATGTTTACTCAGTAATGGTTTCTGTCAGTTGATTGTGTTGTCAGCTGTAGTACAACCTATTGACTGTGGTTCCCACAAATCCTGGTCCTTACTAAGGAGTGGAGAGCTCATGCAGAGGGGGTTCTATTTGTAGAGCCCTTAAAAATTCCATAATTCTCTATTATGCATAGCTGAAGGTGACTGTGCAAAAACCCTCTGAAGAATGTTTAGGTAAGCAGACATACTTATCTCCAATTTACAGGGGCAGGGGATGGGGAGCTGAATCTTATACCTAGGGAATGACCATAGAACTGAGAAGTTCTAATTCTGAATCCACCATTCCTGCCACTGACTCCTAAGACCCTTATTAATATTGAGATAAAAACATTCTAATCCTTCAATTATCCATTTAAACAATTTTTTTTGAGATGGAGTTTCGCTCTTTTTGCCCAAGCTGGAGTGCAGTGGTGCGATCTCGGTTCACTGCAACCTCTGCCTCCTGGGTTCAAGCAATTCTCTTGCCTCAGCCTCCCAAGTAGCTGGGATTACAGGCACAGGCCATCACGCCCAGCTAGGTTTTTTTTTTTTTTTTTTTTTCTGGTAAGTTTAGTAGAGACATGGTTTCGCCATGTTGGCCAAGGTGATCTTGAGCTCCTGACCTCAGGTGATCCACCCACCTCGGCCTCCCAAAGTGCTGGGATTACAGGTGTGAGCCACTGTGCCCAGCTACATAATTCTTTTAGTGATCCTTGTGATAGGTAAAGGGAAGGCTGTTGGGAGAATTTAAGCAAGATGACAGGGAGTATAGGGCAGTGGGATTCTAAGGGCATAAATCCCAGGGAAATCTCAAGTGGCAGCAGACAGCTATGGTTTTTGAATGAGCTCTTATTAGTCTTCTTGGCCCTTTCTGAATGTGTTCTCCCTCATTAGAAATATATTATGGAGCCAGCAAACCAGTAGGTGATATGAAAACTAAATGGACAAAGAGGTGGAGGAAGGACTGGAGAGTGTATACTTGTGCTAAATAAGACAAGAGGGAATGCAATTGTGCATTATGATGAATAAGTAGTCTACAAAAGCCATGGGGTTGGTAGACGCTGAGAGCAAGAGCAGTTGAGAGTGAAAAGCAGAGCACTCTGGGAATGGAGAGGCAGTCAAAAATAGCAACATGTTCTTGCTTTCAAAATTTCCACTTGAGGGGCATTTGGAGGCTAGTCAGGCCTGGGATTTCCAGATTTCTTTGAGATAAATAAATGATGTTTGCTCTCTTTGTGTGTGGATGCTGAAAGAAGAAAAACCTTTTTGTATTAGTAAAACAAACAAACAAACAAAAACCATAGAATGTGTTGAAGCAGTATCTGTTCTTTGGGGATGGAAAAACACAAGACAGTGTGTATGTTAAGTAGTTCCAAGCAGGAGGCGCAGAGGAGTCTCCACACATTTTTACTCTGGGTGGTACACTATGTGACTAAATGCATCGGCTTTGCAGTTAGACTGACTTAGCACAAATCTTGAATCTATTACTATTTCACTTGTGTAGTCTTGGACAAGTTACTCCACTTCCCTGGGTCCCAGAATTCTCATCTATAAAATGCGGACAAATGATATACATAATTCATAGGTAAGAGTAAAGGGAATTATGATGTAAATGATGTAGAATAGTGCACAGCACACAATAAGCACTCGATACATATACACCCTTAGTTTTAATATCTATTTTATGTAGACTCAGCCATAAAAGTAGAAAGGTAAGAGAGTAATATATGTAAAAGTCAAATGCTCAGACTGTTGGGACAGGCAGACCCTTCCCCTCATTGACGGCTCACTACTGGGGAGTGATTTAACTTCTATAAGCTTAATTTCCACTTTGGTAAGATAGGATAAGATGACAATAGAATCTTTCTCATAGGTTGTTGTGTCATATGAAGCACTTGCTTGATTTTCTGGCACATAGTACAAGGTGTACAAATAGCAGCTGTTATTATTACAGAGTTGGAATTAGGCATTGGCTGTGAAACCAGAATGCTTTAGTAAAATATAATATGTTAAGCAGTGAAGATTTTTATTCCATGGGCCACCAAAAGAATAAGTTGATTTAATTCAGCCCTTTAAAGAAAAACAAGCAAAAAGCAAACCAACCAACCAAACAGCAACAACAACAACAAAGCAAAGAAACAATCTTGCTGATAGAAGGTATTGTATTTTTTATTACAAGGTAAAGCATATTTCTGTGCATGTGTGTGTGTGCGTGTTTCTCTCTGTGTACCAAAATGATAGCAATGTTTTTTTTTAATCAGATTTTATTTGGGGATGGTACCAAAAATGAGATTGCACAAACTTCTTTATGTACCTTCAAGGTATTATCTTTGACCAAGAGAACTTTTGATCTCCAGAGTCAGTGTGATAAATGCAGTTACTTGTTAGTGTAGTCATTGGAAATCTATATAATTTTGGAAAACTTTAAGAGAAAAGTATGAGGGTAAGAAGATTACTAAAATATTTCACAAATTTTGGCTTTCAGTTGTATCTAAAATCATAAATTCAATTTAGAACATCTAATGACTGAGGTACAATCACTAAGGCAAAAAGTTGTTGACAAAGATACCCTTTGAGGTGGCTTAAAATCTATGCTAAGAGGCAGGGATGAGAAAAGATAACTAGTGCTTCAATAAGCATGAGTGTGTGTGGGAAGGGGGGTTGAGGAGCTGAGAATTTTCCTCTGTTTAATTCTTACCACAAGCCTCTGAGGTATGTAATATGGTTGTGATTTAAGTCCAGATATTTTTATTCAAGTAGACTATGACTTAAATCCCAGCACTACCACCTTCTAGTTGCATAAACCTGAGCATCATAAGCCTCCATGTTGTCACTTATAAATTGGGGTTAATAAATCTGTTTTCCTGGTTTCTTGCCAGAATTATGTAAAACAATAAATGTAAAGATGCTCACACAATACCTGGCACAGAGTACTTGGTCAACAAAAGAAAGTTGTTATTCTTGTTGTTACCAATTTTTGCAGAATAAAAATTATGGCTCTAAGAGAAGGCAAAAGCTGTCCAAAACTTGAAATCTTAACTGACAGAGAATTTGGCAAGATGATATAAAATCCATGTTATTCATAGGCGCTACCAAGTTTCTCAATTCTCCCTCCACAAGCCACACTTTGGAATCTCAAGAGCTCACTCACCCACCTCCTCATGCTGTCACGCTTAACATCCTCCTTCCCAATAAGAACTGCAAGAATTACTGCCACATGTGTAATATTTACCATGTGGCAGCTTTTGTGTAAAAAAAAAAGAAACCCTCCAGTGGCTTACACACAATTATAGACTGAAGCAGGTTGGCAAAAGGGTCAGGATTGATGGTGGTGAAGAAAGGCTGTGCTTTATGAAATCACTCCAAATCCCATGTTACCCTGTACTCAGCAGGCAGACAGGAAAAGAAAAGAGACTGGAGATTTCAGGGGAGATTCTTATGGGCCAGGTCTCAAAATGATACCACTTTCTCCTTCTATTGCTTAGATATCAGTCCCATGAAAAAACTTAACTGCAGGGAAGTATGGGCGATGTGGTATTTAGCTGGGTACCCCAGCAAAAGGCTGGGGTGAACAAGTTGCTAGTGTCTGCAACAACAGCCGACCTCCCCCTGCCCATCACTATTCACACACATGGAGACACACACTCTTATAGGGGAATGGCCTGAAGGAGGCGACATGAAAATCTTGGCCATAACATTAATGAAGAAAACAAACAACAAAATCAATCTAATATTTATTTTTCGTGTGAGCATCAGCTACTGATGCAGTAGCTGAGACGCAGTAGATGAGAGATGTACATCAATTACAAACAGGCATGGCTTTTATCCATCAATTATGTTTCTAGGTACTTATCTGAAGTAAATAAGTGGAAAACATAGAAAGATATATGTAAAACATGCTCATTACAGCATTATTGGAATAGAGAAACCATAGATTAAAATGTACACCAATAGAAGATTGATTATATAAATTGTGGTGCATTTATACAATGTAGCACTCTGTAGCCTTTAAATGTAAAAAAGTGTTTTCACATACACTTATATGACAAGTTGCCAAATACCAAATATAATACATTCTATGCAATCATCTGAGCCACTGTGTGCTGCCTGCACTATGTGAAGTCTATGCCGTGAAGCTGAACAGCACAGCAACCCTGGAAATATCTATAGCTATCTTTATATTTATATCTCTATATAGAGACTCCTCCTGTTCCTATCCAGTAGATAGTTCTTACAAACTTAGGGAGCAAATAGAATAACATCTTTTTAATTTTACCAGATTAATTACTGAAGTTCCCATATACCTCAATTGCAGAAAATTCAGAATATCCTCCATGATGCACTTCTAGCCCTCTGAGAAGTTCAAGAAAATGGAAGGTGTGAGGAGAAGCAATGGATCAGTTTGGCTTCCACTCTTGGTGGGGCGAGGGGAGTAAACCACAGTACACTGTCTCCCAGGAGAGTCACTGGCACCTAGTGTGAGAGATGGTGTCGGTCTTCTGCCACTCTGGCATCCTGCATAGCCCACCACGAAGCCCTGGAACTGTATCCTCTTTCTTCACAGGGGATCCGCCTGAGTAATGGCCAGCTTTCCTCTAAATTCTCAAAGCAGAAATTGTTGGATTGCATTAACTGTCACTTAATAAAGGTATAACTCACTAATTCCTCTGAGGGAGCATTCCCTCAATGACTCTCAGGCAATTTTCCTTTTTAAGAAAGACTCTTTAAGAGATTTCAAAGTGTACTCACATGAGTCCTTCCAGAAGGATGAGAAAGAAGAAATTCCATCCATAATTATGGGTTACTGTACCTCTGACACTAGAAAATAAGTGATACAAATTTTATAAATGTAGAATGAATGCATATTCACTTATAGAAAACATTTCATTTTCTTCATATAAATGTGTCTATTTGCATATAAAGTTTTATATGTGACCTACATATAATCTATAAAATCTGTATAGATATGTATGAAAAAAGAGAGGGATGTCTGGAAGGAAGGTCCCAAAATAGTATCAGTTGTCTGTAATGGTGATGTTGTTTTGCTCATTTAACTTATTTATTTATAAATATATTATTTATTTTGAATATATAACTCATAAAATCCCATTCCTTGCATTTCTATATGCTATATAATGCCTTAATTTAACATCATGTGTAGGTGTGTTTGCATGTGTATGGACTCCTATTTTAGTAAATCCTTGTTTAAACTTGTTTTCGCTGTCCTAGGTGAAAAGTCTTAGGACACAAATTATTAAAAGTTGTATGTTAGTGCTTAAAGTTAACGCAAATTGGGCCTCTGGAAGGACCTGGGTGAAATGCAGTTAGTTACGTTCTTCTCTAAGCAATTTTAATTCTACGTTACCTTCTTTTTCTCAGTGACAGCCATGTATCTGTTCATTAGGCATCTCTCTATTCCTCTCTCCTTCATTGAAAAATGTTGGTAATCGGTGTTGGTGGCATTACCATTATGTCTTTGGGAATTATTTCACTTGTTCCTGATTCCATAAACCAGTGTCTAATCATAATGGCTAAAGGCCTGTAGGTGGCGTATCTGCAAGCACATGGCCCCAGAGAAATGGAAGTTCTGGGTTAGAGGTAGAGGTTGGGTCAGAACCTCTAGAGACAAGTGTCTTATAGTTCTACTGTCCCTTATAGAACCTTTGTCAAACTGAAGGTTTTGTCAAACTGAAATGACCTGAATTATTTTGTTGAATATAAATTAACCTGCTTCTTTTAGGGCCTGGAGTATCTCATAGTTTTCTCTTTCCAAGTAAATTTTCAAAATATTTCAAACATAGAAAATTAAGGCCAACACCAAGAAAATTTGTCACTGTTTAATGTACCTGAAGCAATAAAAATAAAAGGTTTCCTGTTGGCTTTAGGTTAAAAAAGAAAATCCTTCCTTAGCAAGCAGTCCACGGCGAGCTGTGAAGGAATGAGAATGCTATTTGGTGGAAGGCTCCAGTGACGTGGAAGGATGTTTAGGTGACTGTGTTCAATAGATTTTGCTTGACTCCCTCTCCCACATGGGAGAGTTGCCTTTAAAGCACATTATTTTGTTATCAAAGCTAGAAGCAGTGTGACGGAAGTGAGACTCAGATTTCAAACCCCTCTACTTTGAACATGAAGGGTCTCTAGGTGACCTGACTTCTGACTGAAGCTTTAGGGAATCCTAAGCCTTCCTTTGAGTCCAGGCTGAGACAGACAGGGCTGATTTGCAGAGATCCTCACCTCATTTCCTGAAGTTTTGATTCAACTCAATGTGGGCTTCAACAAACGTTTCCTTTCCCACCATCCCCTGGCTGTGAGCTGATGCTGACTTGAGTCCTCTACTGACTTAAGCATATTTTTAAAAATTAAAAACAAGCTTTGATCCCTAATACAAAATTGCACAGTAAGTCCTCACTTATCAGTACCAATAGGTTCTTGGAAACAGTCACTTTAAGTGAAATCACATGTAACAAGCCATTTTTTTCTCATCAATGTTACAATGTTAAACAAAATGATGTTATTTTGAAGACCTGCTGTATGTAACTTCATTTCATCACTTAACTGCTGACATTGAAAACTTACATCAAGTAACTTCTTTGTCAAAAAGTTAAAAGACAGTATAATTAAAAGATTGAAAATAAAAAATACCCACACTGTCACCACACAGACACACACACACAGACACACACACACACAACTTGTTTTTGTGTGCATGCTGCACAGTAGCATTTGATGTACAGGTGCTCCAAAATTTATGATGTTGTTATGTCCTGACAAACTCATAGTGTGTTAATATAGTTGGAAAGTGCTTTTAATACATCCAGCTTACAGAGCATCATAGCTTAGCCTAGCCTATCTTCAATGTGCTCAGAATACCTACTTTAGCCTACAGTTGGGCAAAACCATCTGGTAACACAATACTAAAGAGTAGGGGTTGCTTATCCTCCTGATCATGTGGCTGATTAGGAGCTGTGTCTCCCTGCCTCTGCCTAGCACTGTGAGAGAGTAATATTCTGCATATCCCTAGCCTGGAAAAAGACCAAAATTCAAAATTTGAAATGTGGCTTCTGTAGAATGCATATTTCTTTCACACTTTCATAAAGTCAAAAATTTTTAAGTTGAGCCATTATAAATTGAGGATCATCCATATTAATATGTTGTTAATATGTTAATATTTTATATGCATAAATATATATTATTAATCTTCAATATTTATTATTAGCTATTGAGGCTAAAATAATGTACTGTAACCATTTCTGCTTATCCTCCATTTTGTTGGTATTTACTTTGCTTTCAAACTAATCAGAATTCATGGCTGAAAAGGAGGCAAGGAAGAATTTCAGCTGAAGAAATTTGAGGGTGGCCAGACAGATATTTGGGTGTGAAGTGAAGGTATAGCCTAGTAATCTTCAAATCTCATTTATTCCTGTAGGCACCGCTCTTTCCAAGATACTTTTTTTAATCTCCACCTAATTAGTTAGCACAAGTTTCAGGAAGATTCTATAAAGATATTCTCAACTTCTTAAAACTCGATTTTGAAAGACATATTCTTATGTCTGTATCTCTAACATTTTAAAATAATAAGCGACACACATGCACACACTATTTGGGATCAAAAGCCCAACTTACATCACTGTTTTGGGTAAATTCCTCCTCTACTTATAAGGAAAAATATCTCATTTGTAGGAATTCATGTAGCTTTGGAAAAATTTCACCATATCTTATGGGAAACAATTTTTCTATTAGCCTAAGATTTCAAAACCTCAAAAGTTTTTATCCTTGTTTCCTAGAAAATATCTTAGGAAAACAACTGTAATAGTATCTAGAAGTCAAAAGATTCGGTTAAGTCCTCTCACAGAACTCAGAAAGCAATATTAATTTGATTTTTGGGGGGAGTACAGTAGAGGAAGGCACATATCACAAATTTTTGACAAGGCTTTGTCATTTTTCATCTGTGTACATGTATTATAAAAAGCACCTTCCCTCATTGCTTGTTTTTGTCAGGTTTGTCAAAGATCAGATGGTTGTAGAAGTGTAGTGTTATTTCTGAGGACTCTGTTCTGTTCCATTGGTCTATATATCTGTTTTGGTAGCAGTACCATGCTGTTTTTATTACTGGAGCCTTGTAGTATAGTTTGAACTCAGGTAGTGTGATGCCTACAGCTTTGTTCTTTTTGCTTAGGATTGCCTTGGCTATATGGGCTCTTTTTTTGTTCCATACAAAATTTAAAGTAGTTATTTCTAATTCTGTGAAGAAAGTCAATGGTAGCTTGATGGGGATGGCATTGAATCTATAAATTACTTTGGACAGTATGGCCATTTTCACGACATTGCTTCTTCCTATCCATGGGCATGGAATGTTTTTCCATTTGTTTGTGTCCTCTCTTATTTCTTTGAGCAGTGGTTTGTAGTTCTCCTTGAAGAGGTCCTTCACATCCCTTGTAAGTTGTATTCGTAGGTATTTTATTATGTTCATAGGAATTGTGAACGGGAGTTCACTCATGATTTGGCACTCTGTTTGTTACTGGTGTATAGGAATGCTTGCGATTTTTACACTTTAATTATGTATCCTGAGACTTTGCTGAAGTTGTTTATCAGCTTAAGGAGATTTTGGGCTGAGACAATGGGGTTTTCTAAATAAATCATGACATCTGCAAACAGAGACAATTTGACTTCCTCTCTTCCTATTTGAATACCCTTTATTTTTTTCTCTTGCTGATTGCCCTGACTAGAACTTCCCATACTATGTTGAATATGAGTGGTGAGAGAGGGCATTCTTGTCTTGTGCCAGTTTTCAAAGGGAATGCTTCCAGCTTTTTCCCATTCAGTATGATATTGAGTGTGGGTTTGTCATAAATAGCTCTAATTATTTTGAGATACGTTCCATCAATATCTAGTTTATTGAGAGTTTTTAGCACGAAGCGGTGTTGAATTTTATCGAAGGAATTTTCTGCATCTATTGAGATAATCATGCGGTTTTTGTCATTGGTTCTGTTTATGTGATGGATTGCATTTATTGATTTGCATATGTTGAATGAGCCTTGCATCCCAGTGATAAAGCCAACTTGATCATGGTGGATAAGCTTTTTGATGTTCTGCTGGATTCCCTATTTAATAAATGGTGTTGGGAAAACTGGCTAGCCATATGCAGAAAACTAAAACTGGACCCCTTCCTTACACTTTATACAAAAGTTAACTCAAGATGGATTAAAGACTTAAATGTAAGTCCTAAAGTCATAAAAATCCTAGAAGAAAACCTAGGCAATACCATTCAGGACATAGGCATGGGCAAAGACTTCATGACTAAAACACCAAAAGCAATGGCAACAAAAGCCAAAATTGACAAATGGGATCTAATTAAACTAAAGAACTTCTGAACAGCAAAAGAAACTATAATCAGAGTGAAAAGGTAACCTACAGAATGGGAGAATTTTTTTTTTTTTTTGAGATGGAGTCTTGCTCTGTTGCCCAGACTGGGTGCAGTGATGCACTCCATTATCCTGCCTCAGCCTCCTGAGTAGCTGGGACTACAGGGGCCTGCCACCACGCCGGTTAATTTTTTGTATTTTTTTTAGTAGAAACGGGGTTTCACCGTGTTAGCCAGGATAGTCTCGATCTCCTAACCCCGTGATCTGCCTGCCTTGGCCTCCCAAAGTTCTGGGATTAGAGGTGTGAGCCACTGCACCCAGCCAAAAATTTTTGCAATCTATCCGTCTGACAAAGGGTTGATATCCAGTATCTACAAGGAACTTAAACAAATTTACAAGAAAAAAAAAAAACCATCAAAAAGTGGGTGAAGGATATGAACAGACAGTTTTCAAAAGAAGACATTTATGCAGCCAACATACATATGAAAAAAAGCTCATCATCACTGGTCATTAGAGAAATACAAATCAAAATCACAATGAGATACCATCTCATGCCAGTTAGAATAGCGATCATTAAAAAGTCAGGAAACAACAGTTGCTGGAGAGCATGTGAGAAAGAGGAATGCTTTTACACTGTTGGTGGGATTGTAAATTTTTTCAACCATTGTGGAAGACAGTGTGGCGATTCCTCGAGGATCTAGAACTAGAAATACCATTTGACCCAGCAACTCCATTACTGGGTATATATCCAAATGATTATAAATCATTCTACTATAAAGACACATGCACACGTATGTTTATTGCAGCACTATTCACAATAGCAGAGACTTGGAGCCAACCCAAATGCCCATCAATAATAGACTGGGTAAAGAAAATATGGCACATATACACTATGGAATACTGTGCAGCCATAAAAAAGAATGAGTTCATGTCCTTTGTAGGGACATGGATGAAGTTGGAAACCATCATTCTCAGCAGCCAACACAGGAACAGAAAACCAAACACTGCATCTTCTCACTCATAAGTGGGAGTTGAACAATGAGAACACATGGACACAGGGAGGGGAACATCACACACTGGGGCCTGTTGGGAGTAGGGGAAAGAGGTGGGATCGCATTAGGAGAAATACTTAATGTAGATGATGGGTTGACGGGTGCAGCAAACCACTATGGCACGTATATACCTGTGTAACAACCCTGCACGTTCTGTACATGTATCCCAGAACTTAAAATATCATAATACAAAAAAAATTTTAAAAAGCACCTTCTTTGCCTTTTTATGCTTCTGATTTAGGATGTTAATGCTACTTAGTGTGATTGTACCAGTTGTGTTGTCTGTATTATCTTCTTTTGAATTTTGTGAAATACTCTAACTGAATGAGAACAAGAAAAGCGACAGCCCTCTCTCTGATTTTTCTCTAGAGAGACACCTAGTTTCAAATTCAAGCAGAACAGATGGTTCAGAGCCCTTGATGGTCACTGCCTATGCACTTTCTTTTAATGACTACTGTAAGTAAATGTCAAAATGTCTTGTTCATTCAGAGATTAAAATGGTTCTGCACAGTCAAGAGGCAACTTGACTTCATGACTAAAACACCAAAAGCCTTATTCTACTTGGTAGAAGGGTGCTTGTTCTGCAAAGGCCTGGGCTCAACTCCTGGGTCTGTGAATTCATAGTTACTGGTTCTTAGGCTAGTCCTTCCACCCCTCTTAAATTGGGTTTCCTTAACTGTAAAGAACAAAGCACAGTACTTCTCTGAATGTGTGGAAAGTGATAAGAATCAGATAAAAAATAATGAATTAAAATAAAAACATAGTGTATCAAAATGTGTGGGTTTATGTTAAAGCAGAAATCACTGTTAGAAAAAACTGATAAAACTAATGATCTAAGCATTTATCTTAAGGATATTGAAAAAGATAAGAAAATTAAACACAAATTAATAGAAGAAAAAAGCTTAAGAATCAGAGCAAAAACCATTGAAAAAGGAAACCAACAAAATAGAGATTATGAGAACCTAAAACTAATTCACTAAAAAGAGTAATAATATTGTCAGACCTCTATCTAAGTCGATCAAGCAAAAATAAAGAAAGCAGAAATTAACCATATCAGTAATAAATGAAGGGACAGCTTTAGATCCTCCAGCCATTAAATGTTTAACAAGGATATATAATAAACAACTTTATGAGGATAAATTTGTCAATATAATTTTGTCACACAAAATCATATAACTAAACAATTGCAATATTGGTATAAGAAGAACTTTAAAATATGGGCAGTTCTATAAATGATTTTTAAAACCACTTAATTTGTATTAAGTGAATTGTCTTGGCGTCTATGTTGAAAATTGATTTTCAACATTCCAACATGAATGTGTTGGTTTATTTCTGAACTCTTGATTCTGTTCCGTGGATCTATATGTCTATTTTTATGCCAATAACATGCCTTGGTTACTGTTTCTTTGTAATAAGTTTTGAAATAGAAGTGTGAATCCTACTTTGTTCTTCTTTTTCAAGAATGTTTTAGCTGTTTAAGGTTTTTTGCTGTTTCATATGAATTTGAGAATAGGCTGTCCCACTACAGTAAAAAAATAAATAAATAAAAAGCTGTTAAATTTTTTGTAGGGATTGTATTGAATCTGTAGGTCATTTTTTGGTAACTAACATCTTAACAATATTGTCTTCCTACCCATGAACATGGAATGTCTTTTCACTTAGTAAGATCTTCTTTAATTTCTTTCATCATTGTTTTCTAGTTTTTAATGTACAAGAATTATACTTCTTTTGTTAAATATACCCTAAGTAGTTTATTGTTTATGATACTATTGTAAAAAGTATTATTTTATTAAATTCATTTTTTATTGTTCATTGCTAATATATAGAAATATAACTAATCTCTTTGTATTGATGAGGAATCCTGAATTTGTTTATTACTTCTAATAGTTGTGTGTGTGTGTGTGTGTGTGTGTGTGTGTATGCATGTATGTTGATGCATTAGAAGTTTCTAGGTACAAGCTTATGTAATCTGTACATAATCTACACAGAGATAGTTTTATTTTTTCTTTCAAAACTGTATGCCTTTTATTTTTTCTTCTTACCTAATTGCCCTGGCTAGAATTTCCAGTAGAATGTTTTATAAATGGTGAGAGCAGACGTCCTTGTCTTGTTCTTGGTGGGCATAAGCATTCAGTCTTTCACCATTTAGTGTGGTTAACTATGGGTTTAGAATAGATGGTCGTTATCAGGTTGAGCAAGTTTCCTTCTATTCCTAGTTTGTTGAGTGCTTTTGTCAGGAATAGGTGTTGATTTGTCAAATGCTTTTTATGTGTATATTGACATGATCATATGGTTTTTGTCCTTTATTCCATTAATATGGTATATTACATGGTTTGACTTTCATACATTGAGCTAACCTTGCATTTTTGAGGTAAATATCACTTGATCATTTTATATAATACTTTTTATATGTTGTTCAGTTCAGTTTTCTAGTATTATGTTTATGACTTTTTTTGGGGGATGGTCTTTTCACAAGGCATATTGTTTTGTTGTTTTCTTTTCTTTTTTTTTTTTTTTTTTATTATACTCTAAGTTTTAGGGTACATGTGCACATTGTGCGGGTTAGTTACATATGTATACATGTGCCATGCTGGTGCGCTGCACCCACTAATGTGTCATCTAGCATTAGGTATATCTCCCAATGCTATCCCTCCCCCCTCCCCCGACCCCACCACAGTCCCCAGAGTGTGATATTCCCCTTCCTGTGTCCATGTGATCTCATTGTTCAATTCCCACCTATGAGTGAGAATATGTGGTGTTTGGTTTTTTGTTCTTGCGATAGTTTACTGAGAATGATGGTTTCCAATTTCATCCATGTCCCTACAAAGGATATGAACTCATCATTTTTTATGGCTGCATAGTATTCCATGGTTGTTTTCTTTTCTTATGATGTCTTTGGTATGAGGATCAGGGTAATGCTGGCCTCATAGAATGAGTTGTCAATGTTATCTTTTCTATTTTTTGGAGGAGTTTGCCAATGATTGGGGTTAAGTCTACTTTATTTATTTATTAGTTATTAATTTGTTGAGACAAAGCCTGGCTCTATTGCCCAGGCCAGAGTGCAGTGGTGCCATCTCCACTTCCATGCACTGCAACCTCCTCCTCCCAGGCTCAAGGCATCCTCCCATCTCAGCCTCCTGACTAGCTGGGACTACAGGCATGCAACACTATGCCTGGCTTTTGGTATCTTTTGTAGAGACAGGGTTTCGCCATCTTGTCTCAAACTCATGAGCTCAAGCAATCCTCCTGTCATGGCCTCCCAAAATGCTGGGATTATAGGCATGAGCTATCACCTGTGGCCAAGTCTACATTGAACATTTGGTAGTCTTTTGTCAGTAAAGCCATCTGGATCTGAATTTTCCTTTGTGGAGAATTTTTGGATTAGTAACTCAATTTCTTTACTTGTTATAATTTTATTTAAATTTCCTATTTCGTTTTGAGTCAATTTTGGCATTTCTTTTTTTGTAGGAATTTGTTCATTTCATCTACATTTTCTAATTTGTTGGCATACAATTACTCAGTCTTCCTTTAAAATCCTTTATATTTTTCTTAGCTTGGGAGAAGAGTCTCTTCTTTCATTTTTGATTTTAGTTATTCATGTTTTTTTGGCTGTTGTTCTTGGTCAGTGTAGCTAATGGTTTGGCAATTTTGTTGATATTTTTCAATGAGCCAACTTTTGCTTTTGTGTTTTCCATTGTTTCCATTCTCTCATTAATTTTCACTCCAATCTTTTATTTGTGCTTTAGGTGTAGATTACTCTTCTTTTTCTAGTTTCTTAAGGTGGAAGTCTAGGGTGTTGATGTGAGAACTTTCTTTTTAAAACACACAGTCATTTATAGGTATAAATTTTCCTTTAAACACTGGCTTTGTTACATTTCATAAGTTTTGTATATTGTATTTTTGTTTTCTTTCATTTCAAAATATTTTCTAATTTTTCTTTGGTTTTCTTTATTAACCCTCTGGTTATTTAGTAGTGTGTTGTTTAATTTGCACACATTTGTGAATTTTCCAAGTTTTCTTTTCTCATTGGTTTCTAATTTAATTCTGTTACAGTCAGAGAAAACACCTTATAAGATTTTAATTCTTTCTAATTTATTAAGGCTTGTCTTATGGCCAAGCACACAGACTATTCTATAGAATATTTCATGTGCACTTGAGAAGAAAGTGCCCTGTACTGTTGTTTGGTGGTATCTACTAGATTTTAGTCTTTCTATATTTTTAATTTTTTTAATGAGTGCTATAAGGATAACTATACACATATCTAATTAATTATAACCTATTTAATATCATTAGTTAATATTATAACACTTAATATAAAATGTAGAAATCTTCAATTCACATAGCTTTTTTTTTAATTTCCCTTATCACTGAACTTTACACTTCAGTTGTCATATTTATTACATTGACATATGTTGAAAATTCCAGATGACAGCATTGTAATTTTTGCTTTAAACAATTATATGTATTTTAAAGTATTTCAGGGGAAAATAATCTTTTGTATTTACCCAATTATTTAACTTTTCTGGCTTTCTTCCTTTATTTGCAAAAACTCAAGTTTCCCCCTTTATTTTTGCCTTTAGCCTGAAGAACTTACTTTAGCATTTCTTGTAGAACGAGTCTGTTGGCAACAACTTCTCGTAATTTTTCTTCATCTGAAACTATCTTAATTTTGCCTTTATTTCTGTAGAATGTTTTTGTTATATATAGAATTCTATATTGATAGTTCTTTTATGTCAGCAGTCTAAAAATGTTTTTTACTATTTTCTGGTCTCCATAATTTCTACACATCAGACACTACAAACCATGAGCACTCAAGCAACATACTGGTAGAAAATATCCACAGTACAGATTTCTGAAAATAAACTTGTATCCAAATTATATAAAAAATTTTAACAACTCAGTAATAAAAATACAAATAATAATACAGTTTGGTGAAAAATTTTGAATAAATTTTTAATAAAGACATATTACACATGACAAATAAGCAAATAAATGTGTTCAACATCATTAGATATTTAATGAAATACAAATTAAAACCAAATGAATAACTAAAATTGAAAGAAATGAAAAAGCAAAATATTGGCAAGGGTGTGGAATGAAACTCTGAACCTTTATTTATAGAAGTATAAAATGGCACATATACTTTGGAAAACTTTTAGTTTATTTTAAATTTAAATATGTATTTGCCCATGACCCTTCAATTTTACTGATAGGTATTCCCCTGAGAGAAATAAAACCATATGATTACATATAGATTGGAAAAACATTGTTCATAGTAGCTTTGTTGATCCAAGTCACAAACTGAAAACCAAGTAAATGTTCATAAGCAGGAAATGATTTAACAAATTATGGTATATTAATGAAATAAAAATTTATTCAACTACTGAGACACACTATTCTCACAAGCATGATGCTGAGGACTCTTTTAATCAAACAAAAAACGTATTTACCTTATATTTGTATGAGGTTCTGAATCAAGCAAAACTAATATATGGGGATAGACATTAGAAGCTTAGTTGTCTTTGCCAATCCAACAGAAATACAAAAGATTTTCAGAGATTATTTTGCACACTTCTATGCACACAAACCAGGAAATCTAGAAGAAATGGAAAAATTCCTGGAGACACACAAATTCCCAAGATTGAATCAGGAAGAAATTAAAAACCTTAACAGATCAATAACAAGTTCCAAAATGGAATCAGTAATAAAACACAAACCAACCAAAAAAAGCCCCAAACCAGACAGACTCACAGCCAAATTCTACCACACATACAAAGAAGAGCTGTAGGCCAAGCATACTGGCTCATGCCAACCCTTTTGGAGGTTAAGGCTGGAGGATTGCTTGAGCCCAGTACTTCAAGACTAGTCTTGGCAATACATTGAAACCGTGTCTCTATAAAAAACAATTAAAAATCAGTTGGGCATGGTGGCACAAGTACCTGTAGTCTCAGATACTTAGGAGGTTAAGGCAGGAAGATTGCTTGGATCCAGGAGGTCAAGGCTACAGTGAGCCCTGATTGTGCCATTGCACTCCACCCTGTGTGACACAGCAAGAGTCTGTCTTAAAAAAAAATCACAGAAGAGCTAGTATAAATCCTACTGACACTATTCCAAAAAATAGAGGAGGAGAGACTCCCTCCTAACATTATGTGAAGGCAGCATCATCCTGATAACAAAAGCTGGAAGACACACAACATAAAAAGGAAACTTTAGACCAGTATCACCGATAAGCATAGATGCAAAAATTCTTAACAAAATATTAGCAAACCAAATCCAGCAGCATACCATGATCAAATAGGCAACATTCCTATGATTCAAAGTTGGTTCAACATATGCAAATCAACAATTGTAATTCCCCATATATACAGAATTTAAGACAAAAACCATATGATTATCCAAATAAACCCAGAAAAAGTTTTCAATAAAATCCAACATCCTTGTATGATAAAAATCCTCAATAAACTAGATATCAAAGGAACATACCTCATAATTATATGAGCCATCTATGAAAAACCCACAGCCAACATCATACTGAATGAACAAAAGCTGGAAACATGCCCCTTGAGCATTGGAACAAGACAAGGATGCCCACTCTCACCACTGTTATTCAACATAGTACAGGAAGTGCTAGCCAGAGAAATCAGGCAAGAGAAGGAAATAAAAGGCATCCACATAGGAAAAGAAGTCAAACTATCTCTCTTCACTGACGATATGATTCTATATCTAGAAAACACAGAGGAGTCCATCAAAAGGCTTCTAGAGCTGCTAAACTACTACAGTAAAGTTTCATGATACAAAATCAATGTGTAAAAATGAGTAGCATTTTTAAATTATACTTTAAGTTTTGGGATACGTGTATAGAACGTGCTGATTTTGTTACATAGGTACACATGTGTCATGGTGGTTTGCTGTACCCATCAACCCGTCATCTACATTAAGTATTTCTCCCAATGCTATCCCTCCCCCTGCCCCCCCACACCCCCACAAGCCCCAGTGTGTGATGTTCTCTTCCTTGTGCCCATGTGTTCTCATTGTTCAACTCCCACTTATAAGTGAGAACATGCAGTGTTTGATTTTCTGTTCCTGTGTTAGTTTAATGAGAATGATGGTTTCCAACTTCATCCATGTCCTTGCAAAGGACATAAACTCATTCTTTTTTATGGCTGCATAGTATTCCACGGTGTGTATGTGCCACATTTTCTTTATCCAGTCTATCATTGATGGGCATTTGGGTTGCTTCCAAGTCTTTGCTATTGTGAATAGTGCTGCAATAAACGTACATGTTCATGTGTCTTTATAGTAAAATGATTTATAATCCTTTTTGTGTATAGCCAGTAATGGGGTTGCTGGGTCAAATGGTATTTCTGGTTCTAGATCCTTGAGGAATCACCACACTGTCTTCCACAATGGTTAAACTAATTTACACTCCCACCAACAGTGTAAAAGGGTTCCTGTTTCTCCACATTCTCTCCAGCTTCTGTTGTTTCCTGACTTTTTAATGATCATCATTCTAACTGGCATGAGATGGTATTTCATTGTGGTTTTGATTTGCATTTCTGTAATGACCAGTGATGATGAGCTTTTATTCATATGTTTTTGGCCACATAAATGTCTTCTTTTGAGAAGGGTCTGTTGTAATCTATCCATCTAAAAAAGGGCTAATATGCAGAATCTACAAGGACCTTAAACAAATTTACAAGAAAAAAACAACCCCATCAAAAAGTGGGCAAAGAATATGAACAGTAGCATATTTATACATCAAAAATATTGAAGCTGAGTGCCAAGTTAAGAATGTAATCTCATTTACAGTAGACACACACACACACACACACACACACACACACACCCCTAGGAATACGGCTAGCTGTTAAAGGATGTTAAAGATCTCTGTAAAGAGAATTACAAAATAGGGTTAAAATAAATCAGAGAAGGAACAAATAAATAGAAAAACATCCCATGCTTATGGATTGGAAGAATGAACATCATTAAAATGGTCATGCTGCCCAAAGCAATCTACATATTTGATGCTATTACTATCAAATTACTAATGTCATTCTTCATGTAATTAAAAAAATCTTCTAAAATTAATAGAACCAAAAAGAGACGAAGTAGCCAAAGCATTTCTAAGCAAAAAGAACAAAGCTGGTGGCATCACGTTATCCAACTTCAAAGTATAATACAGGGCTACAATAATCAAAACATCATAGTACTAGTACAAAAACAGACATATAAATCAATGAAACAGAATAGAAAGCCCAGAAATAAAGCCACACAGGTAAAACCAGCAGATCTCTGACAACAATGACAAAGATAGGCAATGGGGAAAAGACTCCTTATTAAATAAATCATGCTGGAATAACTGGCTATCCATATACAGAATAATGAAACTGGACTCCTACCTCTTACAATGTACAAAAAATCAACTTAAGATGGATTAAAGACTTAAATGCAAGACTTCAAATTATAAACATCCTAGAAGAAAACCTAGAAAATACCCTTCTTGACGTTGCCCTTGGCAAAGAAGTTATGGCTAAGTCCTCTAAAGCAACTGCAACATAAACAAAAATTGACAAATAACATCTAATTAAACTGAAGAGCTTCTGCACAGCAAAAGAAACTATCAAGGGAGAAAATAGACAACCTACAGAATAGGAGAATATATTTGCAAACTAAGCATCTGACAAAGATATATTATCCAGAATCTATAAGGAACTTAAATCAACAAGTAAACAACAACAACAACAAACATTAAAAAGTAGGCTAAGGACATGAACAGACACTTCTCAAAAGAAGACGTACAAGAGAAAAACAAACATGAAAAAATGCTCATCATCACTAATCATCAGAGAAATGCAAATCAAAATCACAGTGTGATGTCATCTCACACCTGTCAGAATGACTTTTGTTAAAAACTCAAAAAAACAACAGATATTGGTGAGGCTACATAGAAAAGGGAACACATACAGTGTTGGTAGGAATGTAAATTAGTTCAGCCGCTGTGGAGAGCAGTTTGGAGATTTCTCAAAGAACTAAGAGTTGAACTACCATTTGATCCAGCAATCCAACTACTGGGTATATGCCCAAAGGAAAATAAATTGTTCTACCAAAAATACGCATGTACTTACATGTTCAACAAAGCAGTGTTCAATGTGTCAAAGACATGGAATCAACCAATGTGCACATCAACAGTGGATTGGATAAAGAAAATATTGTACATATACAGAATGGAATACTACACAGCCATAAAAAGACCAAAATCATGTCCCTCACAGCAACATGGTTGCAGCTGGAAACGATTACCCTAAGTGAACTAACGCAGAAATAGAAAACCAAATACTGTATATTCTCACTTGTTAGTGGGAGCTAAAACACTGGGTACTCATCATCATAAAAATGGGAACAATAGACACTGGGGAATTTAAGACAGAGGAGGAAGAAAGGGAGCAAGGGTTGAAAAAAACTGCTTATTGGGTACCACACTCAGTACCTGGGTTACAGATTCGTTCGTACCACAAACCTCAGCATCATGCAACATACCTTTGTTACAAAACTGCTCATGTACACCCTACTCTAAAATAAAAGTTGAAAAAAAGTCTCTAATAGAAGAAAACAAACTTGGTTGTCTTTAGAGAGAGATTGAGGGATGGAGGAAATTTTGATATTAGTGTTGGTTATGGGACTGTAATTGCCAAAACTAATTAACTGTATATTTTAGGTTTTACATGTTACTTTATTTAAATTATGCAACAAATTTTAAATTGCAAAAGATATAAAAATGCAATCAAAAACTATACACAGAGAGAAGTTTTAAAAACTGACAAATTTTAATTTAATAATAGCTGAGGTTAATTTGAAAGAAGATGTATTCTGAAAATAAACATTTCACTTAGAAATCCAAACATATCTATGTGATCTAGTTACTCCAGATAGGTAAGTCATACAAAGCTTGGTTTCTTAGATATGGTATGTCCAAGTTCCCTTAACAAACTCCAATCTAAGCAGCACATAAGCAACACAACATTGGGTGTAAGAGAACTTGTAGTTTTGGACTTGCAGGTATAAGAGAAATAGAAGAGATATAAGAGAAGTGATTTATCTTCAGCCTGTGAAGCTTTCCTTACACTGGTGCCAATCCTTTCAAATGCTGCTCAGTAAGTGCAGCATGAAGATGTAGAAGAAAGGCATCCATTTATGAAAGAAAGAAAAATCTTAAAGCAATAGAAGTGCCTGCCATTTTAAGTTTACTTATGTTAAATTAAGTTTAATCTACAGCTGCCTCCTTCCATATTTTAGGTTCAGCCTAAAGGTTTCTCTGTACATAGTGAATCATAGTCTAATCGGATGTGTAAACGGACTGTAACCTACACTTATAACAAGTAGCTAAGTCTCAGCCAATCACAGCAGCCATAGTTCAACCACTCACAGGCAGCCAACTGCAAACTGTGTTCAAATAAGACAAATGCTGACCTATTTTGTTTTCTGTACCTCACTTTCCTCTTTCTGTCCATGAATCCTTTTCTCTTTCTGTCCATAAATCCTCTCTATGTGGCACCAATGGAGTTATTCTGAACCTATTCTGGTTGGAATAGTGTAGCGGGGGATGGTGCTTAATTTGTTAATTGTTCTTTGATCAGTTACGTTCTGATTAATTTAATTTGGCTTAAGTTTTAATTTTAACATTTGTACTTCAGTGTCCAAATTGTTTAATTAGTAAGAATCAATCAATCTATCTACCTATCATCTCTCTAATGCACCTTATATATACCTTATATGTAATAGATACATTAGATATTTAGGTAGTATATAAAATATAATCATACATGTGCAGAGAGGATGAGGGAGAGAGTAGGTTAATGCAGTAATAGTAATACAGACAGAGACTTCTATATAATTATCTTAATAGGTTTCTATTTTCTTCCTCATTCCCTATTTTCTAGCAGTTTCAACACACTCTTTTATGTCTACTTCGATCTCCGATCGGCCCAGCCAAACCATGAGAACAGCTCTCTTGAAGGTCACCAATGCCCATCATTTGGCTATATCTAGTGGATACTTTTCACTGTCTAATGATAACAGCCTCTTCCTTAAGGTACCTTACTTTTTGACTTCTGTAGCTCTAGTGTTTCATAATATTCCTCCTCCATTTGGGTAAGTGTTTTCTAACTCCTTTTTGGGCACATCTGCCTCTACCTAATCTTTAAATTTTGATGTTGTTCAAGCTTAAGTCCTAAACTCTGTGCTCTTCTTGTTCCATAGTTGCCTCTTGAGAAACATCACTGATCTATGTCTTGGTGCTTCTCAAGTTCATATTTTCTTCTGGATCTTTTTTTTCTGAAAGTCAGACTTGTATATCTAATTTTCTACAAAAATTTCAGCATGACTGTCTCACAGATGCCCCATTCTTCATACCTTCACAACTGAGTTCATCATCTTTGTGCTGGCATCACCTCAACCTACTTCTCCTTATCTCAGTTAGTATCACATCTGCCTATGTCATCTAAGACTGCTGTCTTGCCGAACTGTCCATAAACCTCATAAATCCCTCTGACGTCATCTACTCCAAGGTACTGTCATCATCTGGATACCTTTTAACTAGTCACCAACACTTTCTCTGTATAAACTGATATTTTAAAAATTATCATACTATAGTAAATGTTTTTCCTGGAAATCTATATTCCTCATCTGTGAAATCCTTGAGAAGAGGACCTGTGTCTTCCATATATGTATTTCCAGGGATTGGCCATAGCAGGGACTCTAAACATATTAGCAGGGGCTTAACACATTAGTTAGTAGATATGATGTTACTTCATTTTGTAAGTAAAGAAGCCAGGCTTAAGAAAGTCAGATGATTTTCTGAATATCTATTGTTAGAAATCAACACCATTTAACTTTTCACTGTACCTCATTCCTTCTTCTTGGCCCTGGATACTGAAATTAAAAGTAATTCCCAAGGTTTCTAGCACCAGAATCTCTACTAGTCAGTGTCTTCTGTGATGGTCACATGCAATAAAATTACCAGATTATAGTTTTGTCTCCTTTTTTCACCTTTTATCACTTTGAGTGGAAACTCTAATAATATATTTGAAACTAAAAGTAAGATAAACAGGAGAAGAGTAAAAAATAATCTTGTATACTTTGCTGATGGAATAGCAAACCCAGTATAGTTGAGAACAGCCTGGGTTTTTAACATGCCTCAAATCTCCATGAATCAGGAGGCATTTGCACTTGTATGAGTAAAAATGTCAGGAAATGATTTTGAAAGGCTCTATTTGAGGGTGAAATGTTTCTGCATCTGAAATCCATTTTACTGAGCAAAGTACAGTAGTTACAAAGGCTAAGAGGTTTTTGTTTCCATAATTTCATCTTTTTTTTTCAAAAAGAAGTAGAAAAATCCAAGCTTATAAATTTGGACCTGCACAGCTTAGCAAGAAATATATTTTAAATAATTGTTCCTACTGGCTTAACAAGGAAAACAGAAAACTATATGTGAGGTGTCCCATGAAGCTTCATCTAGTCTCTTAGCTGGATAGTTCCAACAGTCTTTGAATTTTCTATGTTATATAGCATTCAAAACTTGAGGTAAGCTCCTTTTGCTTTCTGGATTCCTGAGAACAGCAAAAGATCCAGTTCATTCATTGAATTCATTCAATAAAACTTTATTGAGCATCTTCTATGTATCACAGAATTTTCTAGAAATTAGGCAAAAATCCCTGCCTTTATGGAGTTAATAGTCTTGAAGAGGTAGGCTGACAATAAATAATGAAGAAATAAGGACCATTTGATCTTTGTAAGTAGAGAAAAATAAAGCAGGGGATTATGGTAGACAGCCTTTGGGGTACAAGCGAACTGGGTAACATTTTAAATAAAATGATCAGACAAGACTTCACTGAGATACTTGAGCAAAGAACCAAAGGAAGTGAGGTGGTGAAAAGTACAACCTATGGAATACCTAATATGCAACTTGGAGGACACTGTAAAATAACTGGCTAATACTTTCAAAATTTCAGAGTCTTGAAAGACAGGGAAAGATGGAGGAACTGTCAAGAATGGAGGAGACTAAGGAGACAGGGCAACTAAATACAATTTGAGAACCTGGATTGATTTCTGGAATGGAAGACAGGGGGTCTTAGTTTATGAACTGGTGAAATCCAAAGAAAGTCTGCAGTTCAGTTGTAGTATTACACCAACATTAATGTCTGAGTTTTGATAATTGTACCAGGATTATCTAAGATATTAATATTAAGGGAAGCTAGGGGAAGGATATATGGTAACTGTATACTATTTTTGTGGCTCTTCTGTAAGTCTATAGTTATCTCAAAATAAAAAGTATAAGTAAATGTACATACTATAAGTCTTCTGAAGAGAGGGAATAGCTAGTGCAAAGGTCTGTAACTTGTTAAAAAAAAATCAAAGATGCAGTGTAGCTGGAGCCCAGTGAGTGGTGGGGGAAGATAGCAGAAGGTATAATTGGGGCAGGAGTGAATAAGGCTCTTCAGGCATTGCAAAGGACTTTGACTTGTACTCTTGGCTACACAGAAACCATTAGAACTTTTTGAGCCAAGGAATGCCATCATCTGACTGAGATATCAGAATCATTCTGGCTGCTGTGAAAATGGCAGGAAATCAGGGAGAAATGATAGTAGCTTGGATTGGGGTGGAGCAGTGAATAAAAGTTACAGTTCTCAGTAAAACTATAAAATCCTTGATTTTGTTTTCCCATTTCTCTGGCTTACCACTTCTATCTTCTTCCATCTTGTCAATTCATGTCTGTAATATAGGGGTGGGAGTATATTGAATTGAGCATTCTCTAGGTTTCTTCTAATTCTAAATAAATAGGTCTCCAGTACTCATAACACAAGTCTTTTTTTCCTTCTAAAAAAATATGATCGAATCATTGACTCTGTGGTATTACAACTTGATATGTCCCTCTTCCTAGGAAACAAGAGGCTACCAGGGAAAAAGCAGCATATACTTGAAAGAATGAAGAGCTAACTTTGATACATCAGGGAGAGAAACAGATTTGCGTGTAAGGCTTTCATGGCACTTCTTGCCACCCCCTATTCCATAGGGTCTCCGCTAGTTTACTCAATGTGCATTTGTGAAGTGCACCACTATGCTCTCCCTTAAAAAGACTGGTGACACCTGGGCTGGGCACAGTGTCTCATGCCTGTAATCCCAACACTTTGGGAAGCCAAGGCGGGCGGATCACTTGAGGTCAGGAGTTCGAGACCAACCTGGTCAACATGGTGAAATCCCGTTTCTACTAAAAGTACAAAAATTAGCCGGGTGTGGTGGTGGGCACCTGTAATCACAGCTACTCAGGAGGCTGAGGCAGGAGAATTGCTTGAACCCAGGAGGTAGAGTTTGCAGTGAGCCAAGATCGCACTATTGTACTCTAGCCTGGGTGACAGAGAAAAAAAAAAAAAGATTGATGACACCCTCAATATCCACCACATGTGCTCAGTGAAAAACTTGTTCTTCCCAGATGGCTCTGACGATGATTGTATATTGGGTTACCAGGGCCTGTCCAATTCTGCTCAAAGTGGGACTTCTCCAAAGGGCCATACTTCCCGGGGAGCTCTCTTTGGGGCCAATTCAGTCTTAGACCTGCTTGTTATCTCAGGCAACTCTGCTCAATCTTGTTCCTTCTTTCCCTGTTCAATCCTACCTCTTCTTGCTTTTTACTAGGATACCCTCTCCCCACAATCAACCTCTTGCACCCCCAATTCTGATTCAGTGTATGCTTCTTGGAAAACCTAACATACTCAGCTTATTCTTAAAATCAATCTTGTCTTACCTCTACCTCATCTGCCTTTTCCAGTATTTTATGCTTAGGCTATTTATGAAATTTCTGGCACATGTAGATAATAAATTCATGGGCCCTAGTTCCAGTTTTTCTACAGGTGTTGTGTTTGACAGGACAGTGTGACAGGACATTTCCTTAGAAAAGATCCATCTCTGTGTGCTTTCCATACTCCTATCCAGAGGAGACCAAGCCTAGCACCTCCACACCTCTGGAAGCATAATTCGGTCTGACAATAGATGGAACCCATTAATAACCATGTTGAGTTGCTTTCCTTAAACAAACAAATTTGGCAGCAGAGGCTCTGCTGGCAGAATTGTAATAGACCAGTCACTGCTGAATTGGACAGTGATAAAGCAGAAAGGTCATAACCAAACATTTTAGGGCATGGGTCAGCAACATTTTTCCAAACAAAAAGCCAGATAGTAAATATTTTTGGCTTTGTGGTTCACATACAGTTTCTGTCACATGTTCTTCTTTGATAATTTTCAAAACACTTTTAAAATGTAAAATCCCTTCTTAGCTTGAGGTCCATACAAAAGCAGATGTAGCCATTGGATCATAGTTTGATGACCCCTGTTCCAGATAAGAGTTCTTTTTAGGTATAAAATATCCTGGGCAAGCACAAAAACAAACAGGCATTGCATCTTCTTTATATTTAATGTAAACTCTTGGTTTCACCTGCACTATTCCCTGAGCTGGCAGGGCTTTTGTTTGTTGTATGTGGGTCTTGTTGCCAAGAATACCCTAACTAACTGGTTTCAAATTGTTTCTTGGGAACTTCACAGAGTGCCTTAGTGGTTAATCAGGGAGGAATCAGATAAGAATCATGTACCCCCACCCCCACAACCTGCAGCAATCCTGAGCACTGTTCTACAAATGCACTATATGGGGTTCCTATGCCACACAACCTATTATTTTCCTTCCCTCTCTTCCTTTCTTTTCAAAAAAATATATTCTTTTAAATCAAGAGTTTAAAAATCTCTGCATAAGTGAGAAACTACTGTGTAAGAGAGGGGCAAGTTCCTAAGGTAGCCAGATTAAAGAAAAGCAAAATGCAGAGCAAGTGGGTGGGCCCTGGAGTCAGGGTCACCTGGTTTCTAATTTAGACCATTTTCCATTAGTAGCTGAAACAATTCACTTACTTTCCCTGTGGGTCAGTTTCCTCATCTCCCTTTGGGGATTATTATATTATTCTCACCTTCTAGCTTATATATGAGGAATGAACAAGTCAATTCATATAAAAATTCTTATCAGAGTACTTGGTTCATTGTAGATACTTCTCTATTATGTACCATTTGGTGACCTGTATGATACCCAGAACATGTACCTTCCCCAACTCACAACTATAGCATATGCATTTTCTATTCATAGGCAAAGCTAAAAAGACAAGCAGTGAGCCAAAGTGATTCGAAAGCCCTCAAATTTTCATCATTTACACCTATTTTTCCACAGCTCTCATGGGTCTCATATTCTCATGATCAGAAGCACTTGTGATTACCTACTACTTGTTGAAGGGATAGGGGCAAAGACCCACACTTTCAGCCTTCTCTTTCTTCTGCAATATATCCATGAAAGATCCCCACATGAAGGCATTAGGATCTCTGAAGTCCTTTGATAAGCCAATGTTGTGCCAAATTCCTATCAACTCCAATGGAGATGGCACCAGATTTGAGAGGACTAAGAAGAAATTCACAGCCAGCAAACAAGACATAGGGTTTTATTGGAAGCTTACATACAGAGGAGACAGCCCAGTGGCCACAGGCTGGACAGGAGAACCATAATTGCTTGCAAAAGGCATGCAGTTTATATGTCATTTTTACTTAGCACCTTCCCCGTAACAAACTCCACCTGGCAATCTTCAGAACCCAAAACTTAGAACCTTGATCCTCTGTACAGTCGGTGTTCCACAGGACAGACAAGAAACTCAGATGTTTTTCATAGGCAAGGAACGAATCTGCAGGTTGGCCACTACTGTATTCCCTAGCTTGGAACACACATTCAGATGCATTTGCCATACAGGGTAGTTCTCAGGATATGCTTAAGTTATTGCTAGCAAGTGCAGTTACCCTAGAGCATGAATATCCCAATAGCAGCAAACACATTTATCCATGAGAGCCACTGCTATGTTTGTAAAGTTTTGTTCTTTGTATAAATCTATGGGCCTAATTTTTTTCTCATCTGATAAAGATGATAAAGTACTCCATTCTCTGGCTTTAAATTTATGTCTGGCAAATCTGAAAGGTACATAGGACTAATCGGTCCAGACTGAACTCAGAGATCTGCTTGTAGAATGCAGTTTGGTAAACCATCTTAATCAAAAAGAAGTATAGACAAGGACATAAATCTAACTGATTGCTAAATACATGGAAGGGCTTATCACAGGAGAGATGGAGGACGATACTTAGTATATTAGCCTGTTCTCACACTGCTAATAAAGACATTTCCAAGACTGGGTAATTTATAAAGAAAAAAAGTAACTAGAATTCCATGAATTCTCTAAAGATTCTGGATCATTGAAGTTCTGCTGTGAATGAAGAGCATGAAGATAAGAGCTATCCCTCCAACATGATTCCTTTTCAGCCTTTCAATTGGAATTTTATGAGGGTAAGGTGAGATATGAGTTTATGTAAAATATATAACCCATGACTACACTCAACTAGGCACTTAATATTCCTTTCATTCTCAAATTCTTTCATTGCTACAAGTTTTTAGTCACTAGTGATCTCTAACAAGCAAGACTACCATAAATGCAGATACCCAAGATGACTATTTCCCAAAATAATCTAGAATGTCATGAGCAGTGAGTCTGTCAAGACTGAACACATTTTGTACTTAAGATGTTTCTGTTAAATATGCCAGTATTTTAGTGCCATTTAGGTATGAGCATAACTGTTAAAAAATGTGGAATGCCAAAGTTTTACAACTCTATAAATATACATTCTATGGGATGAATACTCTGATAAATTTTGGTGGAGAAGTATGGTTAGCATTTGCTGCTTGAAGACACCATTTTAGTCAAAAGAGAGCTGCTTGATTAAGTCATGTCATCAGAACCTCTTGGGAGTTTTGTGTCTTCTTGTTGACCCTCACAACAATGCTGCACTTCTTATTCACCA